>NC_000008.11:111964222-113214222 GCF_000001405.40 Homo sapiens | reverse complement strand
TAAAAATAAAATTAAATATACACAATGACATAGCAACACATGAACAGAAAAGAATCCCCCAAGAATAGTAGGAAGTGGAAGCCTCACTTTTTTCTGGTTTCTACTGAAGTAGTAGCCTCTCCAGGCTTTTCTAACTGCCATTTTTATCCTGTCACTTAATGCTTTTTAACCATTTATCTTCACAGCATTTGTTAGTAACTTATGTACACAGTTTAGATTTCCTTGTATGCTTGTGAGGGGAGGGATTTTTATTGTCACTGTACCTCCAGCATCTATGTATCTCACAGTGCATGCTGAATAAAGATTAGTTTATAGAAGAATATATGACATCCATATTGTATAAAGAACTTTCACAAATGAATAAAAGAAAGACTAATTATCTATTTTAAAATGAAGAAATGAAAATGGATACATGAAGGGAATTAATAAAATAGGGAAACTAAATGCCAAGTAAGTATAGAGAACTATAAGCAAATCAAGTTTTCCTTTTGAATGTGTTTTTTGAAATTATAAAATCATTGTAATAGTTTTTTTAAAGTTGCTGTATGGGCTTCATAATTGTATACTTAGACTTAATCTTCAGATTATACTCAAAGAAAATAATCATATTAAATCTAAACTGACTGAAGAGTTTATTCTCTGATCCAAAATTAAAGAGCTGTGTAGATTTCACTAATGACTTAAACATTTCAATTTGGACTAAAAAAAAAACACACAAAAGAATAATAATTTCTGTGAAGTTTTTATTTGGGTACGGTTGTCCTCTGTGGCAAAGGTAACAGTGTTAAGAAGAGTTCAGTTTGAACTACTGATTAAAGCCAAACATCAAGTAGGTGTGATATGTCCATGATTCCTGATTTTCTGCCAGTAAAGGTACAAATTACACTGTGTTCATGCTGGCATGTCACAGAAATTTAAAGGCTTCTCTCTGATCTTTTATGCCCTGCCTACACCTGATTCATGGGATGAATTACTTGAGAACAGTTGATATTTGTGAAGTCTTTTGAGGGAAAGTGCACATGAAATCCCACATTCTAGGAAAAGAGGTAGATTTGTAGATTCCATTTGCATTTCTAAAATCTATCTTGGTTTTCATAAAATTTTCTTAGTTAACATTTATGAAAAGCATTTTATATATAAAATAATATTCAGATCCTGTATAAATCTATGGGATATATAAATGCGATAAGAAATTGTTATAGTCAACAGCTGGTTCCATGGGGTAATGGTGAGCACTCTGTCCCCTGAATTTAGAAATTGTTATAGTCACTTCCCAGGTTAGGTACATCTAACTTGATTTTCTTTTTTTTTTTTTAATATATATATATATTTTTTATTATACTTTAAGTTCTAGGGTGCATGTGCATAATGTGCAGGTTAGTTACATATGTATACATGTGCCATATTGGTGTGCTGCACCCATTAACTCCTCATTTACATTAGGTATATCTCCTAATGCTATCCCTCCCCCCTTCCCCCACCCCACAACAGGCCCTGGTGTGTGAGGTTCCCCTTCCTGTGTCCAAGTGTTCTCATTGTTCAATTCCCACCTATGAGTGAGAACATGCGGTGTTTGGTTTTTTGTCCTTGTGATAGTTTGCTGAGAATGATGGTTTCCAGCTTCATCCATGTCCCTACAAAGGACGTGAATTCATCATTTTTTATGATTGCATAGTATTCTATGGTGTATATGTGCCACATTAGTATTTAATATAGCATGAAAGAAAAGCTGTAGTTCAGTATGTATCCAGTCTGTAGCCACATCCATGGCTAGAGTAAGGTAATAAGAAACCAATAGAAATAACAAAGACAACTTTGGGAAGATGTGAATTATTTGCAAATGAATTAAACTTGTACTTATTGTATATTTTCCATCAGTGAGTTTTCTTTTGCTACTGAAGAGATATCAATATATACCTCATTCTTTATGTGAATATGGTTATCCTCACCACAGCAGATTTTATTATATTCACTTAAAATTATTAATCTATTGTCTTTGATAACCAATAATGAACCAATCTGCCTATAATGTGCTTTTCTTATTCATGCCATGAACATAATAAATTCTGCATATAGAATCTTTATCTTACTCCAGCAGCTCCATAAACTTTTAAATATTGGGTCTCTTTTGATCTAGTCTTATAATATACAAAGGTATAAATGCCTAGCTTTCTGAAGTAATACTTCAATTTTTAGTCATTTATTAATATAAAGTAATTCCTACTTTACTTTTAGATATATTTGGAAATTTGCCCAATAAGTTTTATTCAGAAAGACAACATTTAAATCTTCTTTTTTCATACATGGCACTTTGTTGTGAGAACCTGAAAGTTAGAGATAGCCTACATCAAAATCTAATACATTAGACCTTCTCAATTACTTAGCATAGAGAAGTAGCATGTGAAATCTTCTATTGAGGTGGCATATATGCCATGGCTATTCAGAGCTGACTTTGGGATCAAGTTATTCAGGTTTTGGTTCACTTAAATGAGAACTTTGCATGCTTTTATTATTTATTTATTTATTTATTTTTTGAGACGGAGTCTTCCTCTGTCATCCAGGCTGGAGTGCAGTGGTGCGATCTCGGCTCACTGCAACCTCCGTCTCCTGGGTTCAAGCGGTTCTCCTGCCTCAGCCTCCCCAGTAGCTGGGATTACAAGCACACGCCATGATGCCTGGCTATTTTTGTATTTTTAGAATAGACAGGGTTTCACCATGTTGGCCAGGCTGGTCTCAAACTCTTGACCTCAAGTGATCCATTTTGTTGGGTGCTTTATATAGCTTGTTCATTTACATCTCACTAAGACCCTGTGAATTAGGTATTACGGTCCTTGTTTTACAAACAAATTATTTAGTGACCTTCAGTGATTTTCCAAAGGCCAGATTTGTATCTCTGATACTTAAAATATTTAAATGGAAATTGAACTAGCCATTGTATAGTTAGAAACTGAGGAAAGAAAGGAACCTCTACTACACACACTAAAATTATTAAAAGGAGAAAATTATTCTCTATTATGTATTTAAATAAATTTCTCAATAAAAATTTACATATAATTTTGTGTCTTTTTATATTTGAGTATATTTGTCATGACGCCTGAGTCAATTTCCAGTCATTGCGAGGGACTTCTAGAAGAAGTTTAAGATGTAGAAAAATACGTATAATTTAACATAGCACATCATCAGGGTATCTGAGCATTATGATAGCTAGACTGGAAGGTGGTGGAACAAAGAGAACATGGACATGGGAGGCAGTGAAATGTGGACTCAAATCCAGGGTTTGCCCTTGACTGCATGTGTAGTCTTGGTCAAGTTATTCAACCTTTCTAAGATTCTTTTTTTTTTTTGAGAATGAGTCTTGCTCTGTTGCCCCTGGCTAGAGTGCAGCGGTGCTCTTGGCTTACTGCAGCCTCTGCTGTCTCCTGGGTCCAAGTGATTCTCCTGCCTCAGCCTCCCAAGTAACTGGGATTACAGGTCCCTGCTACCATGCCCAGCTAATTTTGTATTTTCAGTAGGGACGGGGTTTCACCATGTTGGCCAGGCTGGTCTCGAACTCCTGACCTCAGGTGACCGGCCCACCTCAGCCTCCCAAAGTGCTGTGATTACAGGTCTAAGCCACTGCGCCCCACAGCCTTTCTAAGATTCAATTTTCTCCTATATAGAGTAAAAGTAGAAATTTTTATTTTGGATGAATCTAATGATAATTTGATTCGAATATATAAAATATGTACATTTTTACTTGTGAAAGTTGCTATTATTATTATTGATATTTTTCGTATTTAATGTTGTTTGAGGAATGAGAAATAGATTCTATATGTATTCTAAATTTAGTTTGTGAAGAGAATTATTATTTTAATAAATTAAGAATCAATTCTGTGACCTAAATCTTCTGATTGAAGCAGCCTAAAATTGTGTGGCACAAATTATGATATTCCAGTGCTCATACTCCATGAATCTGTGTAATTTCATCGAAGGCTTCAGGATCACGCTGAAATTTCTAGTTTAGGAAATCAGGTGTAAAATGAAATGGATATTTACAAAAGTCAGAGAGAGGATTTTTTTGAAATGTTGATTATTGGTGAAAAGCAAAATATGATACTTCCAGTAGCTGAACCTAACCTTTCAAAATCCAAGAGCATAAAATAAGGATGTAGTTTAAAATTAGAAAACACTGTGTATCACACACACACACACACACACACACACACACACACACACACACCTTTTAGGAGAAGTAAAACGGGTTAGTTTCATAAACAGAGTCAATTGTTTTAAAAGGGTAAAGAAAAGAGAGAAAATACAGGCATTTTTAAAGTTTGGGTTTTTTAAAAGCAAGTATAGAAACAAAAATAACATAATAAATGAATGTAACCATGATTAGCTAAACTTAATATTCTGTACACAAACTCATTTTGGATAAAAATTGCATTTTCTTAAATATTAATTACCTTTGCTTGACTCCTTATTAATTTTTTAAATAACTGAATAAAATTAGAGAAAATTAAATTTTGTCAAGCATTTATATCCTTTGTGTTTTCTGCTTCATCAATAAGGAAGACATAATTATGAAATACCGGAAATCTCACGTATTTCGTTTTCTCCCCACTCCAGCTAATCCTTTACTCATAGCTCAGATTAATTTAGAGTTACTTTAGTAAGAATTATGTTACATTTATTTTTTAGACCAATTCATACTTTTAATATAGATTTCACATTAACACCGTAAGACTTCCTTGAATCCCTAAGACTAGGCGAGGTGTTTTTCTTTAGCACGGCACTAGCAACACTTGTTACACTCTTATGGAACTTACAATAGATGAATTCTTGAAATATCTTGTGCCTTAGATATAATGGAATGACTCATACCTTTAAAATAAGTCATGTACCATAGTATAATTACTAAATTATTTATAAATGCCCTTCATTAGATTACAACCTTTTAGAGGCCAAAGACCAAAGTTATCTGTTCCCACTGTATCATGAGTAAAAAGCACATTGCCTGCTTCAGTGTAGGTGACACATTTTTATGAAAAGAGTACATAAAACAGTGTCACACATAATGAATTTCTGCAGATCCTTTCCTATCTTTGTTCCTTTGAAATATTACTAAACTTTTAATAACATCAACCATTATAATGTGTCAACTCTGAGAAACAATGTTATTTTTCTTTCAAAGAACCTACACAAGCTTTTATGGTAGATGCTTATTCATGATCTTTTATAACATTTTGTAAAAGAACATAGATTAAAATTCACATTTCTCTAGAAAGACATTTCAAATGGGTGTTTTAATTTAGAAAATGAAAAAATATTTTGCTCTCATTGATATTTTCAATATCTACATTTATTTAAAGAGAGGGAAATCAACTTAAGTGTATAAACACAGAAATATACATATACACACATATTCACTACATGTACCCTTACATACTTCATATATGTCTGTATATATAAGGTATTTGACAAAATATATATACACTTATAAATTAATGTTGCTGCATTAAAAAAGATTAATGAAATTTTTCTTCATGTACTTATGTTAATTACCTTTTTTCATCTTTATTTATGTGATATGCACTCCATAGTTTGTAATGACAAACTTCAAGATAACATTTCAAAGTTATCTGTGCGAAATGATCAAAATAAAGATATCTTTTATATATGATATTATATTGTGGACAGAAAAGAAACATTGTGGGAATACATTATTATTATGGAGATAATTCTAACATTTATTAATTGGTTATTATGTACCAGATAGTTCTCAAAATACTTTTCTATAATTTATCTCACTTACTCTGTACATCCAATCTACAGAGTAGGTGCTTTTTGTCCATATTGTATGGAAGAGGATACTGAAATGCAGTGAGAAGAAACTTGCCTTGGGTCACATTGCCTGTAACTGGTCCAGCCTGAACCCAATTCCAGAAAGTCTGATTCTCTGGTCCCGGTTTCTGACCACCATCCATCCCACATTGCTAAATACACTACACCATGTAATAAAGATTCAGGAATCTTCAACATTAATGGGGACTTAATATGCTGTAAGAAATGCACAGAATTTTCCTGTAAGGTTTCATTCATTCATTCAATTATATTATTTTGGTTAAAATAACGTTTCCAAAGAAAAAGAAGTTTTAAAACTGTTAAAATGCAGTTATTGCTGTTGGGTATCACTGAACCTAATTCTGCAGACTTGATAAAGCATTCTACCATCGGCCTCTAAAATTTCATCAGTATTGTGCAGAAATATATGCAGAGAGCTAATCATTGGCCGTATGCCAAACCCCATTCTGAAATCAGACAGGGAAATGATGTCACGTTGTGAGGTATATTGTTAAGTAGCAGGTGTCCTAATGATTTAAAAATCGTTATATTATCTTTTAATTACTTCCATACTTGTTTTCTTTTGTTGTTTATCTTTGCCTGGATCCTCCCTATACTCTTAAGTTCAGTAAATATCAAGTATATATCTTTCTTTTTACTTCAAAACACCAGATCCTAGTTGACACTGTCAATATCTTCTTAAAAAAATTTAATATTCGCTAGGCAGGGTGGCTCACACCTGTAATCCCAGCACTTTGGGAGACCGAGGCAGGCAAATCATCTGAGGTCAGGAGTTTGAGACCAGCCTGGCCAATATGGTGAAATCCCATCTCTACTAAAAATACAAAAATTAGCCTGATGTGGTGGTGCATGCCTGTAATCCCAGCTACTTGGGAGGCTGAGGCAGCAGAATCACTTGAACCTGGGAGGCTGAGTTTTGCAGTGAGCCGAGATCGCGCTGCTGCACTCCAGCCTGGGTGACAGAGCGAGGATCCATCTAAAAAAAAAAAAAAAGAAAAATAATTGATGTTTATTATATTTCGGGAGAAAAAAAGATCAGAAGTTTGGGAAAAAATTCTTGTTGAAAATAATTTTTTAATAAATTGTAATAGACAGCTTTGGCTTGATTAAAATAAAAATATGAATAAGAAAAATAAAGGTCCCAAGGTAGCCACCACCATGTTCATTCCAAGGAGGAAAATCTTACATCCAGATGAAAGTTTTCAATGAAGAAAGATAAGAAGAATTCTTTTAGATAAAGTTAGAGCAATGAATTAGTGGTTTAGTGTACATTATCATCACATAGGGAACTTACCAACATGCAGATACATGGACCACATCCCATCCCATGCCTAGTAAGTTAGTATATCTGTTTGGAGAACACAGTAGCCTGCATTTTTACCGTGCCCAACTAGATGCCGAAATTTCATACTTGAGAAACACTGGTTTAAAGATAAGGAAAATATTAACATCAGCAGAAACTATTGTGTAGAAACAAACTTGATAGTATGTAAGAATATTTGTACAAGAATTGTACTAAATGTAATGTTTAGTGAAAAGAAAAGGTGTGGAATTGATAATGCCCTGAATAGCCATCAATAGAGAAATAATTGAATACATTTTTTTCCATTCATGTATATAAGGCAATCATTAAAAATTTGACCAGATATTTATAAACTAATCTAGTTAGACTCCCAAGGTGTACAGTTACATGAGAAAATGATAAGAACTTCTATACATGTGCATTTGAATCTATGTAATTGTACAAGGCTGAGGAAAAGGTTGAAGGGTGTAAAAACTAGGCAATTAACATGGATTGAGGGGTTTCGGGGTACTGGAGAATAGAGAAGAATATACAGAAAAAAATTAAAAACTACATCCAATTAAGGAATCATCGAGACAGAAAAATGAAGAATATAAATTTCTGCCTATTACAAATAGAAAAAATAGAATATGCACATGGACAGGAACAGGATGTGATAAGGTAACATTGTTTCACTCTTAGGATTATTGGTTACTTCATCATTGATTGCAAAATAATGAAACATTGAAAATTAAATGGAAAAAGAGTATAGAATTTTGATGGATGGCAATGGTAGTAAAGCCACTTGTAAGTGAAATGACTGTCATCCAAAGCACATACATATATATTTGTGTATCATTGTGAAATTTGCTGCATAACTATAAAGAAATCAAAATATAGGGGGACATGTGCAATTTTGTAGTCTCGTTCTTGGGGGTCAGCAAACATTTTCAACAAAGAGCCAGACAGAACATTTATTATGCTTTGGAGGGCACATAGTTTCCATCCATTACAACTTACCAGCTCTACCCTTGTAGTGCAAAAACAGCTGTTGATAACATATAAACAAAGGAGCTTAGCTGTGGTCCAATGCAATTTTAAATACAAAGGGCATCAGGCCATATTTGGTGGGAGAGCAATATTTTCAGCTTCTATTCTACACTGACAAAAAAAAAAGATGATTATAACTGTCCACATCTAACCTGAACAAACGTGATGAAAGCAAGTGAGAGTAAAGTCTACTTGTAAACTGCAATTCTAATGCAAAATAGTATATCATTACTTATGTTTTATGTTTTAGTATATCACTACTTTCCTAAATTAATGTATGTAGTTGTTTCATCTGTGTTTCCTTACAGGAGGGAGGTTATAGAATAAAAATGACATTTTTTTCTGTCTATTTTGATTACAATTATAGTCACTAGAGAGAAAAGGTTGTTTTATTCTTTTGCTGCTTCTGTCTGCACATTCTGTTAAGTCATGCATTGCTTAATGATGGGAATATGTCCCAAGAAATTCACCATTAGGCTATTTCATTGCTATGAGAACATCATAGAGTGTACATACACAAACCTAGATGGTATCGCCTACTACACACCTAGGCTGTATGATATAGCCTATTGCTCCTAGTCTACAAATCTGTATAGCATGTGATATGGTTTGGCTGGTCCCCACCCACATCTCATCTTGAATTCCCACGTGTTGTAGGAGGGACCCAGTGGGAGGTAACTGCATCATGGGGATAAGCTTTTCTTGTGTTGTTCTCATGATAATAACTCTCATGAGATCTGATGGTATTAAAAGGAGGAGTTCCCTGCCGGCCACGGTGGCTCATGCCTGTAATCCCAACACTTTGGATGGCCCAGGCACGTGGATCACCTGAGGTCAGGAGTTAGAGACCAGCCTGGCCAACATGGTGAAACCCCGTCTCTACTAAAATACAAAAATTAGCCGGGCAGGGTGACGGGTGTATGTAATCCTAGCTACTTGGGAGGCTGAGGCATGAGAATCTCTTGAACCCGAGAGGTGGAGGTTGCAGTGAGCCGAAATCACGCCACTGCACTCCAGCCTGAGCCAGAGAGTGAGACTTTGTCTCCAAAAAAAAAAAAGGAGTTCCCCTGCACAAGCTCTCTCTCTTTTTGCCTGCTGCCATTCATGTAAGACATGACTTCCTCCTCCTTGCCTTCTGCCATGAATGTGAGGCTTCTCTAGCCATGTGGAACTGTGTAAGTCCAATTAAACGTCTTTCTTTTGTAAAGTGCCCAGTCTCGGGTATATCTTTATTAGCAGTGTGAAAATGGACTAATACAGCATGTTACCATACTGAATACTGCAGATGATGGTAACAGAATGGTAAGTACATGTACATCTAAACATAGAAAATGTATAGTAAAAATACCATATGAAATATTTTTTAAAATAGGACACCTGTAGAGGGCACTTACCATGAATGGAGCTTGTAGGACTGAAAGTTCCTCTGGCTGAGTCACTGAATGAGTCTGAGTGAATGTGAAAACCTAGTCCATTAGTGTACACTACTGAGAACTTTAAAATCCAGTACATTTAGGCATACTAAATTTATTTAAAAATTGTTCTTACTTCAATAATAAATTAATATTATTTTAGTATAACTTTTTTACTTTATAAGCTTAATTTGTAAAGCTTTTTGTTTTGTGATAAAGAATGTTTCTATGATTTCAAATAGAAAACATATGTACCTTATTTTGTTAAAAAATGAACAGTACCTGGGGTAAGAGCCAAAAACCCAAGATTACATTTGTGATATGTGAGTTCTGTGATATAGGGAAATACCATGAAGCTCTCTGGCTCTTCCTTAGCCTGTGAAATGTGTCAGTGAAGTCTTTTTATCTAGGGCACTAATTTCCTCTAATAAAATAGGACAATTTAAGATAAACTGGAAAAGCTTGGGGCAGAGTTAAAAATTTTGGAAAGGAGATTTCCAGGGAAAAACATAAATCTAAGATACCTACCTCTTCATGATGAAATTGGCAGAGCATTTGGGAAAAAATATTACGACAGAAAATTATGCAAGTGAAAAAAGAGGTGATTAATAAGTGTGAGTATAGGGGGGAAATAGAGGTTTACTCCACAGAGGAAATATATATATTTGTTGACAAGTTGAATCTCCAGTGAAGGAGCCAATTCATAAACACCCATCATTGATTTAACTAAAAATAGATGCATACTTATGAAAAGAGGACAGGAGGAGGAGATAGTACATTGTTAAAGAGTGAAACTCTCACCTATATAAGAAAAATTTAATAGTACATGTTTAAAAGTAGATAAAACAAGGAAGAGAAGTCTGTACATGTTATCTACAAATGTTTAGTTTAACTACCATTGGAATAAAAAAGTCAAAAAATGTTAAAAGATTTTGTCTTGATGGAGCTGGACTGAGGAAGTAGAAAGGTTTGAATTTAAGAACTAAATTTTCACTATAAACGCTTCAGTGGTATATGATATTTTAATTATATATTTAATTATATTGGATAAAAATTAACATATATAGAGAGCATTTGACCAGGTGCAGTGACTCACACACTTTGGAAGGCAGAGGCAGAAAGATCACTTGAGCCCAGGAATTTGAGACCAGCCTAGACAACAAAGTGAGGCTCCATCTCTAAAAAAAAAAATTAGATGGTCATGGTGGCTCAGGCAAGAGGGTCATTTGAGCCCAAGAGGTCCATGGTGGAGGCTGCAGTGAGCCATGATTGTACCATTGAACTCCAGCCCAGGCAACAGAGCAGAGACTCTGTCTCAGGAAATAAGTAAATAAATAAAATAGATAATTATAAAAACACATTTTAAAAATTTAAAAAATTGACAAATATTTGTACATATTCATGGGCTACATAGTGATGTTTCAATACATATAATTCATAGTGATCAGGTCAGGTCATTAGCATATATATCATTTCAAACATTTATCATTTTCGGGGGATGAGAATGTTCAGTATCCTCCTTCTGGCTATTTACTAGAAACTATACTGTATTATTGTTAAGTACAGTCATCTTACAGTAGTACAGAACTCTAGAACTTATTTTTCAATTCAGTTGAAAAAATATGGGTTTCTCTGTAAACTGAGTCACCAGCGAAATCTTATTCTTCTGTAATTCCATAAATTGCCAAATACTAGGTTTGTTCTAACAAAGTGCCAAATACTTGGACAATTGCTCAGGTGAAAAATGTATTGATTTTGAAATTGATTCAAGTGTACGTTCTCCTTTCAGCTTCATTGTAGAGCTATATATTCAAACCTATACTATATGTTAGTATAAAGTCTATACCTACAGATAAGTTGCTATTTTACATTGCGTCCAAATTGAATACAGCTAGATTTGGCAGTTTGAACCAAAGATAATTCATCTATTTCAGTGTGCCTGAACTACATAAGGTTCTAAGAATGATGGAAAAACTAGGCAACCTTGACATAAGTGCTTACCAAGTTCTTTGAGAATGCAGATAATATTGCTTTTTGGAAATTTTTCAGAATAAAAGGAAATATCAAAGAAAGCCTTTGAACAATCATATGTCAATGGCATTTCCAAGATGGTGGCATCTCCAGAAATACTTCAAAGGAGTATCATCTAGTCTTTTTCAGAGTGCCCCCTGGAGGCCTAATCAAGTAATTGTAGTTCCTTCTCACTTGCAAGTAAACAAAGACAATAGAACCTCATTCAGTTTTTAAAAGAGGCTCTTCAGTCACTGGCAGCAGCAGCCAGGCAACAGTAATTTGCAAGCCCTGCCCTTTATTAAAATTCATTGTTGCTTTCAGAGTTAGAGAACTATAATTTGAGAGATCCAAGCAAGACTAAGAAGAAATAACATTTTATATAATCACTTCCAAGAGCTGCTATATAATTAAACACATGTGCAATTAATTTTAAGCAAAAACTGCAGCCATTGTGCAGTGAAAGTTGCTTTATGCTAGCCCTGGTTTATAGCAATAGAATGAATATGAAGTCAAGTGTTACGATTTGGCATGCTTCCAGTAAATTTACAATTTTGTGAAAGCGCCATCAATAGAGTATTGTTTTTGCTTTACTTTACTTTTCTCCAGCTTTGTGGCTCTGTTTTAGTAACAGAACATGTGGCATACTAGCTGTGGCAGTTTGGGTTATAGCTATAGGGTGTGTAATACCAAAACATCTATGTTGAAATTTCTTTTATAAAATAAAAGCAATCCTACTCAACTGGAGAGAAAAATAAATGAAAAATTGCATATTTGATTTTCCATAAATATTATACAACTATTAAATGCATTCATAAATTGAACGAATCATGCAATACTCTGATTTACATGGGATAAATTAGAAATAAACTTCCTGCTCTAAAGGTTTTTTTAAAAATCAGCATACGATTTTTATTTCAAAAGTCACATGCTGTCTCTGCACAATGCTCTGGTTGTAGTAATAGCCAAAGTTGAAAAGCAGGGCTACCTTTAAAACATTATCATATCATGTAATTCATTAAAAATTCAAGTTTCATTGTTTTTAGATTAAGTGAAGAATGCACAAGTTTTGTATTTTATGATGGATTCCCTGATAATATATAGTATCCTTATCAAAAACAAAAATCTAATAAACAGCTGTCAATTTATTCTTTAACTCAAGTTTTAATGTTGATTTGTGTCATTCTGACTCACATAAGGAGTGGAAGAGACTGGTGGAGTAGAGCTCCAATCATAATTTTGAAATTTGTTATGACTAATTTCAATTAACCTTTGACTGTAAGCCCATGAGGATTTTGAACTTTTATAATATATGAGGACATATATTATAAAATACAGGGAACCACACTCTCAATGAATTTCATTGCTGTGTTGAAATGATGCTAGCAGTGGTTCAGACAATAAATATCTGCAAAACCCAGCTTTGAAATGAGGAATTGTTTTTAGCATTTTAGAATCCTTTTAGCAGAGCTATGACCATAGGAAAAGATTTTAATCCATGGGTAAACCTATGCAATGAGATCTAGTTTAAAATAATACAAGGAGATCTTTCACATGAAGTTGTCTCTACAAAGGGTTCTGAGAGAGATGCAAATAGTCTGGAGAGGCCCTTTCAATTGGATCTTGCTTCCTGGTGAGTTTTCTACTTCAACCTAATTAATTAATTCAACTAGCACTTACTCAGCACTTTCTAGATGCTACAGATTGCACAATACACTAGGAACCATTAATGAACAAATAGTTATAACCTCTATACAGAAGAAATTTTTGTTCTTCATAAATAATAAAGAAGCAAATATCCTGTTCAGTAATTATTTTGCATAAACGCTATTAAAAACTGGAGATTAAAAAATAAAAGGCTGTTTGAGGCTGTGACATTTAACGTAAGACTGGAAGAAGGGAGCAAGTGTAGAAATAGATTTGCTTCATCTTCATTTCGTTATGAAGCAAATCTATTTCTACACTTACTCCCTTCTTCTAGCTCGTTCTGCACGTGTAACCCAGAACTTAAAGTATAATAAAAATAATAAATAAATAAAAGAAATAGATTTGCTTTGTTTCAAGGAACTGAAAAGAAGCCTCTTTAGCTGTAGTATAGTGTGCACTAAGCCAGGACACCTAGACATTTTAGGACATGGATGATATTATAAACAAAATGAGAGTCAGTTGAAACATTTAAACTGGGAGTGACATGTTATGATTTACCTTTTAAGATTATCACTCTTGCTATGTAGACTAATGGATTACAAGGAGGCAAAAATGGAAATAGGTATTCCAAGTAGGGGCATATTGCAGCATCCTAGTGAGAGACTTGGTTGGTTTGAAATAAGGTGGTAGCAATGGAGATTGAAAGAAGGGCGCAAATGTGCAGTATAGTTTGGGGGTAGATATGGTATAATCCACAGATGAATCAGGAAAAAAAAAGAATAAGAGGAGTCACAGAAATAAGGACAATTCCCAACTTTCTCCTTTCAACAATTGGTAAAATGCTGCCGGTTATTAAGATGGCAAAAACTGGGAAGAAAAGCATGAAGCCCATTTTGGATACGTGAAATTTGAGATTCCCATGAGGCATCTAAATGGAGATGTTCAACAGGCATTTGGGTATATAAATCTGAAGCACAGAGGAGATTTGGACTGGAGATAATTGTGAGAGTTATCAGCATAAAATCAAACACTATTCTCATTACTCATGTTAATAATCAAGGCCCTGCACCTGGAAGAGCAGCTCCAGCAATGGGAAGCAGCATCTTCAGCTCCAGATACTTCTGTCCTTTTTCCTAACCTTTAATAAGTCATTTTTTTAATGTATTCCATTTCCCAAGAACTTTGGATAGCTATGGAAATTATAATTTCCATAGTGATGAAATGCAGCATAGTGTAATGGGAAAAAATCATTCACCTCACATAAAAATATACATCCATTATTTATTAATGTTGTGGCTTTCAGCAGGCTGCTCAATGTCTTTGGGCCTCTATTTTCCCATCCTCCATGAAAATGGGCAGCTAAAAATGCCCTTTCAACCTATAGAGTAGATGTGTGCACATTTTGTGTTGGAAAAATCCAGCATAAAATGTATTAGTTAAAAAAATAATAAGGCAGTTTTTAAATTTAAGGTGTTATTAAATAGAGCTTATAATATTATCCCACCCAGATCATATTGTATACTAGAAACCATCTTATTTAAAAATAGTCATGCCAATCCAAAAATGCAGACAGATCAACAGTAATCTACTTGGTACCAGTTATTCTCAATGATGAATAAAGGCTGTTTCAATGTTTTGTCTGTTAACCATATCACTCTGATAATAATTTTTGCTTAAGAAATTGAAATCTAAATTTTACACAGGCTTGTACACAATTGTTGACCTTGAGAATTGTCTAAAATATAACTTATTTATAAGTTCCTGTCTTTTAGTCATTGACATTTTGTTAAGAAGCTATTCAGATAAAGAAAATATAAATGAACCGTCTTCAATGTGCTGTTGTTTTCAGTTGCAAATATATACTATATATATTTGAAATTATATATAGTTAAATATATGTTTAATTTTAAATATATATAATTTAAGCTAATACCATCATGAAAGTACATTTGTTTCCAATTAGCATAATGAGAGTCATAATTAATACTCAACATCTATTGGAAATTGAAATTAGAAAGAAATAATTTATTTCAAGCAGGAAATTAAATATTTGATTGCTTTTTTAAGTAATTTCAGATTACAATATCTCTAACGTTGGCTCTGTTTAATTCTTTTGGGGATTTTGATAATCCCGCACATTTTCCAAATGAAAACAAGGTATTAATTATATTAAATGGAGAATAGAAAAATGGGCTGCAGTTTCCAAAATGGTCAGTAGAGAGCTTCAGTAAGGTTACTATTAACACTTCCTCTACTTCTTTAAGGGAGTAATGATTAAGTCATATTAATATCTAACATTGCAAAATAAATAATCATTTAGTCTGTCCAAAAAAAATTTTAATACTAAGTTAAAATGTAATTATGGACTTCTTTTTAAAAAAAAACAAAAACAAAAACAAACACAACCCTTCTGAGTTAGTGTATGAAGTGGAAGGAAAAGAAAGGATATTTTAAAATGGTGGTTAGTCACTTTCTTTGTCAATTTAGTATGTGTATGTTTATCAGCTCCAAAAATTGGAGCTGATAAACATTAAAAATCTTGCTGAAGGTCACCCAGCTAATAAATAGCAAAGCTGGAATATGAATCAATTTTGGTCTCAACTCCAATTCCACATGGATAATACATCACATATATAGTATGTATATACAACATACACATACTAAATTTAACAGGATGATGGCATATGTGCAGTGATTATGATATGAAGTAATCCACGTGTGGAAGTTATTATCTCCAGTTTACATATACAAAAGTTGGAGCTGATGAACATGAAGGATCTTGCTGAAGGTCAGCCAAGCTAATAAAAAGCAAAGCTAGAATAGAAATCAATTTTGGTACCAACTTGAATTCCACATGGGTAACCACTGCACAATAACTTGAAGTTTGCATTAATCTTTTTAGATGTATTACAGAAATAAATAGGTATTCATGTATGATTATCCCAACATTAATTGGTTTATTTTTACTATTTTTATACAATAGGAACAACTACATTTATAAAGATTGTATATGCTTCTCAAATATAGTTAGTTACATGACACCAGTGCTGAATCCTCTTATGGTAAGCATTTTATATAAAACATTCTCTCCATTTAGTTCTGTCCACCTAGAACAATGTTGTGCTATCTAATAAACAGATAATTAAAGACATTGTTGAATATATAAAATAAATTATATTGAACTATTAAGATTGTCATAAAATGATTATATGATGTTTACAATTATTATTGACAGAAAAATGATGTATAAAATATTCTGTACTATAAGATCGTTTTAAAATGTGTATTTTCTATAGAAAAGCTTGGAGATAAGCACATCCTGCTAATTATCTCTGCATGGCATAATAATGTTCACTTGTTCATAATTTATTATAAAGTTTTTCTACAGTAAATATACATTACTTTTATAAGTGGACTCAACATCATTACAGTAATAATAATATATACATATAAGATTTGGCACCAAATAATAACCAAACTAACTTTTTAACATGGCTTAACTCTTCACAAATGTTTATCCCCTGCATTTGTTGATTGGATCCCCATGGGACCACTGTCTAGTACAGAACTGTTTTGGATTTTTTTTTGGAGTATTTGCATAACATAATGAAATGTCTTGGTGATGTGGCCCAAGTCTAAACATGAAATTTATGTTTTTATATGTGTGTTATATATATATATAGGCTGAAGGCAATTCTATACAGTATTTTCAATAATTTTGTACATGAAACAAAGTTTTGACTGTGACATATCACATGAAGTCAGACATAGAATGTCCCACTTGTAGCATCTTGTCTACACTCACAATATCCTGGGTTTTGAAGAATTTTGAATTTCAGGTTTTTGGATTAGTAATGCTCAGCCTGTATATGAGGTAGATATTATTATCACTCTATTTAATCAGTGAATGTTTATTGAACACTTTTTATGTCCTGTACTCTGGGCTAAAATACAAAAATGGACAAAGTAGACATAGACCATGCCTTAATAAAACAAGTAAGAAAATTGTTCCACAGAGGGGTTAAGTACTTACCTGAGATTGCACAAACAGAATGTCAGGGCTTGAGATACTTTTAAAATCACTTTACTACAAGTTTTAAGAACACGCTTAGACAAACCAGTAGAGTAAGAAATAATTATATGAGAAAAGTGAATTTAAATCATAGGTGTCATTAATGCCAGGAAGATTTCAGTCTTTCTGCAATGGGAAATAAAACGCCATGATAAATTTCTAAGTGTGAAAGGTACTTTAATTGACTGATAGGAAATAATTAGTTTACCACTTGTTCAAGACTTTTTTTTCTCTAGTTGAAGAAGTCTCCTTCTGTCGTCTCTAGTCTTCTCCTGCTCTCTGTTCCAATTCAGCCTTGATTCTCTTTTCATAATTACATTTAAAAAATAAAATCCTCGTCATGCTCTTTAACTTTTGTGAAAGTGTTTCATGTGCTGTTCTGACTGTGGGCTAAAATCTAAGGTAATCAACAATGTTTACAAGGTTCTTTACAATCTGGCCCCAAAATGTCTTTAAAGCTTTGTGTCCATTTGTCTATATAACAGTATCTTCTAAAGTCTATTCACCCCAATCTGCCCACCTTTCCCAAATAAGTCATGTGTATTCATACCTCTGGCTTTGCAAAATGTCCCTTCTTCTGAATAGTCTTTCATTCCATCTTTACCCAGTGAGTTTTTATGCATAATTGAAGAGCCAAATCAAATATATTTTTTCAGTTTTCCAGTAGAATGACTTTTTTTCTTTTTCTTGTGGCCCCATGACTCTATAAAAAGAAAAAAATAAGAGGAGTACAAAAAACATTTGCAGACAAATAGCTAATAGCTTAAGAGAGAAAAGACAAAAAGAAGCTATCATGCAAGAGAAAAATTAGATAAGTATCTCGTGGAGTGAGAAAGGGACTGAAGTTTCCGCCCAATATTTATTAGAGAATGACATTTCCTAATAAATTAACTGAAGGCATTTGGCAAGGATGACACCTTTCCTCATACCATAAGTTGTCCTCTAATATCTGTATGAGAAGGATGTACAACTTATCCTCTGAGAGGAAGTGAAGGCAAAAAGGTGGATATGGATTTGTTCCCAAACCCTTAACACTGAGCACTATATATGCATGTGTGTGTGGGGGTGTGTGTGTGTGTGTGTGTGTGTGTATATATATATATATATATATATAAAATATAGGATATGAATATTATATATATGTATCCAAGTAAAAGTTAAATAGATAGAGATATAGTTATAGATATGAATAGTAAATACCTATCTATATATTTATGTAACTTTTACGCACCATTAGGTTCTTTCTCATCATGATGGTGGGAAATGCAGTCTGTTGTACATTAGAGAATCCTCCTCTTTCATTTATCCAGAATCCCCAAAATTAGAGTTAACAGATTTAGCAAATAAAAATACAGAGCATTCCTGCAATACTTGAGATATACTTATATTAAATATTTACTTATCTGAAATTCATGTTTAACTGGACTTGTATTTTCTCTGGCATTCCTACTCAATAAAGAAAATCATAATCATCACAGAGATGATTATTTTTCCTAGCCTACCAATTCCATTTGAAGGCTCAGTTTCAAAACACCTTTTTTCTGACTTGTAATACCAAGGGTTCTAGATCTCAGCTCTTTCAATAGTCTGCTTCTGTTCCAGAGACTTCAACATCACATGTATTTCCTGAAATACAAAGGTCGTTAACAAGCACCTGAAGCTTGAAAAAAAAAAAAAAAGCTTGGAATAGGGTAATGGGCAGTGTCATGGGAAATCGTTTTCAGTAGTGAGTGTTTTTTGTAAGAAAGAAAGGAAAAAAATAGCTCAATCACTTGCTTTTGCAGATATAATATAAAAGACAATATAAGGACAACCATTAAATGTCTTTGATCTCTTGATGTCAGTGAAGTAGAGGCACAATGAATGACCTGTAATTGAGTGTGGGGACTAGAACAGTGTAAGAGAAGTAGATGGAAGAGATCAGGGGCAATTGAAGATGGAGGAAGGTTCTGTAACCTATGCCAACACTTTAATGAAATATGTAGTAAGTTGCCAAGACTTTAACGAAATACATAGTAAATATCTTTCTTGGCTCAGTTAAACAATGTGAAAGCTACTTGTTTGTAAGCTAGGTATAGGCCACTGTGAAAGATTATAGCAGGATTAAGATTATGGAGGCCTATTAAAATTTACTGCATCAATATTAACTATTATGTTTGAGGGGTTTTTTCGAAAAATTTAAAAAACTTTACTTTTTAGGTCAATTTTTGTTTCATAGCAAAATTGAGCAGAAAATACAGAAAGTTTTCATCTCCTTCGCCTACACACTCACGTGTTCCCCCAGGATTAGCATTCTGTATCAGAATGATACATTTGTTACTATCAATAAATTTATATTGACAAATCATTATCATTCAAAGCCTATAGATTACCTTAGAGTTTACTCTTGGTGTCATACATTCTCCAGCTTTTGACAAATGTACAATATATATCTACCATCATAGTTTCCTATAAAATAGGTTTTACTGGTCTAAAAATCCTCTGTGCTCTAGCTATTCATTCCTTTCTCCTCTCTTTTTTAACTTCACTTATTTGTTTGTTGAGTACACTCTGTGTGTTATATTAACAATTGAAACAAATCAATTGATCAATCATTTCAGAAATACATGGTATTACTGACAACTACATTTAGTTACATATTATAGCAATGCATCTTGTATATTTCACTATGTAGTTTTGTCTATAATTACAGAGTAATTAAGTTTTTAGTATAATAACTTAAAGGCAGCATGGCAGTGTCCCCTACTGTTTTATCACGTTAAACACCTGCAGATGTGAACATGTTTAAAATAATGTTATATTTTGGTATAGGTTTTTTTCCCCCAAAGAAAATTGGTTCCTGATTCAACAAAGTTTTATATTTTTTCCATTTATGGAAATTAAGTCCTTCAATTCTACAATATTCATGTTGCTTTTTATTGTTTAGACACATAGTGTGTACACTGAAGTAAATTTAAATAAAAATGAGTCTTATTTGCAGGCATATTCAATACATTTGCTAAATAATAACTCCAAATCTTCTAAAATATTGTCTATGTACACATTTATAAATATTTCATACTTATTCATAAACAAGATTGCATATGTCACAAGAAATAATTCTTTTAGATTTAAGATTACATAGAGGTTTTAAAGTCGGTAACCTACTGCACAGTATACTTAATGTGATGTCCACATCATAGTTTATTTATGCAATTTCCAATGAATGTGTAAGTCATAGATGTGGAATTTTGTGTTTAGATAAAAGAGGAAACACGTGGTCTATTACTCTCTCCTGAAACCCATCTCAAACATTAAATTGTTTTTAAATGGTATGAATGCATAAGAATATAGATAATGGGAGATAATTAAAATCAAACAGTACTTTGGAAGCTGGTAATCAGATGAAGCAGTAGTAACAGAGAGAAGTCATTAGAAGGTTGAATCTTAAGTCACTAGTAGGAAAAGCTAAGAAGCAATCTAGTTTATATCTCAGAATTCCTGGAAGTCTAATGAATTGGTGGCATTAAGAACCTCTAAAAGAGGCAGTGAAAGTCATGCTTAAAGCAGGAAGATTGCTTGAAAATTCAATTAAGAAGCAATAAGAGGACCAAAAACATGCAACTAGGCATCTTCCCATTTTCTACCTCAGCTAAATATTGGAGGTCTTGTCTCTGAATGTGGTAAAACAGTCTCTGAATAGTAGGTCTCAGATACAATTGAAAAGAGAGGCACAATACGAATACGAGATGGAATAAGTGAGTGTTTCCATGCAAAATATTGACACATGCTCCACACACATTTTTCACTACTTAACTCAGAAAGCTGCAGCTAGGTCTGTATTCCCTAAGCAGGTGATGGAGAATTCTTTTACTTTGAGTATAAGCAGTTCAATAGGAAAGAAATGCTGTTATAATGGGTCTCTTAACAAAGCAATCAAGACAATCACTACACAGTAAAGTACAAATGTATCAAATGCCACACTTGTACTCAGAACATTTATTCAGCGTTTTACTTAACTACTTAGAAATAGCAAACAAAAATCATCTGATTTCTGAAGAAGTTCTCTAGCATAGAAGCTAAAGTCCAAAACAAACAGAATCGAAAAATTTGAAAGAAAAAGGAGGACTATAAGAACAGAAGAAAACTTCTAAAATGAACAAACAAACCTAATGTAACTGTTCTCTAAAATATATAAAACTTGAACATGATTTTCTATAGAAATAAGAACAAAAGAAAGCTCTTGGCTATAAAAAATATATGTATATGAAATACTCGATAGGGTTTAAATGTAACATTAAAGAAAACTTCCATAAGGGAGAGAAAAAAGTCAGAGATATAGGAAATAGAAATAAGAGAAAAAGTGGTAGCAGCAGCAGTAGTCATTTAAGTCCAGAAAAGTGTTCAAATAATAGGCATTTTTGAAAGGTAAATTAGTAACATTAAGGGGAGAAATTAGCTAAACAAATAGCTTTTTTATAAAGCAGAGGACAAGAATTTCCATACTGAAAGGAAATTCCATATCGAAAGAAAATTGAAAGGGTGCTAGACCCAGCAAGCATCTAGAACAATTTAGGAAAATAATGCCTTCATTGTCAAATATAAAAAAAACAACAACTGTGAACTGTAAGAAGATACATAGATTTTTAGCAACAGAAATAAGTAGCTCAAATTCAAAGTGCCAGAATTCAGAATGGCTTTGGTTTTCAAAACATCAACATTAGCACAGGGCCTTGCCTTCCAAATCCTAATGTACATGGTTTCCAAACTATGAATCTGAAAAAAATTGAATATCCAAATCTCTCAGGAAGTTAAACACATCAACAAGCAAAAAAACAATCCAATTAAAATAGGCAAAAGACACAGACACTTCTCAAAAGAAGATAGAGAAGTGGCAAACAAACATGAAAAAATGCTCATTATCACTAATCATCAAAGAAATGCAAATCAAAACCACAATGAGATACCATCTTACACCAGTCAGAATGACAATTATTAAAAAGTCAAGAAATAACAGATGCTGGCAAGGCTGTGGAGAAAAAGGGAACACATGCATTGGAGGGAATGCAAACTAGCTCAGCCACTGTGGAAAGTATTTTGGAGAGTTCTCAAAGAACTTAGAACTACCATTTGACCCAGCAATCTTATTACTGGGTATATACCCAAAGGAAAATAAATCAGTATACCAAAAAACACATGCACTCACATGTTCATTGCAGCACTATTCACAATAGGAAAGACATGGAATCAGCCTAGGTGCCCATCAACACCAGACCGGATAAAGAAAATGTGATACATAGACACCAAGGACTACTATGCAGTCATAAAATTAATGAAATCATGTTTTGTTTTGTTTTTTTTTTGGCAACAACATGGAGATGAAGCTGGAGGCCATTATCCTAAGCAAATTAACATGGGAACAGAAAACCAAACATCACATGTTCTCACTTATAATTGGGAGCCAAACACTGAATAGACGTGGATATAAAGATGGAAATAATAGACACGGGGGACTTCTGGACCTGGGAAGGAAAGAGGGAAGATGTGGGCCGAAAAACTGCCTATTGGGTATTGTGTCAGTACCTGGGTGATAGAATCGTTGTACCTCAAACAGCAGTATCACACAATATGCCCGTGTAACAAACCTGCACATTTACCCTCTGAATCCAGCATAAAAGTTGAAAAACATTTCTATACCCATAGAAACTATCATGGAATTTGAGAATGGTATGAACATGTATGCCCACGTGCATTATTTATCTCTTAAACATCCATTCTCTGGAAGTTCCTGGTGTTTCTCTGTAACAAAGAAAGAGAACATTGAAAGATACAGAAAAGAAAATATCCAACTAAGAAGAAAGTTGAATCTAATATCAAGAACACTTTCTAGTAATAGAAACAAATGTCCAGATGGAGAAGATTAAAGTGCTCTGAAAATTTTTCTTTAAGGAATTGAAGTTAAATGCCTAAAACATTTAAATGTATTAGAAAGAGATTTAAACAATTGGCAGAGTTTAAAGTTGTGGTTACACTCAATATGAAATAAATGAAAAATAAAAGACAGGAAATTGTTAATGTCATGGAAAACAAACATTTAGGAAACAAAAGTATTCCTAACAATGAATACCTTTGCTAAGAACAGCATTCGCAAAGTTGTGATGTTAACATTCACTGTTTCAACAAAAATCATAGGAAGAGTAAGTCGCAGGGGATCAAAGTTTGGGATGATAAAAAAAAAAAACCAGAGTAAATCTTTCTTTTCCACCATAAGGAAATAATTTATAATGCTAAAAACATCGTCATAGACATATGTTTTAAGAGGCAGAGGTAGAGATCAGTTAAAAGGGTTGAAAAGATACTTACAATGGCTTCAAAGTCTAACCCTCTGGCTTTGTTTTGGCATTCTGTTTTCATTTCATCTCAGTCTTTCCCTCAGTTATTCCATTCCCAAATGGACTCTTGCCATTCCATCAACTCTCCATGCATTCTGTGCTTCAAGGTCATTGCATTTGCAGTTCTCGTTTCCTGAAATGTTTTCTCAGACTTTCCACTACCCTTCCTTACTTTATATTTCTCTTTAACATTTATTATTATCTAATAATACAGTGGTAAATATTACATGCATTATTGTATTTATTATCTGGGTTTCCTCTCCACCACCTGCTCACAAGTTTACCTCACAGGCTCTGTGAGAAAAGGAGTATATATTGTTCAATGTTGTATCTTTGAAGACCAATTTTTAGCGTTCAGTAGGTGTTTAATAAATAAGTGAACATTAGATAGTATTATTTGGTTGGTGCAAAAGTAATTGTGTTTTTTGCTATTACTTTCAATGTCAGAAAGTACAATTACTTTTGCACCAACCTAATAAGTAAATAAATGAATAAAAAAAAATTATAAATTTATAACACATGAAGAGTCATTTCTAAAAGCTTATAATGGCAAAATAAAAGAATACATATTATTTTAAAGGCTAAAATAAAGATTTAATTATGTTTTTAAAGCACATGAATTCTTTACATTTCAATAAAATATTTCCAAACTATATTATCCCAGAAAACAAAACATGATTGCAAAAAGGAAGCAGTCTATAATTATTGATGTTCTCCTGTGTGAGTTCATGTGACTTGCTCTGATTTTTCAACAGGAAAAGTTAGAGAAGAAGAGTTCTGAAGTATGAGCTATTTTTCCTTTCTGACATTTCTTGCAAGATTCCATTTCATTAATAGTTTTATTATGCAGAACTCAGTTATTGTCATTCAGAAACAGTTTGGAGATATATACCATTATAGACTTTGCATGCATAAATAAGCATATTATTAATAATCAATGGCAATTAGCACACAATACATTTCCTCTTAAATTTAATTATATGCTTGATTAAGAGTGTTTTCATACTTAATTGAAATAAGAAAGTCCAGTAATACTTAATTCTCACTTAAATTCATATTACAATCCTAATAACTCCAGTTCTCACTCAATCCATGCAAAATTCCTATTAATTTTAATCAGAAGTATGCTTGCTCACTGAATAAAGCCTGAAATACAGTTGGATAGGTCACATCAGGAAAAATTGTCTGCAGTCTGACAGTATAGAATGAGGAAAGAGTCTAATGCAAGCAATCAAACAGAGAGATAATTGTCATAATTGGTTTCAATTAGGTTTTTATAGCTTTGGTGAAGCAATTCTCATTGTATTGTATCATGAACTACAACCAGTAACAAAACTAGTTAGCATGATTAGTAGGTATAATGCTTAAAAAGGTAAAATACATTCTAAATGTTAAGATCTCAGTAAAGATAAATGAACTGAATAACAATGTAACTGCTTCGTTGGGAAACCTTTGCCATTGTTAAATGTAATGTGGTTTGAATGGAATGAAATCAGACATATTCAATAAACTCAAGGTTCATAAATACATATTTTCTGAGGAAAATGAGTCTGTGCCCAAATGATCACCTTTTCAGTATGAACCAGTGACCATTAAATAAAGATTAGAATGTGATGATATTAAGAAACTCACAACATAGTTAAAATCAGTGAGTTCCTATTAATTTGTTTAAGTAACCCAAATAAATCTCAGTAATGATGATGGTACTCAAAAAGAAATTGAAGTATCAATAGTCTCACTTCCACATGCTTATGGTAAATGGCAGAGATAGGATTCGAAGGCAGGTTTATTTGATTTTATTAATGGAAGCTTTATCACTATATTTCATTGTCTAATGTTAAGGTCAGCTGCAACAAGGCAAACCAACTGGAACAAGCCCTTCTACTTGTTTTTAATTTTCTCCCATACTTTTAGAATTATCCCTGTAGGGAGGAAAGGTTGAGCATTACTCTAGAAGGGCAAAATAATCAAGATTTATTGTACTCCTTGTCATCCAAGAAACTCTTATGGCCGTGGTTCCCAATTGCACACTATTACTGCTTGTATAAGGATTATTGTACTTGGCTTCAATCCAGAATTCAATTATTCCCCCAAGGGGATTGAGTTTCCAAAGAGATTTGAAATAATTTGAGATTTCTCATATTTTCCTATCTCCCCAATTTTTCTTTGAATTAAAACAATTCTTTAACCAAATAAATATCTGGAGCTTAGTATATCTGAGTTGAAGAGTGACCATTTTAAAGATGCGCATTAAAAGTATAATATCTGACTTGATTATGGTCACAAGTCAATTGAATAGACAGAGCATTTACAAATTAAAGAAACATGTAGAATTCAAAGAAACAATAAAAGGCAAAATAATATGTTTAAAGACTTTTGAGCAAGTGGTCAATAAATATAATAGAAAATAAAAACTATTGCTTCCTGTGTGAAGGTAATCACCGTGGACTGAAGAGTTTGGAAAGGCTTTATGGAGAAGGTGGGAATTGGTTTAGATCTTGAAGAATGGAAATATCTGGATAGGCAAAGAAAAAATGTGGAGATATTTCAAATAGTGTAAGCAAACCTGTGAAGCAAGAATACATGAAACATATTGATAAGCAGTGAATATTTGACAGAAATAGAGCATGTGGCTAGGCAAGCGTAAGGCAATTTTGGAGAAGTATAAAGGGGTAGGATTGTGTAGGATCATGATCATCAGGTGAGAAATTGGACTTCCTTTTATGGACACAGAAGAATTGTGTAGGACAGTTTAAAGGGTAGTTAACCTTTAAACTGAAATAGGATGAAGGGGAGTTACCTACATATTAGGTGGGGTGATTGAATAAATTCTACTAATCTCCATTTCACTCTCTTTCTCTTTTTTAAAATGTTAGAGAAAAACAAAAGGCAAAACTCAACCACATTTCTGAGACTCTCTTGTCAATGTGAATCAAACATGTACACTCATATAAAAATGAAACACGAAATTTATGCACACAATTTTCCTGAAGACTCTGCCTGTTGGTTTCATTATCAGGGTTGTAATTTAACTACAGAAGTTTCCAGTATTTTCCAGCTTTAAGTGAATAAAACAGAGTGGTCATATTTGTCACCTCTTGTTACAACTCCTTGATCCTTGAATTACAATTTTAGGTGATTTTTTTTCCAGTCTCTTTTCACTGTTCTGAGGTTGGTGATGAGGTGACAGTGACTCTATGTAAACTTTACTCCAGTGGTGATCTCAGGGTAGCAGTCCCCTTGATGTAGAAATTTGCTCCTTAGTTCAGCTAAAACTGGATTCGCATCACATGACCAAGAAGGATTAGGAATGCAGACACATTGAAAGGTGAGGGGAATGGAATTTACTGGGTGAAAAAGGAAAAGAAGAAGAAGAAGAAGAAGAAAAAAAAAAACTCCCAGCAAAGTGAAAGGGGTTCCTGCTAACAGCCCCCCGCCCACCTCACAGACAGAATCTCATATTCATGAGAATAAATATTGTATATAACTGATATCCCCCTAAACAGAAGGTATGTAAATCCACCCTTCCACCAATATTAATTGAAAATCCCCAATGGGAACCAGTTATATTGTCCAAGCATGCATGGTGTAGAGTAGAAGCTGGAGTGCTGGTAGGGACAAATTCTTCATTTTCTAGCCCTCTGTAGAGTGTTTACTCGGACTCATGGCAAAAGCTCATGAACTTCTCCCAGCAACAACTACGAGGACTTGGGACTAGAAATTTTTCACCTGAGGGGCATTTCCTGCCTTGCTGTGGAACGTTAAATAAAGCTATCCATGTGACCACAGGGTGTAAAATGATCTTGACACCTGAAATACTGTGCTAAGTAATGTCAGGGAACACTCTAATTGTGTAGCAGTGCCCCGAAGAGTTCCATAATAAAATGGAAATGGTTTATACAGGGTCGTTCTACCTGGAGAAGGCAAGGAGGGGACAATCACTAGCAGGGAGCCTCTTTTCCACAAGAGCTGATCCTGGAACTGTGTGAGGAGCTGCTGGGTTCTATTGACAATGGGAAAGCGTCCTATAAACGGCTCTCAATTGACCAACAAAGGGTTGCTTGGTTTATAGACGGTGGTTCAAAGGTAAATGTACAACATCCTGTTTGAAAGGCTGCTACTTTGACTAAACAAGGTAAAAGTAAATCAGCTTGGTGGGCTGAATTACATGTTGTTTTTCCATCAGTGATGGAAAAATTGAATGGTGGTAGAACCTTCTCTGTGAGTTTTTACTGACTTGTGGGTAGTGGCCAATGACCTGGCCATATGGTCAGGGAGGAGGGCAATAGAAACCTATCTTATTAAAAGGATGCCCACATAGGGCACAGCCCTATGGAAATTTGAGCTCACATTAAGTAGAACATGTTGATGGCCATGCAGAACCCTTTTCCATGCATGGAAGGTGACTGGAATTGACAAGCAAATATCCCGGAGTGCTCTCCTGAGGGCTAATTTGGTCCATGAAATGAGTGGATACAGGAGTGCTGAATCTGATCAGGCTCCTTTTATACCTTCTCAGGCACATAATGTCAATAAGAATGGTTTTGTGTGCCAGCAGGAGAGACAGAGGGTGCTGACAGATACGGGGCAGATTCCCTGGTGGGAAGTCCTGAACATAGCTTGCAAGTGAGACAGATGCTGGAATCCCTGGGAAGATACGAATGGGTCTTTGTAGGAATAGACACTGATTATGGACTGGGTTTTGCTTGTCCTGTGAAAGATACAAATGCCCCGAGTGCTGTTACAACACACATATACACGCACGCGTGCACATGCACACACACACGCATGCACACATGCATGCACACACACACACCAAAATATACAGATTTGGACATCTGACTTTCATTTCTTCAGACCAAGAAACATACTCTACAGCCCATCATTTTCAACAATGGGCAAAGATATATCCTCCTCAGAGAAAGTTTAATAGAAAAGTGGAATGGACATTAAAACATTGGTTGTCTAAAACAGGGGGAGATGAAAGCATGAAGGGCTGGCTTACACACCTTCATGGACGTGTGCTAATACTCAACATGAGTGGGACTAAAGGAGTGTCCTCACTAGATTTTCCTCAGTTTTTCTGGTTGATCTGGGAAAGAGGGATGGGGAAGGATACTGGTATGACTATGTGATTATTGCCAAAGGAGGAGTAAGCCAGTATAATGATTATACGATTATGCTTCTTTCCTTTTCTTTCTTCCCACATCACCTCAACTTTTTTTTCTCCTTTCCTTACTTGGTAAGTGGTCCTAGGACCAGGACTGCAACTACAAGTGATCGAAACAAGAATGATTTCTAAAAGAAAAAACAAACACACAAAAAAGAACCTTCTGCCATAATTCTTAAGTGCCTGATGGGGGTGGGTTGTGCCTTTACAATCTGGCAAAATTTGAGTTAACAGTGAATGCAGCCTATATTGCCTGGTGTTAAAAATGGCCCTATAGTTCTGACCTATGTAACCATACCCTAAGTAAGTGTTGGAATGAACTGCTGGGGAAGCACGTGCTACCCACTAGTGTTGCTGCCTGCAATCTAGACCAGCACAGTGATGATTCTAACGTCCCTTCCAAAGGTGAAAAAAGTTTGGACATTGATGGAAAAAAGGAGAAAGAGTAACTGGAAGGTTATGGAATAAATGAATGGGTTGTAAATTGAGAAAAACCTAATATTAGTTAACACCTTGAAGGAGATTCAGAGCTAGAGAAGACATTGTTTCTTAGCTGAATTATGCCAGATGTCTGACAGGGTGAAGCTATAGGTTTGTGGAGACCACATCTGCTTTCGGAAGCTGATAAGATTGAACGAAAGCCTGCACCTGAGTGGCCTCAGTCTAGCAGACATTCATACAATATGATAGACTAAGCTATTTATTAATGATGAACTGGAGTTCTAGTGATTTGGCCATACGTTTTGAGTTGTATGTCTTTTTGATGTAAGGGATCTGAGTTCAAAGACTGGGGTGGACTCCAATATTGTGAAATATATATTTTATCTTTGGCCTCATTTTTTTGGCATACAACTCCTAAAATCCTTAGAAACTCCAAAGTGATGCTAATAAATTGATTGATGGTTGGCAGGTTCTAGAAAGCTTCAAGGTTGAGGCTGGCCACCCAAAAGACCAAGACAGGAGTAGAGGATTGAGATTTTCGGCCTTCAAGGAGGGGAGAGGGTCTAAAGGTTAAGTTGATTACCAATGACTATTGGTTTCATCAGTCATGCCTCTTTAATAAAGCCTCCATAAACACCTCAAAAGAATGGGGCATGAAGTGCTTCCAGATAGCTAAACATCTGGAGCTTCCTGAAGGGTGGCACTTCCAGGGAGGGAATGAAAGCTCTGTAACCCTTTCCATACCTCACCTTATGCATCTCTTCATCTGTATCCTGTGTAATATCTTCTGTAATAAACTGGTAAACGTAAGCAAGTGAATCCTTAAGTTCTGTGAGTCTCCCTAGTGAAAACTCCACTGGAAGATTGTCAGGCAAAGGTTCCAGAGGCCCAGACTTTTGCCTGGTGCCTGGGGGGTCAGTCTTGGGGATTAAGCCCTCAACCTATGAGATCTGATACTATTGCCAGGTAGACAATGTCAGAATTGAATTGGAGGACACCCAATTGTTGTCCACTGCAAAAATTGATTGCTTGCTTCGTGGTCAGAGAAGTTTTCTGTGCCCATTGTTTTAGTGTCGGAGTAGAGGAAAAACACAGTTTGATTTGGCTTTTACACACACAAGAACCCATTACCCTGATTTGATCATTACACACTGCATGTATATAGTATCAAAATATCACATGTACCCCCAAAATGTAAACAAGTAAGACATTATATATAAAACAGAGAAGAGCTCAGGCATAAATTGGCCATTTTCAAGAAGAGAGTGAATAGAGTCTAAATTCTGGGGACTTACGGGTTGGAGAAACCAACTGCTTCTGTATAGCAGGGGATAAGAAGGTTTATCAGAATCTCATATAAGTTTCTTAGTCTAAGGATGGAAGGCAGCCTTGGGGCCAAAGATCAGGTAAGGAATGTTGCATTTCCGTCCAAGCTTATTGTTTCAGATCACCTCAAGGTAGCTCCAATGAAAAGGCAGTGTAAGCCATGGTTTGAACAAGTTGGGGGTTGGGAAGAGTGTTCCTTGGCACCAAAAAAAACCTGGAATCAAATAAATTAATTCCTAGTAAGTTTTCAGGGGTGGTTTTAGCCAAATAAATTATATGAGTCATCTGCAAAACTCTGGTTGTCAATCCCCAAGTCAATTTTCAAGCACCAAACCTGCATTAGCAGAGGTAGGGTATAAGCTCAAAGCACTCCTAAAGATAGTTTACTCTTCAACACCCACTTCAAATTTTACCACAGAGAATGTGGACAAGAAAGAACTATTCAGAAGAAAATGCCAGGGGACTACAGGATGCAGGAGAAAGGAGCACCTCCTAGAGAACAGGACCAGGGTCTGCCAGGGCAGTAAGTGCTTCAGAATCTCTGTCCGGCAGGATCTATGCATGGCCATGCTCTTTAACTGTGGAATATTCCTCTTTATTTGCCTACCCACATGGGGTTATGTATTGTAACCATCTGTTTTCTGCTCCACCAGGTCTCTGTTCCATGAGGAACTATAGTGGGCCTTGATAGAAAAACGATAACAACAACAACAACAACAACAACAGCAACAACAAAACTGCTGTGCATCTCCCAGAGAAGTTTGTTGCTGTTGTTGTTTCTTTCCCTTAACATCTTCTCATTCAACTCAGTAGCCTCTAATTCAATATTTGCAGCAACCCAGCTTCTCCTTATAGACAAAGGACAAAGGCAATGCCCTAGGGGAGGATTGAGTAGCAAGTTGGAAAACAAACTGAGTCCCTGATGGCCTGAGGGCACAGTCCAGTCTCTCCTAGCCTAGAGCAATGAGAGAGTCACATGAAGGGAAATAACTGGTATCTTATTTAAGCAATTCGTTGTGAGTTTTTTTTGTTTTTGTTTTTGTTGTTTTTTTGTTTTTGTTGTTTTGTTTTTTTTTTTGGCAGCATCAGCAGCAGCTTAGCATTGACCCTAAAACAGCTAATTTCAAGTCTTTCCAAAGTGCAACCCTAAGATTATTTTCTGAAGTTACATTCTGTGTTTCCTTATATGTATCAACCTATTCAGACCAACGTATTAAAAGCAACTTATTCTGCATATACTGCTCTTGACTACATCTTGGACATTCCTCTCTATGGGTCTTAGTCATATGATTTATTTGACTCTTCTGAATCCTCTCCAACTAAAAACTTACTTATCTCATTTCATAAAATAGTCTTCCTTTAGCATATGTATATAATAGTTAAAATTGTTTTTTAAAAATCAGCTTATGGAATCAGTTTTATTTTTTAATTTCCAGGTCATTACCATGTATGTCTTATTTTTCCAACTTGAGTTATGTTTCAACAAGATAGAAATGGTGTCATGCCATATTTTATACTCATTTGACATTTGTGCCTCGGGCTTCAATAATTATTTGGTGATGGATTAACTGCTAAAATACAGTGGCATTTCTCAGTCTTCATATTTGTTGAATATATAATTCCAGTAAATTATCCATGATCGGCTTAACACATCTTTTTAAAGAATTAAATTACCTTTATCCAAAAGTCTTAATACAGATACTTGTCCCAATTCTGTCAGAGGAGAGCCTATTCATATTTTTCTATTATTCTGAATTAATCTATCAAATGCTACTCTGTGCTAAATGCAACATTATTCCATGTTCAGAAACTTTAATGTGAGTATGGCTGCTAATATGCCTCCTTTTTGTATTTGTATTTCTTTGGTTTTGGTAATATTCTGGTAGTTATGTACAACAGAGTTAGCTTCGAATAATCATAACTTTTTATATTTCATGATCCTTTCACCCAACTATGTTAACACAATGGTGGTTATAGAGTTTACAAAACAAAAATATAATATCGTTTTTGTAAATTCATTTTGGGTGATAAAATTTATTTAGCCAATAAAAGGGCACAGATATTTCCAATTGAATGGGCATTACCTCTTATTCATGGGTCAACATAACTAATGACTTGTCCTTGTATATGGTGCAAAGTATTTTCTACCTTGTATTTAACCATAAATCTACATCTGATGCTGAAATATTTTTCTGTAGTGCCAGTGGACCTTATCTGTATCCACAATATGAAAACAGAATGACATTACCAACATAGCATAAATGTGTATGTGTTTGGTTTTACACTAACTTTTCCAATGCTTCATACTTTCTTTCCTTGGAAATATATGCATCTTACCCTGAGACTTATCTAAATATTTTTTTAAAATGACAATAGACTTTTCTCCTACTGCTTATAATACATTTTAATCAGTGTTCATTCCTCCCTAAAATCAATCCAATAATCTATTTTCCTCTTAGGCAGCCCAGCTAAGACAGTACTGTCTTGCTCTTATTTCTTTTCTAGCAACCAGTAATTTATTTGGGTTCCCTTTCAATAAGTTAAAATAATAACAAATAATGATAATAATAATAATAACAAATAACATATAATAGTTGTCCTTTTGATTAGCAACTCTGAACCTTTTTGAAGTTTCAGGATGACTTCCAAAACGGCAAATGCGGCCTCATGTTTGCAACATCTCCAGCATCCCAGTGAGGTCTGTGACATGACTCCAGCTTAGAAATTATGCTTATGGAAAGGAAATGGCTTACAGAAGTGAATGGATTTTCACATAGAAACAGAATTGAATCACATAACTATGTAATTTGACTCATACAAAATCACATGGTGGCAATGTGATCCAGTGCTTATTAAAACAAGTTTAAATCATGCTATTCCTGCAACTCTCTTCTATACTACAGATTCCACTCTATTATTTTGTATTTAAACATTTAATTCTATGAGATCTGTGTGATAATTAACTTTTAAATTTTTCTACTCAAGGAGGTAATGCAATTAGTTTAATTCTTTTTTGCTTGGGGACAACACAGTGTGCTAAATTCTTGGTATACAAAGATGAATTAGAGTCCCTCTTCTCAAGATGCTCAAAATCTGGTGAGGAAGTAAATGTATATAGAAATAAATTTCATTCAGTTTTATGTACTGAAAGAAAAGACCATGAGGACGTTATAGATGCAATAGGTGATTCAAAACACTCATAAAATGTTTGCTCAAACTGAAGTCCCCAGGTAAATTCCAAACTATACCATTTATGTCCTGTGTGAATGAAATGGTTCAATATTTGTAATAAAGAACATTTTGTATCACTAAAAAATTTGGAAAATGGATTTGTTTGTTAAGTGTTTGGAAGTCTCAGGATGAGAGGTACTAGGTGCAAAACGTTTTGTTTCAGCTTGATGTTATGCTCTCCTAAATTATTTTTAATCATCTGGGAAATAAACCCTGAGATTAATTTTCTCTAAGAAGTACAAACAACTTGATTTTACTTCCCTTAGTAGATATAATTTTGCATTGTTTTAAAGCATTGTTAATTGATCTCAGCAGGATCATGCTTCATCTATTTGACTGAATAATTATGCAATTCTGTAGTCAAGATGTCTGTTATCCCTTTTTTAAATTTTTCATTCCCATTTTCAAGGTAAGGTTTTCTTCCTGATAATTTGTAAAACATTTTGCCTTTCGCAACTATACATGTGCTCCCAACAAATTGGGTATTTTTTTTAAAGAATGAGACTGTTGTAACATGTTTATTAGTATTAATCACACACTTTTTTTTAAAAATTTCTTGGTAGAGTTTTATTTCATTTATCCAAGGAAACCATAACAAAAATTTTGTTCTCCTATAGTCCTTTATATATGCTCTCTTTCAAGATTTAAATTGCATTTTAAACTTACTTATTTTCCTTTTGAAAATTATCTGGATTTTTTAGCCTGCAATTCATTGAATATATCTTTTGGTAACTACTGTGCTTGGAATGGTGCTTAATATATGATACCAAATAATAGACAAAAGAATGAAGAAATCAATGACACCTATAGGGGACTTTCTGTGAATTTGTTTATACAAATTTTCTGCTGAAAGTTAAGATTGGACCTTGGATTTCCTTTATGATTCGGAGAGGAGCAATTGAATTTTACCCTTGACTAAATTACTATTTTTAAATTAATTTTTAAGACCAAGAATGATCTAACATACTTCATTACATTTAATGAAAATTTGATACTTATGACACAACCTCTAGAAGATCATAATATAATCACATCTAATTTTGATGTCTCAAATACACAATTTATAATAATAATAAAACTGCAATTTATTGAGTTAATAATATTTGTCTCATATTGAGTGCTTGCTAAAAATATACATGACTAACATATACTGTTTTATGTAATAATATCAACAGTCTTATAAAATTGGTATTCTCATATTAAAATAATATGCATACATCATTTTGGCTACTAATTTTTTTAAAATTAATTTTGATAATCCGTTTTATCACAATTTTCCCACTCAACATTGAATTAGTATTAAATTAGTAAACTTACACACTTTATATCATGCATGCTTATGAAAATCTCTGCTCACTTGTACATTTATAGAATGTATTTTAATTATTTACTCTCAATTACTCTTTTAAAAAGCAGATAGCACCCCACGACCAAATATTTAATGAGGAAATAGTTCTCCTTCATATTTATGAGCCTATGAAAAGGATATACATCACTGCGTGAAGCCATCTATGATCAAGCCTTTCGAAATATTTTTTCGCAATCTAGTTTCTACACTACCCTACCATTTCCATGAAACCTGTCTTCATTGTATTGCCAAACCTAATAACTATTACAGTACTTTGATTCTTATACTTTTCTATTTCAAATATACTTGTTCACTGCCCTTGGAAACAAACAAACAAAAACTAACTTTTTATCCTTTTCAGATCACAATTAAAGCCTTTCTTTATCAGGAAATCCTTTCCAGATCTCCTCTTAATCAATACTAATTCAGATTTCTCCATTATATGCCTTTAGTATAACTTACATGTTTCGTTTCTGCCACATGTCGCAATACAATTAGTATTCTGTAAATTACTCATTTATTACTTTTGGTAGCCACCAAATCATAAACTCCATGTCTACCTTTTGCTAGACTATATCCCCAGAGCATTGCTGATGATAGATGTTTAATAAATACTTGTGGAATGAATATCTGCCTTTTGTAGATAGCAATATGTAATTGTGAAATGATCTAAGGCTTTTGAGTTAGGAAACCTAGGTTTGAACCACAAGTCTGCTATTTATTAGTGGGTGGCCTTTGGAAAGTTACTTAATCTTTCTGAGTCTCAGTTTTCCTTTCTACACAATGGGGAGAATTATACCCATAATGTCTAGTGTTTTGTGAGATTTAAGTGGAAGAATGCCCAAATGCCTATCAAAGCTGATACTCAACAATGAAGTTTGACTTTCTCAAACTGTTAACTCAGAAGGCAAGGGACATGCTGTAGTATTAACTAGTACATATCATAGAGCAATGTTAGTGGTAACTCTTAAAAGCTTCTGATGAATAAAATAGTGTCAGTGTCACTTACCAAGTAATTGATCTTTTCTTTCAACTAATAGAGAAGAGTGTCACTGAACTCTACCCCTTTAAACACAACTGGAATTTTAAAAGTTTATCTTGTATATTTTCCAAGGAATTATTTTGCAATATCAAAAATCTTCTACACTTTAGAATAGTCTATGTTGTCAAAATATCTTCATATTTGCTGATAATCTCAATACTGTGAGAAGAGAAGATAAATAAAATATACATATTTCCAGCCAAAACCAGATGGATTTTAATTAGACTAAATAATTTGTTATGCCTAGAGCAGTAAACTTAACATAAAGAGTCTCTGACATTTTCAGAGACATATTTTGAGTACAAATTCTTCAGGTTTATTTTCCAGTGATCTCAGTTCATCAACCTGCCCGCTCTAAGTGCTCAACCAAGAATATTGTGTAATTGGTTTTAAAGTACTGCCTCCCCTACTGCAATCCCATTTTAATCATTGTATTATGGGACGTTAGAAGACAATTTTTCAGATTCTATAATTATTTTGTGTTAGTCACCTAAACCTCTTAATCAATATATTACTGTCATCTGCTGGTAAAAGAAGATAACTGAAGTCTTTTCAGCAACTCTGCTTTCAGGTATAATAATTTGCTTCAAAAACACATTGAGATAACAAGTATAATGTGTCTAGCTTGCATGTACATCTGATGAATTACAAAAAAATTCTTCATTATACTTATAAATCTGTTTTCCTTAATTTATATATTTTAAGCAACATCATCACTTACTGTAAATACAACATACATTTAATAATTATTTTATATTTTGCAACTCTGCTTTTAGGTATAATTATTTGCTTCAAAACACATTGAGATAACAAGTATAATGTGTCTAGCTTGCATGTACATCTGATGAATTACAAAAAAGTTCTTCACTTATAAATCTGTATTTTTCACTTCACTTCACTTATAAATCTGTATATATTTAAATATATAAAATCTGTAATTTTATGTATTTTAAGCAATATCATCACTTACTGTAAATACTTACAACATATATTTAATAATTATTTTATATTTTGATATATTGAACATGGTTGAGTAATTCATTTTCTTTTCTTTTTTAAACATACTTTATTTTTTTTTTTAAGTTTGGGTATATGTCCAGGATGTGCAGGTTTGTTACATAGGTAAAAGTGTGCCATGATGGTTTGCTGCACATAACAACCCATCACCTAGATATTGAGCCCAGCATGCATTAGCTCTTTTCCCTAATACTCTATCCACCCCCGCCCTCCCAGTGTTGTTGTTCCCCTCCCTGTGTCCATGTGTTCTCATTTTTCAGCTCCCACTTATAATTGAGAATATGTGGTGTTTGGTTTTCTGTTCTGAAATTCAAACTCTGGATGGCTGGCAGAAACATTATCTAAAATCTAGTCTATCTTAGCAATTTCTAAAACTTTTTATTACTTAAAAGTAAATTTAATTCAAAAGTTTAAATATGCAGCACTACTTAGTTTTAAAACATTAAGAGTAAGAAGAGAATGTTCAATCAGAACATAATCTTTTTTGATGGTGGGTTTTGTACTTCAGTTAGTGACACATCATACTTGCTTTGCCTTTGAAAATGCACATAGACAGCATAGAGAGAAGTCCTGAATTAAAGGGTTGGAAGAAGACAAAAATATAATCCATGAGCAGTGGTTATAGAATCAGGATTGATTAAACCTGAATGTAAAACATCTTAACTGTCTTTATGAATTACTCAGTTAACAGAGGATGATGGGTAGATATTTCTCTATATGAAGATGATAAACAGGCACAAACAACAGCAGGACTTTCCTGAAAGTGAAGTCCAGATATGCTTTAAAATTGTCTTCTTTGAGTTTCATTTTGAAATAACCTAAATTTTTATCAGTTTTAGAAGTAATTAAGCGATAAGGCAGGAGATTAGGTAATCTATTAAGATTCCATTCAATGTTACTATTCATTCACTACTTCACCTGACATGATTTCCATTTTGCTTTAGGTACTTTATTCTGGATACATTTATTTGTTCATTTAAATCAAAGTTAATTTGGAGTCCAAAAACTATTCAGAGCTTTCTTCTCTTTCATTTTATTCCCCCACCTAGTTGCTTCCTGTGACATAATTTGGAAACCACTTTTCTCCTAGACATATAACTTTATGATAATTGAAGTCCTGACCTTAATTATTTTTTAGAGGGTGGAAGGAAGAGGAGTGGATTAATTCTAAGGCCAAAAGTGGTAGTTTCATTAAAAGTATCTCCTTTGTTATTACTATATTCAGAGGATTGAATTCTTATTCATTTTGTCAAAACTTATTAACCTCACTGTCTCTTGGAACAAACATCTCATCTATTAATCAAATAATTTTCCAAAAAATTAAGTATTTCAAAATAAACTACTGTTCAAAGTGTTTCTTTAAAAGTTGCTCAAAATTCACAGACAATAAAGTTGTATTGTTTTACTGAAAATTCACATATAGCTAATGTCTTGGAGAAATAACAAAATAAAAAATTAGAAATAACTTTCATTACTGACACTAAATATTTTACAAATTTAAGTTTAGAATGTATTATTAAGAAAATTGTCTATTGAAACCATTTATGTTTAGTAAATATTAGCCAATTTCTTCACTTTTCTAGTTTTAAGAAACCTAAAACTACATTTTTAAAACTCAAAGTAAATATTTTTTCTCTAAAATATATGGATGTCCTGTGCTCAATACATTTTTCTTGATTAAATTGACCTCATACTGGAAATTAATCTGTGATTTTTCTTTTACTTGCTTTGAAAAGTTTAGGCAAAAAATTAATGAAAGTTTAAAAAACACTCTCAAAATTAAGCTATATATTGTGAACCATTTTGTATTTTAATATTTTTGCTTAATATTGACATCGATATTTTAATTATTACAATGGTTTGTAATTATTTGAATTAACATTGTAATATTATATAGAATTTAGTAACTGCACAAATGAAATAAATATCAAAGCAAAATGGGAAAATATTTTACTTTTTATTGCAACATGACTTTCAGCTTATTATTTTGCAAGAACAGTAGTTCCCATATAGTCTTAATTAGTTTCCCTTGATATAACTACTTATGGAACTGCAGTAAAATGGCCAAAACTAAGAAATTAATGTTTGCACAATACTATTAACTACTGACTTTACTCAAATTGGAATATCTTTTAGTTCATTAATTACTGTTTGTGTTTTTATTATTATTTGTAGTATAAAGGTAATATAACAGTAATAAAATAAAAATTTAGAAAACAATATGAGAACAAATAACCTCTAATATTTTTAATCCTGAAGTTCTGCTATTTTCAAAAAAATTTTTTCATTTAATCTAAAGTTGGATTTTTTCTGAATTGAATATTATTTAAAAAACTCTTATGTTTGTATACTTGTTTAGTTTTCAGCATCAACTAATAGAATAAGAAGGTGATAGGTAAAACATTCTGATATATCATTTTCCATATATTTTGCCTATTGATCTAATTAAAATGTTACAACTGTTTGCACTTATTATTATCATTCGTAGTATACACTCAAGGTTAATAACAAATAATAGAGTTGGAATTCTAGCTCACCGTCCCTAACTTTAAAAATTGTCCATTTACTACTCCACTGTATTTTTCTCATTTAAATGAAATAAAGGTTTCCATGAAAAATGTGTATTTTATCTAGGTTCATGGTTTAAGATTAAGCACTGAAGGACTGAAGATAATATTAAGGAAATGAATTTGCTTATTACTATGTTATTAGAATGTAACTTTGAAAAAGCCATGTGAATGATATTATCCTCAGTTTTACTTATCTGAGTAAATATTAATATATGAGTAATGCTCTGAAGACTAAGTAATATAATATCTAAAACTTTCTAGCATAAAGAATGACCAATAATACCTCTGTGATAAGGTTTAGTTTTCTTCCCATATTCACTGTCACATGTATTGGAATAGAAGACAGTTCCTTTCAGTGACTCTTCTCCAAAGAAATAAGAATATCCATATCTACATATATAATTTTATACATCTAAAACAATAAACTGCTTATTGAAATAACTGTAAACTCTCCTTTTCCTCCTTTTTAATAGAATTGCAGAGTAGCTCTTGTGGAAATCCTGGTGTTCCACCCAAAGGTGTATTATATGGCACAAGATTCGACGTCGGGGACAAGATCCGCTACAGCTGTGTAACTGGATACATCCTTGATGGCCACCCTCAGCTCACCTGCATAGCCAATTCAGTTAATACAGCTTCGTGGGATTTTCCTGTTCCTATCTGTAGAGGTAAAATGAAAACACTTTAAAAATGAGAGTTGTTATCAGCCAGTGTATTTGAAAAATGTGTTTGGTGCCTGTTTCTTCTACGGAATCTAAAGGATAGAGAGGCCAGGCATGGTGACTCACGCCTGTAATCCCAGCACTTTGGGAGGCTGAGGTGAGTGGATCACTTGAGGTCAGGAGTTTGAGACCAGCCTGGCCAATATAGTGAAGCCCCATCTTTACTAAAAATACAAAAATTGGCCATGTGTGGTAGTGGACGCCTGTAGTCCCAGCTACTCAGGAGGCTGAGGCAGGAGTGTTGCTTGAACCCAGAAGGTGGAGGCTGCAGTGAGCTGAGATCGCGCCACTGCACCCCAGCCTAGGCAACAGAGCAAGACTCTGTCTCAAAAAACAAAACAAAACAAAAACCTAAAGGATAAATAGTCTCATATACTACATGAAAAGGAGAGAAAAATACTAAATTCTAGTATTGACTAGTATCTCTTTCACATTGCTTGTGAAATTAGGTAGTAAATTATATATCTCTATATGCATAGTTATGCATGCATTGTGTATTTATATGCTTTCATATTTATATTTAAAACATGGAGTTTATGATTAGAAATTTAATTAGGCTGTCAAAATTGTTTTGCTTTAAGAAATATTGACTGAGTCTAAATCTTTCTGATAGACGACAGCATGGAAATTTTCGAAATTAATTATGCTGCATTTGTTTACTATCAATACTATTAAGATTATTTGTATCATGGGGAAAACACAATAATATAATAATGTGGACAAAGGTTCAAAATACAGAGCTTGGGAAACAGAACGTGTTCAACATTAGCTAAGCACATGGATGGATTTTTCTTACAAAAATTCTGGAGGCCAACATTGTGTTTCCTCTGGGCTTCTTTTTTTCCTTAGTAAGCATATGCTTCTGTAATTCCTCCATGACTGGGATGTGGGAATGTCCAACTGCCCATCTAAATTACTTTGTAGCTTCCTCCCAAACATGTCACTGCAAATACATGCACCACAACCTCCTGGTAATTAGACACAACAAGCTTCTTATCCCAGCTTTGTCAATTGCCATGTGAGTTACCTCAGGAAAATCAGTTCAACAATTTGAGTCTCATTTACCTCATTTAACTAATGAAAACAAAACAAAACACAAAACACCTGTTCCATTTCTTGTGAGGATTAAATAAGATAAGCTACACTGGCTGCTTAGTAAAAATGTCTGCTATATGTTGGCATTCTTTCAATGTTAGATTCCGTTGCTGCGTATGCTTCAACTACTACGGCTACCACAATTACCGCTATCATTACTGCTACTGCTGGTGTTGCTACTAATATTGAATAACTGCTATTAGCTGTCATTTATTTAAGCACTATAAATATACTATGAAATTTATAAGCATTATCACTTAAATTTCACTATAATAGGAAACTGAAGCTCAGATATTTAAAAATAATTGCTCTAGATTACTCAGCTGGTAAACATCAAGAACTATGAAGAGTTCTGACATTTTACTCTACTTTCAAGTTAAAACTCTTTGCCACAGTTTTATGGATGTTGATGAAAAACACAAGACTGTTGAGTCAGAAATAAAGGATAGTTTATTACTCACAGCAGCACTAGGAGCAAGAATAGCAGGATTTGTGCCAGTTTCCCAAGCCCTAATTCTCATAGAATGGCATGAAGAGTGTGAGAAACCTGCACAACATACTAAATGGTATTATAAGAGATGAACCATGAGCTTAGAAACCTGACTCTTTTATAATGGGCAGTAGGCCCTCCCATTCTTTCCTCTGGAGGGAGCACTATCTCCGTCTCTCAAGGCTGTAAGCAGAGTTATCCTTTGCTCTGGTGGAAAACACTATATTCTCCTTGGCTATTTTCTGTACAGAAGGATAACCAGGTACAAAAAAGCAGGATAACTGGTACCTGTGCTCACAAGATATGCAGAAACATGAGCATTCAATGGAGAAATGTCTCCCAAAAGCAAATGGGCTGTGGTAAAGAAGCAAGGTCTGAAATATTCTCTCAGGTTCCAAAGCCTGAGCTTGTTACCTTTTTGATACATCACCAAAATAATTTGTGTCTCTGTTTAAGAACTTTTCTTTATAATTGGAGGAATTGGATATTATATGGAATATTATATGGAAATCAGCAGAAATGCAGTCTTTAAAAAAAAAACCATAAAACTCCCTAAATCAGAGACATATTAACATTCTTAAAAACCAAGTAGTAAGACACTTAAAACTAAGAAGTACTTTGAAGAGATTTCAATGGAGCATTCTCAACACTGCCTGAAAATGAATCTCTGTTGTTAGGTTCCTTCATCTCAATTCAGACAATAGCCTTTGGAATCAGAAAGGCCTTATTCTGAATACTGATTCTGCCACTTATTGACTATGGACTTAGAGTAATAATTGAATTATTTTGGAAGCTATTTTTTTTTTAGCTATACTGGGATGAAGAGAGAGGCAGACATACCAAAATCATAAACCTGTTAGAGTTTAATGTAATAGCATTCATAAAACATCAGTTACATACCAATTTATTACTTATGTTAGCTCTATCATCCAACTTTTCCTCAGCACCTGTTACTATTTCCTCCCTAAAGAAAGGATATACAGTCAACAAAGACAAATTTGAAATGGAATAATATCAAATGTCCTTCTGTTCAAATCTAACCCTAAAACCAATGCTTCTATTGCTTTTTTTTTTTTCTATTGCCATTTTAGTTTCAGGGTTAAACTCTGCTACCAGAGTATTTACTTCCCTACTCTTCACTCCCAGGTCCCAGCAAGATTTGACCACCACTCTAACTTCTATGATTTTTTAAAATCTATCAAAATTGGCACCCACTATTTTTGAAAATGCTACCTGATTAACTTTAGTCTACCCAGGTCACTTTTTTTTCTCCTCAGCTGTAAAACTAATGAATAAATTTACTGATTTGTATGTATTTATTAAGGGCCTTCCTTCTGCAAAGCATTATGTTATGTGCTGAGAATCAAAAGATTGATTAAGACACATTTTCTGTTTTTAAGAACCTGTGGTCCAGTGGGGCAGACAGTAATCAAGTAATTGCAGTAATGTATGATGATTGCTTTAATAGCAGAATCTGTAGAGTAAGCTAGGAATCTTGATAAGGAAGGTATTAATATCGCCCATTGAGTGCAAGGAATTTCAGCTAGGGACAACGCTTTAAGAGAAGATTTTACAGATAATTGCTAAAAATACAAACTATATAGAGCAAGAACATTTTGAATGAAACAATAATTCATGTAGAAAGTACAGATTTTCCTTTCCAGCCTCAAAATTAGTTCTCACGTGTTACTAATATTCACTGGCTAAAGGTAGAGTCTAAGTCATACTTCATAGAGCACATGATCTAACTTTCTAAGGTGTGATTTATCTCTCACTAACCAATTTTTTTCATTAAAACTTAAAGAATGGAGTACTGTATATGCAGTGTGTGTAGTTGTCATTCATTTCCAAAGAAAAGATGGCAGACTACTCAGTTCATGCCTTCCCTCTGCTTTTCTTTGCCACTTGATAGCATTTATAACTTTGCAGGGGGCTGATGACTCTGTAATGATCTACTCATTGCTTTCCCTGGAGTTTACGTAGAGTCTCTCCTTGATGAAACCTTTGCTTGTAGAGAGTTCTTTTGATGCTTCCTAACAATGGTAGTTTAATTAAGAAAAAATGTATTCCACATCAACCTAGAGGGTATGGTGTAAAGGTTTTGTGTTTGTTCACAGGCAGGATGAATTTTATCAACACCATCTGGTAGTATTTGTAAAAGTCAACTAACTGCCTGCTGCTGGGCTAAGCAACATTCTGTACAAAGTGAAGCCTAATTCCTATGCGCCAAGTCTTGAATGAGAATACCTGGGGCACATGATGTAGCTTTAGAATCCTTCTTAACCCAGTTCTCACAGATGAAGTGGCAGATGAGGTGAAATGGTTATGCTATTCCTATGTTAACAATTCCAAAATTCATAATTATATTTTGCATTCAGAATGGCAATATAATACACATACCCCAGGAAAAACTAATAGAATTGTATGTAAAAGAGACACATACTTTTGATGGAAGAGTTAACATATTAAGATTTAAGAAGGCAGTCATAGGAAACATATGGCTAAATTAGAAATGTGAATTTTAGATTAACCAAAGAAAATTTTAAAAGAGTGGTATATTGTATTGATGATTTGAGTATATTTGTGGCCAAAAAGAAAGAACTTGGAATGCATATGAGGGCTCAGGGAAAGGACTGATCAATAAGGGGATGTGATGCTATAAAATGTTGACAGAGTTTACTGTGATCTGACAGGTGAGATAGTTTTTGGAGAAGCTTGGATGTTAGTGATGTAGATGTTGTATGGTAAATTATTGCTGAGTGACCTAAACCATATATTTACAGTACATCTAAGCAAAAGGGCTAATGAGGAAACTGTTGCCTTTGACAAAGAAAAATAAATCTTCCAAGTTTTATTCTTGGAAGACTGTTTTCCACAATGTGTTAGAGAAATGACTGATGAAATAAGAACAGCAGCTTGATTTGTCACCATATTATATTATTCTCCTGCCAAAAAACTTTGATCAACAATTTTCTGGATCAAAATGTAATACCAAAACATGGAATTGGGCTGAGCAATAAAAGACAATAGTTGGAGAAGAAAGAAGTAGGAAGCTTTAGCCTAGTAATTTTTTAAATTTTATATACCAAAATTCCTCCAAAGAAGTAGTGACTTAGTTAATGAAAGGATATTTATTATGTTTGCTTGTTCCCTGCTCTGTATCTGGAAATTACCTCACAAAGGCAGTAGGAAATCAAAAATGTCATTTATTTTATGCATAGTAAGTCCCAATTACATATGAGTAAATGCTGAAATGTGATATCAGAAATATGATACTAAATAAATAATAGATAAGGTTATTGATAAAACTAACTTAAAGAAAACTGAAAAGTACTATATTGAAACAAGACACAAAAATAATTTGGTGCCATATTTCTATTCATTCCCATATAGTGCTTAAATATAATAATAAATTGTACTTCGCCAAAATGAAAATATATTTTAAGATTTTATGTACTCAATCAAAACAAAGCCCAGTTTTATCTATTCACTGTAAAGATTATTTTTTAGCATTTTTTGTAGCTAAAATCTGTAGTTTTTTTTTTTTTTTTTTTTTTTTTTTTGAGACAGAGTCTTGCTCTGTCACCAGGCTGGAGTGCAGTGGCACGATCCCGGCTTACTGCAACCTCTGCCTCCCAGGTTCAAGCGATTCTCCTGCCTCAGCCTCCCAAGTAGCTGGGACAACAGGCGTGTGCCACCACACTGAGCTAATTTTTGTTTTTTCAGTAGAGACAGGGTTTGACCATGTTGGCCAGGTCTTGATCTCTTGACCTCGTGATCTGCCCGCCTTAGCCTCCCTGAGTGCTGGGATTACAGGTGTGAGCCACCACGTCCAGTCTAAAATCTGTAGTTTTTAAAAACATTTTATTACAAACCATTGTAAACTGTCATCTCCTTTTTTCTTAAACCCACTCCCAGAAAAGACAATGTGTTATTGTAACTCTCTGAATCACAGAGAGAGTAGCGTCAGTGGTAACCTCTTTTACGCCAAAGAAGAAAGGACTCAAATGCACTATTGAATATAAAAATGTCATGAACCATGTATTAAAAGTTCTTTTCGAGGATTGAAGCATTGACGGTTTGACTGAGTTCATTTTCAAACATATTATTTTAAATATTATTTCAGAAAATGTTTTAGCACAGACTTTGAGTTCCACCACCACACTTGCCAGTATCTGAGCAATATTATTTGGGCACATTCAGCTTTCATTAGCTGTCATTTCACATAGAGATCTAGTTTCTTAATGTGAGCAGTTATATTTGATGCTAATGAAGAAAACATGTTGTGCATGTCTTTTAAAGAACAAGCAAGTTAAGCATGAATTGTTTGGTAATGGAATTATTTTATCAGCTCAAAGCCTGCTAACAAAATTGCAGTGATGTCAATCCACAAGGAAAACTTCACAAGTGTCACAGGTCACTTGGTGCTGCTTCAACACTCCCTGGAAAATACAGGCTATTCAATCAACAGTCAGATCAACACTCAATAGCCCTATCATGCACCTTAATCTTGTTTTGAAAAGTACATTTGTGTTATAAAATAACGTACATGTCCTGATTAGACTGTTTTAGTAGTATCTAAAGTGATGGAGTAAAGGCAACATGATTTGTCTTTAGGGGTAGAAGACCTACGAGTTGATTTATATTTCTGCCATGTATTACCTGAGTGTGTTATTTCTTATGTCAAAAACTGAGTATTTTTACTTATTTCAGAATGGTGAAGGTTAAAGAAATTAGATTAAATGATAGTTTTGAAAAATTTATTTAATGCTTAACACATAGAAGGTGCTCAAAACTATCTAATTAGTTCCAAACACATAAAAGTCAATTATTTTAAAAATCTTATAGAAGTAATAGCTATCACTTGTTACGTTTGTATTTATCGTATTTAAAATATCTATTGACAGTTAAACATGTGCCTGGGTTCAGAAATAGTGGAGAATATTTAAAAAACTAAGATAGTCAAGAACTCTGGAAAGAGTAGACTCTAGACTAATAAAAGCCTTGGTTTGCTTCATATTCTGCCACTGAGAAGATATAAAACCTTAACCTATATATTTAATTTTTTAGACCTCAGTTTTCTCACTTGTATACTAGGGGCAAGTCTTACTTATAGTATTAAGATAAGGATTATATTAGTTAATGTATGTAAAATACCTAATCAATGGTATTCAACAACTAGTAATAACTACGTTATTTTTATCATGTTCACAACCAAAAGAGGACAAACATACTAAGAGTCATTTGTAAAGTTATATTTTTGAATATGATAATAACACTGAGGTATGAAGTACTGAAAAACTAAGGGTACCAGAGAATGGATGTATCTAGGTTCTGGGATCATACAGGCAGTAGAATTAATTTTTTCAGCATTAAAAGGAACTTTAAGCCTCACATTACCCTAAAAATTAGGTGTGGATCAGCAAGTATTAGACATCGTTTTTGAAAATATATTTTCCAAAGTTAACATAGCATTTCTGAGTTATCCATGTCTGGAAGTTCTCACATTTGAAGTATATTCAATAATTAAACACATACATATTTTACTTTATTTTTCACTTAGTATTATTATTTTTTGAGACAGAGTTTCACTCTTGTCGCCCAAGCTGGAGTACAATGGTGCAATCTCAGCTCACTGCAACCTCCATCTCCCGGGTTCAAGCAATTCTCCTGGCTTATCCTTCCAAGTAGCTGGGATTATAGGTATGCACCACCACATCAAGCTAATTGTTGTATTTTTAGTAGAGATGTGGTTTCACTATATTGGTCAGCCTGGCCTTGAACTCCTGACCTCAAGTGATCCATTTGCCTCGACCTCCCAAAGTGCTGGGATTACAGGTGTGAGCCACCGCACCCAGCCATAAACTCATATATTTTAAAAACTCACTACACACAAGTCACATTTCTAAGTATAATGATTAATGAAACAGCTACAGGCCTCATGAAACTCAATCTATTGAGTTTTGTATTTGAATATGGGAGTTTTGTATTTGAAAGGTGATCTGGGTTATTGTCTAACTGTGTATAGTCTAATTTCATGCAAAAAGATCCACTGGTGTTCTTATATAAACAATATGTGTTGGCCTTATGTATGTTTCTTATGATCAAGGAAGAAAATCAAAGCTTCCTGTTCTTATCCTGCCATCACCCTTGACCCCACCATGGCAACAGTCAGCCATATATTTAACATTGACTTACATTATGTTCCCCATTTTGCATTTGTGAGTTGTGTTTTCTTTCATTCACACAACTATTTACTTTTTCCCCTCATCTTGTATGCAATAGCTAAAACATTTTTGTTGGTTTACTCTATTGTTCAAGTTTTTTATTCCTTCATCTATCATTCTTATTTTAAACTAATCCATTTTCTTTGACGATAAAGAGACCATCTGTGTATTTTTTTAGTATTATATGTTACGATAGTGTAAATTTAGAGATTTTTATTTCTTCGATGGAATGATTTTAACTTCATTCTCTTTCTGTGCAATTCCTAGAAAAATGTCAGCTGTGTATTTTTTAAATCAAAGAAAAACGTCAGTCTCTTTTTGAGGCAACTGAGTCTTCATTGCTTACACAAATTCTGTGTAACTTTGAGTCTTTTGTTTCTGGGAAGGCTTTTGTTTACTTGGAGTTTTTTGTTTACTTGTTTTGACAAATAAGAATTTTAAAGTAAATTTTCTAAATGCAAAATCCAGATTGTTTAGGGAAAGTTTACATTTTTGAAGAAGCTATAACAAATAGTTTAACGATGTTGTTCCCAAAATTAAAACAGAATTTTATAAACATTAAGTAAATACTCATTTCTAACACAAATCTACATTCCACAATATGTAGAAGGAAAGACAAGTTATATTATCTTTGCGTCCACAAAGCATTCATATGATTATATAGGCCCATGTCTTAAAGAGAAAATGATGGGGCATGCTTAGCCAAGAATATATTGACAGCTTCAGAATCCCCTGTGGTGAAATAGACTGTTCAATGCATGATAAGAACCTTGAAAAGCAATCATCTAACTTCCTGCTAGGATATAAACTCAGTGAACCACAGCAATGACCATCTGGTATTCTTTTGCTCTTTGCAAAGCCACCACTCTAAAGACGAAGCAAAATGAATTAGAATAAACCAATGGAGGAAGGAGAATAGTAGCCACCAAAGACATTTAATGCTATGTGACACATATTTTAGTAGACTCATTCCATGTGAAAAGTCCTTTGTGTTTTGTGCTAAGAAAGCATAGTAATAGGTATTTTTACAGCAATCACTGGGGAGGGATACTTTGTACACTTTTGGTCTTGTTCTCTTTTTTTTCCTGTGTAATATTATTGATCACTCACTAACGTAGGAAGTTAAGTAAAAGATATACGTGGTTGAACCATTCAGTGATGAAAGTTCTTTCATATCATTAATAATAGAGAACAGAATTTAAATTCTGGAACTTGGATGCCTTCAAAAACTCTAATTTTTGGTCTAAATGTGCATGAAATCTAAAGGCTTTTTATAACCACTTTTCTTAGGCTTTTTCCATTGCATATCTGATTCAAAAGAAAATAAATAATTTTCTTTTTACTCCATAATTTTTATGTATGTAAAACTGGGTCTAAATACATTAAATATTTAAGGAGTCAGGGAGGAATTGTTTTTTTTTCTTTTTTTTTTTGCACTAATTCCTTATATTTTGACCAAGGCAATTTCCATTTACTGCTCCCGACATTTGTTGAAGTTACTATAGTATTCAAAGCTAAATTATTAAGGCCACTTGTTATCTATTAATATTTAATTTATAGCTAACTCTAAAAAAGCAGTTGATGCAGCAAAAAATATGATATATGTAGCTAAATAACATAAAGTGGAATTAAGGCAAACTATAATAAAAGAAAATAACAGGAGAGTAAGATGAAACCAAGAGCAAGGTTAATTTACAAAAGTCAAGTTCTGAATTCTTGTATCTTTGTTAGAATCAGCATTATATTTAGCTTTTATTTTTCTTACACCCTAAACAAATCTGGAAAACACGATTAGTTTATAGTCTCACAAAGTAAAAGAAAATAATTTCTGATGAAAACCAAACTTACTGGACAATGAAATATTTCTTTAGCTAAACAACGCAAAGAAGGCACAGTATAATTTAAGGAGCTACATTATCTACAATATTAGTAATATGAGAGGAAAATTAGCTTCTCAGGTCAGGTTTGTATTACCTCTTTTTACTGACATATAAACAATGCCTTTGTATTGAAAAGTAGATGGAGAACTGCATTGGAGAATTGTATTCACAGAGTCAGTAAAATCAAATCATACATGCCTAATGTCACTGGTCAAGTATGAGTGATGTATAACACAACTGTCTAAATTTAGTTCTGACCCAATTTTTATATATTTTCAAAGTTTGAATCTCTTTGTTAATTCATACATTTGGAATTTGCCCTGCAAGTTAGTCATCTGAAAACAGAATCAAAAGCATAATGTTTTTGCATTAATATTATCTTAATTTTTTCTACAGTTTAATATTTAATGGATGCCTAATTTCTAGAATAAGTTTCTTTATATATTTTCACATTTTATATAGAAAATTCAATATTAATTTAGTTAACAAAAAAATTTATACTTAGCACTAATTTCTAATAACTTTTTAGTTATAAATATAATATCAGACATTAATTTCAAGCTTTTCTGAAGTTGTTATATGATTGCATTTCTCACACACACAGCTCTTTCTAAAATGGCTTTTGTTGCTGAATCCTTGTATCTTCCATCAAATTTTTTTTTCTAAACAACGGAGATGAGGTCATTGACAATGCAGTTGCATATTTTAAAAATCATCACATTACAAAGTACTAACTTCAAAAAAATTATTGGGCATTCTATTGTTTTATCTCTATGTTTTTTCAAAACACAGCATCCGATGGCTGAAATGTTAATAAGATATCAATATTATAGCAACAGATTTTCATATTATAGGAGAGATAACATAGTTTTATTATATTTGTATTATTTTAACAAATATCTATTGAATGATGATGGAGAAGAGGTCAATAGCTATTGCTGATTTTCAGGAGCTTTTATAGCTTATGGGAAGCATACATAAATAATTACATACTAGTAAGGAGTAAAACTCCATCTTCTAAGAAAGATACAAATATAATGCCATGGAAGATCAAAGGCATCTGAAAATTTTAACGTGGTGTGAAGAGTATTAATCTTGTTAGAGACTTGAAGAATAACTTATATGTTTATACTGTATTGCCTCTCTCTTTTTATCTCTAGCATTTAATAAGCACTCTCTGTGGACCAGAGACATTTTTGAACTATTCTATGTATAACAACCCTTTTAGTCTTTGCACCCAGGCTATAAAGTGGATGGTATTCAGATCCCCATTATATAAATGGGAAAACTGAGCCACTGTTAAGGTTAAAGTGCAACATCACACAAGTAATAAAAGGTAAATCTAGGATTGGAATTCAAGAAATTTGGTTAGAGTAAACAAGTTTTTTTTTTTTTTTTTTTTTTGATGTGGGGACGGAGTTTCACTCTTGTTGCCCAGGCTGGAGTGCAATGGCGTGATCTCAGCTCACTGCAACCTCTGCCTCCTGGGTTCAAGGGATTCTCCTGCCTCAGCCTCACAAGTAGCTGGGATTACAGGTGCCTGCCACCATGCACAGCTAATTTTGTGTATTTAGTAGCGACAGGGTTTCTCCATGTTGGTCAGGCTGGTCTCGAACTCCCAACCTCAGGTGATCTACCTGCCTCACGCCTGGGATTACAGGCGTGAGCTACCGCGCCTGGCCTAGAGTGACAAGTTCTTAACCGCTATTGTTATTCTTCTTTTCACATTGTCTTGATTATACAACTTCCTCTTTCCATTTTTTCTCTAATCTTTGCCTGTATAAAGGCTTAACATTTTTCCTTAAATAAAATCCCACCAACCACCCAATCAAACATTTTTAATTTTATAACAACCTACACTCTTGAGCCAGTGTCCTTCTGCTCCACTTTAATTCAATTTAACATTTATTAATAGTAATCTTTCCTTGTCTTTTTCTCTCTTCATAAAACACTTTCTTGACCTTTCAAGATGTTTCAATGGGTGAAAATTGAAAAAAAAATCACTTTCTAGGATTCAGGAACAAATGTTATTTAGTCATGTATAACGTGTAGAGTTATATAAGTGTTAATAATTTTGGTAAAGTAACACCTTATTTGGGGTAACTAAAAGTGAGTTGACTTTGGCTGATAAAGATAAATGTAGAGAAAAGAGGTGACAATTTCAAGTGAGAAGATTGGTTGCAAGCATCTTTCAAAGATATTTTGAACAATTTGGAAACTCAGACAAAAGAGTCTAAAACTTATCCTCTAAGCTAGTGTAAACTATTAAGTGTATTTGATTTTTTTAGAGACAGTAAATATGTTCTTATGACATAATGGCAAATACTGTTCCGGTAAAAGTATCTATCATAAAAAGAGAGAACACCAGCAATATATAGGTTTGTTCTCCATTTTGGCAGACCACAAAAAGTTATGTTAGAAGTGGAGGACAGTTGAGCAAAGTTTCTATTTGCCACCTCAACAATAATAATAGCATGTCATATATTTAAGTTTATATACTATAATTTTAAGCATAACACAAAAATGACCTTATTTTACATTTCTAAAAACTTATCAATTAGGTATTATGATTTTCATCCTTTCTTGTATCCAGACTAAAGCTAGTAGAGATTTAAAAACCTGCCAAACTTTACACTGGAATAGATATTACAACCTAGTAAACCAGAACCATTTTCTGTAACAGCTTTCTGATATTCTAGAACCTTTGCAACTTTCCAATGATGGTAATTCTTCTTACACAAAATGCTTTGAATTCATTGAAGCAATGCTATACCAATTACTTGCCTTTGGTGTGAATCTATCATCACTGACTTAGATAAATCCGGATTCATCTCCTGGCATGTGAAGATGCTCAGAGAATAGACTAAAATTCCCATTATCAAGGAAAAATTGTAGTGACTATTATATTGACCTTAGTAACTAGTATGAATTTAGAAACATGCTGCAGTTGGTCCTCAAACATTGTAACCAAAGGCCAGATTTAATTCCTTCTGGGACTATCTTTTCTTCCCCATAAATTTTAGCACCTTCAGGGCATGTTGTATTTTGATTCAACATCCGTCCCCTTGAATATAGCACATATGATTCCTGGATCATATTTCAGATGACTTCTTTCAAAATGAGAGGAATTCTAGGTAATATTCAGAGACCAAAGAATGTTATTAGGCATGTTGGAGTAGAATATTCATGGAAGACGGATTTATTATTTGCTTCCTAAGCAATATCAAATAATCCCCAAAGGGAACAGTTCAGTTATTTTTGAATAATTTATCTTTATGCGTTCTTTTAAAATTTAACTAAATTTGATTTTAGATTAATGAATACCATGAGTTATGTTTTATTTTTATTTATAGGCTGTGGACTCAAAGGTCCTGGGGAAATCAGTTTGTTTTATACAATGACATTCTACCAACTATCAAAAGTTAGAATTCTTTCTAGTTTAAGCTGTTCTTCAATATATAATCCATAGATGAGGAAATAGTTAAATATAAAATTAAACATTTAAAAAGTAGAATAAAGTGTAAAAATGCCTAAAATATTGCCTTATGACTGAACACCTTGAATACGTTAGACGTTTTGAATTCAACACTTAAAAATATATTACCATCATTTCCACTCTTGTAACTAAATCTAAGCCATGCATTTAAAACATCATTATTGATTATAATTTTAAAGAACTGCTGAGTCTTTTCTAGGTTGTTAATATAGAAGAAAAATAATAAGATTATTTCTTTTGTTATTATAATATGAATTATGACTTCACAAGTTATGCTCCTTTAAAATTTGTTACAAAGTCATACATACATATAAACAATCAAAAACATTTGATTCCATAACTTTAAAAAACTCTTGTTTCTATAAATTTGTGTTTTCAGGAAATGTAAGATATATTTCTCACTTATTGTTATTTACAAAAGTGTCAATTACCATCATCTATTTACTCTTTCACATATGAGTTTTTAGTGTTACTTTTCCTGAGCACCAGTGTTTTGATTAGCTTATGGGAGTTGGTGGAAATATATATATATATATTCTGACTTGGCTGCCAGCCAGAGTGGATAGTGAACAGAGGCCACTTCCATTGTTTTTTCATCATTGGAATAATAACGCAATCAATTTATATCCCACAGAGTTAATCAACTGATCAACTATTAGGACAAATTATTATTGAGGAGTAGTTTAATAATTTAATGAGAAATTCAGTCTATTTCACTGATTTTTCTTAATTAAATTCAGGTTAAATCCTATAGATATTATAATGGATTTCTATGGAGATGTTTCAGATAAAGTGACTTTAGGAAAAAGAATAAAGCTTGAGAAGTACATATGAAGAAACCTTGAATATCTTTTTCATTTTAATAAGTAAATATTGACTAATTATGGCTTATCAGAATATATGAGGTCACACGGTAATAACCTGACAAACTTAGTTGCTTAATTGCTTCAGAAAAATGCAGATGGGCAGGAGAGATTTACTTACTGTAGTCACAGGAGAACTCAGGGTTGTAATGGCCCAACTCTGAATTTTTTCCCATAATTGCTATTTTAGAAAAAAAGAAAACAAAATACAAATGGCAATCAGGCACTACTTTTTAAGAATTTTGGTCAGGAAGTGCCAGAAAGTATACACACATATTTTATTGGCCAATATTGGCACAAACACATATTTATATGTCTATAAACATCTTAAAGTATGTATCACAAAAATATATATAATTATATATTCTACATATCTTACATATTTTTACATATTATACATATTTTTATTGCACAAATCAGAAATCACACGACTGTAATTACTTCAAAAAGGTAGAGAAGTCACAAGCCTAACACAAGCCTAGAAGATGAACAAAAATATTTGTAAACATTTATTATACTCACCACATGGCTTTAAGGAACAGATTATTTTGTCTGGAATTCCTAACAAGGCCTTTCCTTTTCTTATCTTAAAAAGAACCATCAATATTGACTAGTACACTAAGAGATCTCAAAGATGCTTGAGTAATGTCAACAAAAACTGTTTAGAAAACCCTTCTAGGTTTCAAAAAATATTTGGCACCGTCTTGTTTATTTTTTCCGTCACATTTCCCCCTAAATGTTGCAAAAGAAAGATTGCTACTTCATGTATAAAAATATCTGTATTGTTTATATCGTTTGTACATTTAAAATTTTATATTTATAAATACATGTACATCTATCTATATCTATATCTGTATATATACACATATACAAAAATATATATAAACCAAAATCAGAATCAGAATACAAAATGTATTCTGATCATGTACCTTTTCATAGTATAATATTTTCATACTGTTCCCAAAGTGGATAGTTAAAAAGATCTGTAAGTTTAGGCTTGCATTTATATTCAGGGATAGGCATTTTAACTTTTGAAGGGATGAAAGAAAATAATCACTCCCTGTTTCAATTTGTTCCAAGAAAGAAATTCTTGCAAGCTGAATTTGAAAATTATGAACTTTGACAGAGTCAATTCAAGTGATGGTATTCTATTTTATTTTATTATCTTGTATTTTATCACTTGAAAAAAGTAAAATTCAAAAGCCAAACATATTGCATGGAGGATCTTCCCTTATGATACATGTACTTCATGAACCTTATCATACATGCATGGAGGACCTTCCGTTATCATATATGTGGTTCATATTTCTGTCTCCTTTTGCTGCCCCTACACTCATGGTAGCGTTAGTGATGTCAGCCTTTCTTCCTGCTGGACTCTGCTGACTGCTTCTTGTTTTGTTTTCTTTTTCCCATCTTTACATTTTTTTTTTTTTTGGTCTGGAACTGTTGGCATAATGTAGTTTTAGTACAAATCTGACTTATTCAATCAGAATTTTCAGCACACTTAGTGCTGGTAGCAATGTATATTTTTTTCTATTCTGGGTATTTTTGAACAAATACTTTCTGTGTGAAGTTCCACCCTTCTTTTTCTACTTACTTATATTTTGAAATGATTTCAAAATTCTTCATGATGAAAGGTGATTTATAAGTATATCCTAAAGAATCGCGTTTTCCCAAGAACCTCACTAGAGGCGGAAATGTTATGATTTAAAATTCAGAACAATGCTTTATTTAGCATTGTAACTTTTCAGAAAATAGCATAAATTTGATTTCTTTGCTCTTCTTGACGAGGTAGCCATTTTTACAGCTGTCACAAAATTAGATTTAAATTCAGCATAAGGATGTTATGTATTCAGAGAGAGCTGTGCTTATAATACATATCTCATCCTCTGAAAATTTAACTACCTCTGCATTTTGAGCAGCTATTTCTGAAATGTGAAATGCAAACATAGAAATCGTATAAAATGTACCATTGTTTTCTTCAACTCTATCAATGTCCAGTGGATTTAGTGATTTTTTAAAGAAAGAAAAATCTAAGTAACTTTAAGTGTTAACAACACATAATGTTGTTTCAAAGTTAATTATTTTGGCAAGCTGTATCACATGAAAAACTAACATATTGTAGCACACAGAAGTATTCCATTTACCTTTGAAGAAATCAAAAAGAAAAAAGAAAAAGGAGACTGTTATGAGATTTTGCTCTACTTGACAGCTTAGAAGTCAGCCTGCCACAGTGTCATAGAAGCTGGCAAAAGACATGAGACTCTTGGGTCAGAGACAAGGGACTTTGTTAATCAAAGCACAGCAAACAGCATGAGCTTTATAGTCAAAGCAGTTCTTCTTGCTCAAGTTGCCCTTTTAGTACCAGAAGGCAACGTAAAGTACCACGTGTGGTTTATGTCACAGCTGAGGAATCCTAAGCATAGCAAACCCCAATACTCTATGTTTAATTTTTTGAAGAACTAGCACACCATTTTCCATAGTGACTGCACCATTTTATATTCCTACCAACAGTTCAGCAGGGTTGCAATTTCTCTATATCCTCACCAACACTTGCAGTTTTGTTTTTATTTTTGTTAGTAAACTAATGGGTTTGAGGTACTCTCTTAACCCTACCTAAATACAATACAAACAAACCATCTCTCTCTCTCTGTCTCTGTCTCTCTCTCTCTCTCTCTCTCTTTTGAGACAAAATCTCTTTCTGTCACCCAGGCTGGACTGAAGTGGCCCGATAAAGGCTCACTTACAGCCTCAACCTCCCTGGTTCCAGTGATCCTCCCACCTCAGCCTCCCGAATATCTAGGACTATGGGCATGTGCCACCAGGCCTGGCTAACTTTATTTATTTATTTATTTATTTATTTATTTATTTATTTATTTATTTAGGTGAGATTTTGCCATGTTTCCCAAGCTGGTCTCCAACTCCTTGGCTCATGTGATCCACCTTCCTCAGCCTCCCAAAATGCTGGGATTGCAGACGTGAACCACTATGCTTAGCCTATTCTCTCTCTAACATCCTTCAGAATAGAGTAGTCCACTTCTAGGAGCAGACATTGTGAAATTACAGTAATAAAAAGAGAAAGAGTAGACAAGAACTTCTAACAATATATTAATTTTTTTTTAGTATGCTAGGCATTGGGGATACAGATATATAAAGCAACAACAACATAGTTCATATTATCACGAAGAGAATAGTCTGGTAAAGAAGACAGATATTTTCAAATAAGCATATAATTACAAATTATGAGTGATATAAAGGAAAAATTCTATAAAATATGTTTCTATTAAAAATGTCTGCTGTCAGAGAAGTATTAAGTTATTCCATATGATCATAGCTTATGTAGAGATATTGCAGTTGTATCCAATTTAACTTACCACCTATTTCTATTTGGCACACTAGGCACCTGAATAGTGAGATAATAACACACTGATTCTTATAAGGTTAATAAAGTAATGTGCCTTTCCTAGAAATTTTTGCTTACCTTTCTATTCTAAGCCATATTTAGGCAGCACAGCTTAAAATGTTGCTTTTTGTCTTGCTCCCAGCTGTAAAGTACTTAATGATGGAAAACAAAAGAAAAAAAAATTGAGCAAATGAGTGACCACCCACAATCCTGATTCTCTAACTCTTGATTCCAGGAATTAAAAAAACAAAGAAACTTTCAGAATCATTATAGAAAACCACAGCAGCTGAAAGGCTTCCTGTATCCACCTTCCAACAGTTTTTATATTGCCTGCATATCTCTGCCAGCTGGAGGACTGAGAAGCCTAAATCTTGCTATTAGTCACTCAGTATTCATCAGTTACATACTGAATATATCTGTATTAAACTTTCTACCATACATATTAGGAACGAACTTATTTTCAGAACCAACATGATCTTAGTTATGCATTTTTCCAACATAACCAAGCTGTTTGATATCTAAAATTATAATGTTCTCAGGATTACCTCGTTGAAATTAATTTCAAATATATATTCACAGTATATAGATTTGTTTTTCCAACTGTACTTCTACTTCAATCCCCCTTTTGTTCTATGATCTTTACCTTGAATACTTGACCCTGTGGTCTTGCCCTCAGGATGGTATCTTAAAGTCTTCAAATATTTTGCACTTCCCACCCTTAATAGTTTTACTATTGGAATTTATGTTATTCTTTGTTTCATAAAACTGCCATGAGTATGTGCAATAATTATTTCAGCAAATACAAAAATAAAGGCCAAGAAATGAGCTAACTTTTATTGAATTTCTATGTATATGTCAAGCGTTATACTTGGGGAAGCTAGTCCATTGGACTCTTGTTGCAGTTGCCCTGTGAAGTCATCCTTATTTACAATTAAGGAACTGGAGAATGGTTCCTGGATCAAGTACTAACAGAATTGTTGATTAGGGCGATTTTTACAGGACACTTAGGTTGTAATCATTTTCTGTCTGCCTTTAAAAGGTAGCCTCTTTTCACACTTCAGTAATAGCTTTCACTCTTTACTTGTTGCTTTACAGTAACTATTAAATTTTTATTCTTACTTTAATTGCAGTCTTGCTTGGTCTCAGGCAAAGATTTGGAAGATAGTTTATTATATTTCATTTTCTGTTATTCTCTTCACTGCCAGTCCCCAAAGTAGCTTGTTTATTAAAAGGAAAGAAAATGCACATTTATTTTAACTTTCTGAGGAAAATGTCCTGATCATTAGGACACAAAATAGACAAATTTATATTTCTTATGTTCACATGTGAATTGTTCGGGAGCTTAACAGTTATGGCAGCAGAAGGAATAGAAAAGAAGGATATGACAAATATTGCACATTCCAAAATTTCTCCATCAAATGGGAAAGACATACAGTATACAAAATATTTAAACATGCCTAGCCTCTTTTCATCCTTTTACCAAAGCTCTGAAGTAGCTATTGTTGTTTCAGCATTCCATTCTTTTATCCACTCTCTGCACTATGCATCTTTTCATTCTGCAGCAACTGCGCAATATGTTTACTTCTGTTATTCACTATATTCATTCTTCTACTGCCCTGAATACAAGAGTTTATTTACATAGGCAGCTCTACTGTAAGATTTTGAGCTCCCTAAGATTGTATTCTGTGTACACAGGACTTATCCCATAGTAGTTACTCAATAAATATTTGTTGAGTTAAAATGAATTTCAGAGATTAAAAAAAACACATTGTTTTCAAAGGTCACACATTTTAGGTGATAGTGATGCATTTGGACTCAGGTCTTCTGAATATAAATCTCAGTCTTATAATTCCAATTTTGATGCCATCGGTTTTCTTTAATAAATTTCAGTGACCAAAACATTGATGACATTCTCAAGCAATGTTTTTATGTTGGTCACATTCAGACATTCTATAAATAATCACCCACTAAAAAATAATTACACTACTATTAAACTGTTTTGGTTTGTAAGTATTTGGTTTTGTAGGTAATTTTCCTCTTAAAAGCAGTAAATAACTTACTCATCTCTGTACATAAAATTTGTTCTGTATAAAATTTTTTAAATTACGTGAAAACACAGGTCCAAATAAAAAAGAACTATACAGAGTAATTGGCATCAAAGTATATAATTTAAATATGTGCACCAAACTTACCATTTATTGGGATGTAGTTAATCTTATTTTGAAATTGATATCTATTTCAGAATATAATCAGTGTGATAACTGACTCATGCACTGGATGGGTTTTTTTTCTTCTCATACCATCACAAGCTTAACGGAAATCTTGTAAATCATCTAATTCAGTATTTATGAACATAAACAATCTTGAAGAAAAAAATGGCATACATTTTTTACCATGGACTCCAAATACGTGTGTAGAGGAGAAAGTCAAAAGAGAATAGCTTTGATCCAACTCAATTTGAGAAAAAACCATTATATGAGCAGCATCAACATTTGACTAAATTCTGTTGCACCCCCACTACTTTTGAACACTTATGCAGCTGTGAATTCACAACCTTTAATGGCAACTCTTTCACTTTTTGGACAACTCTAAATAGAAACCCTCTCTTATGTTGAACTGAAATTCCTTTAAATTCCATCTAGTGATTCAGATTGCCTCTGAATCATTTGTTGCCAAACAATGTAAGTGTCATATTTTTATCATGTAACAGATGAAGGCTTTTCAAATGTTAGAAAACATTTATCATAGTCCCACTGCCCATTATCAAGTCTTTCCTACTCCAAAGCAATCATTGTTTGTTCCCTTAATTATGCCTCTTATAATAATTATGCATCTTGGCATATTACTCTTTATCTATTGAATTCTCACATAATAGATGAGATTCCAACCAAAGAAAGTGCCTCAGGCTGAAAAGGAAGTGAGTGATGCAAAGACAAATTCCCTTCCTTCCTTCCTTCCTTTCTTTCTCTCTTCTTTCTTTCTTCTTTCTCTTTCCGTACCTCTCTCTTTCCCTCCCTTCCTCCTTCCCTCCCTTCCTTCTTTCCTTCCTTCCTTCCTTCCTTCCTTCCTTCCTTCCTTCCTTCTTTCTCTTTCTTTCTTTCTTTCTTTCTTTTCTTTCTTTCTTTCTTTCTTTCTTTTTCTTTCTTTTTTCTTTTTTCTCTCTTCTTTTCTTTTTTCTTTCTTTTCTCTTTTCTTTTCTTTTCCTTTTGTATTCTTTTGTTTTGTTTTGTTTTCTTTTCTTTTCTGAAAGAGTCTCACTCTGTCGTCCAGGCTGGAGTGCAGTGGTGCAATCACGGCTCACTGCAACCTCTGCCTCCTGGGTTCAAATGACTCTTATGCCTCAGCCTCCTGAGTAGCTGGAACTACAGGCATATGCCCAGCTAAATTTTGTATTTTTAGTAGGGATGGGGTTTCACAATGTTGGCCAGGCTAGTTTCAAACTCCTGGCCTCAAGCAATCCACTCAATTGGCCTCCCAAAGTGCTGGGATTACAAACATGAGCCACTGCACACAGCCAAAAGTCAAATTTTTTTAACCAGGCAAAGTGTATTTTGAAAAATGCTACCTAGAGAAAAAAATGCATGCTATAAACTAGAATGAGCTTTAAAGATTAACTAGTCCCATATACTAATTTTATATCATTGTTGTTAATTCTATTTAAAGCTTAGGTTAAAAGGGATTGGGTTAATCATGTTTCTTACTCCTGGAACATTGTCACCAAACTTTTTTTGCAGCACTACAAGACATACGGATGCAGGTGTTCACGTGTGAATATGTGTATACTGAGTTGTCTTGAATCCCTATTCCATATTTCTATGCATCTCCCCATATAAGGAACCACTCAAATGTGTTTGTTCCATATCCTTGATTTTTACGTATCTTCGTGAAATAGAGAGTATTTTATGTTTATATGCTTTTAAAAGTTACATAAGTGGTATTATGCTATAGATCTCTTGCTGTTTCTTACTGTTTACTCAGTAGTGTGATTTTAAGTTTTGTCTACTTGCTCCATCTTGGTTTCACAATCTTGGATGAAACATCTAGTATCCCCAAAACCTTCCCAGGTGGACTGGATCAGAGTGTCTGAGGATTAAGCTAGTTTTAAAAAGCTCTTCAGGCGGTTGTACCACCATGTTATGTAGTTTCACATATAGTGGTCCCACTGCTGGACACCTATATTGCCTCATACTCTAAAAACCCCCATGTAAAAGTTACTCTGGAAATGTACTCAAGGACTGTGGGGTCATAGTTACAAATGCATTTTAGATTTGACTATTTCTGAGCTGTTCTTCAGACTGGCCACATCTGGTTATATTTCCACCAGTAATGCTTTGAATTTCCTGTTATATTTTGACAAAACCGGGCATAATCAAAACTTCTAATATGTGTCAGAGAAGTTAGGCATTTTTCTCAAAATCATATCATAAGATAATGTCAGAAATAAACTGCAATTTTAAATAATCTTGACTCTGTAGGTAGTCTCACTACATCAAAGTGTCTGTAGAAGAACATTGTTTGATTCTATTGTCAATACTCTGTCAAAATATGTCGGTTATAAAACTGACTAAATTCCTCTACTGAAGAGAAACTTCTGCTGAAGTTATTTTAAAATCAAGCAAATATGTTGTCTCTTGCTATTTTATATTGTCATTAATATTGTTTAGATTATTGTTTATATTATTCTTGCCATTATTTTTGTTTGTATTATTCTTGTCATTCCTATTGTTTATATTATTCTCAATATTTCATATTATGTTATTATTATTTAATACAGTGCTGTGCATATTATTTGTATATTTCTGGTGTTTTGTCTTAAAATGTAACAATTGCAATGATTGACTCAAAGAGTTTCCATTGGCTTCCCAAATGAACCTTTAGCACAATAATACAATTAAGATAGTAATAATGAATATATGTGAAGGCTAACATTCAATACAAAGATTAGAAAATAGATAATAGTATTTCACATAAAGATGAGAACTAATGCATTATATTTGGCTGAAACAGAAAAGTGAATGTGGTATTGTGTTAGTGAATCACAGAGCAATGTGATAACTTTGAACCTATTAACATATGGAATTTTTCACCTACTAACTTCACTTTTCAACTGACTTACTTTACTAAGATCCCTAACATTTTATCCTAAATATTTATTTATTGATTAATGGGAGATTATTTGATCTCTCAAAAGATATCTTTTAATTTTTATGTGCTAAATTCCCTGATTATGATTTTATGAAATCCTATATTTTCTGCACATTTTTAATGTTTGATTTTGCTATGGACTGTGCTTATTTCAGATTTTATACTCATCCAAGAAGCTAATGTCACAAATACAGATATAGAACCGAAAGAACGATGTCAGTTCTAAATTGTTTACAATACTATTCCCCTTCTTTACTTGTCATGGCCTGATCTGTTCAATCCTGACACTTAAATTATTGGCATTAATACATATAGTGGTAATGAATAAATTATATTTAATACAATGTGTTATGTATTTATTAGCAATTAAGAATAAAACATGAAAATCTTGTCCTTTCCCATATTCATTTTCTATTAATGCATAGCAAAATGCTACAAACATAGCAGCTTAAGACAAAAGCAAAAATTATCTCATAGTGTCTGTAGGTCAGGAATATGCGCATGGGTTAGCTGGATCCTCTGCTCAGGGTCTCCACCAGGCTGAATGGTTTTGTCAACAGCTGCAATTTCATCTTCCAAGATTATTGATTGTCAGAATTCGGTTCCTTATAGCTTAAGACTGAGGCTTTCAGATCCTAGCCTACCTATTTCTGCCACCTAACACTGTCCTTAACAAGGCAGTTTGCTTTTTTAAGTTCAACAGTAGAGGATCTGCTGCTGCATAGTATCACTTCTAAGACCTCACCTGATTAGATCAGGCCCACCAAGGATAATCTTTTTCCTAAATTTAAAGTCAGTTGACTAGGAACCATAATTACACCTACAAAACCCTTTTGCCATAAAATACAAAAATTATCACAAAAGTGATATACCATTGTATTCACAGGCTCTTCTCACACTCAAGGAGTGGATTATACAAAAGTGTATATCTCTGTAGAGTATGCTAAAGAGGAAGAAACTTCTGTCTTCTTTGTTACTATAGATATGCTGCCTATTACAGTGCCACCACTAAATATTAGTTGAATGAATGAATCTCCTCACAACTAGTTAATTTTGTAATTGTCCTAAGAAAATATTTGTTGCTTGAAAAAAAAATCTTTCTCACATAATGATTTTCAGAGTATTTAATGCAGATTGACCTATTTGTTAGGAAAGTAGCAGTGTTTTACTAATGAATTCTGACCCAATCCTAAATTTTGGCTGAATTTCTGTATTGATGGCATGCATTTGCTATTGGAACTTGATTCAGCTCACAGATGGCTTCACAGCTGTTACACCTTGGAGATTCTAGGAACCTTTGAGGGATAGCATATGTGAAAACTCAAGTTATTACCAAAGGAGTTTCCTCCCTTATAAATAGTTAAATTATATTTTAGAGAAATATACCATTTTTCATTCACTAGCTAAAAGTAAATTTTGGGATTACACCATGTACAATCACAAGACTTGGGTCTGGTTGACATTGCACAGTCAGACTTTGAGATTTATTTTTAAGTAATTTCTCTGAAAAAATATCTCAAAGCTTTGGAAATGTGGGGAATTGCATACATGTCAAGGAAACCAAAATAATGCATTGTATCTCAAAAAGAAGGTCTTGAATTTGATTAACAATATCTTGAGCAGAGATTTTGAATTTTTCCACAAGCAGTGCAATTTTATAAGTAGAAAATAAGTGATTGCATAGTATATCTGTATTAGTAAGTAAAAAAATAATGAGGGAAGACAATGAATCTGAAAGATGCAGATGCAGAGACCAGATCACATGTCCTATGTTAGGAATTTGGCTGTGGCAATAATGAGAAAGCAAAATACAGTCAGAGGCTACAAAGTTATGGTGAGCATTTTCCGTGTCCTAGATGTTTGTATAATATGAATAAAAATATAAAATGCCCCTTTAAGAGTTTAAATTTAATGGAAAATTTTGGAATTTTGCCTCTCTTTCCTAAATTTTGTCATTCAATTAAACTGAAATATTTACCTGCTCCTCAGAAGATTTTGATCTTGATTCCATAAAATACACATTTTCAGGATTTTGCAACATATTTAACCGGACACTGTTTACTTATTTTGTCTCTTGCAGATATTCACATATGTATATATGTGCATATATATGTATATATGTATGTGTGTGCATAAACATGTATATACTGATTATACCTGTAGAAATCTTTAGAAAACTGTAATTAAAGTAAATACTGTTGCTTCACTTGAGATCTTAGTGTTATATTTAGTTCTGTTTTTTATAAATATACAATTATTTGGATTATTTTTATGAAGGTAAAATCTATTACTGTAACATGCATGAAGAAACCAACAAAACTCTTGGTTTGTTTTGTTTTACAGGTGTTTACAGGTTTTGTTTTACAGGTGTTTAAATATGTACTCTGTCAAAATTTCCACATAGGGCCATGCCAAGTTGATAGTATCAGGGTGGGCTTAGTGTTTTTTGTATTAATTCATTGCTCATTCTTTAAGCCACTATTTGTTGAGTACTTTTTCTGTACTAGGCTCTGGAAATATAGTTGTGAACACAACAGGAATATTCTGTACCTTTATGGAGCTTACTGAAGTGTAGAATAAGCAGATAAAAGTATAAATAAAATAATTACACAGAAGATACAGTTACATTTATCATAAGAGCTATGAGGAAGTGATACAGTATTCTACGAGAGCATATAACTGATCCGCAGGGTTGTGGAAGGCAACTGAAGGAAATGACTTTCAGACTTTAATTTGAAGAGTAAATAGATAAAGATGACATGGCAAAAGGCTGTGAGGAGGGAGGTAGGGTCATAAAGAGAGCATTTTAAGCAGATGGAATAAAGATGTGATGAAAAATAAGATGAAAATTATTTGGTATTTTTGAGGAATTAAAAATATCTGGCACATTTGGAATAGTGAGAGGCTGTGGAATGGAAGATATGGATATAAAACTCTTTAGAAATGAGAATATGCATCAGGCATTGCAAGTCATTTTAAAGATTTTTTAAATTTATCCTAAGAGCAATGGGTAACTACTAAATAGTTTGAGAAAGTGGGAGTGTAAGGTATTATATATAAGAATTGTAACTGCATTATTAAAGATTCTATGACCAAGAATACAGGGAACTAGGGGCTGGGAGGAAGTGATGTAGTGTTCTAAACAAGAGACACTAGTGGCTTGGATAAGAGTGATCAGAGGGAGAGGTAATAATGTGCTGAGTTTGAGATATAATTAGGAAGGGAATTAACAAAGATTTGTTATTCATGAGTGTTATGTGTGAATGGTAAGGCCTTATCAAGGAAGAGAACACAAGTGGGGGTAAATGGACCATTCATTGAAATGAGGAATGACGGAAGCGAAACAGAGACACCTTTAAGACAGCCAAGTGGCAAAGTAAACACAACCCTCTCCCCTCCACACACCTACTCACACCAAAAAGAGTAAGTTATATTGATCTTGAGCTGAGAACAGAACAGTAGTGTTTCAGCTGGAGTTGAAATCTAGGGGAGCTTTTGAAATATGGACTGGGAAGAGAAGCGAGTTCAGAACCACATCCAAAAGCGCTGAAGTACATAAAGACCTACAATAATGGAGAGATCCAAAATACTAAGATCATAAAAAAGCAGAGACATCAGAAAGACCGACAGAATATAATATCCTGAAAGTAAGAAGAGAGTGTTCTGAGAAGAAAAGTGTGGCAAAGTCAACTAGTAAGTTTTAAGTTTTGCAACCAGATAGAAGAATGAGACAATGAAAACTTTTATGCAATATATAGTTTTTGAGGGCAAAGTCTATGTCTTATATTTCTTTATCCCCATTATCTCTTACAGAACTCAATAAAATGCTATAAACTAAAATAAAAAAATAGCTAACAACCATAGAAAGCTTCTTTTCCAATAATATTCCTTTTATTTCTCTGTAAGGAAAAATGCTAGCATATGCAAACCTTAGTTTATTTATTAGGGAGTGATTTTAATCATACTAAATAATTCATATTTAAAGGCTGCTAAGGCCATAAAATATATAATGTTGCATGTTGTATTTCAGTTCCATGACATAGTTAAACATTCTAGTAGTACACAGTGCAAGTGCTCAGTTGTGCATATCACCTTTTAAGTAAAGTATGCCCAATTTAGTCATTAATTAAATTCACAGAGATTCTGGCCCTGGCTGATTTTTATTATACATGAATTTATTTTTATCAACTAGCAAGGAACACTTTTTATTCCTTATACCTCAGTATTTCTGGAGACTTCATAATCTTTTTCATATTCCTAATGCTTTATAATTCTAAGATTTTCATATTACCAAAAACCACTATATGTTTTCGTGTATATGGCCAGTATAAATAAAATGACATCAGTCAGCTGGCTGCAATATATGTTTTTAGTGCCAGATCTTCTTTTCCAGCCACATTTATTATTTACCCACTCAAATTTGTTCATTCTGGCTTGCATACCTTCCCTTGAAGGTCTTCTTTTTCTTTGGTAATGCATATTCTTTGCCTTCTTCCAAATGTTGAATAAAATGTACCTTATTTTAGGAATTATTCAAATTAGGTCCCAATCCTGATATTAAATTTTTCATTGTTCATATATTCCAGTTAGGCTTTTAAAAGTGTATTCTCTGATATATTGAGCTAGAGTGTAAATCAAATGATGTGTTCATCTATCAGAGTATGCATATTGTTGTGTCACTGATACTCTTATTACCTCTCCAGGCTAATGAAATGCAAAATCCAGGGGCACAATTCACATTACATGTAGACAGGATCTCATATTAAAGTGTCACTTCCTACCCCCCATGAAGCATGTGGTTACATTGAGGCTGACAAACACAGTATACACTCATTTTTTTATTCCTGGATATTTGACAAGAGGAAACACAATAAGCATTCACTGTTTTGCTTTTGGGCTTCATTTTCTATACTCTAATATATTTTTGAGTTATGTTAATATATATTTAATTTCACTTCAAATAAACCTTAATATATTTACATTATATATTTACATTTTATGCTATGTTTCAGGTTCTTTAACTGAGAAATAAAAACATCTTTTCTCCTCATAAAATATTTGGTCATGGTGTTATGGTATTAAGCACTTAATTTGTACTCAACAAATGCTTATTGAAAGAGTTAATAGATAAATTATTTCAGTGGAAATACAATATATTATAAACTGTTTCACATGGATTCTCTCCCACTAACTATGCCTGTGTGGCCAACAGCAGTCAATATAGGGAAAAAATAGGGACTCATTTTTGCCATCTGCAAAATGAGGATATTCATTTATCCATAAAGACATCTTTATTAAGTACCTCCTCTGTGTCATGTACCAATCTAGAAAATGGAAATCTAAATTGAACAAAACAAGGCAGAAATTAATAAACCAGGTAATATACAATGTTTTGGACTTTATTCATTCATTTCAATAAGATATTATTAAGTAAACTGGTATAAAAATACCATTATACCTTTGGTTGACTACCAAGATAAATATAATACTAATATTACTCTCCATCAATTTATATTTTAGTGCAAAATACGTCTTTACAATTATGATACATGACAAATAGTAAAAATTTCCATGGCAACACTAATGATAAAAAGGTAAGGAAATTAAGAAGAAAGGAGAGAATTGTGACAGTTGAAAATAGGCCCATGTGATTTCATAAGCCCTTGTAACAATAGGATACTGTGTTTAGATTGACACTTGCAGAGATACTCAAAACACTTGTGATAAAATTATCATAAAAAGAATCCCATGACAGCATTGCTATAATACATTTTGTAAGGCCACTACATCTCAAACACTGTGATTGCATTACATCTCACTTGAAAAAGGCCAAGTCTTTACAATAGCCTTCAAATTTCTACATGGTCTGCAGATCCTGTTACCTCACTGGTCCATTTCCTACCACTCCCCAACACCCACTCCATTCCAAGCACCCCACCCTTTCCTTTGGGATTATTCCACCCTGCCAAGTATATTATCAGTTCTGCACACAGACACTTCTATTCCCTCTGCTTGGAAAATCCTTCCCCAGACATTTGACAAATCACTCACCCTTGCCCCTCAGGGCTCTATTAAATATTACAGCATTTGATAGACCTTCTATAAAATAAAGCCCAGTATTATCATCACTTTCATTTCCCAATCTCCAGTTTTATTGTTTCTCACAATCTTTATATTTGTAAATAATACTATACTTTTATTTTTGTTTATTTCTCTTCTCCCCTACTAAGCTCCAGGATTGTATGACTTGGTTTGCTTTGTTGATTGTTTTCTGATTCCAGCATCTAGGCCAGGGCCTTACACATAGTCTCTTTAGATATTTGTTAAGTAAATTAATATATATTGCGCCTTAATATAGGGACATAAGGCATTAAAGTAAATTGGACCAGATAAATTTTCTATTGCTTACTAGGGGGCACAGAGTAAGAAAGCAACAGAAAACAGATCTGAGTAGTTCAAATAAGAAAAAAAAATGTATTTGAAGAATATTGGATAATGAACATAATTAACGGCAGATCTAAGCATCTAAGCCTTGAAAAGAGCCAGACTATTTCCGGAAATATGAGAAACAGGATATTTCGAGAATTATTGAGTACAAGTTATAAATCTGTGCATCTTTAATCAAAATTCTAGTTCCAAATGAAAACAATTTGGTTTAACATAACTAGAATGCCTGTCTGCTCTATGGCCAGCAGAGTTGTGGGGCACAGATTTGGCGAATATTATGATTGTTGATCCTATCAAAACTAACTAGAAATTGAAAGGGCAAGCTCTAAAAGGAAACATACCATTACCAGATTTTTGGGAACAATGATGACTGAGAGAAATTTACATATAGTTACTGCAGTCTCTGAAGCTGAGAACATATTTAAGGATCTCATAATATACAAAAATGTATTATTTTGCTTTAACTTTAACATCTAATATTGGCAGGTTTATAAATAATAAGTAATAATTATATAATAAATAATAATAAAAATAACTATAAATAACCCTTTTAACCCAAGTAGTAACTAAATAATTATCACATTTTATTTTTAAATTAAACTTTTGTTTTGAGATAATTGTGGATTCACGTGCAGTTTTAAGAAAAATTACAGAGAAAGTTCATGTATCCACTACCCAGTTTCTACCAATGATAATGTCTTGCAAAATATAGTACAATATCCCATCCAGGATGTTAATATTTACATAATCAAGATACAGAACTTTTCCATCACCATAGGATATTTTATATTGCCCTTTTATAGCCAAACTCATTCCCACCCCAGCCCCCTACTTAACCTCTTACAATCACTAATCAATTCAGTTCTAGAATTTTGTCATTTTAAGAACGTTGTATAAATGGAAACAAAGTATGTAATTTTTTGGGATTGACATTTTTTACTCAGCATAATTCCCTGGGGATGCATGCAAATTTTTGCATGTATCAATAGTTCGGTCTTTTTCATTGCTGGCATTAGCATTTGATGACATGAATGTACTGTAGTTTATTTAACTACTTACTCATTAAAGGATATCTTCACTGTTTACAGTTTTGGCTATTGGGTATATGAGGTTTTGTGTGAACATAAATTTTCGTGTCCCTGGTATAAATGCCCAGAAGCACAATTACCAGGTTGTATGTTAGTTGCATGTTCTGTTTCTTTAGCAATTGCCAAACTGTCTTCTAGAGTGCCTGTACCATTTTCTGTTTCCGCTGGTGATATGTAAGTGATTGAGTTTCCTTGCATTCTCTCTGTTATTTGGAGGCATTACTGTTTTTTTATTTTAGCCATTCTGGTGGATATATAGTGTTATTTCATTGTGGTTTTAATTTGCTTTTCCCAAATGGCTAATGATGTCTAACACCTTTTTGTGTGTTTATTTGCCATTTGTATATCCTTTTCAGTAAAATGTTTATTCATGTATTTTTTTGCCATTTTCAAATTGGATTGTTTGGGTTTGTTTTATCATTGAGTTTTGAGAGTTCTTTATATATTCAAGATATTAATCTTTGTTGGATATATAGTATGCAAATATTCCCCAGGCTGTAACTTGTAACTTGTTTTATAGTTTTATATTTTGCATTTGTCAGTGACTCATTTTGAAGATTTTTTTAAAAATAAAATGTGAGATTTAGGTTAAGATTTTGTCTTTTGTTTTATTTTTACTTTTAATTTTTGCATGTACATAGTAGGTATATATATATATATATATATATTTAAGGAGTTCAGAAGATAATTTGATACAGGCATACAATGGGTAATAATCACATCAGGGTAACTGAGGTAGCCATCACCTCAAGCATGTACCCTTTCTTTGCGTTATAAATGATGCAATTATTCTTTTTTAGTGACTTTAAAATGTACAGTAAATTATTGTTGACCGTAGTTACTCTGTTGTGTTGTCAAATACTAGATCTTATTCATTCTAATTATATGTGTCTACCCATTAACCATCTCTACTTCCCCAGCTCCTCTCCCTGCTACTGCCCTTTCCAGGTTGTTTTGTTTTTTGACTCTGGATTTCCAGTTGCTCTAGCACCATTTGTTGAAATGGTTATCTTTCTTTCATTGAACTGCTTTTATAGCTTTGTTGAAAAATCACTTGGCATATTTGTGTAGGTCTGTTGATGGATTCCCTACTCTGTTCTATTGATCTGTGTGTCTGTACCTCTGACAATACCACACAATTGTGATTACTATAGCTATATCACATGACTTGAAATTGAGTAGAACAATTCATCCATTTAATTCTACTTTTTCAAAATAATTTTAGCTATTGTAGTCCCTGTGTCTTTTCATATAAATTTTAGATTAAGTTTGTCTATGTCTATAATAAAAACATGTTGATATTTTCTATAGATATCACAGTAAACATATAAATCAATTTAGAAAAAATTGACATCTTTATTGTGTTGAGTCGTCCAATCCATGAATACAGCCTCTCCATTTACTTAGTTATTTATGATTTCTTCCATTAGCATTTTATAATTTTGGGGGATACAGTTCCTGTACTAGTTTTGTTAGGTTCACACCTAAGTATTTCAACCTATTTGTATGATTTCAAATGGTAGTGTATTTTTAAATTTAAATATCTGCATGTTTTTGCTCATATACAGAAATATACTTGATTTCTTTATTTATATTTTATATTCTGAGACCCTGCTGAAGTACTAGGAGTTTTGTTGTAGATTCCTTAGGAATTTCTATGAAGAGAAACATAACATCTGCAAATGTTATTTTTAATCCTTTGTGTTTATCGTATTACTGTACTAGCTACAACTGTTTTTAATGACTGGAGAGGGTGGGCATTTTTGCCTTGTTCCTGATGTTATAGAAAATTTTCAGCACTAAGTACAAATTTATCTATAGGTTATTTGTTAATGTTCTTTGTTATGTTGAGAAAGTTCACTGCTATTCTTTTTTTCTGAGTTTTTTTAAATCATGAATGTTGAATTTAGTCAAGTGTTTTCCTTGCATTAACTGATATTATTATAGGTATAAAATTTTTATCATTTAGTCTGTAAATATGGTGAATTATAATGATTGACATTCAAATATTTAACCAGCTTTGTATGCCTAGAATGTGCTCCAGTTAGTTTATCATATTTGAAAAATATGTTACTGAGTTTATGTGCTAATATTTTTAAAGAATTTTTGTATCTGTATGCATGAGGGATATTGACATACTGATTAGTAGTTTTTTTCTTCTTTTTTGGCATAGTTTTTTTCTAGTTTGATATCAAAAGATACTATCTTAATAAAATCAGTCATGAAATCTCTCCTGTTCTGTTTTTTTGGAAGATATTATGTATAATTGGTGTTGTTTTTCTGCGTTTGGTAGAATTCCTCAGCAAAAGCATTTGTACTTATTAAACTTGAAGAAGTCTTTTTCTGGACTTTTTTTAAAATTATACTTTTTATTTCCTTAATTACTATAGCACAATTTCATATTTTACAGTTGGTAATTTGTGCTTTTTGAGGATCTGGTGAGTTTCATCTATGTTATCAAATTTATGATTGTAAATTCATAGTATTTTCTACTTTTTTCTATCTTCAGGGTCTTTAGTGATATTTCATCTTCCATTCCTTATGTCAATAATTTGTCTTTTTTGGTCAATGCTATTGATTTTTTAAAAATCCTTCTGTTTTATTGATTTTCTGTTTTTAATTTCATTGGCATGTATTCTTTATTATTTACTTACTTCTGCTTACTTTGAGGTTGTTTGCTCTTCTTTAGGTTGTTGAGGTGTGAATTTAATCAATGATTTGAGACTTTCCTCTTTTATAACATATGTTTGGTACTGTAAGTTTTTCTCTCTAGTGCTTTTGTTTGCCCAACATATTTTCTTAGATTGTTTTTACATTTTCATTTAGTTTAATGTGTTTTTAAAACATCCCTTGAGGCTTTCTCTTTGATTCACAGTTTATTTAGAAATGTGATGTTTAGTGTCCACATTTTTGAAGATTTTTCTTTTATCTCTGAGTTATAGATATCCGGTTTGATTATTTTGTAGTTACAGATAAATTCTATATAATGTTAAATATTTTAAGTTAGTTGTGTTTTGTTGTATTGCCTAGAATATGATCTACCTTGGCATATGTTTCCTGGTTACTTGAAAAGAATGTGTAGTCTGCTCTTGTAGGCTGGAGTCTTCTATGAATGCAAGTTAGATCCTGTTAATTGGTAGTGTTACTGAGTTGTTCCATATTCTTATTGATTTTCCATCTAGTTGCTCTATCAGTTGTTGAGAAAGTACTGTTAAAACTCCCAACGATAATTGTGTTTTTTAAAAATTTTTCTTACCAGTTCAATCAGTTTTTGCTTTACACACAAAAAAATTTGCAGCATTGTTTTTTGGTGCATACACATTTAAGATTACTATGTTTTCTTGGTGGATTTTCCCTATATCATTATATATAATGTCCGTTTCTGCGTCTGGTAATTTTCTTGGCTGTCAAATCTAAAGATGCTCCTTGACTATGATAACACGTAGTAAGTTGAAAATCTTGTAAGTCAAAAATACAGCTCAGAGGGTCTTTGGTCAAGGAATCACTGATGCTTGAAGTCTGAAACCTTGTGCTTGCATATTGCATTTGCACCATAATAAACCCAAAAGACTATAAGTCAAGCCATTGTAAATCTGAGACTACCTGTATTTTATCTGATAGTAATATAGCCACTCTTGTTTTCCATTGATAAATATTTCCATGATACTGCTTTTTCTATTATTTTGCTGTTAATATGGCTATATTGTTATATTTGAAGTGGGATTCTTATAGGTAGCAAATGGTTGAGTCCTGCTTTCCAATCAACTTTGCCAATCTCTTTATATTGTTTGGTGTATTTAGAGCTTTTATATTTAATGTAATTTTGATGTTAGGACGTAAGTCTGCTTTCTCTTTTTGTTTTTCATTTTCTTTTCTCTGTTTTCATGTGTTTATTTGAGCATATTTGTGGAATGCTGTTTAAATTTATATACTGCATTTTTAGTGTATTTCTTACAGTTTTATTAGTGGTTGCTCTAGGTATTGCATTATATTTACATAATTTATCACGGCTATGTGCATTTACATATATAAAAACATATATTATATATAAATACATGTAAAATGGTGCCGTCATTTTAGCAGTTCAGCTGAATTGCAAAAACTTTACCTCTCCTTATATCCCTTTATACCCCTGCATTTACAGTAAATCATAAATTTCTTCTGTACATATATTTACAACCAGTGTTACAATTTTTACTCTGGCCATCAACCATAATTTAAAAAATTCAAGGTAAGAAGAAAAATCTCTTATATTTATTAATATTTTTGCTTACTCTTTTATTTTTTCCTTCTAATATTTCAAATTTTGTTATTTTACTTTTATTATTTGCTATTTAGAGACCTTAGCCATTCATTTAGGGTAGGTTTACTGCTGACAAGTCTTTTTTATGTTGTATTTCAGTCTAGTTATTTCTCTGTTCAGATTGTGTGATTTTTTTTGTTTGTTTTCCAACTCACTCATTCCTTCTTTTGTTCACTCTTCTGTTAAGCCCATCCATTGGATATTTTTAAAGGATTTCTCAAAAATCTTAGGTCTTTTCCTTTTTCTCTGTTTAATGATATTTCAAATGTAAATAAAAGTATTTGTAAACATAATACAATACTAAACATTATATAATAATTAAATTTCCTTTAGTATTATGTGACATATATATATACATATATTCAGATATATGTAGTATGTGACATATACAGACACACACACACACACACACACACACACTAACACGTTTAGTTCTGAGAACGACTTTAACAGGGAATTGAAATTCAGAGACCCTAAATAATTTCTACTTGATCACACAGCTGAAATTCAAATATAGCTGTCTCTCACAGTAAAATGTCTTCTTTTGCCTGTATCTGAAATCCCATCACGATAACACAACCCCTTATGAATTTGCAATATTCTTTCAGGTCTTTTATCCAATGCCTATTATTATAGCTTATAATTGTATTTGCAGTAAATATAAAAGCATTGAAGTTTTATTAAGAAAGCTTACTTCAAATCATCTTCATTATTAAGATGTATAATGAATTTATCTTTAGCATTGGAATTAACCTCTAGATATTACTGAAACCTATTGACTTATTTGATGAGAACTACAATTTAAAATGGCAGCAAAATTACTAGCAAAGGAATAAATATGTGAATTTGCCAGCATTTATAAGCTAAGGACAATTAATCTGTATTTTTATTTTGTTCCATTTTCAGTAGTTTTAAAAATTCAATTTTTTTAGTTACAACTAGTGACACTGACCCTCAAATAGCCTATACATCACTAAAACTATACATGTCCACAATTATGGATGACATACTTCAAGACAGTCTATAAATACCACAGGTTTAGGAAAACACTTTGAATAATAATTACGGTAAATTGAGTGTCCTTTGAGTGTTTTGAAAAGTGTGGTTTTAGGTAGAATCAAATAAGTATGATTTTGCCAAAGAAAAAGACAATTTGGAATTACATTAGGGAAAAAAAGAGCAGGAGCATATTTGATAGGGCAGAACATTGCAATATATCTTCAGAAATGTTAAGTAAGTTTGTTATGAGGGAAAAGTATTTATATTATTCACATTGAAGAGTGCTAAGGAGAAGAAGTTGAGATCTATCTTGGGACTCATTGTGTCATTCTATAGGGTTTGGATGTAATTCCAATAAGAAACTGAGTGTTATGTGAATGGAATATGAAGGGTCAGTTACTGCTTTGGTTTGAATGTTCTTGTCCCCTTCAAAATTTATGTTGAACAATATTGGGAGGTGTGGTCTTTGAGAGGTAATTGAGTCATGATGGTTCTGCTCCTATGATTAGAATTAGGTTATCATATAAAATGGCTTAATAGAGGGAAATGGTCTGGTGTGCCCTTCTGCCTTCTGTCATGTGAAGACACATGTTTCTCCTGTATAGAGAATGCAGTAACAAGGTGCCATCTTTGGAAGCAGAGAACAGACCCTTGTCAGAAAATAAATGTGCTGGTGCCCAGATACTGGATTTCTGAGACTCCAAAACTATGGGAAATAAATTTCTATTTTTATAAATTACTCAGTCTCAAATATTTTGATAGAGCAGCACAAATGAGCTAGCACAATTGCATTGGGAATAAACTAAACAAGACAAATTAAAATACATGTAGATTCTGAATTAATAAACTCTTTTTATAAACATATAAATTCAATAACATAGTCTTTATTAAGTGATAAAACAGGATATTAAGTAATCCTAATATATCAATTATAGACTAACTCTATTTCTAGACAATACCAGGTAAAACCGCCATCATTTAAATTTTTTAAACTCTTAAACTTAGTTAACAACGTTGTATTGTGTTGAGACTACAAGTATCTGTTGATATTACAACTGAGAACTTGATACACTTGGACTCTAAACATTGCTGTCTGATTTCTACCTTCATTATTCTTGGCAACTTTATCTGAATCTTTATTACTCCCTCCAGAATTGTACTCTCAGTCTCATCCAGTCTTGCTTAGGTATATCTTAATATTTGTTTTCTTTATCACAGAGGAAACCTACTAAACTTTCTCAATATCTATACACAAATTTATTTCTGTGTAAATTTACTCTCTGTTTTATCCAGAGAATATTTCTTCTTCCATTTATAGGCTGTCTGCTTGACTTATGGGTGTTGTTTTTTCACTAAATCTGCTAGAATCCAACCTAATATTATATTCTATAAAATTACCTATTTTTCTGACTTCCCCCACTATCTATGAACATTCTCCAGTATCCCCAGTCTTAAAATCCCTCCTTACACTTGTTTCCTCAAACCCATCTTCCTTTATTTCTCTTTCTCTTTATGCTGACATACCTGAAAATAGTAAATGCTTGCTGATTTCCCTTCCTCACTTTCCATTCACCTCTTTAATCTACTAAATCCTGGTTTCTGCGTCTAATCCTCCATGACAAACTAGCTTTGCCTATGTCGCCGTGATCATTTAATAAATCTAGAATGTTCTTTTTTGTTTTCATCCTACTTAGTTTCTGTGACTTAAACATGACAAGAAAGGCACTCTAAGATTTTGCCTTTGTCTACCTCTTCATCTAACACCATGACCTTTAAACCATACAATATATATCCTAACCATAAAAAATTACTCACAGTTCTGTATAGTTCTACTGCCTAATATGGTAGCCATTAGCCAAAGTTAGCTGTTCAAATTTAAGTATGTATTAATAGTAGCTAAAAATTCTCTTCATTAGTCATACTAGCCACAGTTCAAATGCTCAATAGGCACATATGGCTAGTGGTTACCATAGTGGATAAAGTGCTTGGTATCAAATACTTACTTGTCTGCGATGGCTCAGAAAACTTTTTAGCATCTCAGTATTTTCTGTCACAAGCACTGCTTCCCACTACCAGAAACACTTGACCATTCCTTGTTTTCCAACTGAACTCATACTTAATTTGTTCTCACAGTGCTTATATGATACGTAATATGGTCAAATGTCTTTCTCCCATACTATGTCTTAAGTTTCTCAATTTCTATATTGTGCCTGTTTGCATTCTCAATATCTAACAGTGCCTGATATATTTTTGACACTAAAAATACTGTTAGATGAATGAATTAATGCAACAATAATCAGAGAAACTCGGAGATTTTAGTTAAATTAGACTTAAAATACGTATTTTTTAATATTTTGAAGTTACCCGTATTTTAAGGCTTAATTCAAATTTCTTAACACTTGTTTCCACAGAGGTCAGTCCAATAGTGACCTGTGGGGAAAAGGTCCAGTCTCCTCAAATGATTCTCTAAGAGTTCCTAATTTGAAAGGATCCAAGTAATTGGATTCTTCTAAGAAAACGAAGATTTGGCTGAAAAATATATAAATAAATTTTCAATGAATTGCTCTTGGGACTTTATTTTTGTCTAAGCATTGGGAAATTTTTAATATTTAAATAATACATATTTTAAATATATAGTGATAAGAAACACACATACTCTCACTGGAAGGTAGCATCTAATTCTTCTTAAACTCAGGTAAATTATATGGTGGTTAGAACTATAGTCTACTCAAATATTCTTTTGAGTTTCAAAAAGCCATTTTTGTCATGCAGTCAACTCATATGTAGGAGCACAATATATATTAATTTATATGAATAATCAAGAAAATTATTTAGGCTAAAGGAACAACTGGAGTCAAAGGACTGGATTTGCAATTGAGCTGACACATTATTTAAATTGTCTGTATTTATTTTTATTGTGTGCATCTAAACTGAAATAATTTTTATTTATTTTATTATTCCTAATTTATCAGCAATTTATAAATGATATTTATATTTCATTTGTGTGTACATATAACAAGTTAGTGTGGAAATTATAATCTACAGCCTAATATGTGTCAGGTATACAATGCCAACACTTGCTTTTCAAAACAGTCTGCTCTGGTTTCAATGTTCTTACCTAAACTCAAGTTAGCACTTTCATTCCTAGTACAGCAATGTTGGGAGGTTGTGCCTTTAAGAGGTGATTAAATCATTAAGATGGCTTAATATTTTTCTCATGAGACTGGATTAGATCTCATTGTAATTGATTAGCTTCTTAGGGAGTGAGTTGTTACAAGGTGAGATTCCTCCTCATGTTTGATCCTCATTTGCTCACATTTGCTCACCTTTTTGCTTCTCTGCCATATCTTAATGCAGCACGGGGCCTTCAGTGGAAGCTGAACAGATGCCACCACCTTACTCTTGGACTTTCCAGCTACCAGAATCATGAGTTAAATAAACCCCTTTTTAAAATTAATTACCTAACCTCAGGTATTCTGTTATAGTAACATAAAGCAGACTAAGACCACATCCAACCTGGAGTATATACATATGTAAATATAAAGGCTGTTGAAAACCCCTACCTGGTTTACTTAGGTTATATTACAAAATTATAAATATTTCATATGTGTGTATGCACATATATAAATATAGGTATGTGCATAGCTAAACACACAGGATTCCTTTAAAAAGATTACAGTTGTCATCTATAGTTCATATCTTATAAATGAGTGACTGTGTTCTTACAGGCTTTTCTAAACCAAATCCTTCGACTGTGTGTTTCCAGTTTAAGATTGTGAATACTGTGTGATGCAATGAGATGAGCATTGATCTCATCTGAAATCATGCTCTTAAAACTAAAATATGTCTAATACATATAGAACATTGGGTCATCATAGAGCACTAAATAAGGTACATAGCCTTTTAAATCAAAATAAAAGCCTCAAGCCTACATGAAGCATTCCTTCTAAGAGTTGAGTTTATACAGAAAGGAGTAGTAGAAGGAGGTAATATAGGAAAGTGACAAAATGCTGGAAAGACTTTGCCTATTTTACAATTTAACCCAGAGCAAGAAAAGTATTTTGGTATTTGATCACATATGAATTTATTAATCCTTCTAATCACTACAGTTTGCAATCTGTAAATGCTAATATTGTTCACTTTGACCTCCTTGACATTTTGTTCAAATTGTGGTAACAAAACATATAATATAAAATTTACCATCTTAATCATTTTCAAGTATACATTTCAGCACTCTTAAGTACATTCACATTGTTATGAATCAGATCTTTAGAACCATTTCATAGTGCAAATCTGAAACTCTATACCTGTTAAACAACTCCTCTTTACCCCCTCTGCATAACCCCTGGTAATCACCATTCTACTTTCTGTTTCTGTTAATTTGACTATTTCAGATAGTTCATGTAAGGAGAATCATACAATATTTATTTTGATAACGGATTTATTTCACTTTATAATGTGAGATAAGGTTTTCTTCCTTTTAAGACAATAATATTCCATTCTATATATATATGTCACTTTTTGTTTATCCACTTATTCATCCATGGACACTTGAGTCATTTCCATATCTTGGCTAGTGTGAATAGTGCTGTTATGAACATGGATGTGCAAATATCACTTTACACTCTGCTTTCAATTCTTTTGGAGATAAACCCACAAGTGGGATTGCTGGATCATATGGTAGTTCTATTTTTAATTTTTCCAAGGAACCTCCATTCTATTTTCCACATAAGTTGCATCATTTTACAATCTCACCGACTGGCACAGGGTTCTGATTTATTCCACATTTTTGCCAACACTTGTTATTTTTTGCTTTGATGTTGTTTGTTATTGTTTTTACAGTAGCAATCCTAACGGTGTGAGGTGATATCTCTTTGTGGTTTTCATTTGTATTGTTCTGATGATTAGTGATGTTGAGCATTTTTTCATTTGTTAGTTGGCTATTTGTATATAACCTTTGGAGAAATATCTAACAATTCCTTCATCCATTTTTAGTGAAGTTTAACTTATCTTTTGTTGTTGAATTTTAGAAGTTTTTAAAAACTCTTGTTATCAATTTCTTGTAAGATATAATTTAGAATTCTTTAAATTTTTTCAGATTGCCTTTTACTCTGTTGATTGTCCCTTTTGATTCACAAACATTTTTAATTTTGACATGGTTCTATTTGTCTATTTTTGCTTTTGTTGCTTCTGATTTTGGTTTTCTTTTTATTTCAAGAATGTACTGTGAAAACTTTATCCATCATCCTGATAATGACTTAAGCTAGAAATTTCAGAATGATCTTCATGTTTTCTTTGTAAGAAATCCTATTACTCACTTGGTTAAAAAAGTAAAAACCCTGAGGTCACAGGATACATTTTGCAGTTCATAACAAAGGCATATAGCGTAATAATTTAGACTCAGTGTGCTTTTTCAACCTGATTACATGTAAGCCCCCTTCCCTATTCCCAATGCACAGTCTCATTGGGCATTTCCTGTTTCCAAAATGTGTCTTGCATATTCTTGTGAATTCTTGTATTTTTATTCTTTGGGAAAGCTTCTGTATTAGTTCGCTTTCACACTACTATAAAGAACTAGCTAAGGATGAGTAATTTATGAAGAAAATAGATTTAATTGGCTAACAGTTCCACAGGCTTAAAAAGAAGCATGACTGGGAAGCCTCAGGAAACTTACAATCATGGCAGAGGCAAAGAGGAAGCAGGTACATCTTAGCGTGGTGGAGCAGGAGGAAGAGAGAGAAGGGAGAAGTGCCACACACTTTTAAATCATCAGATCTCCTGACGACTCACTTATTATGACAACAGCAAGGGGGAAACCTGTACCCATGATCCAATCATCTCCCACCAGGCCCCTCCCTCAATTAACATGAGACTTGGGCAGGGACACAAATTCAAACCATATAATTCCAACCCTGGTCCCTCCCGAATCTCATTTCTTTTTCACATAGCAAAATACAATTATTCATTCTCAACAGTACCCCCTGACCAAAGTCTTAACTCATTTCAGCATTAACCCAAAAGACCAAGTCCAAAGTGTCATCTGAGGCAAGGTAATTACCTTCCACTTATGTGCTTGTAAAATCAAAAGCAAGTTTGTTACTTCCAAGATAAAATGGAGGTACAGGCATTGGGTAAATGCCTCTGCTACAAAAAGGAAAAATTGGCCAAAACAAAGGGGCTATAGGCCCCATGCAAGTCTGAAACCCAGCAGGGCACTCATTAAATCTTAAGGCTCCAAAATGATCTCCTTTGACTCCATGTCTCATATCCAGGGCATGCTGAGGCAAGGTGGGAGAATTGCTTGAGGCCAGGAATTTGAGACCAGCCTGAGCAAAATAGTGAGAACTTGCCTAGATGCAAGGGGTTGGCTCCCAAATCCTTGGGCAGTTCTGCCCCTGTGGCTCTTCAGGGTACAGCCCCCACGACTGCTTTCATGGGCTGGCATTGAGTGTTTCTGGCTTTTCCAGGTGCACGGTGCTGTTGGTGGATCTACAGTTTTAGGGTGTGGAAGACAGTGTCCCTTTTCTCACAGCTCCACTAGGCAGTGCCCCAGTGGGGACTCTGTGGTGTCTCCAACCCCACATTTCCCTTCTGCACTTTCCTAGCGGAGGTTCTCCATGAGGTCTCTGCCCCTGCAGCAGACTTCTGCTTGGACATACAGGTGTTTCCATACATCCTGTGAAATCTGGGCAGAGGTTCCCAAACCTCAACTCTTGCCTTCCATACACCTGCAGGCCCAGTACCACGTGGAAGCTGCCAAGGCTTGGGGCTTCCACCCTCTGAAGCAACAATTCAAGCTGCATATTGGCCCCTTTTAGCCATGACTAGAGGTGGAGTGGCTCAGACACATGACACCATGTCCTGAGGCTGCACAGAGCAAGGGTTTCCCGGGCCTTGCTCAAACAGCCATTTTTTCCTCCTTGGCTTCTTGGTCTGTGATGGGAGGGGAGATCTCTGAAATGCCCTGGGGATATTTTCCCCCTTGTGTTGACTGTTAACATTTGACTCCTTGTTATTCATTCAAATTTCTGAAGCAGGCTTGACTTACTCCCCAGGGAAATGATTTTTTTATTCTACCACATGGTCAGTTGGCAAATTTTCCAAATTTTTATGTTCTGCTTCCCTTTTAAATATAACTTCAAATTTCAGACCATCTCTTTCATCATGTGTATGAGCATACACTTTTAGAAACAGCCATGTTACTTCTTGAACACTTTGCTCCTTAGAAATTTCTTCTTCCAGATACCCTAAAACATCTCTCTCAAATTCAAAGTTCCACAGATTTCTAGGGCAGAGGCAATATGCTGCCTGTCTCTTTGCTAAAGCATAGCAAGAGCGGCCTTGCTCCAGTTCCCAAAAAGTTTAACATCTCCATCTGAGACCACCTCAGCCTGGACTTCGTTGTCCATATCACTATCAGCATTTCGGTCAAAGCCATTTAACAAGTCTATAGGAAGTTCCAAACTTCCCCACATCTTCCTGTCTTCTTCTGAGCCCTCCAAACTGTTCTAATGTCTGTTCATTACCCAGTTCCAAAGTCACTTCCACTTTTTCATGTACCTTTATAGCAGTGTGCCACTCCAAGTACAAATTTTCTGTATTAGTCTATCTTTTCACTGCTCTAAGGAACTACCTGAGACTGGATAATTTATGAAGAAAAAGGTTTAATTGACTCACAGTACCACAGGCTTAATAGGAAGCATGACTGGGAGGGCTCAGGAAACCCACTATCATGGCAGAAGGTGAAGGGGAAGCAAGCACGTCTTACTGTGATAGAGCAGGAGGAAGAGACAGAGGAGGTAAGTGCCACAGACTTTTAAATCATCAGATCTGGTGATGACTCACTTACCGTCATGAGAACAGCAAGGAGGAAATTCCTCCCCATGATCCAATCACCTCCCACCAGGTGCCTCCCTCAATTCGACATGACATTTGGATGGGGACACAAATACAAACCATATCACTCTCTATCCTTCTATTTGACAAAGTCCTATTGATCATGTGAAGCCTTAACTACTTTTTCCTAGCTTTATTTTTCTCTGATCTGTCACTATTATGTGCAAATTTACCTAAATTCACTTCTTTTTTAAGAATACATTTATAATGCGTACTAAGCACATTACTGTGCTTAGTGTGACAGTGCCTATCACAAAGAGCTTAATAAATGTAAGCTGCTATTATTTTGATCATATTTTAATAAATTGATAATAATATGATAGTATTATTCATTATATCCTTATTGCTATTATATATATATGTAAATAAGTTAGATTTTCAGAGTATCATAAAATTAGCATATATAAGTAAAATAAAAACATAAAATTATTATAAAATTACTGGCTGTATCCTTCTTCCTATCTTTGTAAAAACAAATTTATGGCCTGGTACCAGATTCCAGGTTTCATTATGTGGTCAGAATCACCTGAGATACCTCTTCAGCATCATCCTCCACTCTCCCCTCCCTTATTTGAATTGGCTAATTTTATAATCATGCTTTAATATTACACGTGTGTGTATACTTCTCTATGAATCCTCCTTGGGATAGCTGGCTCTCTCCATGATTCTCACAGTGTCCTGTGATTTTACATGCAATTTATAACTTTCAACTGAACATGAAGTTTTTGAGAGTATCATTTATCTTTCTATCCTTAAAGCCTAACACAGTGCTTGGTTTTAACAGGCTATCAATAAATATTTGCTGAGTAAATGAGAATTGCATGACAAATTTCCATCTGGTTGCCCATGTTAATAAGGTGAACTAAATTTCCTTTTCCATACTAATACTGTTCCGTAGGAAAGCCTGAGTGGCCTGGCCTTAAATTCTTTGGCTGGCTCTACATCTTATCATTGGATCTCTGAAGGAATATAGAGCATGTTTCCCTAAATCTCTAAGCTATCATCTCTACGTATTATACTCCCTGAATCCCACCCTAGTGCCTCTAAGAGAAGTACTTTTGCCTTCAAATGGTGGGAATATCCCCCAAGAAGAAATAAGTCAAGCCTATTGAGCTGCAGTCACTGAATTTCTGTTGCCTAAGCTATGCTCACAATATGAAAAGGGAAACATAAAATATGTGTAAAATTGAACTCTGTGTATATGAAAATCCAATCTTCATTATGCATTTTAACATTGTTTCTGTATGCAACAGTTCATACGTGCCTTTACCATTGCTGAGAAAATATAAAACCTCTACTGATTACTTCCAAATGGAAGAGAGTCTAGTAACAGATCACTAACTTTCTCAAATTTCTTTAAATGTTTCAGTAAACTGAGTATTTGAGCAGAAATGCATTTTGCAATTTGATAAAGTATCATACTACCCAATTTGACATATAAATGTATGCCATTTAGTTGACTTTTTCTCGATGCCTCAAAAACTGTATTCGCTTAGCACCACACACTACTTGTAAGCATTCAATATGTAGCTATGTATTAATTTGAAAGTAAGAAAACAGACAATGAGAGCAGTATTTTGAAATTGGTCCTGAAATTATAAGCAGTTATTGGAACTGGTTTATATACTCAAATATGTTTGGAATTTAAATAAGGAAGCCTCTGTCTGAGTACATATTAACTATTTATTTTGCAGTTTTTAAACATATTAACTTCTTTTTTGTGTTTGGAAATATATTTTAAATATATGTATGATTTGTATCAATGCATCTAGGTCTTCCTTCTCTGTATAATTTTAATAAATTCTACATAGTGTAATACAGTATGTTAAAAATTTTGTTTTGACATAAGCATTGCATAATAAAGTTCTACATTCAAATTTTATTTTCTATCTCTATTTTTTCAGTATACAATCTGGTATACAATGAGATGGTCATAAAATTTTGCTCATAGAAAAATAAAAAAAAATTTTATGGATTTTTAATAGGTAAGCAGAAAACTATAAATGTGTATTTTTTTGCCTTCCTACCTTCCTTTCTACCTCTTTTCCTTCCTCTTTTCATTAATTCATTCACTCATTCAAAAACATGTTATTAAGCTTCTTTAGCACTTTGTTAAGAACAAAAATTTACCAAAGTACTCAATCTGCTTAGTTCCCACCTTCATGGGGCAGAACAGAAAAACAACACATAATTACAAAAATTGCAAATTGTTGTATGGGTCATGAAAGAAACAAAGATCTGAAATGAAGAATAATGTAGATTTATTTCAGACGAGGTAGTAAGAAAATACCTCTCTTAGTGGGTGATGTTTAAACTGAACTCTAAAAGATAATAGAGAACTTTCCCAATGAAGAGTGTAGTAAGGAATATTCTACGTAGAGGAAAAGTCACAGGCAATGACTTAAAGTTTGACCTGGGTTGAAGTGTTTGACTAAATGAAAGAAGAGTACAGTGTTTGGGTTGCAGTTGCTAGCAAAATAAGTGAGGCAATATTGGAGGACCACATCATGAAGGCCCTTGGTACTTACAGGAAATAATTAAGATGTTGATCCAAATGTAGTCAACATTTTTGAAGCATTATAGGAGGGGAGTAACATGTTTTAATTATATGCTTAGAATTTTTATTTTTCTGCTCTACAGGGTATGGATTAAAGGAGATTAGAATTTTTGTGAGGAGACACATTAGGATGATCAGTAATTAAATATGATGAAAGCCTAGGTGAAAGGAGTAAACCTGGTGATGTGGAGAAGTTGGCATATTCAGGATTTATTGAGGATAGAATGAGTAGGACTTGCTGGTGACTTAGGTATTGGGGAATGGGGTGAGGGAAAGTAGGAGACAGAGGGTTTTTCTTGGAGCAACAGGGTAGTTATTGGTGCTGGTGGTCCCAAGGGCTTGAAATACAGCCTGGTACACAGTCAGCACTCAATAAATGTTACATGCAAGGATGGCTGATTAAATGAAGGAATGCATAATAAAAGGAGGTGAATGTGGAAGAAAATTATGACCTTATTTTGTTGATACCAAGTTTGAAATGCTTGTGACAGATCCAAGTGGACATGACAGGTGATTGTGAATATATGATTTTGGAACTCCAATTTCTAGTGTGTGAATTATTCTTCATTCGCAATCTCCTTTCAACAAATGTTAACTAGACACCTCTTGGGAGCAAGGCACTCTGCCAGTCAAAGGAGAATTGTAAGATAAGGCACAGCTCTGCCCTCAAAGAGTTCATTTGTATAATATATAAATTTATATATTAGTATAAAGTGGTGTTGTGGTGCTATGTAAACACCTAAGTAGAAATTGTCACCTGGTGTGGGAAAGTGAGAAAATGATTCTTAAGGGAATGAGTAAGATTATGCTGGAAGCAAAAGTTAAGGGTTATGTAGTTAATGAAAAAAACAAGAGGGGAAGGAATTATCTAGGAGGAGAGGGGAAAAGATGGGATTGACTTAGGCTGATGGTAGGAGAGAGCTTCCTGTGTTAATTGCAGGGAGGGAGAGGTGTGGAGGGAAGGGGTGGAAATAACCGAGGCTTGCAGGGTAAACAGAATCCTCTGCTGTTTTTTAAATTAATTGTAGAAAATTGAACAGTCAATAACAATATAAACAACATAAAAAAGGAGTGGTATAGCCCACCCAGTTTTCCTTCCCCTTCCTCCTCCTTCTGCTTTTCCTCCTATTTTATCCTTTGGCCAATCTACGATACTATTTCCTGGACAATCTGTCTCAAATTGTATTCTCTCATCAAAATTGCATTTATTAATGTCATCAAAATTGCCTTTATTAATGTCATCCAGATTGGTACTTGTTGTCTATTCTTTTAACATCAACTTTATAATATTTATTTGCAATTACTATATTATTTGTTTAAATATAGATATCCTTTATATATTTTCAACTATATACATCAATATAATTTTCACATATATATATTTTTTGATATATGTATGTGCCCATGAATTTTCAAGTATTTTTCCAGTTTGTCTCCCCTTGGACATTAAAAGGCCACAGGAAAAAGTCTGTAGTTTTTCCTTCTGTGCTTCTTTTTCTTTCTCTCATTCTGGCCTTGTAGTGTGAGATTATAGAGCTGGACTGCCTGGGTTTGGAGCCTAGCTTTATTGTTTCTCATCTATGCTAGTTATTTAACATCACTAGATTTCATAGAGTTGTTTTGAGGATGAAATGAAATAAGTGTGAAAAAGTTTAGTCAATTCGAAGAGTTATACACTTCCTATGCCTTCTCCTCTCAAGTGCGTTAGTATTAAAATGGAGATAATTATACTGTAACATCAGTACAATGATAATTTATTGCATCTTTAAGTTTTTCTTCTTGATTGGATCATAACATTATTTTTCATGCATACCTATCCTATTACATGTCTTTTTAAAAAATAATTACTGAGCAATCTCCTTTGATCTATCTCACTCCACTCCCATTTCTAACTTTAGTGTTATTCTTTAATAAAGTGTTCAAAGAAGTTTCTTTGTTCCATAACTCCTTTTCCTCTCCTTCTCATCAGACTTCCCCCTATCCAGTCCTCCAAAACTCATCAATGACTAAAAGCCACCAATGATTTTCAAGTTGCCAAATCCAATATCCAATGCTCAGTCTTTGTCTTTAAACACTTTCTTTATTTAGTTTCAGAAACACCTTACTCCCCTGGTTTAATTTCACTTTACTGGCCAGTCCTTCCCACTCTTCTTTACTACTGTATTTATTTCTCATCTTTCTGAACTCTCAGTTTTATGATATCTAAGATTCTTGATCCCTTCTCCTCTTTATTCCTTTTCTCTCACTCCCTGTCTTGTCTCCCTCCTATCCTCTCCTGAGTTCTTCTATATCAACACTCATTTCCCATGTACTGTAACAAAGCTTCATAACTTTAAATTCCATCTCTATGCTGATAATCCTCAATTTTTTAATCTCCAGCCCCAAATCCTTACCTGAACTGTAGAAGGGAATATTCTCAAGAAATGTGTAGCTAGGATTGTGTACAGACATATGTGACACATGTGATAGTAAATATAGATACACAGATGTGGCATAAACAGGAGGATCATGCAAACCAGTGGGCCCAGTCCACTTCTACTTGGAGCCCTTGTGTAATCATTGTGTACACCCTTTCACTCTCAAAAAAATTCCTTGTTCAAAGACTAAGTTATGTGCTTACTCCTTATGCAGGAATAGATTTCTGAGTTATATCCTGAAGAATAATGAGAACTTTATCTAGCAGAAAGAGAACAAAGACTCAAAACTTAAGACACAGACATGGAACAGCATGCTATGTTTAGAAAGAGACACCTTCCAGTATGTTTGTAGAGCTTTGGGTGTCATATTTATCCGTGGACCTGCAGGGACTAGAAACCATTGAGAATTTTAAAGACTGGTATGATTAAATATTCATTTTAGAAATATGACTCTGGGTATACTTATAGAATAGACTGAATAGGAAAACATATCTAACAGAAACTTCTGTTATTTTCATAGGTGAGATAAGAGCAATAATGCAGGAGTATAGAGGTGCAAAGATAAAAGATGGCAAATATGACAGATTCTTTACACAACAAAGTCTCTTTTTAGGCAAGTGTCCTTATTAAGCTTTTCAACTACCACAACATGTGATCAGCCATACTGATCACTGATGACTATTAATATAATATATTTGCAATTCACTTATTTTCAAGGACTGTGACTTCTGATCCTTAGTCATTCTTCATTTATCCAACATATCACCAAAAATAAAATAGCCTTTATGGAGAAATAAGAAATTCTTGGCAGATAATTATGAATTATGATAAAAATTCATGATAAAAATGAATCCCATAGGGTTTTTTTTCTTTTTTCCCACAAGGTTTATTTAAGAAATATAATGAGAAAGAGTCCCATCAAACTTTTCCTATATAATGTCTTTATTATTATACAATGATGTCTCGTTAAATAATGTGAGAAAAAAATTATTTTGATGCCGAAAAATAGTTGTGCCTATGTGTCTTATGGAGTCTATAAGTAATGTAAACTGATCATGTTTATTCCTCTGAGATAATTCTTAAAATGTGAACCTCATTTAGCAAACCATGAAGGACCTTGCAGTATGCATTTTGTACACCATCCTTATCCTTACCCCACTCTTGCTTTACTGTTTCTATTATTCTTTTTGCCTCCATTTGCTCTTTTCATTCCTATGACATTAATATAAACAACTAGCTACTATATGAATGGGGAGGAAAGAATGAACCACCACGTATTTGGTACAGATGCAAAGAAAGGATATGAGAAAATGTAGGCCAGTTCCCAAATATTTCTCTTGGATAATGAGTTTTTGGGGGCTTTGGTAGATACAAAAAGGTGATTGCCCAGTATGGAATTAAATTAGGATGGGGGCAGGGTAAAATTAGTAGTAGATTAGTAGATTTTTTGAGAGTAAGATGTCCTTAACACATTTAAACAGAGACAGATATTTTATATATAGTTGGTGGAATGGATCCAGAGCTCAAGAGACAGATCTGAATTCAAGATAAGCCAGATGGGATCTACATCCACTAAGATAGTAAATGTATGCTTATGAATAATGCACTCTCTACCCACAAAAAAGGATACCTCAGCCACACAGAGCATTCCATTGCAAAGGATTCAGCAACACAGTGCTCTCTCTTTATTCCTGATGCTCAGGACTAGAACCACTGGTTTACAGGTGGATATTCAGGAGAGCAAGAAAAGTGAAAGTTAGAAACGAGTTTTGATCCTATGCCTAAAACTGAGGAAATTTATTAACAATTTTAGTGACCAACTTAGTTTTCTACTAATAAGAATGCATGTGAAATTACATAAATAACTTAAGAAAGAATATGCCTGTGTGAAGCATTTGGATCTACTTCACCTGGCTGAGTTCAAAGGAACTTTATTTGCAAGAATAGGCAATAGACCAGATTTGGCCCAGAAGCCATAGTTTGCTGACTCCTCATTTAGTTGATATTGATAAAGCATAATTTTCAAAAGGACGAAATCATGACTATCATGCCAATATAAAATGAACACTTGTCAAATATATTTTGGCTTATTAATTAATGAGGGAACCAGTAACATGTTAATACCATTCCAAGAGCATTTGAGAAGCTAGGCATTTAGAGGCAATCACAGGACAAGGTTGCTGGATTAGATATGAAACTGGTTATTACCTACAGAGGCCACTAACCATACCTTGGAATTATATTTTCAATCATACAATAGTTAACTGGCATTTCTTGGAGTGAAATCTAAAAGCTAACATGTGACTTCACTAAGTCTTCATTATTTACTAATAGTAAAATGTTGGTCAGCTAAGTTAATTGTGTAAGCCCATGGGTGGGCCAATGACGTTTAAAGGACATGCCAGACCTTTTTTTTTTTTGCCTTATTTCCTAGCTTCCTCCTGCCTGACAATATTTCAAAATAATTAAGAAAGTAGGAAATCATGTTACAAATGTTTGTATTAATTTTGTATTGCTGCTGTAACAAATTACCACAAATACAGTGTCTTAAAACAACAAAAACTTATCTTACAATTTTGTAGGTCATAGGCCTGCCACAGGTCTCACTAGCCTAAAAGCAAGGTGTTATCAGAGCTGCATTCCTTTCTGGAATCTGACCATTGCCTTGGCTTTTCCAGCATCTGGAGGCTGCCTCAATTCCTTGGCTCCTGGTCCTTTTCTATCTTGAAAACCTGAAAAAGCACATCTCTCTCTCTCTGATTCCTTCTTCTCCCTCTTCTTCCCCCAATTTAAGGATTCATGTGATTAGATTGGGCCTGCTGAAATATTCCTGGGTGATCTCATAATTTCATCAGTAGCCTTAATTGGATTTTAATTGCATCAACTGATTAGCAAACTTAAATGTATCTTCAATGTTAATAATTATCATCTGTCATCTAAAGTAACATATTCATAGGTTCCCAGGGAAAATATCTGTTGGCAGAGACATTATCCTGCCTAACACACATTGTTCACACTATTTATCTAAACATGGATGCTTCTACTTTTTCATAGTGTAATTGGGGCACGTTTATTAACAACTCTGAGCTAATTTTCCCAAATGTAATATAGACTTATGAATAAGACTTAAATAAACAATAAAAGTAAAATATCCAACAGTTTGCATAGCATATATGCTCAATCAGTGAAACTACTAAATCCAATGTATGTGACAATTAGCTATGTTCCTGTAGACTTTGAGTAGAAATGAAGGTATTGTCTCAAGAAGAAACCACACAATTGGTATAATAGGTACTTCATTTGAAATGATGTATTTTCTTGATGTGGACCTAAGAAGGAAAAAAGTCGTACTGAACACAAAATATCAAAACTACGTAAAGGGGTACCTTTTTATACATCACGTTCTTTTCTATTCTCTGGTTAATTTTTTAATAGTAACAACAAAATTATCCCCTCAAATAATCCAGATTCAGATTTTAAATATTAAATGGTATAAGAGGTATTTGAAGAAATATTTATTTTAAAGTATTCATACTTTAGTTATAATTCTTTTGAGATCTTAAAATTTAGAACATTAAACAATATATAAAGAACTGTAAACAAATCCCCATTTTTTTTCAGAAGTGGAACGTGAATGCTGTCTAACTGTGTGATAGAATATTTTTTCTATGTTTTAACCAACAATTTTAGATAATAAGCCCTTTAGGGAAAGGATTTACTTCTTGAATATTTTTGTTCATTGATTGCTCAGTTTGGAAATTTTCAGCCATTATGTAGTATTTTGAGGTTAGAGCTCAAGCCTATTCAGCCCCAGACTGAGAAAGAGACCAAACTGTTTTATTCCTTAGGGAGAAGCTCCCTTGGTGTAGGTCTAGGATTAAATAGCACAGAGGATTGAAGATTTTACGTGATCACCTCATTAGTAGCATTTAAAGTAATGGTGATAGTTGTTTCTAACAAATCCACCTTTGTAGAAAACAATGGTACACTCAGAAGCACATAATAATATACACTGGAAGCATTAGCACGCCACCCTGAAAGACAAGAGAAGAAGATGCTTCCCCCTCCCCCCACCAGTATTTAACACAGTTGATTGTGCATGACTAATTCTTTTGTTAATCTTGTCTGGTGTCAATCTTTTGGTTTTTAGTAGAGGTTTCCTTTGGGGATTGAGCAGCACACATGGCTGACCTGCATGCTTCTTTATCTCCAGGGCTCTAATAAAATATTAGCACACAAAACTAAATTGATTTGGAAACATAAGGCACAAAAAAGCTGGTTTTATGCAAATGTTAGCACTGTATAAAAGAGCCCACGGACATCACTGAAAGTGCAGCTTCACTTCACTGACAGGCTAACTGACATTTGGATGGATGCTAAAATTAACCATTTAGAAAAACGTAAGCATTGTTGTTTCTGAGGCCCTGCGTGTAAATGTGGGTGTCTAACACCCATGTCCACCTCTTATATTACTATACAGTCAAAATTTTATTTATCATTTAAGATAAATATTATCCAAAAAGGCTGAATATCCAGAACTCATTTACATTTGGCTTTGGACTCCATAAAATTAGTTTGTATTCCCTAACCACATGGCAACTGACATCCTGCAAAGGTGACCCAGATATGTACTCAGTGGCAAGATTTCAGAGGAAGAATACACAGCTCAAAATCTACAGCTGGGATACTGATTAGCTATAATTTTGGATAAATGCATTTTGGCTATAGTAAGTTTTGTTGTAGTAGAACCTGACACATATCTTCTTACAATAACACCTTGCACAAGATTGGTGCTGAAATTATCTACTAAATACATAAAACGCTGCTTACTTTTATTTGTAGCATAAATCATTTATTAAAGATATTAGAATTTTTATTTTCTTTGTTCACGACTTTGAATTTTAAAATATTTATGTATGTATTTAAGTATGCAAAAATACAGACACTAAGCTTAGAATAAATAATAAAACATGCATATAAATCTATCATTGAAGGACAATATTTATTTAATTCATTTAACTTTAGAAAACAATGAATATATTGATGCAAATGGGAGGATTACAGTTGTTAATGAAATGAAAATATTTCAATATAAGTTTTGTCAACTATAGTACAATCATAAAATTTCACAGGAGCTTTCTGTATGTCATATTGCATAATCTCATTGAAAACATTTAAAAAGTCCTGATACTTGAAGCAGATTGTAGATGAATTCATTATAACCTCATTTCTTAGACTTTTTTGGAGTATGTGTATATATGTGTTTGAACATATATACATACATTTTACATTGTATTTTTAGGCTGATGCCTTCCAAATTGTAAATTTAAAAACGATTAGGAAAATTTTTTTTATTTGTGTAATGAGTATGAATATTGAGCTTGGATTATTAAATAAATAAATTTGAACAGACTCTCTTTAAATCCATACTTTAGAGAAAAATCCAGGACAATAATACAAAAATGCAATAGAAATGTTATAATGATTGTTCTATATGCATAAACCAATAATTCTGTTATTACAATTTATTAAGAACACCAATCAAAAATTTAATGTGTGTTTTGCATTCCCATTATTTACCCAGTAAGAAATGTTGCAATATGTATTTAACTATTTTTTCCTATTTTTAGGAATTTAACTATTTTTCCTATTCAAATTCAAATATAGAAGATAAATTTAGATAGAAATTTGCTGCGAACATTGTTTATTGTTGTCATGTATTCTTCAGCCTAGTCAGGAAGGACTTTCTAGAAAAAGTAAAAAGGACAATGCTTGTTTTTATGTCTTTGGTTTCTTTTCCTCCTTTGGGCATCTTTTTCCATTCTTAACTTTCTTCACTTTCTTTCTATGTTTTTAACATCTCAAACTGCAGTGTGTTCACCGATTAAGGCTATTCTCTTAGATGGCTTTTTTTGAAACTTGTCTCCACCACTTTTTAACTACATGAACTTGGGCAAATTACTAACTTTTTGTGACTCAATTTTCTCTCCTATAAAATAGGAAAAGTAATTGTTTCATTTTGTTTTCTTAGTCTCTTAGAGCTATTGTTAGAATTAAATTTGATGATCTATTTTAAAGGCTCAGAATAGTGCCTTTGTTTACACAATACATATTAGCCATTATTTACCAAATTGTCTAGTCTATATAACGTTTTATTAAAAATCTGCTTTCTCCTGAATTTCATTGGGGAAAAATAGGTTCAAAGTCCAACTGTTATTTAAAATATAGAATTCAGGAGCAGAGTGAGAGGTAGCCTATTTTTAAGCAACCCAGCTCTGTAGAACTCTTCAAATTATACTAAAAGTGCTCTCATACTTTGCCTTTCTCACAGGGCTTCTTATGGACAAAGGTTTGCTACATTTTTGTTCTCACTTTCTATTCTCTTCTTACTACTCTTATTTTGTAGCAGAAAATGAGAAACAAGCAGAAGCAGTGAACCTGTCATTTAACTAGTAGAGATAGCAAGAGCGAAATGAAATCTATGCGACTGAGAGTGCCTTCTCAATCCCCTGCTGCGGCAATTTTGCCAGAGGGAGTAACAAGTCAATTGTGCCATCACCTTGCTGGAATCTTCTTACTGACAAAAATAAAACTTCTAGGATACTGATAAAGAAGTCAGAAAACCTGAAACTGAGACTGCTGGAAACATTAAAGTTAATAAAAATGCACTATTAAAATAATAATACATTTCTAAAAATTAGATACAGGGTGTGGCTCTGTTACCCAAGCTGTAGTGCAGTGGCACAATCCTAGATCACTGCAACCTCGACCTACTGGGCTGAAATGATCTTCCTGCCTGAGCCTCCCAAAGTTTTGGGATTACAGATGTTAGCCACCATGCCCAGTCAGTAATAATTTTACAAATATAACACCAATCCAGAATAGGCTTAAGTAAATTGATTTAGGTCACACTATTAGTGTCAGATTTGTCCCCAAGTCTTTCTGATTCTAGAGCAGTCACTTTTAAGCTCAGCACATTACTGCCTCTCAAATAAATGTCCAATAAATTTTATGGACATATTGAGAAGCAAAAAACATATTTAATCAGATAAGCTATTCTTTAGATATATGCCATAAGTCAGCCTCATTCTAGGTATGTAAGATAAAGTTGTAACTAATGTATTAGTAATGTAGTCAAGAGTTGATGGCATTTATATTCTAAAGTCAAATGAGACAACGGTAAAAAAATCTATTACATAATGGGATATTGTAATCGAGACTGATGGGGGATTGTTTTAGCTGACATGGTTATTAGTCAAGAAAAGCATTACTGATTTGAATGACATCATGTAATCAATCATAGGAAGAACTTGGGGACGAAGCTACAACTCATTCCAGCAGTAACCCAAAAAGTCCGATTCCAAGGTCTAATCTGTGACAACCAAGTCCCTTCCACCTATGAGCCTGCAAAACCAAAATCAGGTTACTTACTTCCTAGATATTATACAATGGGGATATAGGCATTGGGCAAATACGCCTGCTCCAAGTGGGAGAAATTGGCCAAAACAAAGGGATTACAGGCCCCATGGAAATCCAAAATCCAGCAGGGTAGTCAAATTTTAAAGCTCCAGGATGATCTCCTTTGATCCCATGTCTCACATCTAGGTCATGCTGATGCAAGAGGTGGGCTCCCATGGCCTTGGGCAGCTCTGACCCTTGGCTTTGTAGTGTACAACACCTCTCCTGGCTGCCTTTACAGGCTGGTGTTGAGTGCCTTCGGCTTTTCCAGGTGAACAGTGCAAGCTGTCCGTGAATCTGCCATTCTGGAGTCTGGAGGATAGTAGCCCTCTTCTCACAGCTCCACTAGGCAGTGCCACAGTGAGTACTCTGTGTGGTGACTCAAACCCAACATTTCCCTTCCACAATGCCCTAGCAGAGATTCTTTATGAGGGCTCCACTTCCACAGCAAATTTCTGCCTGGACATCCAGGTGTTGCCATATACCCTCTGAAATCTAGGCTGAGGTTCCCAAACCTCAATTCTTGACTTCTGTGTACCCTCAGGCTCAATACCACATGGAAGCTGCCAAGGGTTGGTGCTCACACCTGCTGAAGCCATGGCCCAAGCTGTACCTTGGCCCATTTTAGCCATGGCTGGGACACAGGGCACCAAGTCTTGAGCTTGCACAAAGTAGCAAGGCCCGGGGCCCAGCCCACAAAACCATTTTTTTCCTATTAGCCCTCCAGGCTTGTTATGGGAAGGGCTGTTGTGAAGACATCTGACATGCCATGGAGACATTTTTGCCATTTTTTGGTGATCAACATTTGGCTTCTTGTTAATTGTGCAGATTTCTGCAGCTGGCTTGAATCTCTTTTCAGAAAATGGGTCTTTCTTTTCTGTCACACCATCAGGTTGCAAATTTTCCAAACTTTTATGCCGTGTTTCCTCTTGAATGCTTTGCCACTTAGAAATTTCTTCTGCCAGATACCTTAAATCATCTCTCTCAAGTTCAAATCTCCACAGATCTTTAAGGCAGGGGCAAAATACCATCAGTCTTTTTGCATAGCAAGAGTGACCTTTACTCCAGTTCCCAACAAGTTCCCCATCTCTATCTGAGACCACCTCAGCCTGGACTTCATTGTGCATATCACTATCAGCATTTTTGTCAAAGCCATTCACAACTCTCTAGGAAGTTTCAAACTTTCCAACATCTTCCTGTTTTCTGAGCCCTCTCTAAGTCTCTAAGAAGTTCCAAACTTTTCTACAGTTTTTTGTCTTCTTCTGAGCCCTCCAAGTGGTTCCAGCATCTGCCATTTACCCAGTTCCAAAGTTGCTTTCACATTTTCAGGTATCTTTATAGTAAGTGCCCCGCTCCCTGTACCAATTAACTGTATAAGTCTGTTCTCATGCTGCTAATAAAGACATACTGAGACTGAGTAATTAACAAAGGAAAGAGGTTTAATTTACTCACAGTTAAGAAGGGCTGAGGAGGCCTCAGGATACTTACAATCATGCTGGAAGGAAAAGCAAGCACATCCTTCTTCACATGGCGGAAGAAAGGAGAAGAATGAGAATCGAGCGAAGGCATAAACTCCTTATATAACCATAAGATCTTGTGAGAACTTACTATCACAAGAATAGCGTGGAGAAACTGCCCCTATGATTCAATTACCTCCTACCAGGTCCTTCTCATGACATGTGGTGATTATGGGAACTACAATTCAAGATGAGATTGGAGTGGGGACACAGCCAAATCATATCAGCTTCCCTGTAGAAATAAATTATGTTTTTTTAGTGTATTAATCCTGATATAAGAAATACCATAAACAGGGTACCTTATAAGCCACATAAATTTCATTCTCACTGTCCTGGATACAGGGAAGTCCAAGATCAAGCTGTGGGCAGATACAGTGTCTGGTGAAGGACTACTTTCAGATTCATAGATGATGCCTTCTTGCTGTGTCCTCACATAGAGGAAGGGGAGAATAAGCACCTTTGGACCTATATTTTCTAGGCACTAATCCCATTATGAGAGCTGTGTCCTCAGGACCTAATCACCTACAAAAGGGCCCCCTGTCCTAAGCAATTGCCTCAGAAGATAAGATTTAAACATATTAATTTTGATGGGACACAAGCATTTTAATCATAGCACATTATTAGACATTTACTCACATCTGTAGCAAAAGACATTATAGACATAATAACCATATCTCAAAATAACACAAAGTTTCACTAGAGATAATACAGTTAAATTAGTGACACGTACCACTGTCAAACAGTGAAAATTAATAAACTATAATTACATGCAAAAATATGGATGAATGCCACAAAGAATAGCGGATTGAAAGAAGCCAGACTCAAGAGGACATACTTTCAGCTTCCATTTTATAAAGTTCAAAACATGCAAAAATAATCTATTATGCTATAACGTAGAAATGTGTTTATCTTCAGGATGGAAATAGCAAGGACTGAGAGGGAGTATTTGGGAGATTTCTACCATTAGGCTAATGTTCTCTTCTTGATTTGGGTGTTAGCAACAAAGCTGTGCTCATTTTGTGAAAATTCATCAAGCTATTCACTTAGAAGTTTTCAGCACCTATATTGTATTTAATTTAAAACATTATCAAATAAAAAGGAGAACACCTCAAAATTATATATTCTCCTAGTCAGCTAATGTAGTGTGAGATGTCTCACAGATCTTCAAGGGACTGGTCAGATCTATTCCTCCTCTTTCTGAATTCCCTGAGATGCTGATTAGAATCTGACCATTATTTAAGCATTCAGAATTTTCCTAGGTCAGTGTATCTCAAAGGTTAGCAAGGATGAGATTCACCTGGAAGGCTTGTTAAAACGTCCATTGCTGGACCTCATCTCCAGAGTTTCTGATTCTGTAGGTACAGGGAAGGGTGCAAGGACTATGGTTTAAGTAACGAAAGTAGGCATCATCTCAGCCCTTTATATTTTATGAAAGCTCTGTCTTTATTTGTGCCTACTTTCATTTTTAACCTTCACGCTCTCCTTGATTTCCCAATCCACTTGATGCTTTTTGCAAACTTTAATATTACTTCATTTATGAAAGTGAGGATGATTAGGGTATGATTTTTCTCAAAATTTCCAATGTTCTATCTACCTCTGTTTCAAACTAGGCTGCCATCAGAAACACCTAGAGAACATTTAAAAATACCTATAATTCATCTCCAACCCTAAAATTCCTACTTTTTGTAAAAATATTATTGGTTAATAATGGGGTCTACAGTAGGATGCTTTTTAAAAGTCCTCCAGGTGATGCTAATGCATGATAAGAATAAAAAATTACTGTACTAACCCATGCATAATAGCTAATCTATACACTGTGGTCTTCTTTATCTTTTGCCTAGGTCAGGGTCTTTCTGCACCTGGGATCCCTTCAGCTGATAGATATCTCTCCAATATCTTTCCAAGGTCCAAACACAAATGAAGCCAACACATACTATTCTCAATAGCAAGACACACTAAATTTTTATTGCTTTATTCTATTATCTCTTCCTAACAGTAAATTTTCCCTCTTCCCTTTTCAAATTCCTCAGAAAATTTGTCTTTGTTTAACATTTCTATTCATTTTTCTGCCATTTATTTCTCAATTGACTGGTCTCGCTTCTTTTCACACGTTCTATTGAAACCCTTTTCCTAAGTTCAGCAGTGGCTTCCTAATAGACACATAATTGTTCACATTTTTAAAGTAGAGTCTCTCCATGACATTTGACATTGTTATTAACTCATTCTTTAGATATCTTTTTTTGTCTTTCTTGTGAAATAATTTGATTATTATTGTACCTGTCTAGCCACTTCTCTATCTACCTCATTGCCTCCTGTTTCTCTACCAATTAATTTAATATTATGGTTTCCCAGGTTTCCACTGTTCATACTATATACTGTTTAGTAGAAGATGATGTCTACTTTATTGATTTCAATTGTCCTCCATGTATATGATGATTCTGCAATTTATGTCAGTCGGCTCAATACTCTTAACCATTCAACTGCCTGTGGAGAATATTTAATATTCAAAAAGCATCTTAACTAGTTTGGGTAGAAATTATCTTTTCCAAAAATTGTGTTCATTTCAAAGAATTGATTTCATGAATTTTAGTTTGAGGGGTTATTGATTCGCATTTGTAGAGAAGACTCTCAGAAACTCTAGCAGCTTGAAGCAGTTACTTAGGACAAGTAAAAAGGAAAATTTATTGAAACATAGAGAACTTTTACTTTCATGACTGATTGCAAGTATTGTGAGACAGAAACAACAGTATGTGATTATTTCTCTATTTCCTTGGCAAGACTGAATGTCCCAGCCAGCAACACAGTTAAGATGGTGCCCTGAAGCTAAAGGCTGTCCTATAGGAAGTATGAAAATGTGACTTAAATCACATCTAAACCTAGCCTTTAAAAACATTATTTGTTGCTTAGTATGGTACATGACACATAGCTATTTTCTATCTTTTTTTCTACTGTGCCTGCCTCAGATGTAATCATTAAATGTGGAATAGAAATTTATTCATTTCCTCAGAGGAAAGAGATGCAACATTACTATGTTCATTGCTGTATTTAATTTTATTTGCAAATTTCAGCAATTGCACTGAGGTCAGCAGTTTAAATTACTGCTCCTAATATGACTATGGATGATTGGATTATGATTAAAAACTATATACATAGCATGCATCCCTGTATCTATAAATAAAACTAAAACAAAATATTCATAATTCTTAGTCTAGGAAACTTGCAGACTTCAAAGTCTGAGGTTTCTCCACTTAGTGCACTGTGGCCAGCATCTCTGGCTCCAAGGAGCACATAGTGCAGTGGGAACTCCTGGGAGGAGATATCAAGAAGGCCAAAAAATAAGGCAAAGTTAAATTTCAAAGGTGGCACAGTCAGCTGTGGCATTGCGGGGATAAATAGGCCTTTTTGTGTTCTTTTAAGGGAAGGCCCCCATGTTATGGGATTGCACTGTGCACAAAAGTTAGTTATGCAGTTTTGATCATGTTAAAAGGCCAGTACTCCACTTGCAAAACAAAATATAAAACTAAGCCATTTATTGAGGTGGTCAGAGGACTGTTTTTAGCATTGGCTCAGAAACAAAACAAAACTAAACAAAAAATCCCAGCTGGTTTACCTTAGGCAAGTCACTTAAACACTCTTGGAACAAAGTTCAATCTTCAGTGAAGTGAGAACTGTGATTAGCACTATTTGGGAGGTTCTGACATTTGGACATGAGAACTCTCCTTTTACTGTTATCCAGCCATTGAAATAAGCTTCAATTTTCTGCAGTGACTTCGGTCTCATGACTACTTCTCAGTCCAAGAACTGGGCTTTCTAGGAACTCAGGACAATTGCAACTGGAGTTGCAACACAAAATAAAGAGCAACTCTTGCTGAGGACACTCACAAGTGTGTGTGTGTGTGTGTGTGTGTGTGTACGTGTGTGTGTGTGTGTGTATATACATATATATATATATATATATATATATATATATATATATATATATATATATATATATATATATGTTTTATTGGGTCAGTTGTGTATATCATTGCATTCTGAGAGGTCTGGTTGCAGACCAAAGTCATTGAACTGGCAAGCTCTTATCCTAGGGTAATTTGTAGTCAATTCTTGGTATCCAACCTCATTTTAAAAGATGCATTCTCAAAAACTGTAATCACATACATACCATGGAATATTACTCAGCAATAAAATGGTATAAACTATTGAAATATGCAATAACTTGGAGAGATCTCCAGCTGAGCGAAAAAATGTAAACCCCAAAAGATTATATACTGTATCATTTCATTTTATAAGACATTTTGAAATGAAAATCTTGAAAATGAAAGGCAGATAAGTAAATGATTGCCAGGGATTAGGGAGTAAGAAGAAGAAGAAGGGAAGTCAGTGTACTTTAAAAAGAGCAACACAGCCAGGCGCAGTGGCTCCTGCCTGTAATCCCAGCACTTTGGGAGGCTGAGGCGGGCAGATCGTTTAGAGGTCAGGAGTTCGAGACCAGCCTGACAAACATGGTGAAACCCTGTCTATACTAAAATACAAAAATTAGCCAGGCATGGTGGCAGGCGCCTGTAAACTCAGCTACTCAGCAAGCTGAGGCAGGGGAATCACTTGAACTCGGAAGCAGAGGCTGCAGTGAGCTGAGATCACACCTCTGTACTCCAGCCTGAGCGACAAAGCGAGACTCCCTCTCAAAAAATAAATAAATAAATACATAAATAAAAGGAGCAACGCTAGGAATTCTTGTAGTGATGGGCCCGTTCTGTATATTGACTGCAATGGTAGACGCTCAAATCGACACATGCGATAAACTTGCATAGAACTAAACACACAGTAAATAAATACAAGCAAAACTGGGGAAATGTGAATAAGATTGGTGGATTGTGGGGGCGGAGGGGGAAAGTGAATAGTCACTGGCTAAAAGGTAAAAAGTTTCAGATAAACTAGAATAAGTTTTAAGATCTATTGCACAGCAGGGAGTCTACAGGCAATAACAATGTATATTTCAAAATAAGTCATAGTAAATTTCAAATGTCTCATCTCCAAAAATGATAAATAATAGAAGTGATGGATAGGTTAATTGGCTTGATTTAATTATCCCACATAGTAAACATATTATAAAACATCACGCTGTACCCCATAAATATATATATAATCATGATTTGTTGATTAAAACAATATTTAATTTAAAAATTCTTTGAAAACTTCTGACCTGGGAATGACAAAGACCATGACTTCAATCCTGTCTTTTTCCCTTGTCCCATGCTGTGGTCTAAATTTATGTTCCCCCAAAATTCATACATTGAAATCCTCTCTCCATAGTGATGATATTAGGAGGTTGGACTTTTTGGGAGGTGATTAGGTCTTGAGGGCAGAACTCTCATGAATGGGAATAGTGCCCTTATAAAATAGGCCCACAGGAGCTCATTCAACCCTTCTACCACATAAGTACACAGCAAGAAGGCACCATCTCTGAACCACAAAGTGGGTCCTCACCAGTTACTGAATCTGCCAGTGCCTTCATCTTGGATTTCCCAGCCTCCAGATCTGTAAGAAATAATAGCTTGAATAGACTAAAACAGAAAACTGGTACCAAGAAGTAAGGATGCTACTGCAACAATACCTAAACATGTGGAAGCATCTTCAGAACTAGGTAACAAATAGAGGCTGGAAGGGTTTTGAGGTACATGCTGAAAAAGCCTGCATTACTGTGAATATCCATTCATTAAGGGCAATCTTGGTGAGGGTTCAGAAAGAGAAGAGGGGAGATGTAGAGAAAGCCTCAATCTTCTTAGGTAAAAACTTAGTCATTAAAAAAATGTAGAAATATGGATGGTAAAAGCGATTCTGATGAGGTCTCAGATGGACATTAGGAACATGTTATTAGAAACTAGAGAAAAGGTGATCCTTGTTATAAAGTGGCAAATACCTTGGCTGCATATTGTTCATGTCCTAGTGTTTTATGAAAGATAGAAGTTCTGGTTAATGATGTAGGATATTTGCATGGAGAAATTTCTAAGCAAAGTGTTGAAGGTGTTGAAAGTGTGACTTTGCTTCTCTTGAAGCTTATAATAAAATAGGAAAAGAAAGAAATGATAGAAAGATGGAATTTTTAATAAAGGGAAGTGGAACTTAAGGATTTAGAAAATTGTATAACTGTCCATATTATAAAAAATGAAGATGTGTACAGGAGAGAACAGGAAGGGTGTGGTCAGGTGACCCTTTGATAAAGAGATTAATATGGATCAGCCTGGTGCTATTAATTGAGAAAGTGGAAGAATGATGTCAAAGGCAATTTGGAGATCATGGGGCTGCCATTCCCATCATAAGGCCAGGCTACAAGAGCCTGGGGAGGAGAACAATTTCAAAGAAGGGACTGGGGATACTTATGGAAACTCAGCTCTTGCTGCCTGCACTCTGTTTCCGTGCTTCTCAGCCACTCCTGGTGTAGCTTTGGTGGGTCCTAGAACGACATGGGCTATGTCTAGCAAAGTTATGGGGTCATGGCTGCCTTCATTTAGATTGCAAAGGATGCCCTGTAAAGAAAGCTGTGGAACTCAGAAAGAAAACTGCCCTGGAAGTGAAGCCACCATGAAGAGTTTCCACTAAGTCAGTGTCCAGTGGAGCCATGGGAGCAGGACCACCCCAGAGAATCCAGACCAGTAGACTGTTGGGTATGTGATTTCAGCTTTGGAGAGCTCCAGGCACAGAGCCGATTTGAAGATAGGGCCACAACACAGAACTGTCACGGGAGCAAGGCTGCTTGAAGCCTTAGGAACCCAATCTCAGTCCCTGGAGGGTAAACATTGAGCCAAAGAATATTATTCTTGAGCTATAAGACATAATATTGTTTGCCTTGTTAGATTTCAGTCTTACTTGTTACCCCTTTCTTCTTTCCTGTTTCTCCCTATTGGAATGGGAATGTCTATCCTATGTCTGTCTGACCATTGTATTTTAGAAGCAGATATCATTTTTGATTTCAGAGGTTCACAGTCAGAGGGCAATTTGCCTCTGCACAAATGATACCTTGAGTCTCATCCATGGCTGATTTAGATGATATCGAAATAGGACTCTTGACTTTAGACTTCCGACTTGATACTAGAATTAGCTAAGACTATTAGAGCTATTGGAATGGTATGAATGTATTTTGAATGAGAGAAAGACATTAATTTTTCAGGGCCAGAATTGGAAAAGATGTTTTATCCTCACCGTTCTACAGTGTTGCTGTTGTCATAAATCAAGCGTTGCTGTTGTCATGAATATGTGTGAGTCTTTATCTGAACTCTTCATTATGTTCCATTGGTTAACTCTTCTATACTTGTTTTTAATTCTCCATTGTTTTGATTATGGCAGCTGTATAATAAGTCTGAAATCTGGTTGTTTTTCAGCTGTATATTCTTCTTTATGATTGTTTGAGTTAGACTTAGCTCTTTGCATTTCCAGGAAATTAAAAAATCAGCTTGTCAATTTACACATGCACATTTGCCAGTATTTTGATTGTGACTATTCTAAAGCCATAGATTAATTTGGGAGACAGCATATTCATTTGTTTACATAGGTCTTTTGTATTTTCTCTCAAGAATGCTTTAAAATATTTTGAGTAGAGCTTTACCCAGCTTTTTCATGTCTTAGTGCCTTCATTCCTAGGTATATGAAATTTTATTATATTAAAAATGGTATTTTAAAAATGTCAGTCTAATTGTTTGTCTCTGATATGTTTTTGTATATTTCCTTCTATTTAGTTGTACTGCTAAATTCACTCATTAAGTTTGGTATTTTATCAATGACTTTAAAAAAATGTCCTACATACACAGTTCTGGAATCTGCGAATAGTTATGTTGCCCTTTCTTGAAATTAAGGATGGAGAATATAAATTAATTAACAATTTCCACTTGCTGAACAGAGGTAGAGATTTTCCAATTATGTTATTTTGACCTGCAACATACATAACCTTTTTTTTTTTTTTGAGATGGCGTCTCGTCCTCTCACTAGGCTGGCATGCAGTGGCGCAATCTCGATTCATTGCAACCTCCACCTCCCGGGTTCAAGCAATTCTCCTGCATCAGCCTCCTGAGTAGCTGGGACTACAGGCACCTGCCACCACGCCCCGCTAATTTTTATATTTTTAGTAGAGATGGGGTTTCACCATGTTGTCCAGGATGGTCTCAATCTCTTGACCTCGTGATCCACCTGCCTTGGCCTCCCGAAGTGCTGGGATTACAGGTGTGAGCCACCATCCCCAGCCTCATATCTTGTTCTTAAAATGTATTTAGCAACTCACCCCATTGTTTTACTTTGTTTTGACTTTTTGCTCCATTTAACATACTATTCCTATGTTTTTGAACTGTGATGTATTCTTTGAAATTCTGTTTATTCTATTCTGTAGATTCTCAGAGATCAGAATCCAAATTGATGATCAATTTAAATACTTATATTCATTTATTTGTTCATTTCATGTTTAATTCAATAAATTCACTTGGAGTCCCTACTATATATGTAGGTATAGTAGTTTTAAGTAACAGATATAATATGAACAAAAAGGGACATAAGCCCTGCCTTTATGAAGTTTACAGTGAGAGGGAGGCAGACATTTTAAATACTGAAGTAGAAAAGAGACTCTGCCATCATAAACATATAGCCATTGAAGCTGCCCAAGAACACAGCCTCCATCCAGATAGAAACTTGACCCATGAACAACAAGGGTTTGAACTGCATGGGTCTACTAACACAACCCTTGTTTTGTTTTGTTTTTCAATAAATACAGTCAGCCCTCCCTATCAGAGGGTTCCACATCCACAATGAAACATGGTTGGAAAATACAGTATGGGATGTGAAACCTGTGTATAGGGTGGGCTGACTTTTCATTTCCATGGGTTCTGCAGGGTCAACTACAGTACATGAGCATACTCACATTTTAGTATCATAATAGATCCTAGAACCAATACCTGGCGGAAACTGGGGGACAATTGCATAACAGTATTCAAGGGACTGGGCCTGATGGCTTGCACCTGTAATCCCAGCACTTTTGGAGGCCAAGGCAGAACAGGAGTTCAAGACCAGCCTGGGCAATATGGTGAAACCCCTTTTCTACACAAAACTTAGCCAGGCATGGCATATTGTGTAATGCCGTTTGCATGACCCACATGGTCACCCTGGACCCCATGGATCAGGCCCTGCCTGATGCCACCACCACCACTTCTGTGCCAGGCCCCCAGTGTGATGCGACTTGCATGATGCTCTTTGCTGTAGTGCCTTTTAATGGCATAGCTTTGGCAGGTTTGGAGATGTTCAGAATAGGCAAATCTATAGAGCCTGTGGTGGATTCATGGTTGTCTAAGGCCCAGGGGGAAGGGAGCATAGGTGAATTGGAGGGGACGATTAAAAGGTGTGAGATTTCATTTTGGGGTGATGAAAATGTTCTAAAATTCATTGTGGTGATGGTTATACAACTCTGAATATACTAAAAGGCATTGAATTGTACACTTTCAATGGGTGAACACATGTGAGTTATATCTCAATAAAGCTATTTTACAAAAACAGAAAAAAAAAGAAAGAGAATAAAGAATGTGGATAACAAAGATTGCAATTCTATCTCAATTCACTGACAACTTATTAATCAGAATTCAGCTACATGGCCTCACTTAGATGTGAAAAGCACTAAAATATTTGTCCTGGCTGGCAGCTGCCTCCCAGCAACACCTCATAAATGGAAGTGGAACATGAATTTCGGATCTCAGCTAGTCGTCTCTACCACATCAAGATGCAAACAACTCTAAGCCTTTTGTAACTATGGATTTTATATTTTCATCAAATTTGTAAATCCTTTGACCATTAATCTTTCCATAGTTTTCCATGCTTGCCCCTGCTCCACAACCTTTTTGGAACTTCAATAACACATATTCAACTGTTTGGTATTTTCCTATAGGGGATATCTGTTCTTTAAAAAGAAATCTTGCTTTTCTCTTAGCTGCATTCTGAATAGTTTCTATTGCCATGTGTTTAAGTCCACTGTGTTTTCTTTTGTACTGTCTACTCTTCTATGAGGCCCATTGAGTATTTTTTTTTTAATTTCTAGTAATATATTTTGTGTCTCTTAACGTTTCATGTGGTCATCTTTTCATATCTTCCCTTTCTTTCCTCACTGTGGTCACTGAGTTCAGTTTTTCTGAAAAGGGCTAAATAGTAAATATTTTAGGCTTTGCTGTGGTTATATATTCTCTAACATGTATTCATCTTTGATTTTGGTTCGTTTGTTTTTACAATCCTTTAAAAATATAAAAATCATTACTAGATCACAGGCAAAACAAAAAAAAAGTCTATAAGCCAGATTTAGTCTGGGGTATAGTGTGCTAACCCTTGTTTTAAGTAGTTGAATATAGTTATATCTGCTATAAAGTCCTTATTTTCTAATTCCATCATCTCCATATGTTTTGGTCTGTTTCTAATGATTTTTCTCTTGGTTATGAGTCACATCTTTATGTTTATTGACATGGCTAGTACTTTTTTTTTTAACTGTATATTGAACATTGTGAATTTTAAGATATTTAGTGTCTGGATTTAGTTATCTTTAAGGAATCTTGAGCTTTCTTCTAGTATGTATGTATTAAAATTACTTTTGGTTCAGTTTGTGTCTTTTGAGATTTGTTTTTAAGCTTTAAGTATTGCATTTTTAAGTGGCCTTAACTCTAGGCATAGTTTACCCTCTCTACTGAAGTGCACCCCTTTTGAGATTTCTACTGAATACTCCATTCAAAGTGGACTCTATATTCTAGCTAGTGGTACCTGAACAAATCTCAGCCCTGTGTGCTTTGTTGGAACCATTCATCTTACACATTCCTCTTTATGTGACTTCATGAAATTTCATCCAATTGCATGCATTTATTAGTATTTAGCAAACACTAATGAAGAGAATCTAATGTAAATCTTTTGAGTCCTTTTCTTCTGCAGAGCTTCCTCCTCTCTAGAACTTTGCCCTATGACTAACATTCCATTGCTCATGCTTCCTGAATTCTATGTACTGAGCTGAAAGAAACACTATGCTCTACTTGTAATCCCTCTCCTTATTCTATGGTCCGGAATGTATCTCCTTAGAGAAAGCCAAGTGATAATAGGGCTCTCCTTCTTAGTTTTTCTCCTCTCTTAGATCACAGTTCTTCATAGACCTGGTCTAATGTTTTAAAACAGTTATTATATATATTTTTCTCAGTTTTAATTTTTAAGTCAGTAATGTAAATTTGTTCCCTCTTGCTCTTTCATGTTTATTACTTGATTTAATTTAAATATTTTTTTCTCCAAATCTTTAAATAATTTAAGTTTTATTGAATGAATGCCTATATTTTTGTCTTATTTAGAGATTCTGAGAAGTATTTTAAGCTGTATGTTTAAAAACACATACTTATTAATTACTTTCTTCAGTGCATTAACTGTCTCTCATTTTCTCAACATGTCTCTTTGGAAGGTAAATGGAAATTAATGTAGGATATTTGTAATAAGCATATTTGTGCATTCAAAAATAAACCTTCAAAGCTAAAATGCCATTATACTTTGCTCTTTTTACTTCTCAGAGGTGTTTATCTCAGTGAATATTGAATATTTTTCTTTGATCTGTTATACATGTTTTTCATTTTAATTTCATCTGTTTTAATATGAAAGGAACTGAGGTAGCTTGACTGAAAAATAAAAATATGAGAATCTTTAATTTCCTTCAGAATCATTGAAAATGCACTTTTGTTTTCTTCATAAGCTGGGAAGGTATTATTTGTTGTACCGTGACAAACATAAAACAAAATTATCAATCTGAAGTGTTATTTACCAGTTATTTACCCAGTTGCTCAATTTTCTTCTCCATGAGAAAGGGGTTTCTCTTTAAACACAAGAATGCAAAGAGTTGAACTATTAAATGTAAGTAGAGGCAGTTACACAAAATTAACTACTGCTCCATATATGTAATAAGATGGCTAATTAATGACAGTGTAATATTTAAATAGTTTGCCTAATTAGGCACACAACAGTGATGCCTGTCTTGGGACGAAATAAAAAGCCTCACATAGATGTCAGTTTCACTTGAGTGCTGATGGAAATTATAGATTTAGCAAAGGAGAATTGTAGAAAAAATGTTCCATGATAAAATTTGAAATTGAATTGAATGCTTAGCATCTGGAATCGACCAAGTGTACTTCTCTCCTACAATTTACAGTTCATTTCTCTTTGATGATAAACAAGCCTATTTCCTGCACCCCACCCCCAACACTAAGCTATTTCAGCAGAAACTAATAGCAAGGTAGAGCATAGTATGAGATCAGTATTGGAAAAGATGTGTTACAGAAAACCATTTGGGTGTTTTATGAAGCTGTGTTTATTTTTTTATTAACAGCCATGTTTGGAAAAGTTCCAATTTATATTATGTTCAATGAAATGGTGTGGTCTCATACCCAAAGCCAAAACAAGGTCATACATTTACAATATCTAAATAACTGTCACAGAGATTAAAAGTAAATAAAAATTTAATTTTAGGAAAAAGTACATTTGTGAAATCATAGTGAACTATTTTTAAAAACCTTTTCACTTTAATACAACTAATCTTTATTTTATTTTGTTATGTTTCTCCCTGCTCTATAGGTAAGAGATAAAAAAGCATTATTTATGAAGTTTACATAAATTCAGTTATTTTAAAGTATAATAAATGGTGTTATTTGATGATAGATTTATATTATAATATTTTAAACAATTAAAATGATGTTTACTAACATTTTTAACAGCCATAGTTTTTAATTAATAGATTTAAATTCACTAAGAACTTACGAGGGAATTGATAATATTGCTCCTGAAAATTGGAATAAATCCAAATTCCAAAAGGGTTAATAGTTTTAGTCCTCATTCTTAAAATTCCACATTGTCTTTATTGATCCCATTAGCTGAATTTGTGGTTTTCTTCATGTTTTACAACAGATTGACTTTGCAAACTTCTTAACATGCAATTTGCTAACATCTGGGCTATGTAAATGTGTATACATATACATATATGAAAAATTAAATGACTTTAAATCTTACAAACTTTATACTTTTCCTAGAACAAGAGTAGAGAATCCACCATTGTTTTTATTACTCACTGTATTATCTGTATGTTAAGCAACCACATTCGGAAGCCATCACAACTTCTAGTTAACCTCAAGGGAAGTCTAAGGTATTTAATGGCATTGCTTTACTATTTAGGTGAAAATATATTATTCTTAAGTCTTGGCCTAAGATGGATGTTCTGATTATTTTGTCATCATGGTATTTCTTCTGACATATCTAGAAAGACCAAACTAATCTTTTGAAGATAATGAGATAAAAATAAAATAATATAGTCAAAACGAGATGTTTTATCTTTAGGCAGCAATGAAGCATGCAAGAATTTGCGTGGACTCTTGATTCAGCCTCTTAATCTTCATCAGCTATGGCCTTCCTCTCTTATCCCTCCATAGAGCAACTAAATGATCTTTTGATAACCTAAATCCAATTATGTCACATCCCCACTAAAAACACTTTAATGTTCCATTACTATGAATAAATTCCATACCTTTGTCAGAAATGTCCTGCAAGGTCTGACCCTTAGTTGCCCTTCCAATTGGATTTGGTACCAGATAGCCCCTCGCCCTTTTTACTGTAGCACACAGGCCCATTACCTTGGTAAAAGTGTCAGTGAAGCTGCAGGAACACCCTTCCCTCTGCTTTTCATGTAGTTACTGCTTACTATTTTGCTTTGTGTTTCTGGTCCAGCATCACTTCCTCAGGAAATTCTTGTTCCTTAATTCGATAACTAGTTCAAGGTCCCAAACATACAGCATTAGTACTAAATGTTCCTTCTTCATAGGACCTGACAGAAATGTAATTTTATGTATTCACTTTGTCATTTGCTTAGAGCCTGACTCACTAATAGAATACTCCATGAGAACAGGGATCATGAAAACGTTTTATAGTCATTATAGTCAGAGAGATTACATGGTTTCCTCCTGGCACTTGGAAGATCTCAATGAATACTTTTTGGACAGATGACAAAATGAATAAATTTTGTTTCACAAGAAGTTTATACAAATAACCAATATGATCCTATGTGTATCTTGAGCCTCTAAGGAGATGGTTCTATGGAACAACCTTCTGTGAACCCCCCACTTTCTGTGAATTGTTGGATAGAAAATGCTGTAGACATCATTTATTAATCAAGCAAGCCTGGAGGCTGTGACAGAGTAATGATGAAAGAATAGAAGGCTCTATCCTGTCATTTACAGGATATGTACCAACTCATTTTGAACAGAGACCAAGCCATGGTATTTAGCAGAAAGAGCACAGCACTGGATTCAAGAGTTTCATGGTTTGTTCTAATGCTGCCTTTTACTTGTCCCAAATCCACTATAAGTTCTTTTTAAATTGACTTAGGTAGTATGTTCTGCTATGAATTCATAATTACAGAAAATATGTTGTTGTTTTTTTTAAAATATTGCCTTGAATTCAGCATTCAAGTAGGGACACCAAACCAAAATTTTTTTTAATCTAACATTTACTGAAGAAAAGTTTACCTATTTCACCATTTTGTCAGATACTGATTCTATGATAGTCTCTGTCATAACAAACAAATTAAACAGAAGTGTTGAGCATAGAACTCAGTACAAGAGTCGACATGAACATTGGTTTGAATGCTGGAGGAACTGAGTCCCTATCCTTGTTTTCAAGTGAAAATTAGTCATACATTTGAACAGAAATTATTTTGCTGTAAAATCAAGATTTCCTTGAAGTGAGTTGTTTTCTGGGTTGTTCTCTCTTCCATGTGTCAGGAGTGTAGAGTTATTTATCAGCATTGTGAGTCTAGGTTGAGGAAATTCAAAGAGATCATGTAGAGAAATTGATTTCTATGCCTTGGAGCTTACGGAATATAATATATTATTATTATTAAAATGATGGATAAAGTATTTAAATGTCTATTGTGAACCCAAAGGACTGCATTTTGAAAGAAACTGCATTTCCACAGAGGGTGAATAAATGGGTGTGTTTTCATTTGACTAAATGCAGGATTTTTGTGAGGGAGTTCTGGCTTGGCATGGTCTTACATGCTGTCCAAGAGGCCAATCTCAAAAGGTGAGGAGACATTTGGAAAGAAGATGAAACTGTACTGTTCTATACCCATAGCATGAGACAGAAATGTAAGCAGCCAGCTGGAGAGACACAGTCACCCACAGTAATGGAACTGATGGGGACACCTCTGTGGAGCCCATGAAAGGGCCTATGAGTGAAAGAATCATCTTTCTTTAATTGTCTGTCAAAGCCCTTAGAAACCAGTGCCAAATTAGTGTTAGGAAAATAAGAGGATTCAGATCCTCTGATCCTTCCTACTTGTAACCCCAGGAGGCTCATAGAGATCTCAGTGAGAAAGGGGAGGATGAACAGAAATACTAGCAGGGAAACAAGGAAGGAGACCGACTTCTCCATCTCACCTCTGCCCCACCTCTGCTCCATCTGCCACAAGTCCAAGGTATAGGGAGCAAAGAAGCTTAATCAAAATGAAGTTAATTTCTTTTTGGTTACCCAGGACTGGATATATTAATTGATGGATTGTGATTTTTTAAGTTAAATCATTTATTTTTAAACAGACAAAAGTAATGTATATTTATCATGTACAAATGACGTTTTGAAATATGTGTTCATTGTGGAATGGCTACATTGAGCTAATTAACGTATGCCTTACTTCATATACTTTTTATTTTTGAGATGAGAACACTTGAACTATAATCTCTAAACTGTGGGATTTTTTTCTTTAATCTGAGTGTGATCCAGAATGTTATGTGTCTCCTTCAGATTTTATCCAGAGGAAGGAAAATAAATAGCTCAGTGAGCTGGTTTAAATAGATTGTGGGCCAGTTAAACTGTGAATATATGCTAGTGAAATAATTTATTATCAAAGCAGTATTCAATGTTGGTCTTGGTACTTGAGAAGGGAAAGAATAGAAGTGATTTATGGTTGAGGGTAGAGACGGCAGGACAGGATTACTAGAAGATTTAGGTCTTGAAGGCATTGGTAAAAATATTTGTAGTAGTATGCCACATGGTCTAGACAAGACAACTAGTTCATTTCAGTTATCTAACAAACTTAAGAGAGAAAGAGCACACAATAAAATTTTTAAAAAATATATTTAGTGTGTGATAAAAGTTAAATATATTTTAAGACGAACATACTTACATTTTTGATTTATAGATTATGGAGGTAAATGGATAAAGAGCAAGAAAGAAAAAAGCTAATACTATTTGATGCATATAATACAGTAATAAAGTTGTCTCTAATAACAAAGCAATTTTTTTTATGTTCTACCCATCATGGAATTGAATACAAAGATATTGTCCATCTCCATTTGTTTAGGTTCTGGAGCTATCGGTCACATCAAATAATAATTGGTCATTATAGAGCCAGAGTTTTCCTCAAAAACTTGAAGGAATTCCCTGAGTTGGCCAAGGCAATAACATAAGTAATAAGACAATTTATTTCACAAGTGAACTTGTAACTTATTAGCTTGACTGGCCTAAACAATGTTATAGTAAGGCAAATGCCCCAGCTTCAATTCCTTTATGAAACAGGAGCTTTTTCTTATGTTTGCATACCAAACACAGCTACTCATATAACCACGCTGCTAGTTCCTACCATCAGCCAAAAGTAGACTAGTGGAGAATCTATGGCCCCAATTTGGAAACTCAGAATCACAGTTCCAAATGTAAGGTTAGTCAAAAAGTTATTTATGGTGTTGTATCTATGTACATTATATGACTATTTAGTAAAAGATACATTGTTTGATTTCATATGAATATATTTCTAAAGTTATATTAGTTACCCTATTATTTCTCTGTAAACAAAATATCCTGGATATGTGATATATTTTTATTTGAGTTGTATTTCTACAAACGTTTTTCAATAACTTCTGAAACATACCATTGACATGAACTATATTATATTGTCTCTTAAATTATGTCTTTGTGTTGTACATACTTGCATTGAAAAACCAAAAAGCTCTTCCGTCAATAAACAAAGTGATCAAAGATTTCCCATCACAGACTTTAAGATACATGTTTCCTTTGTTTAACTCACTTTGTCACTTAAACATGAAAATAAAATCTTGATTCTATTTTCCTAATGTCTAATTTTAGAGTGTAGATTTTTTGCTTACTTTTATTGCTATTTCAACTAATTGTTATAAAATTGTTAAGATATACTTTATACTTGTATATGTGCTGATACATTTTTTCATAAAATTCTCATTTTATTTAATCTCTATTAGTATATTATGCACTTGGTATCACATTTGAACTGTTATTTTTATCCAAACATATTGACTTGCTTTACTTACAACTGAACAATTGCATTTATCTCAATAACTTACAACTGAATATTTTGTCATTTTTAACAGCTGAAGATGCTTGTGGAGGAACAATGAGAGGATCCAGTGGCATCATATCCAGCCCTAGTTTTCCTAATGAGTACCATAACAATGCTGATTGCACTTGGACCATTGTAGCAGAGCCTGGGGACACAATTTCACTCATATTTACTGATTTTCAAATGGAAGAGAAATATGATTACTTAGAAATAGAAGGTTCTGAGCCACCTACCATATGGTAAGTAAATAGCTTCTATTAACCTTGCATTGATGTTGTTGAAGCAAACTAAGGAACAAAGAACAACTGAATGTGGACTTTTACAGGTTTGGATATTTAAAAGATCTTACAGGAAAGTTATGTGAAGAGGTTGTCAGAGCTGAAGGATATTTTTGAAGATCGAGCTATTTACATAAAAAATAGATGAAATTCAAAACTTGTATAAACAAATAAAAGTTATTCCTATTGTAATCTACAGTTGTGTTTTTTAGCATGCCAGTCCAAACTTGATGGTTTCTCTCAAATTAATTGAATAGTCTTGGAAGTAATTTTCCTTTGTTTAAGCAGACTTGTTATATACCTTGTTATCTGAAAGCAAAAATTAAACACCATCATCTGGGGGAATATGGTTTGTTTCTTTAGAAACTCAAGGTATGGTCTAATGAAACCTGCAAAGTATTCAGAACATGCTTTTAAGACATAATATTTTTAAAGTAAAATGCTTCTTTATGCTATTTTAAAAATTTGTATCTAATTATATCATTGAGTAGATTATGATTCAGTAACTGAGTGAAAGAATGAATAAGATGACACTGATAAAGGAAAGAGATAGGTAAACACTAGACTAGAGAGGATCTTTTAAGCCATGTGAAGATTTGCTAAGAACCATGGGAATTTATCCAAAACAATTACTTGAAGATGTTTGAATATCCAAATGATTATTCTTACTGAAATGAAGAGATTGATTTGAAGAGGGACTCGATTCGCTGTAGGAAGATCACTTAAGAGATGATTGCAGTATTCCAAGAAAAGATCACGGTAGCTGGAATTAGAGTCATATTAATGAGGTAAGGAAGTAGACTGAGTTGAGAGATACTGATGATGTATAATCAAAAGGACTTTGTAATGGACTGGGGGGTGATAAAGAAGGCAGTATTGAAATAAAACCTAGTTTTCTGATCTGAACAAATGGTGAAGGCAGTAGTAATATTCACTGAGTTGGAAATTGTTGAGGAAAGGTTAAGTTTGGAATGAGAACCCTGTAAATATTGAGATTTGTTTTGAATATATTTAATTGGAATATTCTTCAAGATGTGCAATTAAAGCCATCTACTAGACAACTATATTTCTTATATGATTCAATAATTTAGAGTAGAAGCACAACACTGGTATTTAGTTAATATTGATGGTAAGTGAACCAATAGGCAACAATATAATTGGATATATAGAAAGAGGATAAAATGAGAAAACAAAGGAAGACTGGGACTGAATCTGAGACTTAACAACATATAAGTCCTGGACTTAGAAGGATGATACAGAAAAGAAAACCGAAGGAGTCATTTGAAAAGGTAAGAGAAGGAAGTCTTGTGAAATACTTTCATGCAGACAAGGGAAGAAAGAGCAGGCCTCTTTGGTGCTTTAGACACAGAAGCACTTAGAACAATGCTGTTATGTAGCAGGCACCTCAACAAGTATTTGTTGAATAAACATTAAACAAATGGAATTCTAGTAAAAATCAAAATTAAGTTTGGAAATAATTTTAAAGAGCATCTAATCCAACTCTCCATCCAAGGCTTTGTAAATAGTTATTTACAAAGTATTGTATTTAGTGAACGTTTTACTTCTTTGTTTCTGTCATAGCGTCTAAGCTGACAATGCCATAATATCAGAATTAAGAGAAACCTTGGATGTTATAGGTGAGAACCTGAGATCTAGGGAGGTGACATGACTTACCCATTGTCATCCATCAACAAGGAGCCAAAGCTGAATCTAGAACAAAAGCAGTAATCAACATAAATAAGGTACCCCTACACTCTGTCTAGAGAGTGATAAGAAAGAAAAGATGTGGAAGAGTAAGAGAGGTCAAGAGAGCAAGAATGTTTTGATGAGTGTGTAGCTTACTTAATTGTAAAGTTGATATTTGAGCAAAGTCCTGATGAATATAAGGAAGTTAGTCAACTGGATGAGCCTTCAGGCAAAAATGACATCTAGAGCAAAATACTTAAAGCAGAGTGGGCCTTATTGTGTTGTAGAAACACCTAAGAAGCCATTGTGGCTAGAAAAGAATGACCATGGGTAAAGGCAGTAGGAGGGAAAGAAAGATAATTAATAGAGCCTGGCTCAAGATTCATCTGTCTTTTACTTTAGATGAAATGTGAATTCACTTGAGGGGCTTGAGCACAGTAATGACATGATTGACCTTATTACTTAAAAAAAAAGTCACTGTGGCTACCGTGTGGAGAATAAACTATAGGAGGGAAAGCTAAAAGAACAGACATTATTTGTGGTATGTAAGTGAGAGTTTATAATTATGAAATAAGAAAATAGCAGTGGAGGTGAGGCTAAATTATTGGGTTTTCAAGATAAATGATAGAATTTCTTGAAATGTGAAGTTGGAGAAAGAAAAGAATAGCTCTAAAGAATATCTCTAATAACCTGCTAATACAGATCCCAGATTATTTGACCTGAAGAACTGAGCAAATACAATTTAAGTTAACTAATATTGGGAAGGCTATTGATGAAACATTTTTGGAGGGATGATGTGGAGCTTAAATTTGGATGTGTGAAGTTTGAGATGGCTAATAAATCTGTAGTTGAAGATTTCAAGGGGACAGTTGGATATACAAATCTTAGTTTCAAGTCAAAGGTGTGGGCTGAACTTCTAAATTTGGAAATCTCAAAGTGGAAGTAATTATTCCTGTTTCTACCAGTTGAAGTGATTATTAAATTTAAAAAAAGGAAAAAGAAACTAATACCTGAGTTGTGGGACACTCCAACACTAAAATGTCAGCAAAATTAGGATGAACCAGTAAAGGAGATTGAGAGTGAGAGTAAATGAGATAGGAGGAAAAACAATACAGTACAGTTATCCCTTAGGGTCTTCAGGAAATTGGTTCCAGGACCACCCCTGATTATACAAAAATCTTGGGATGCTGAAGTTCCTTATATAAAATGTAGTAATATTTGCATACAGCCTACACACATGCTTCCATATACTTTAAATAATCTCCAGATTATGTACAATACCTAATATAATGCAAATGCTTTGTACATAGTTTTTAAACTGTATGTATCATTTTGTTGTATTATTGTTGTATGGATTTTTTTTTCAGATATTTTTGATCTGTGATTGGTTGAATCTGCTAATACAGATCCCACAGACATATAAGATTGACTTTATAAATTTTCCTGGAAACCAAAAGAAAAAATTATAATGGAATTGGCCAGTTGTCAAATGTGAATGATAAGCTAATAAAATAAGCTCCAAAACTGATCACTGGATGTAATAACATAGAGGTCATTGGGTAACTCCGATGAAAGTAATTTTGTAGGTGATAGGCTGACTGGAGGGGTTTGAAGAAAGAATTGGAGAAGAGATATTATAGGCAATTACTATAAATAAGTTGTTCAGGGAATTTTGCAAGAAAGAGTGTTGGGACAATAGGTTAAAAAGAAAGTAGGAGCAAGGGAAGAGTTTTTTTCTCCTTTTTTGGAGCTTATTATAAAATACGTTCCTAAATTAATAAATGGATTTAGCAACATGGAAGTCACTGTTAACTTTGATGAAAATAATTTTGCAAGTGACAGTGTGATTGGAATAGTTTTAAGGGAGAATTGGAGAACAGATATTATGAATAAATTGTTCAGGGAATTTTACATAATAGATGCACGTAGTTTTGGGGTATATGTGATTTTTTTTTTTTCTGAGATGGAGTCTCACTCTGTCACCCAGGCTGGAGTGCAGTGGTGCAATCTCAGCTCACTGCAACCTCTGCTTGCAGGGTTTGAGTGATTCTCCTGCCTCAGCCTCCCGAGTAGCTGGGATTACAGGGGCGTGCCACCACATCTGGCTAATTTTTTGTATTTTTAGTAGAGACGGGGTTTCACTGTGTTAGCCAGGGTGGTCTCCATCTCCTGACCTCGTGATCTACCGTCCTCGGCCTCCCAAAGTGCTGGGATTACAGGCATGAGCTACCGCACCTGGCCCACATATGATAATTGAATACATTTATATAATTTGTAACAATCAGATCAGTGTCCTTGGGATAACCATCACCTTAAATATTTGTCTTTTCTGTATGCTAGAATCATCTACATTATTCTCTTCTAGCTACTTTGAAATATACAATAGATTATTGTAAACTATAGTAAATTAATTGATACAAATACATGATTTGATAGAATAAATAAGACCTAGTGATAAATAGATTAGTAGCGTGAGAAGAATTTTTATTTATTTTGTGGTTTTGCTTGTTTATTGGCAGAGTTAATACTGTGATGGTGATCACCTACCAGACATTGAAAAATTAATGATAAAGAGTGGGGAGAATCATTTAAGCAAAGTGAAGGAGTAGAGATAGTCAAAGAAATCTTCCCTTTGAAAATCTGTCTGTGAAAGGAAGGAGGAAAAAGTTACAGTAACTAAAGGGTGAGGCAGAAGAAGAAAGTGAAGATTAAAAGACCATTTAGGGGGCTGCTCTATGCCAGAGGCTGAATGAAATTTCATTAATTTGGAAGGTCTGCATATGGAAATAAAAGGTTAAAGGCTGATTTTCAAAGACTAAAGTTAGGGAATGAGTGATTGAATATCAAAGAGAGTAATAGTAATTTCTTCAGATTAGATTATGGAAAATATGTAAATAATAATAGAAAGGTCAGAAAGACATTTTAATACATTGGGCCCAGAAGATAAATAATGATTTCAATTGGTAAGATGTAGGTTGCAGATAAGCACTATTCCAAAAAGAATATGTCCTATTGGATGTTTGACTTAATTATGATATATAGTTTGAAGTAAGAATAAGAATTTTTAAGTCATTAAAAATGAAATACTGGCTGAAGTCAAGGGAACAATATGGTTATCAAGATCAGAATATTAGTGAAAACATGGCATGCAGGTTATATAACATAGAAAATCTATGTAATGTTATTCAAATTAAGAATGCAATAAGGTATGTAATACATTTTGTTTTATTAAAATCGTTTTGCACAATTATTTATTTTTATTAGTTGGTTAAAATAATACTAAACATTTAGATTTAAACTAACAAATTTAGTCAATACAAGTTTCCAGTGAAGGCTGACTCCCATCTAAAGGTAGTTCCTCCATTTGTGCACTGTTCCTTCTCAACTACTCAGGAGTGTCATGCCCCAATTTTCTTAATTCTCTTTTATACCATCAATTTTTGCTCCCTAATCGATTACTATTAAACTAGCTTACCCATCATTTCTCTGGAACTGTCTTTTACAAAATGAGCAATAACTTCTTAGTTCCTAATTTAATACTTATCTCACTTGATTTATCTGCAACATTTGACTTTGTTGATTATTACCTCTTTTCCAGAACATCCTTCATTCTTATTCACTGGGATGTCTTTTCTTTCTTGTATCTTTTTCTATTACTCACTGACTATATCCTTTCAGACTTTTTCTTTTCTTTTTTCTTCCATCATCCATTCTGTATATGATGGCATCTACCCAGCTTTTTTCTCATCTTTTGTTTCTGTTCACCCTACTTTGGAATGCATAATTTCCTGTGACTTCAACAATCTAAAGATTTTGTGATTTTTCTCCTTCCAGATTACTTTCTCTCTTGCTTTGTTTCTATCTGTACACATATCTTTGCTCAAATAACAGGATCTTAATGAGAACTTGGATCTCAAAATAAACAGAATGCCTAGCCCTGAACATTTCACACTATACTTATTTTACATACATTTGTGAAATGTATAAATAATTTTTGTTCCACATATAATTTGACATCATTGATAATCTGCTTTTACATGTTTTTTCCAATGGTTGTACTTGATTTGACTGAAGTTACATAAATTAGTTTGGATTAGGTTTAACTATGAATAAAAGAAAATATAAGCAAAATGCAAACAAAAACCAAGAGGCTAAAACAAGACACAAGTTGTTTGTGTTTTGTTTTTGTTCGTTTGTTTGTTTTTAATGCAGGTTTCTGGAGGTAGGCATTTATGGGAACCGCACCACCACCACCTAGTATCAAACACTCAGGATCCATTTATTTGACTGTTCTACTTGTAGGTTACTTTCATTCCCAAGATCATATCTTGTTCAAGTTGAGCCATTAAGTTACACTTCAAACGGTAGGAAGAAGAACAAGGAAAAGGAAAACCCAAATGGCAGTCATCAGCTACCTCTTAAACAAAGTTTTAGTTGCTGACCTACATTTTCTATTTCATTTTCTCCTATTTCTGCTTATATCCCATTGGCCAAAATCTAATTACATGGCTATTTGGCTGTTAGGGACTCAGGGGAAAGCAATCCTTATTCTAGCTAGTTATTGCCCAGCTAAAATCCCATTTTTAGGAAAGAAAAGGAGAAAAGGTGTTAGAGGATAACTAGCAATCTCTGATACATGGTTTTTATTGATGCAATCCCTGTAGGAAAAATGTGTATAATGAATACTCACTAGTATTTTACATATTATAGAAATATGTGTGTGTTTATGTTTATGTCTATACTGGCACAGATAGATACAGTAGTAGAAAGTAAACTTTCCTTTGATAATCTGCCTGTGAAAGGCAGGAGGAAAAAAATACAATAACTAAAAAGTGAGACAGATGAAGAAAGTGAAGATTAATAGGCCATTTAGGAGACTGCTTTATGTCAGAGGTTGTAAGGAACTTAATTGATTTCGAAGCTCTACATATGGGAATAAAAGGACAAAGACTGTTTATCAAAGACTAGAGTCAGGGGAATGGGTGATTGAATATCACAGAGTGTATGATCTTTATTGCCAAAAATAGATACCACAAATAAGGTATAGATACCACATATATGGGTATACAAAACCTATGTGATACAGAAAAAGCAGTACTAAGAGGAAAGTTTATAGCTACAAGTGCCTACATCAAAAAAGAAAAACTTCAAATAAAACACCCATGATGCATCTTAAAGAACTATGAAAGCAAGAGCAAACCAAACTCAAAATTAATAGAAAAGCAATAATAAAGATAAGAGCAGAAATAAATGAAATAGAAATAAAGAGAACAATATAAAAGATAGTAAAACAAAAAGTTGTTTTTTTGAAAAGATTAAACAAAATTGGCAAAGTTTTAACCAGACTAAAGTAAAAGAGAGAGAGAGAGATGGAGAGCAGATACACATAAGTAAAATCAGAGATGAAAAAGAAAACATTATAATTGATACGGCAGAAACTCAAAAAATCATCAGTGGCTGCTGTGATTAACTATATGCCAATAAATTGGAAAATCTAGAAGAAACTGTTAAATTACTAGACACATACAACCTACCAAGACTGAGCCATAAAGAAATCCAAAGCCCGAACAGACCAATAACAAGTAATGAGATCAAAGATATAATAAAAAGTTTTCCAGTAAAGAAAAGCCTGGGAGTCAATGGCTTCAGTGCAGAATTCTACCAAACATTTAAAGGAGAACTAATGCTAATACTATTCAAACTATTCTGAAAAATAGAAGAGGAGGGAATACCTCCTAATTCATTCTATCAGACCAGTCTTACCTTTGCTCTACTTTAATAAATACTTTCATGAGCATTGCTCAGAGCCCCTACAACTTTGACACTAAACTCCAAAGTTCCTCTTGCTTACTCCTTTCACCTATTTTTAATTTAATCATAATTTCTAATGCTTGGCATATTTTTTTTTCTGTAATTTATTAACCTATTACTTAGTCCTAGCCAAGAGGAAACACCTTTTTCATTTTGATAAGAGCAAAGTATAAAAAGATAGATATATCTCATTTAAGTTTATAAGTGCAGTGACCAGAAATTGAACTCTCTCTATGTATTTTTTTCTAATAGTTTCTAATTTCTTTCTTAAGAAAGAGGCAAAATCATGTCCTGAAAGTGAGGAGAGGTGGTAGGTTAGGATATTTTAGCAGAGTGAGATTTATTTGAAATACTTTCTCTGGAGAATGTGAGAAAAAGGGGGTGGGAATCAAAGGATTGCTGGGCAGTATTTTGAATAGGGTTGAGATTTCACAACATATGTTTGTAAGAGAAACAATTATAAGCTTGCATAATTTTTCTACAGCAGGCTTGTTAACTTATATGTAAGCATAACAAGACAGGCAACAGCATTGCTGGGCCATGGAATATTAGGACAATGGAGGAGGAGATTGAAGATGTTGGCAAAGCACAGTGTGGATGGGGAAGAAAGGGGCTTCCAAAGCAGTTTGCCTCTTCTAAGCACATTAATTTTATCCATAAATTTTATTCATAAGTCTGTATAAACAATTTATTCTTGTCAGTTTGTGTAGAAAGAAACAAATTGTAACAGAGAACCTACAATTTTCTAAAATATTAGAGAATGTAAGGTTTTAATAATTGAGAACTTATCTTATACTGGTATATTTGTTTCTAATATGCAAATAGCTTACATTTTTAAATAAACAAATATTTCAAATTTTTTCATCTTAATAAGACAATTTTCTGAATACTTTTAATAATTCAGATCATCAAAATATAATTTCTTGATTTAGGCATTACTTTTGAAAGTCACCTCTGCAACTCCCCTCCATTAGCATCTTTTTCATGAAACTAGCCTATGCCTAACTTGACTAATTTCTCTTATCTAGTAAATGCTTACAGGCAAATATTTTAGCCCCAAAATCCTTTGATGGCATGGATTTAAAAATAAGTAGCCAATTCATATAGGATCATTTTCATACAAAAAAAGCATAAAAGCGAAACATTAAAACTTCCTTTTAAACTCACTGGTCCCTTCTACAATGACTTTCTCTGCTACAATGACTTTAACTTTTTTTTTCTGAACACTCATTTTCTGTTCAACATACCTCCCTATATTATTCTACAAAACGGGATAATGGTTAGTCAACCAACAGTCATCATGGTTAGTCAAAAGGCAGGTGCTTTCTTTTTTATTTTATTTTATTTTTCGCTTTGTTTGTTTTCCAGATTAAGCATAGAACAGTAGGATATCAGACCTTATAAGATGATATGGAATTTTCAGTTCTCGAGAAAGCAGACAGACTCTTGGGAGGAGCTGCAAAGTCCAATAACAAAGGGCATGATAAAGAAAGGCAAGTGACACAAGTGATAAAGGAAGACAAGTGAAGACTTGCACTATACTTGCCTTATTTGCACTATAGTCCATAAAACCAGATGATTTTAATGAGATTCAGCATCTTCTATATTTCAAAATAATGGGTATTTAAAAAATTAATATCCCTTTATTATCTCTCTTGCAATAAAAAATTTCAGGGTTTTTCTTCCATGTATTTAACAAGATAATTACATATTTATTCTGCTATATAGAAGATGACGTGTCATTATTCAATGTATTGTTAACTCTATGTCTTAGATAATATGATTTATGTTCTAAATTAGTACTATGACTTGTATTTAAATTATTTTGTGGAAAATAGAAAAAAATAGCTACCTTAGAATTCCTCTTGAAGAACAATTGCCTTTGTTAAGTGATTGGCTAAAAATGACACCCTTTGGCATAGAACAGATTGGCTAGTAGTGAGATTCTTCCATTGTTCCAGGAATAACATTATCTGCAAATAATACAAAAGAAAAGAGGAAAACCAAGAGTGATGTTGAATGAAAATTATGTATTGAAAGAGGAGAGTGGAGGAAGTTGAAAAGAAAAGTAGTACATCAGGGAATTCCTTCAGTGAAGATTGCTTTAGTCCATGGTTCACTGCCATGGTACTCCAGCCTGGGCTACATAGCAAGACCCTATCTCCAAAAGAAAAAAAAGAAAGAACACGAAAAAAAGAGAAATTCTCTGACAGAGTCATGACTCAGAAAGTTTGAAGAAAAATATGTGTTTAATGTTCAATATTCAGGTGTATTCTTTGCTGGTGTAGAATGTAATCCTTAATCCCAGTTTGCTGGAGGAATTGTTTGTATACATCTTTATTTATTTTATTTTTTTATTATTATACTTTAAGTTTTAGGGTACATGTGCACAGTGTGCAGGTTAGTTACATATGTATACATGTGCCATACTGGTGTGCTGCACCCATTAACTAGTCATTTAGCATTAGGTATATCTCCTAATGCTATCCCTCCCCCCTCCCCCCACCCCACAGCAGTCCCCAGAGTGTGATGTTCCCCTTCTTGTGTCCATGTGTTCTCATTGTTCAATTCCCACCTATGAGTGAGAACATGCGGTGTTTCGTTTTTTGTCCTTGGGATAGTTTACTGAGAATGATGATTTCCAGCTTCATCCATGTCCCTACAAAGGACATGAACTTATCCTTTTTTATGGCTGCATAGTATTCCATGGTGTATATGTGCCACATTTTCTTAATCCAGTCTATCATTGTTGGACATTTGGGTTGGTTCCAAGTCTTTGCTATTGTGAATAGTGCCACAATAAACATACGTGTGCATGTGTCTTTATAGCAACATGATTTATAGTCCTTTGGGTATATACCCAGTAATGGGATGGCTGGGTCAAATGGTATTTCCAGTTCTAGATCCCTGAGGAATTGCCACACTGACTTCCACAATGGTTGAACTAGTTTACAGTCCCACCAACAGTGTAAAAGTGTTCCTATTTCTCCACATCCTCTCCAGAACCTGTTGTTTCCTGACTTTTTAATGATTGCCATTCTAACTGGTGTGAGATGGTATCTCATTGTGGTTTTGATTTGCATTTCTCTGATGGCCAGTGATGGTGAGCATTTTTTCATGTGTTTTTTGGCTGCACAAATGTCTTCTTTTGAGAAGTGTCTGTTCATGTCCTTGGCCCACTTTTTGATGGGGTTGTTTGTTTTTTTCTTGTAAATTTGTTTGAGTTCATTGTAGATTCTGGATATTAGCCCTTTGTCAGATGAGTAGGTTGCGAAAATTTTCTCCCATTTTGTAGGTTGCCTGTTCACTCTGATGGTAGTTTTTATTTGCTGTGCAGAAGCTCTTTAGTTTAATTAGATCCCATTTGTCAATTTTGGCTTTTGTTGCCATTGCTTTTGGTGTTTTAGACATGAAGTCCCTGCACATGCCTATGTCCTGAATGGTATTGCCTAGGTTTTCTTCTAGGGTTTTTATGGTTTTAGGTCTAAAATTTAAGTCTTTAATCCATCTTGAATTAATTTTTGTATAAGGTGTAAGGAAGGGATCCAGTTTCAGCTTTCTACATATGGCTAGCCAGTTTTCCCAGCACCATTTATTAAATAGGGAATCCTTTCCCCATTTCTTGTTTTTGTCAGGTTTGTCAAAGATCAGATAGTTGTAGATATGCGGCATTATTTCTGAGGGCTCTGTTCTGTTCCATTGATCTATATCTCTGTTTTGTTACCAGTACCATGCTGTTTTGGTTACTGTAGCCTTGTAGTGTAGTTTGAAGTCAGGTAGCATGATGCCTCCAGCTTTGTTCTTTTGGCTTAGGATTGACTTGGTGATGCGGGCTCTTTTTTGGTTCCATATGAACTTTAAAGTAGTTTTTTCCAATTCTGTGAAGAAAGTCATTGGTAGCTTGATGGGGATGGCATTGAATCTGTAAATTACCTTGGGCAATATGGCCATTTTCACGATATTGATTCTTCCTACCCAAGTTAATCTTCTGAATAAGAAGTTGGTGGATTCATAAAAAAGATGCCACTTTCCACGTATGTGGTTTGTGGTGGGTCCTTTAGAAAGACAAAAACAACCATAGGAAATGAAACATGAGTGAGATCAAGAGTAGTCAAAGAGAAATTTGGAGTGGAAAATGACTCTTAAAAAAATAAACTCCTAGGAATTTGCAGAAGTGTGAGAGAGAGAGAATCAGGTGTCTTTCATTTGCTATGCGATGCGGTTCCAACAAAACATATTCAGATATTAAAAGAGATGACTTAGCTGACACCTAGGTTACACTTTGCCTTGTTGGAAAACACACAAAGAAGTAAAGCCACATATATTAAATTTTTAAGTTATTAAAGATCTTTGATTGAGAAAATGAACGTCCTCAATAGGACACTGATTTAAACTGAAAACTCAATTTTCAAGGAAAATACAGATCATAGTACCAATTTGCTAAAGAGGATTAGAATATAACTCAAGAAAAACCAATAAAATATCATACTTTAAAAATAAACCCCTATTCTTTCAATGTCTTTTGCAAATGCTCATATTCTTAATTAGCATACGTAAAGCCAAACTCAGCACTGTTATACTCAGTAGATATGCCTGATGAAATGCAAGATATATTACAAATATTTATGATATATTTTCTTAATATTTAACAAAATAAATTAGAATTACACAAGTCAAAAGCTCCCAATAATATATTTTGAATATATTTTGAATTTATTTTGCCTCTGTCATATTGTTTATGAAGAATTGTTATTTTTCACACTTTCTACTTCTACAAGTCAAATTTATTGGTGACTTCCTACTTCTACAGGTTCAATTTATAACCTATTGGAATGATAAATTACAAAACGTCATGGTTTATAGTGTTAGAATTTATTCTCTATTTCTATAGATTGATTGATGGAACATTACAGGATGGGGCGTTATCAGGAATTTTTGATGTACTGGTTGGTTGGCTCTTTTTTTTTTTTTTTGACGGAGTCTCGCTTTGTTGCCCAGGCTGGAGTGCAGTGGCGCGATCTCGGCTCACTTCAAGCTCCGCCTCCCAGGTACACTCCATTCTCCTGCCTCAGCCTCCCGAGTAGCTGGGACTACAGTCGCCCGCCACCCACGCCTGGCTAATTTTTGTGTGTGTGTGTTTATTTTTAGTAGATATGGGGTTTCACCATGTTAGCCAGTATGGCCTCCATCTCCTGACCTCGTGATCCACCTGCCTCGGCCTCCCGAAGTGCTGGGATTACAGGCATGAGCCACTGCACCCAGCCGGTTGGCTCTTTTTATTGGGAACATTCAAAATCCTTTCTTCTAGCTTTTTGAACAGACACAATGAATTATTGTTAACTATATTCATCCTCTATTGTTCTAGAACACTAGAATTTATTTCTGGGAAGTAGATGTAATTTCATATTCATTAACTAACCTCTCTCTAGCACTCTCCTCTTACACTTCTCAGCCTCTGATAACCATAAAATTACTCTACATCTATGAGCACCATTTTTTTTAGCTCCCACATATAAGTGAGAAAATGTAGTATTTAACTTTCCATGGGTGACATTTCACTTAAAATAATGTTCTTTAGGTTCATACATGTTGCCATTAATGACAGGATTTCATTCTTTTTTATGGCTGAATACTATTCCATTGTGCATATATACCACCTTTTCTTTATCCACTCATGCATCAATGGGCATTTAGGTTGATTCCAAATCTTAGTTACTGTGAATAGTGCTGCAGTACACATGAAGATGCAGATATCTGTTTGATATACTTATTTAATTTCCTTTGTATAACTATTCAATAGTGGGATTGCTGGATCATATGGTAGTTTTAGTTTAGTTTTTTGAGAAACTTCATACCGTTTTTTATAATGGCTATAGTGATTTACATTCCCACCAAAATTGTATGACTTTCCTTTTCTCAAGCACCTATTTAGATCTTTGCCCCCCTTTTAACTGAATTATTTGTGGGTGGTTTTTTTTTGGCTGAGTTGTTTGAATTTTTTGTATATTCTGAATATTAGTCCTTTGTGGATAAATAGTTTTAAAATATTTTCTCCCACTTTGCAGGTTGTCTCTTCACTCTGTTGATTGTTTCCTTTGCTAGCCAAAGCTCTTTAGTTTAATAGAGTCTCATTTGTTTATTTTGTAATCATAAAATATTTGTACAGACCAATGTCCTCAAGTGTGTTTCGTATGCATTCTTCTAGTAGTTTTATAGTTTCTGGTCTTACACATTTAAGTCTTTAATCCATTTTAAATTGATCTTTTTTTTAAATAGAGAGAGATATGGGTCTAATTATATTCTTCTGCATATGAATATCCAATTTTCTTAATACTATTTATTGAAGAGGGGGTTCTGTCCCCAGTGTATGTTTTTGACATCTTTGTCAAAAATCAGTTGGCTGTAAATATGTGTATCTATTTTCAGGTTCTCTATTATGTTTTATTGATCTACGTATCTGCTTTCATACCAATGCCATGCTGGTTTACTTACTATAGTTTTGTACTATATTTTGAAAACAGGTAGTGTGATGTCCATGGATTTTTTTCTTTTTTCTTAGTATTGCTTTGGATATTCATGGGTTTTTTTTTTTTTTTTGGTTCCATTCAAATTTTAGAATTTTTTTATATTTTTTATATTTAGAATGTCATTGGTATTTTGATAGAGATTCCATTGAATCTGTATATTCCTTCAGGTTGTATGGTCATTTTAGCATGTTTAATTTTTCCAATCCATGAGCATGGGATACCTTTCCATTTGTTTATGTCATCTTCAATTTCTTTATCAATACATTTTAGTTTTTATTGTAGAGATCTTTCACCTAATTGGTTAAATTTCTTCCTAATTATTTTATTTTTTTGCGCCTATTACAAATGGGATTTCTTTCTTGACTTATTTTTAACTAGTTTGCTATTAGTGAATAGAAATACTGCTGATTTTTGTAGGTTGGTTTTTGTATCCTGAAACTTTACTAATTTTTTTATCAGTTTTAAAAGCATTTGGTAGAGTCTACATTTCTCTAGATATAAGATCATGACATCTGCAAACAAGGATAATTTGGCTTTCTCTTTTGTAATTTGGATGCCTTTTATTTCCTTTCCTTGGCGAATTCCTTCATTTTAAATCTTTGTGTGACTTTATAAGAGAAAAGAGTTTTCTAGGCTACATATACTTGTGTCTTGTTTTTTATTCGTTAGCCAGTCTATATCATTTTATTTTTAAAATTTTCCTTTATTATTATTTTTTTCAAGGAAAGATCTTGCTCTGTTGTCCAGACTGGAGGGCAAAGGCACAAACATAGCTCACTGCCACCTCAACTTCTTGCCTCAAGTGATTCTCCTGTATCAGCCTTCTGAGTAACTGGGGCTACAGGCACATTCCACCATGCCACCCAGCTAATTTTTAAATGTTTTATAGAGACAGAGTCTGACCACATTGCACAGGCTGACCTTGAACTCCTGGGCTCAAGTGATCCTCCCTCTACCTTTCAATTGAAAATTTTAAATTGTTTACATCCAAAGTTGTAGATAGGTGAGATCTACTCTTGTTATTTTGTTGTTTTCTTATTGTTTTGTATATTATTTGTTTCTTCCTCTCTTACTATTTATATTTTTTCTCATTTGTATATCTTTTATACCAGTGAGTTGTATACTTTTGTTTGTTTTCATGATGGTAGATATTGTACCTTACTTCCAGATATAAGACTCCCTTACACATTTATTGTAAGACCATTATAGGGGTGATGAATTTCCTGAGTTTCTGCTTGCTTGGGAAAGACCATATTTCTTCTTCATTTCTTAAGCATAGCTTAAGAACTTAAGCTACCTAGCTTTGCTAGGTAGTTTTCTTACAGCTTTTTTATTATTATTTTCAGCACTTTGAATATATCATCTCATTCTCTCCCGGCTTATAAGGTTCCTGCTGAGAAATCTATTAGTCTAATGAGCATTCCCTTATATGTGACTTGACATTTTTCTCTTGCTGTTTTAGAATTCTCTCTTTGTCTTTGATTTTGGCAGTTTCAATATAGTGTGCCTTGAAGAGAAATATTTCATTTCTGTGGTCCTCTTCAAGGCACATTGTATTCAAACTGCCAAAATCTATCACTTTAATCAGTTTGGGGATCTATCTGCTTCCTAGATCTGGATGTCTAGTTCTCTCCTAAGACATGGGACGTTTTCAGCTATTATTTCATTAAATAGATTTTCTGTGCCTTCTCCCGTATCTTCTTCTAGAACTCCCAAAAGGTGAATATTTGTTTGCTTAATAGTGTCTCATATATCATGTAGGCTTTATTCATTTTCTTGTAATTTTTTTTGTCTGAGTGTGTTATTTCAAAAGACTTGTCTTTAAGTTCAGAAATTTTTTCTCCTGCTTGATCTAATCTATTGTTGACACTCAATTGTATTTTTTAATTTTATTCATTGTATTTCTCAACTATAGGATATCTGTTTTGTTCCTTTACATGATATCTCTGTTGAATTTCTCATTCAGATTAAGAATTGTTTTCCTGATTTTTAAAAATTGTCTGTGTTTTCTTGCTTCTCACTGAGTTTCCTTAAAATTATTATTTTGATTTCCTTTTCATGAATTTTATAGATTTCCTTTTCTTTGGAGGTGTCAAATTTCCTTTTTTGTTTTTCTCATGTTTCTTATGACCCTATATTGATATCTGTGTACCTGGTGTACACACTTCTTCCAATTTTGTGGAGTAGATTTATAGGGCAAAGTTTTTTTTCTGTAGATTTATCTATAGTATCTGTTGGACAGAGTGCTTTGGTTTTGGTTCTGATTGGGCACAGTTGTATAATCTTTGTATGATTTACTTAGCTGTAATCAATTTCAGTGATATCTGTGAGTTCCTGAGTAGGTTAGAATGCATTTATTTGTGGAGACTGGATGCAGCTTTGCTGGGAACAGGGACAGTGGACAAGCTGATCGGGGGTATGCACAGGACCAGCAGTGGGGGTGATGGGCCCCAGGTGGGTCTATCCTCACACTCCTGGGTAGCAGGCAAAGGCACAGCTGCCCCATTGCTGAAGAGGGTGGGTTTGGCATGCAGTAGCAACAGGTCCTAGGTAGAGCAGTCCTTGGGCCCCTGGCAGAACACAAGGGCATCAGTGGTGCTTGCAGTGGGCCCCAGCAGGCTAGTCCTTGGGATGGTGAGTGGCACATAGTGATGGTCAGGGTGGGAGTGATTGTCCAGGTGGGCCAGTTCTCAGATCCCCAGAGGGCATGCATGGATGCATAGTGGCTTCCCTGCTAGAGGAATTGATGTTCTTGCTGGCAGCTGCAGGTCCGGGTACGTGGCTCTCAGGATCTGGGGAGTTTTTGCTTTGCCTCATATTATCTGGAGGTGAGCCACCCTGTTGTGCTCAGCTGCCTAATTTCCTAGAGGTATAGGGGTACTATGTGGTCTGAGGTGCTAGGTTACAGCTATACTGCTGGGTCAAGCTTGTGACATGTTGCTGCAACCATTTGGATTGGTTTGGGGAGAAATCTGCAGAGTCCCAGGGATTTTTGAGATGCGGGGAGTATCAAGCCCCAGGGCAAGATGTAGTGTGATGGTGGCTCTGCTCTCAAAATGATACCATGCTGTAGCAGCTTGGGTCCTAGAAGGCGGGAGAGACCCAGCGTGAACTCTCTGGAACAACGCAGTCACAAGAGACTCCAGGTAACTCCCTATACTCAGGGTATCGGGGTGCTGAGGGGGCTTTCCTCTAGCTAGTACTGCAGGTGTATATTGTGGGAATGTGGACTGCTGAGGATCTTCTGCTTACCTTTTTCCAGCAGTGGGGGAGTCCCAACAAAGACACAGGGGTGAAAACCATTTGATGATTCTGGTAGAGATTGAAATGACACACCTCCAAGCCAAGGAACACTGAGAATTTGTCAACTACCACCAGAAGCTAGGAAGAGCCAAGAAAGTTTATTCTACAGAGGCTTCACAGTGAACATGGATCTGTAGAAACCTTGATTTTGAGATTATGGTATCCGGAAACATGAAAAAATAAAATTCTATTATTTAAAGCCACCCAATTTGTGATATTTTGTTATGGCATCTTTAGGAGCCTAATTAATAAAATTTGCAGTAATTTCTTACATTTTCACAGTACATTTAAGGTAATAGCTAAACTTTTTAATATCCTGTACATTATTTTTCCAAGTATTCAAAGAAGAACAATATAAAATTAAAATATGATGTTGTTACTATGTTTTCATATTAGATATGGAAGATGATTTGGGAGAAATAAAATTTAAATTTCCAATTCTATCTAACAGAGAACTAGAAGATATAGCAGTTTTTGCTCATTTTGTCTTTCATTGCTTCAAAATAACAGGAATAATGGCATACATGAAAATAGCTGATATCGAGAATGTAAAAATATCGTGAGTTTTTATTGTGTTGAATCTTACTTAAGTAGAACTGAAGGAAATACATTCATATGGTCTGCATTATTTATTTCAGTCAAATTTGGTTTCTCTGGTTAGAAACTACACCTAGGGAAATAAGCCTTCTGTAAACTTCATGAACAAACGTAATTTTTCACTGACTCTGTGCTTTTTGTAATGAAAATATTCATAGTAGTAGAAAATCTTATTGTGCCTGAAAAATGAATGACTTCCTTATTTGGGTTTCCATTATATTTTGCACACACCTCTATTATTGTACTCATCATATTGCATTAGGGAGATATTTTTGTCTATCTCCTCTGTTAGATAGATAACTCCTCAAAGGCAAATAAAATTATTCATTATATGTCAATTTTCTGTGCCTAGCATAGTGCTTCGTCTGTGGTAGGCTCATAATGAATATTTATGAATTGAAATAATTATTGAATTCATAGCTTCAGTAGTTACATCCACAAGGTGTAGTTTATATTAATGCCACTTTCAAGTAGTGAAAAGCATAAAAATTGTTTTTATGGACATTACTCAATTAAGAAAGAGAGATGTAAAATAATTTAATTACTTACCTGTCATGGGATTTTAGTGCAGTCTTCCCATGTGTATAGTTGAGTGGATTGACAAAGTGTTTTGTTTTATTTAAGAAGTGCTGAAAACCATCTACTCATCAAACATCACTCAGTATATGTTCCAGAGAACATGTTAACGGCTAAATAAAAACAAACAAACAAACAAACAATCCTCTGTCCTTCCCCTAAGAGAGAGATGAGTGAAAATTCCAAAAACTGAGGCAGAAGGTGCCATGCAAGTTCAGAAAAAGAGCATCTCAACTTAGAAGTGGAGAAATGTGGAGAGAAAAACAAACAAACAAACAAACATTTAAAAATACCAAGGCTATGTATTATAAGTTGAAAACGACTTTAACATCTTGCTTATATGACTTTGCGTATTTTATTGCAACAGTGCACTTAAACAGGAATGTCTTATTTCAAGTAATCAAGAAGTCAGAATATTATAACTGAACACAGAAGCACTGGTTTCTGTGACTTCTCAAAGAACTCCAAAAATATAGCATCAAACGAAAAAAACATTTCTGAATTTTAACTTCAACAGTCAAAGATTTAGGTTTTGTTCTTCTAGTGTGCCTTTCCTTATCTGTATCATGTCTACATGATTTGTCCTGATCTAAGTTTCTACAAGAAGACTGAGGTTTCAGTCCTAGCACTCAAAAAGTCTTCATTTTTCTCTAATAAGGTCACCAAATCCCTGAAACTCATGATGCAACCTCAGATGCAGTCTTTGTTAAATTTTGATAGCAGCTATATATAATATTCTCTTTACTTAGGAAGATAAAATGTAATGAAGCTGAGTTGAAAAAAAAATCAAAGTGTGATACTAGGGAAAATTGTTCCAGTCATTGTCTCACTATTGCCAGCAAGTTCATTTGGGAAATAAGAATATCTTTGGTAGAAGTATTAATGTAGATTTTGTATTAAGATAAGAATCTTTAATTTGCCAATCTTAGAATTTGCTAGGAATGTATTTTCCATCTACATTTTTCTACCATTATGTATTGAACAATGACATTTATTCTGAGAAATCCCAAATTGATTATACTATCTCAATCATCTGCTCGATTTTACTATTTTATTTAGAAGAGTAAGTTAGGATAATTAGAGATAATAATTACTCTTTAAAAGGTGAATGGCAAAAGAATGTATTCAAATATATTTTTTCTGGGTCAGGGTTGCTTAAATCTTATAATAATAATCTTTGCTCAAAGAGAAAACATATTCTGTCTGTGAAGCAAACATCTTTTTTTTAAACAGGTGTTGCTTCAATAATCTTGAATGTTTCATAAATTATCAGGTACATATTAACTAGGACTCTAACCTTCCCAGTATACTTTGCTCCAGGAGCCCTGGCTGCGTTCTCTAAATGTAATTGTCTAGCTTTGAAGGTATTTTGTGAGGACTGCTTTCTGCGGCATTTACATGCAGATGGGATTCTTAGGAGGACTCTGTGCAGCTATTACTCTGTGAATAGAATATGAAAATGATGCAGTTCCTTTAGGTAACTGGCAATATTTTCAAACTAATTTTCCTCAAGGAGGAAAATAAATGGACTTTATACTGAAGATTTCTACCTTCATTAAAAGCTCATGTGGGTGTTCAAAAATTAACCAGAAGATGTGACCCTATTAAACCCCCCAAATTTATGTAAGAGCAAAATGACTAAGATAAGTCCAAATAAAGTCATGATACAATTGAAATTTTATGTTCATGTATTTTATTGAGAGGTAGTCTGAGCTTTCATTTGATCAGCTTCTAATTTCCTTTAATGTAACAGTATTTTAGAGCATAGAACGTGTTTCATGTTTAATTTACTAAATTGAAGTTATTTTCCCAATGGAAGTGGCATACATGACATTGGGTGTTCATCATTTTGTATGCCATAAGAAAACATTTAATCTTTCTGTTTGATCTCTAATTTGTCTTAACGGGATCTCAGTAGCATAAGCAAAATTAAATAATAAATAAATAAATAGCATATCTCCTATTCCCCAGAACCACTCAGTACAGCTGTGCAGGTGACACAATGTACAATTTCAGGAGTGTCCAATAATATGATAGTCTGCATAAATGACATTCCTGAGTGTTGTACAGTACACAGCCTGTGTGACTGTAAATGGCATCTTATGCCAGCATTGAATATAATTTGTTGTTTAGCCTGATTTTGCCAGGATGTTCTTCCCTTGCCCTGGGTATACTCATGTGAATAGATAGTTTTTAACTCATTGAGTTATTATTGATAAGTAAAGAAATGTCTTTTCATGCTTTTGTTTACATTTAATTTCTAAAATTTAATTTGATTTAATTTTCCTATACTATAAGATCACTTGACTGGGATCAAAGCAATCTACTTATTTTCTTTAAACATGCTGTATAAACCAATTAATGTTTCATTTTCATACTGTTTCATTAGAAATAATCCTCTTCCTTAAAAAGCCATATAATTTTGAGATCAATTATGCTCCTATTTTAAACCTTGAATGTTAGCTTCCTTCAATTGGAAGTGTATCTTAGAGTTTTGTTTTTGTTTTTGTTTTGAGACAAGAGTCTTGCTCTGTCACCCAGGCTGGAGTCCAGTGATGCGATCTCGGCTCACTGCAACCTCTGCCTCCCAGGTTCAAGCGATTCTCCTGTCTCAGCCCCTGCTAGTAGCTGGGATTACAGGTGCATGCCACCACACCCGGCTAATCTTTGTATTTTTAGTAGAGATGGGGTTTCGCCATGTTGATCAGGCTTGTCTGGAACTCCTAACTTCAGGTGATCCACCCGTTTCGGCCTCCCAAAGTGCTGGGATTACAGGCGTGAGCCACTGACATTCTTAGAGCTTTTTATATAAATTTGCTAGCATAATGGTTTTTTTATAACTGTTTTTAAACTTTAATTTTATTTTTTTTTTGCTTTTAGTAACTTTTTAGAGTGTTTTTACATTTTATCTTTTATTTTGAGGTAATTTAAGATTACATTTAGTTGGAAGAAATCATCCAGAGATCCGGTAAGCCTTTCCTGACAGTTTTCCTAATAGTAACTTTTTGAATAACTATAGTATGATATCACAGTCAGGAAATTTATAGAATCCATCAAAATTATTCAGATTTCACCAGTTTTATATGCACTCGTGTGTATGTGTATATATATTTAATTCTGTGTAATTTTATCACACTTGTGGACTTGTAACCACCACCATGCTCAAAACAGAACAAGTCCATCACAATGATCCCTCATATTACCCTTCTATAGCCACAGCCACTTCTCTTCCTTTTGTCTCCCTAATACCTGGCAACCTTCTCCATCTCTATAATGTCACTTCAGGAATAGTATAACAGTGTTTTCAAACCATCTTGTGATAAATAATATGATGAATTATTACTTGAATTTTTAAAAGTTTAGTATCTTTGTGCTTCCAGTGACATTATAGTTATAAATTGTTTACCTTGACTTTACCATACAATAAAATATTGCCTACATTATTGTAACCATAGTTTTATAGTTCTTTTGCCATCCTTCTATTTGGAATCCATTTTACCCTTGTACCTGAGGATATGCTTTAATGAGCTAAAATTTGCTTTACTTTTATTTATAAAAAGGTTATATTAAAAATGTCATGTTTTTATGAAGAAAAAGCATTCTAATATGTATAATGTGATAGCTCTATGTCTAAATTACTGGGTAATCTTAATTAAGAGATTTAATATTTCTGGGTTTTACATTAATCACATTTTTCTTGTACTACTATAGATTTAATCAAATAAAAGTTTGTATTTTATGATTGTAAACTGCCTCTAACTGAAGGACTTTTTAATGTTGCTGTTCTGGGTATTATGGCATTACCCTCTTTCTTTAATTTATTATTTAAGTTCATTCAGAATATAAATTATAAGGGATTAGACCAATGTTATGATCAGTTCACAAATTTGCCCTTGACAGTGGCAGCAAAAGATGTATTATGAACAAGTGTAATGACAAGCTATCAACTTCAAAAGGATAATTGTGTCTATGCAAATTCTTAATCTATATATCTGTGTAGATACTTTGCTATCTATCTAGTATCCATTAGAGTATCCTGAATTCTAATTGGACCAGTTTTTATTCCGATGCTCTTATTTCCATATCACAAATAAAAAGTTCCATGAATTTACAGTTCATTTCATAAACTAATAACTTTTGTTGTGTCTTGTTTTCCTTAAATTCCATTTCAAAGATAACTTTTAGTGAAACTACTCAGTAGGAATACAATAGTTGAAGATACGAGAGAAATTGTGACTGCTTGATTGAATTTTTTAAATCACCTAGTCTATTAAATTATCTTTGACTAAGTGGAATAATTTACAAGCATATTCAGCTTTTATGTTGCCAATAGAATATTTTTATCTTTGCAGGATATCACTGGTGCATTCTTTAAGTATATTATTATTTATAACAGTAGCATACTTTACAAATTTTTTTTCATCTATTATTTGCTTTCCTATAAGGGTCAATATCAACATTTATCAGTCTGAAGTGTTCTAATAATATTGGATAACATTTAAATAGGTTGAGACAGAATAGTTACCCTGAATAATATAGGCATATTTCATCACCCTTAATCTTCAATAAGACTCTTTCAAATATGCAAGCCTATGTTTCTATGTTGATGAGAAATGAATTAGCCAAGGCCTCATTAAGCCTGACAATTCTGACTGCATATATAGATATTGAAGCTATTTCATAGTGATCTTCAGCATCAAAAGTTTAACATTTAGGATGGTTATATGAGATCTTTTCAGATGTTGAAAGTATAGGTAATGTAAGAAGGATCATACTTAGCTTGTTTGAATAGATGAAAAAATTAAGGCCAATAGTTATAAATTATAAGAGGAGAGAATTTGACTAAGATTAGCAGACATTTAATATGATTAATGCTTTCCCCCCAAATAAATGATTTCTTCTGAGGTAATAAGATCCTTTCTTTGAAAAGACTTATACAGAGAAAATTGTATTATTGGCAATATGGGATTCACGATGTCAATGGCAATTGTTCTATATGATTATTAAAATTTGTTTTTAATACGAGATTTCTATTTTTATTAGCAATATCTTCAGTATTACCCAAGTGTTATTAACATTAAGTGGTATGTCAATTAAATAAAATTCACTTGGGCTACATTTTGCTTAGAAACAGTGCATAATACAGCACCAACCATTTAGCCATATATTGATCATTTTAGCCATGAAAATGTAGGTCCTTATCAAAAGCCTACAAAAAATTATCATAAATTATAATTAATAAGTTTTACTAAATGTTTAAATGCAATATTTAACATACTTTTTGAATTGTCTGGATACGACATAATGTTTATTTTTTATTCTCCTGGAAGATAGTTTTCCATTATAAAATAATTCTGTTTTTATGTATGAAGCCATAAACTGTAGAAAACAGTTTATGCCCTTGAAATTAACCTTACTGGAGAGGGTACAAATGTATAATGGGTTTCTTTTGAGATTAAGTTTGTGACTTAAGAAACACAGTTGTGCAATATCTGTTGTGGGTTATAGGGAAACTTCATGGTCATAAAATAAAGTAAATAAAGCTATAAAGAGTGTCACAAAGGTAGTAAACACATGGCTCTAGCCTTCTTTGCTCTGTGGTCTAGCAAATATTCTAACTAACTATAGCAAGTAAGATTATATGATACATAATTCCATTGACTAAGCCTCTGATTGGAGTATGCAAAAAATTTACATTCTAATTTCCTAGTTATCTAGGTTTCTGCAAATGACATACTATTTAAAAACCTGGTAGAAAGGTCTGTCTTAAGGTTATACATCCCATAGCTCTTGATAATATTCAGTTTCCAAATTGAAATAACTTAATTACATTCTCCAAGGATCCATTTTCAGAGTAGGTGCAGCTGTTGCATTTTCTTTTTTAGAAAGACAATTATAATTACAGGCAACTTGCTTAAGAAGATGGAATTAATAATGCATTACAATTTTAGAGAAACAGTGAGAATGAAGTTTGGTTCATGTAGGAAAGAGATATGTGATGACAGATCAACAGAAAGCAAGGTGGCGTGTGTGTGTGTGTGTGTGTGTGTCTCTGTGTGTGCTTTAAGTCTTATTTTGGAGACTGCACATTTAAGATAATATTCTACAAATAATTTCTTAAAGAGTCATCTAGTGCTTGCTACATAGAAGCTACTGTCAAAAACAAGGATAATATTTAGCAATAAAGTCACAATTTGGCAGAAAGGTTAAGTGTAAATTAGAAATTTCATGAGAGATTCAGAGAGACATGTACGCAATATACTTGGATCAGTATAGGAGGACAAGACTGTTTCAAGGATTTAAGACAGTCTTCGAAGAGGACATATATTTCAGCTAAATTTTAGAGCAAAGCCTGTAATTAATTAGGATGACAAGACTGGGGAACATAGGGACTAAAATTAGGCAACATTTCCGAAGGCGAATGCTGTCAAGAATTGTGAAAGGTCCTATATATGCCCATTATGTTAAACTATTGTCATTAAAATTTTCTATATTTTTACTGAAAAAAAAAAGAATTGTGAGAGGTCACTTTTGTATCCTACTTATCCACTAACAAGTTAGGCTGCTACATTTTCAAATATTCAGGAGAAAGCATGAGACACATTGTAGTCAGAAACACAGGATTTTACTAATCATGGCACAGCAAGCTGGATGAGCTTCAAGTTTTTATTACATTCTCTTATCCCATTTTCCACAGGGTGTTATGAAGAGGACCAGGTTACACCTACATGTGCAGGGGGTTGCCTTATAGGAAACCATGAGTTCTAGTGAGCAGTAAGAATTACTTGTTCATTCCTCTAGACTGAATCACTGTCTCTCTTCCCCAAGGATATAAGGAAACCTACTCTTTTTATCAAAGAATTTACGAACTCCATATTTCAAAACTGTTTGTAATTTTAAAAAATCCTTAAAAAGATAGTCGGAAAAAAAAGTCACTGTATTGACTTACCAGGTGTGCAGAAACGAGTCAGCTCCATGAAAAAGTGTCTCCCAATAGAAAAAATAAATTGTAAAATCTCTAAAAGATGAAATAGTATGTTGAATCTCAAATAGTATCTCAAAGAGTATTGCAAAGAAATTTCATATGGATAAATGTGCATGTTCTTTGGTTCATAAAAAGGAAAATTCGGGAGAGATTTCCTGATTATAATGAATTTGATATATTTAGTAATGCATTTTTTTTTCTGAAGGTTTTTTTCCTTGGGGGTATGAATAATGATTTGAAATAGATCAGTAACAAAGTCAGACTTAGAGTTGTAAGAATCATTGTTATTGTTGAGTAAGGATGGAGTGAATGTGTGCAAGAATGCCAGCACAGAAGCTTGAAAATTTAGTGTTCGTGGGTGATGATAAGAACAAGAATCAATTAAGTTGTACCCAGGTTAAAGACCAACAGAATGATTTAAATTTGATTTACTGAAAAGCCTTTGAAATTTGCTCATCAGCTAGAAGTAAGACAGGATAAAGAACATGGAGAAACTGGGCATGTCTTGAAATTTCCTGATTTTAAATGAAATGAAGAGTATAGGAAAAGGTGGAATTGGATATAAAAAATGATTATTTGAGTACACACTTACTGAAAGATTACCAAAAGGGAAATTGTTGGTAGAAGATATTTAGAATTCAAGCGAGACTGAGAATAACTGTTGGAAATTATAATTGATGCTGTAGTAGTAGATGAGATCAAAGAAAATTAGTGGGCATCCATTCGTAATTTAAAATATCTAAACAAAACAGATATAGAAGAAATTTACCTCAGCAAAATAAAGACCATATATGAAAGACCCACAGCTAACATCATAATCAATGGGGGAAATGAAAAAAACACAGTGAACTTTTCCTCTAAGATCTTATACAAGGATGCCCACTAGCACTACTCCTGTCCCACAAAGTACTGGAAGTCCTTGACAGAGCAATTAGATAAGGAAAAAAAAGAAAACATCTAAATAAGAAGAAGTAAAATTAATGCTTTAGATGATATGATTATATACATAGAAAACCCTAAGTTCTCACCAAAATTATCTGTTAGAATGAAAAAACAAATTCAGTAAAGTTGCAGAATACAAAATCAACATGCAAAAATTAGTTACATTTTTATATTGAAACAACAAACCATATGATAAGGAAATTTTTAAAAATCTCCTTTACAATAGCAATAAAATAATAAAATATTTAAGAATAAACTTAACCAAGGAGGTTAAATATTTGTACACTAAAATTATGTTTATGAAGGACATTAAAGAAGACACAGATAAATGAAAAGATCTCCTGAGTTCATGAATTGAAACAGCAAATATTTTTTAAATGCCCATAATACCCAAAGTGATCTAAAGATTCAATTCAAACCCTATTAAAATCTAACAAATTTTATTACAGACATGGAAAAAAATTCATAAAATTGATATGGATCCCTGAAAGACTCCACTTCAAAGAATTAGTTTGAAAGCAATTTGAACAAGAAGAACAAAACTGGAGGCATCAAGCTTTCTAATTGCAAAATATATTACAAATATCCAGTAATCAAAATAATATAACTACCATAAAAACAGACAATGGAACAGAATAGATAGACAAGAAAATCAATTTACAAATCATCATTCAACTGATCTTTGACAAGGTTGCCAAGAACACACAATGGGGAAAGAAATATCTCTTCAACAAGTGATATAAAAAAATGTATCTACACGAAGAAGAATGAAATTGGATCCTTATCTCACACCATATGCAAATATCAACTCAAAATGTATTAAAGACTTACCTCTAAGACCTGAAACCATAAAACTACTAGAAGAAAACATAGAGAGCTTCTTGACTTCGATATGTGCAATGATTTTTTTGGCTATGACACTGAAAGCACAGGCAAAAATAAACAATTGGGACTATACCAAACTGAAGTTTCTGCACCTCAAAGAGAATAATCAATAAAATGAAACTCCCTGCTGCAGAACGAGGAGAAATATTTCAAGCCATATGTCTGGCAAAGGGTTACTATCCAAAATATATAAGAAACTTTCAAAACTCAGTAGCAAAACTAAAACAAAAACAAATAAGTGATTTTTTTTTAAATGGGCAAAACGCTTGAACAGATATTTCCCAAGTGAGGACATACCAATGATCAAGAAGTTTAGGAAAAGGCACTCGACATCACTACTCACCAGGGAAATGCAAGTCAAAACCACAATAAGATATGACCTCACATCTGTTAGAATGGCTATTAGATAAAGGACAAAAGATTAGTATTGGCCAGGATGTGGACAAAAGGGGCATTCTTGTAAGTGTTGGTGGAAATGTAAATTGGTATGCTCTTTATGGTAAATAGTATGGAGGTTCCTCAAAAAATTGTAAGTAGAATTACTATATGATCCAGCAATCTCACATCTGAGTGTATATCCACAGGAAATAAAATGAAATGTTAAAGAGATACCTATACTCCCTTGTTCATTGCATCACTATTCATGGGTGAATCTGGAGTACATTATGCTAAGTGAAATAAGCTAGACACAGAAAGACAAATACAGCATGGTCTCACTTATATTTGGAATCTAAACTAGTTGAACTCATAGAAGTACAGGGTAGAATGGTGGTTGCCGGGGTTCAGAGGTGGAAAAAATTGGGAGTTGTTGGTCAAAGAGTACAAAGTTTCATTTATGCAAGATGAATATGTTCTGGAAATCTAATGTTCAGCATGGTAATGATGACTAACAATACTGTACTGTATATTCACTACAATTTGCTAAGATGATAGATCTTAAGTATTTTCACCCCCTCCCCCCACACAAAAGCAGTGACTATGTGAGAAAAATTCTACCAGGATTATGGCAGACACTATTGATGTACTACTTAATGCCACCAATTTTCTCATCCTTTTTACTAACAAATGATTTTTTAGAGGTGGAATAGTATTCAGTTAAATATATTTACCTTTAAACACTCCCATGCAGCAACAATGACCATATGAAAGAGTTATGGCCTGTGGAATTTATGTACAAGTCACTGATTTTGCCCTCTTGGAGATAAATTTTTAAAAAGCATACGTGGTAGAAATTCCTTTGGCTATTTCTCCTCCACCTTCTCCCCTACCTTTCTGCCTAAAAAGTGCTAAATGTGGCTAGAAGTGTAACAATTATCTTACTGCAAGAATGATAATGAAAGCCATCATCATGCATCAGTCAGTCAGGGTCTAGGGAATGGAGTGAAACAAATTAACTCCAGCATCTCAGTGGCTTAGTAAACAAAGGTGTGTTTCTCAGTTAGACAAAGTGAGTTGCAGTGTTGGCTCCTCTCTTGGGCAACTGCCTTTTAAGTAGTGACCCAGGCACCTAGACTGTTGCTATTTTGTCTGTGCAGTTACAGAACATGGCTTCTAAGGGAAGCAGGTGGATACAGCAAGACAGTCATAAAGGGGCTTTTCACTGCCTTAACTTGAAAGTGGCATGTCTTCTACCCGTACTCTGTTGTCTTGAACTAGTTACATGAACCTGCCTAACTGCAAGAGGGCGAGAAATTGCAGTTTTCAATGTGCCCTGGAAGGGAAGGAGTATTGGAAAGTAAGAAGTACTCATGAAATCTTTCTTCTAAGGCACTTTGAGCAATTATACCATCCCATTACTGCCCACATCTGGACATCTTGCTATGTAAGATCAATAAATATCTATTCATTAGGGCCACTGTAAGTCAGATTTTTGTTCACTGAATTCAAACAGAATTCTAACAGTTAAAAAGTGTTTAAATTACTTTAAATTATCTATCCAAGTTTACATTCATGGAATTTAAAATAAATAGGGTATTTTTAGTTATAATCCCATATTACTATATAACTATAACACTAATCAGACAGATAGCACCAGAATTTAGTGGGCACTGAAAGAGAAGACATGTTGTTCCAAACTTGCAGACAGTGGAACCCAGAAATTTGCTATGTTCTGCTGTGTTTGTTTCCTTCACTGTAGAAGGATTTCTATAGAATGGAGTGGGCATATATTTATAGTCTAATCTACTAGGCAGCGTTGTGTGTGCCAAGTTTAAAATAGCCTATTCTATAGTACAAAATTAAAGCCCACTTTGAAGCAAATTAGGGAACTTAATAACATTTGTGTGGTTTTTTTTGGCAGGGAGGTAAGAAGTTCATATATATCAGAAAATCGTTTGTCGTCTCTAATCCTCCTTTTTTTTTGGTTTGTTTTTGTTCACTTGAAACCTTGGTTAAGTTGCTTAACTCCCTAGTAACTGTTTCCTTACCTGTTTATCCTTATACAGAATTAAATAGTGAGACTCACATCATAGCTGTTAAGATTTGCAGATGAATTTGTCTCGCTAGAATTTTTTCATTTCCCAGCCATAAAACCAGCAAGAGCATCAACAGTCAAATAGAAGAAAAAATAGCAAGAACATCAACAGTGAAATAAAAGAAAAAAATAGCAAGAACATCAACACAAATAGAAGAAAAAATAGCAAGAACATCAACAGTCAAATAGAAAATAAATTATGCTATTTATTAACAATTGAGAAAGACCAGGTTGCTTTTAGGTATAATAGGGAGCTTTTCTGGTACAGAAGGCTTAGTTCTGGTCATCTAATAGGACCTCTTAATTTGTACTTCCGTAGTGTAAAATTGCTGTTGTGGAGAAGGTTGCCAGTTGACATTTCTAACCAGGTACACAAAGATGATTGTTGGCACAGTCCTAAGGGCTAGGTGTGTTTACCACAAAAGAATAGATAGGAAAGATATGAAAACTGGTTTGGAGACTTTAAATCATAGTTACTCTGCCCATCATAGAGAAATGTTCCAATAAATGGCTCTGGATCTGACCAATCACAGCAACATTTCTCTTGTGCAGGAGTCTCTAAAATTAGCATATTAATGTCCATCTCATTGGAATATAAGGTTACATGATGAAAAGCTCATTATGGTCCCAGTACGTTTTAGCTGTTATTATTTTCCTTATTTTCAATTGTCCAAATATTTTGCTTTTTGACATTTGGCTGTTTGTCATCGAGAATTCACAGTAGTATTCACTAAATATGCTTTATGACTAAAGATTATTATACTAAAAATGCACATGAAATTATTAACTTCACTCAAAAGTTGGTATTTTATACAGAACTCTTTTTATACAGCATTTTTCCACAGAAACAAAATTTCACATGAACAGTTTGTTTTAAAACATTGGAACACCTCACTGAACAATAATTAAAGTAATGAAATTTTATTCAAAGTACCTAAGTCAGTCCCTTGTAGTCAATTAGGTGTCCAGAGCAGTGCAATTATGTTTCAAACCACCAGGGCACATTTAAACCACTGAAGCAGAATGTTGCCCTGGTGATTTTAGGATAATGCTATGGGAGAGTTGCTCAGACCATTTATTATCTTCAAGTTAAAGAGCGATATTAACTCATTCATACCCTAAGCACACCATGCATTAACCACTGCTAGCACTCTTTTCTTGGTGCTGAACTTATAAGAAATAAAAAACATATGAGAAGTATTTTTAATATATTGGAAAAAACAAAATAAGTCACTATTTTTGAGTGTTACTTTCTGCTGTAAAATTTTCCGTCAACTTATAAATATTTTAGTGTCCAATTTGTCTGAACCTGTGCTAAGAATGCATTCAATTAAGGCATACTTGACATATTAAGTTGGTACAAAAGTTATTGCAGTTTTTGCTATTGTGTTCAATGGCAAAATTGTAATAATTTTTGCACCAACCTAATATTTCAAGCTTTACACTATATAAATTTTAGAACTTCACAAAGCTTAAGGACTGAGGCATTCATGAATGGATCCTAAATATCTATGCTGCAATTTCAGTCCATTCCGTACTAGTCTGCTCTCAGTAGGATTGATAATTATGAATAGTCTGAAGACATTTCATATGTCTAAGAAGTTTGTAATGGAATCAGTAATTTTTTTGCTTACACTAACTTCGATTCTTGCACTGTAGTATGTACTGTATTAGTCCATTCTCACATTGCTATAAAGAACTGAGACTGGACAATTTACAAAGAAAAGAGGAAGTCTGGATCTTAGTAGAATGTAAGTATAAAAGGGAATTTAAAATTTCCATTTCACCATTTTCCATAGCCCTTGTTTTCCCAAGGAAATTTTCAGAGAAAAAGAAGACAAAAAATATTGGAATTCTCTTTTTCTTCACTTGTCATTTCAAAAGGGAGCAAATATCAATCTTGAATTACCAGGAGGCTCTAAAAATGATTCTTCAGGTTTTAGTTCTTAATATTACTTAATCCAAATTAGGCTGTTTTCTTCCTTTAGAAATAAACAAAATGGCATCATTCCCACCCTACTCCTGATCTAATGTATTATGGAATAGCATATTAGACTTACAAAGCAATATTTTCTTAGTCCCATCCTATATGAGAATTTTAACCAATGATATCTGTTTTTTTTCTAGCTCTACTTTCTCTAGAGATAGTCCATGATGTTAGAGAACTTTTGCTAACAGATCTTTTTCTTATACTATAAATTTGCTTTGTAAATTAGAGTCATAAATGAGACCAGATTCTGATTTATCCCCCTTTATGATATGCATGATTGATATTTGAGAAGCTTGTTTTTTCAGATTTATAGCAGGAATACTAGCCCAAATGAGGTATACTGTATATTTTTCTCTGATGTATTGAGAGCTGGAATCTGGGACACAGTTAATTTAAAAGGCAGAAATTAAAAGCCACTGAAAAGAATTCTCTTATGCTAACTAAAATTTTCACTTACTGATTGGTGAAACAAATCTTTAGAATTATTCATCATTTAGAGGTAGTCGATCTAATCATTCTCATCATTTGTTTTCTTCTCTTTCTTTTTTTTTAACTGAAGTCCTCTACTTCCATACCTCACCCTCTCCTCTTCATACTCCATAACAAACTACAGATGAAGCCTCCACCTAATATTCAAAAACACTTTTTCTCTTTGTGCTCTACGTTAGAGTTCTAAAGTCCTCAGAACAATATACTGTACAAATTTAGACCTATTTTATCATTAATAATTAACCTACTAATCTATAGCACAATATACCAAACAATTTGTCTCGCTTTTTTGTCCTTTCTTTTTCTTTCTTTTTTTTTTTTTTCTTTTTCTTGGGTCTTTGACCTTGAGACAAGAGCAAGAATAAGGGTTTCCAAACTTTTTTATTGTGCACACCTCTCAGAAAAAAAAAAATTGAGCAGAGCATGCATTGCCATTTGTTTATTTATCACTGTATAAAGCATTCATATTTACATACCCAATATGGTATATAATATGGAGCAATATAATAAATAATATAAAATATAACTGTAATGTATTTGTATACTGTAGAACATACACCTTCATTAAAAGATACCAATACTAATATATCATGTACATTCTACATGTGATATAAAAACTATTGACTTGAAGTTTTGTGAACCTAATTAATAACTTCAGCTACTAATGCTGTGATGCCCATAACCTTCACTGACATCATAATGGAGGGTCTGAAGGAATGACATATGATAAAGACCAGATAATTTTTTAAAACATGAGGCTGTTTTTGCCAGGCACGGTGGCTCACGCCTGTAATCCCAGCACTTCGGGAGCACGAGGCGGGCGGATCACGAAGTCAGGAGATCGAGACCATCTTGGCTAACATGGTGAAACCCTGTCTCTACTAAAAATACAAAAAAAATTAGCCAGGCGTGGTGGTGGGCACCTGTAGTCCCAGCTACTCGGGAGGCTGAGGCAGGAGAATGGCGTGAACCCAGGAGGCGGAGCTGGCAGTGAACCGAGATCGCGCCACTGCACTCCATCCTGGGCGACAGAGCGAGACTCCGTCTGAAAAACAAACAAACAAACAAAAACATGAGGCTGTTTTATTCCCCATGCCTTGCCTCTTATTTGGACTTTAATCATCTGAAACAGCTTTTTCATGTACTTATAACTTTCATGTACTTAGAACTTAAAATAGCAAGGTACGTCTTCTCTAAACTAATATTTTGTTTTGTATTTTTTTGTCACAACCTAAGGCTGAAATCAACAAACAATTTATTCAGTTACTTATTTATTGCAAAATAATATAGGTTAGTACAATCCAAGCAAGCCCAAAGCACTGTATTTGATATACATTTATACCTAATTAGCTCATTTATAACTCCAGATTACCAACAATATTGTCAACTATATAGCTGTATATTTTCACTATTTTTGTAGATACAACAGAACACCACATAATTTAATTGTTCCATGCATACTTATTAAAAGTATCAATTGTTTTTCTTTAAAAGTATTCAAGCTAAATTTATCTTGGTGCTAATCTGTGACACATATTTTTGTCATATTCAGCAATCTTTTGTCAATATAATGGAGTTGATTCAGGATATCTTCTAGGAGATATTTTCAGAGACAGAATGGCTTCAGTGATGTACTGCTAAGCCCTGTCTTCCAAAATAAATAAAAGAAAAGAAAAGAAAAAGCCGTAATTTGTTATTTGTGGCATGTTTAATTTTATGATCAACCAAGCTACTAACCTGCTATCACTGAACATGGAGTTACAAAGAAATGAACAGAATCAGCTCTCTCAAGCTACCTGTTGGCTATAGCTCACCACTGGGTGGCCTTATCTTATTCTCCTATTAATTATCCTTTACTAATTTCCTCAATAGCTTAGTTTTATCCTGCTGTATTATTTTCGTTTTTGTTAAGAGTGTCAAATACATTTGGAGAGTGAAGTAGATCTTAAATAAATGAATTAATTTAAAAAGTCCTTTTAAAAAACCCCAAGTTTTGCATAATTTATTTATTTTTCTTATTGCCTCATGATTTGCTTGCTCTGTGAACATGTTAAATAAGTTATATATTAAACATAGAAAAGACAATATCTCTCTCTATATATTTTAATGAAATGGACAAAATGGGGCCAAATGGGTACTTACTAATTGTATTCATAAATACAGTTTTAATTTAATCTGTGAATTCAAGGATTTCTTAAGGTTACTACCTAAGGTGCTCAACAATGTTTGAGAATAAACACAAAGCAAATGGTTCATGTAAAACCACTGAAATGATTTTAAAATATACTGATTATAATAAGCTTCTGTCATTGTAACTATAATAAATAGTATAGTTTAAGCAATGAATTTTAGGCAAGTTTCTGTCATTGTAACTATAATAAATAGTATAGTTTAAGCAATGAATTTTAGGCGAGTCCTTTAATATATTATTAAAGGACTATTATTAATATACTAAAAGGTTTTCCTAAAATTCATTGCTTAGACCTTACTATTTATTATAGTCCTTTTAATATATTAAAGGAATTTTATTGTATTATAAAACTTAATAATACTGTATCACCTATTACTATCATCTATTTGCTGATATTAAAAATATTTGAATTCATTGTGAATTATGATTTGAAAATCATAATTCTGATATTACATTTACTGATATTTATTTTGCTTTAAATATCTGTAAACATAACTTACACCTGAAGTAGATAGGATATCTTCAATTTGACAAACTAAATAGAGTTATGTTTGGTTTGTAGGCACATGTTTCCAACAAATAGAGAGGTAAAAATGCAGTAACATGGATCAGTAGTTTGCAGACTGATTTATTAAGAACAGCGGGTAACTAACAACTAAACTAACAAGATGGTATCCCTGAACAGTGTGCTTATTTTCAGGTCAGAGTTTTAATTTTCAAAGGAAATCAAGTGTATAAGTAGCATGCTTGACATGAATCTTGTCACTATTTCATTAGCAAATTAAATATAAATCTGAAAATGCAGTAATTAAAGTAGATATTAAAGATTGTGCATGCTATTTTTAGTATAAAATGTAGTATCTGTTTTAAATCAATACAGTTTCTAAATAAATATCCATGAAGTGAGGATACCTTTGGATAAATAACTTGACACAGCAATGACAATATTAGTTAAATAGAAAGTACTATGAAAGAGAGAAAAATGTTCTGTTACTGTAATGCAAACTTAAAAGGCATCAGGTAACCTGAATTCTAATCTCAATTCTATCACTGTGAATGGTAAAGTTTTGTTTTGCTTTTTTTTTTTACTTTTTATTTTTCTAGCTGGATGCTTTACCAGTAAAATGAAGGAAAACTTCAAATGTAAAATATTTGTAGGGAATGTGATTGAAACATTTGAATTTTTTTTTTCTTTCTGGAAACATTTAAAAAATGTGTATGTAAACAGTCAAAATATGATGCAAATTAACTCTTACTTATAAGTTAGCCTTTAACAAAACTATAATCAGTAATCAATATTATATAATAAAGCATAACTCCTTTTATATTTACATATGTAAGTCACCTATAAAAGCGGAAAATACTTTTGTGTATTTTCAGATTAATTAAATGATAATATATATATAGCTTTGCAAAACAAATTTCCAGACCATAGGTTATACCATACATACTATTAAATAGCTTAAATAATGGCTCAATATAATATGCAGCTTAGAAAGAGACAATACAAATGTGTCTGGCTTTTCCTCAACAGTTACACCTAGATTTTTGTCAAACAAAAGGGAGCATTTGAATATAAAGTAAATATGTAATATTTTAATGATATGGTTCATTTGACCAGCCTTTTCATTTTCATGATACAGGGAAGAATTGGAAATAAGCAGTAGTAATAGGCCTATTCAACTGCTTTTTAATACCTACTGCTTCATTACACATTTATATATTAGTAATTATTGTAGAAACCAACAATTTCAGTTGTGGAAATAATCAGACAAAATACAAGGTGCTTTTCATCAATCCTCTATTTAATCAACCAACTGGACTAACAAATACGTTTCATTTCTTTGATAAAATATACTGAACTGTTTCTATAGTGCAATAAGCTATTTTGTTTAGCAGACTACCACATATATTGTCTGAATAATTTTGTTCCGAGCAGTTCATATTCATGCTTATTTAGAATCAATTGTATTTAGTACAAACTTCTTAGGCTTATTGGGATACTTTTAGTGTGTATATATGTAACTTGATGAAATGTCAATAAATAAACAATGAACTTTTTTTGTACAAAAACCAATTTGAATGCTTAGAGAAAACTTAAGGATGAGTTACTAAAAATTTGCCTGAATTAGGTGTGGACAAGATATCTTTAAAAATAGGAAGCCATTAATATAAAATAATTAAAAGTAGAAAATAATAGAAAAGTAATAGAATTAACAATAGACAAATTAAGAGTTTTCAAACTAAGATTGCTTAACTGGTGTCTCTAATTTTTACTCAAGTTTTTTCAACTTGGAATGATAAGAAACTATGTATCATGAATTATGTACAAAGAAGACATAATGAAATAATTACAATTATTAGATGTTTAAAGAAAAGTTCTTGAGTCTATATCATAAGATTAGTGAATGGGCTATGCATCTACACATCTTAAGATAAAATACAATATTTAAGTTATGTATTTATTCCTTTACAGAATTTTTGATATCCTGCTTTAACTTTTTTTTTATTAACCTATGATTTGTATCCCAACAACATTAAATAAAAATGCTTCTACCTTAAAATATGCATATAATTCTAGGGATATAAATTCTAGAGTTATAGCAATCAAGTATCAAAAATATATGGGTACCTAAACCATCTGTAAATCAAAACAGTTTAATGACAAAAGTCTATTTGAAATATGTGAACAGTGAATTCCATGTATACCTTTTACTAATCAATTCAAAAACACATGAAAACATCAGGCCATTTTGTTTATTTGTTTTTGTTTTCTCTCAGCCTCATAATGCCTTTCCTTTACTCAGTTATTCAGGCCAGGCTCCTAGTTCCTCATAGGAGCTTAACTTCCTGACTCACATATCTACTCTGAATTATAATTAAACTCTTGGATGAATCTAGTATTCATGTGGACAATAATTCCTCTGAAACCCTAGTAAAGTCTATTTGATACTAAAGCTGATGTTCTTTTCCTATATAGCAGAACCCTATAATGTGTAGCTACAATTTTCAGGGACTGCATACCTTCCAAAACACAAGAGTGATGTGCATGCAATTCCAAACAACACAATAGATCAGAGAAATATGGGACCTTAAAAGATCTGAGAAGGAGTGGAAAGAGATAACAGGGTTATGGCCCCACAGAAAAGACAAGAGGTGGGTATGTTCCAGCTGCTCTGAGAAGCTAAGAAGGATGACAAAAAATCTCCAGGGGGTTTGTGAGATTAGTAATCTGACTTATCTCAATAGAGTGCAGCTACTTAAAGTCAGATCACATTGAGAAGATAATTGTATAGAAAAGAAATAGAGATGATATGTAAAGACTATTTTTCAAGGGTATTATTGGTGTTGGCAATTACAGGTATTGTTATTCTTCTTGATATAGCAGATGGAGACATTTCATTTAACATTTCCTAAACCTCAGCTGATTTGCGATGCAGGGTAGAGAGTTATGCTTTTCTCCAATTTTTTAACTGAGTTTTGGCTGGTGCTGTGTAGAAACATGCACAGCTTCTGCAATATCTTTTGAGACAACCCCTTTGCTTTTTTGGCTACCTTTTTTAAAGAAAATCCAAATGCATAATATGAACTTAATATTTTTTGTAAAATAGAGTATGTCTTATTAAATACATGAATACCATAGCTTAAAAGCAAAAATTTTAAATAAGCAACAAATATAAAGGAGAAGTATTACTATATTTGTGTCTATAGTTAATTGTGTTTTGTTGCCAGTGAAGTAACCTCAGGTTTATGGTATATAGTTCTAAGGACCCACAGCTCCTCAGTTCCACATAAACCTTGACATTAAAACAAGGCCCTACACTATTCACAATAGCAAAGACTTGGAACCAACCCAGATGTCCAACAATGATAGACTGGATTAAGAAAATGTGGCACATATACACCATGGAATACTATGCAGCCATAAAAAATGATGAGTTCATATCCTTTGTAGGGACATGGATGAAATTGGAAACCATCATTCTCAGTAAACTATCGCAAGAACAAAAAACCAAACACCGCATATTCTCACTCATAGGTGGGAATTGAACAATGAGATCACATGGACACAGGAAGGGGAATATCACACTCTGGGGACTGTGGTGGGGTCGGGGGAGGGGGGAGAGGATAGCATTGGGAGATATACCTAATGCTAGATGACACATTAGTGGGTGCAGCGCACCAGCATGGCACATGTATACATATGTAACTAACCTGCACAATGTGCACATGTACCCTAAAACTTAGAGTATAATAAAAAAAAAATAAATAAATAAAAATAAAACAAGGCCCTAAAGTCTTCAGTCCTACTGCTAGGTTAATTGCTTCTAATTAATTTGCATATCATATTAAAAGAAAAAAAATTACCCTTGCCTATATCTTCTGCTAACTCTCTGGCTGCTTATTTTTCCTCCTGCAGTTTAAACGGAAAATTCCCAGGGCTGTTTCCAATGAACACCCAGAAGCAAAAGTAGCAGAACCTTCTCTAAATCTCTGTCTTCCTTTCTTTGTTCCCAATAGATCAAACTTTCTTAGAAATAGCTGATATCTTTAAAGTGATTCATAGTTCTGAAACTTAAGCTAATTAGCAAATGACATCTGCATCTTACATACAACCATAACCTCAGATCTTTTTCAACATTTAAGCCACTTTTCAAATTTATGAAGAAATATGTCAATTTTAAATATGTTTTAAATAGTAGTTTCCTTTTAGTTAATAAGTAGTTTGTGAAAATATTAGCATGGAAAATTTGTATCTGATTCATGTGCCAGCATTTATTGTTCTGCATCAAATGCAGAACAATATAAAAGATAGGAGGGAAAATGAGTGGATTGTAAACTAGGGAAGTAAGATGCAACAATTTCAGGGCAGCTGTTATCAAGGTACTGTGAAAGGATCATTCCAAATGAAGGCCAAGGGTACCAGAGACAAATCTTTTCTTACTTTTCCATTTTCCAGGTGCTAGATTAGTGTCTCAAAGCACCAGTATAATAAGCTTTGTTTCATGCAGTGATGGGAATGTATGTTTTGGGTTATATAATCTAACTTACACAAAATAAAATCATCCAAATTGCTTTGAGATGCCTACAGGGATGAACATTTGTATGCGTTTTTACTGTCAGTTTCTAAACTGTTTAGATTTTTAACCATCACAAATGTCTTTGGGGAATCATGAGTAGGCTTTCTGCTATGTATAATAAAACATTAATGTTACTTTATGTAATTTATTGAATAAATTTGTTAATTTCCAGATGGTTATAGTACCACTTACCTTTTGCCATGCTAGCTATAGTGTGATGTGTTAGCTATTAATCAAGAATAATTATAGTTAATTTGTTGAAGTCTATATTATCTCCAGTATACTTCTTTTTACTGTATTTGATTGTGTGGGTTTTTTTAGTAGGTGGCATTGAATATTTTAATTAAAAACTAACTATAGAGTAAAAAATAAAATTTTGGCTCTTTCAGCACTTTAAAATAAGTGAAGCCATAAGAAAATGTGGAGTTTACAGGTATCGCTAGGGAAGCTTCTTCTTTAGATTTATGAAATAGTTTTAATTAAAGTAGAAACAGTACCTAAGGGAACATTTAAAATAAAAATTGCAATATAAGTACCCCCATGTTACTTTTTCATCAACTTAGCATCTTTAAGTGTATTATTTTTATTATGAATGTTTCTAATATAAAAATTGGAATGCTAATGAATAAATTGACTTATTCCATGTCATGTATCAATACCAGACAAAACTAAACTTAAGGGCTGTATTTCCAACATTTTTCTGTACTATCCTACATCATAGGATATTTTCCCTTGTTTTGAAAGTTTATTAAAAAAACCCAGCAAACTCAATAAGTTAGGTAAAAAGCAATACAAACATAATATTCAAACTTTATCTAAAGTATGCATATTTTATTTAACTTTAGCTGGGAATATTTAAAATCAGGTCATGTTCTACTTCAACCCACAATACTTAATGTTTCAAACTGGCTAACCCATGAAATAAAATATATAACTAATTAAAAACAATAAAAAGAAATAAAGTTAGATTATAATTCTCAAAAGCTTTCTTGATAGGGTAATAAAATTTATTTGAAAGAAGCTGTGTACCAACTGATGTAAATATTCTATGGAATTTTGATATTTCAATTAAAATATTTCCATATAAACATATTTTCTTATTTTATGAAGAACAGCATATTCAGTTTTAAAAATCCTCCCTTTCAGATCATTAAAATATTCCACTTACTAAGTAAAAATAGCTAATTTTTCTTTAGTGATTCTATAATAGATTAAACAAAATGTTTGCATAATTTCTATTTTAGTCTTTTATTTAGGACACGTATTACAATGTAGTTCAATACCATAGTTATCTACCAAGGTGAGCACAATTCTATTAATATTTTTTTCATATCCTACATATCTATTTTCATATCCTACATATCTATTCATCTCATTGCTTCTAAAATTAGTAATTATTTTGAAGCCATCTGATATATAAAAGTAGAATAGAATTTTTAAAAAAGAAAGCTTTTCATTTTATGTATAGAATATGGGAGTGTTGGTTCTTGTCGTATGTAAATATTTTATATCTATCAATATTACTAATAACAAAATTTTCTTATGATTATTTCAAATGAAATCATTGAGTGCTAATTTTGAAATTTGTGTTCTGGATAATGGTGAGTGATAATAATATGGCCAAAATTATAATTTCATAAATATTTATTATGAGTTGTTCTAAATTTATGTTCTGGTAAATTTTTGGCTCTAATGAGATTCACACTGGTGTCCAAAGACCCCTGATAGAGATACATTCTTTTGACTGAAAAAGAAGAGTTAAATTTTCTTTTCTTAAAGATAAATTGATACTAAACATTCTTTTCAATTACATTTTCAGAAGCTTTTCTAAATTAGACTCTGTATTCTTCCAAAGTTCTAAGATAGATTGGTGAATAATATAAGCAAGGTCTCTGGTTGCATGACTCTTACATTCTAAGGCCAGGGCTTCTGAAATTATTGAAAAATAAATAAGTAAAATAGTTCCAAAAACTGAAAACATTATGAGTGTTAAAATGGCATAGTGAACTGCAGTAGGGAGGGCCTATTTTGGGTTAGACATTGTAGTACAGCCATTTGAGGAATAAGCTTTTGAGTAGATAACTGAAAAATTAGCTATCCAAAGAGCCATTTTGAGGAAAGGCATTCCAAGCTTAGCAAACAGCATGTGCAAAGGCCTGGTGGTGGCAAACAGCTTCCCAAATTTAAAGATTAAGAAATGTCAGTGTGACTAGAAAAGTAGTAAATGTAAAATTACTTCATGGGAAAGGAGATAAGAGAGTAAACGAAGACCAGAATTTCCAGGCTATGTAAAGCCCAATAAAAAGTCAAAATTTCATTCCAAGTTTGAGAAGTTAAGCATAGCAGTGACACATAGGTTATAAAAAATGCTTTGGCTATTGGCTGAAGACCAATTTGTAGAGTGCTCAATAGAATCAGAAGAGACTATTTCCAGGTCTAGGTGAGACCATGGGGACTTTCCGTATATGATAGTAACAACAAAGAAAGTAAAACAAAATCAGATGCATTTTGGAAGCAGAAGAGGATTTGCAAATGGCTGGCCTTCTGAGAGTGAAGAGAACAGATAATTCAAAGATGACTCTTGAATGTTCAACCAATTGGTGTGTAATGCTGCCATTCCATGTGATATTAAAGAATAGAAGAAGGATATGCTTGTAGAGAAAACATCAAAAGTTCCAGTTTGGACATACTGAGTTTGAGATACATATTAGAAACCCAGGTGAAAATGTTAAGTAGATAATTTGAATATATTGTTTAGCAATGAAAACACTTAAACATCACCATCAGAAACTTGCTTTATCTCTGCTTTGGTATGCTGCTGTATGATAACTAGGATGGTGCATCAGTTTCTGCTGTCATTGAAAGTTTTCTTTCTAACACTGGCATTCAGTAGTTGCAGGATGGGTTCATACTACATGGGTGTTCCACACTTATGGTTCCTGCTGCTTAAGTGTTTTCGTGTAGACAGTGTTTCCTCTGCTCTGTTCAAGCACTCAAGCACTGTTTCCTCTGTTCTGGATTTAAGACACAAGAAATCATCAGAGTGGGGGTGCATCCTTTCTGATGTCCAAAAGAGTTATCATCATTATAATGTTTGGTGATATTTTTCCTCTTAATCATCTGGATACACTCTACCAGGACAACACTACCTTATCCTCTTTCAGGATCTTGGGAATCTCATGGGTCCTTTCTGTGTCCTGCTGCCCTCTCATCTTATCCTCTTCACCCAACTGTCACAGTTTTTATGCCAGCTTCTCATATAAGACCTTCTGCGGTTTGCAAGCCTTTGCCTGGTACTTGAGAAGGTTCATCTTCAAACTTTAAGAGCAATTTTTACAGTACCTCAACTTGATAAATAACAATGCCAAATGCCTTGCCTCTACTATGGAGAAGTAAGGATCTCAGAAGAGATATACTCAAGAAACTCTGCTATCCCTGAAAAATCAACCAATCTTCCTTTATAACCCTTCTTCTCTTGAACTTAAAACTTAAAGAATGTTATGCTCATCCTTCTAATATTTTCTGTTTTTGCAGTAAACCAGAATGTAGAAAATGATTTTAACATACAATTCACATCATAATTTTATACAAGTCTGAAGCTCAAGGGAAAATTTAGGATTACAGTTATAGACATGAGAGTCAGCAGAATATGGATGATATTTAAAGCTTGGGGACTTGTTGAGATCACTTGGGTAAAAAGTGCACACTCAGAAAAGAAGGTCTCCTATGACTAAGTCTCAGGACAATGGACTCAAACACTTTATAATAGGAGGAGTTATCAAATTTTGTGAAAAATGAGAGTTTAATAGTACAGAAGGAAATCCAAACAGTGCAGAATGATGAGAACCTATGAAATACTTCTCAAGGCCGGGCGCGGTGGCTTAACGTCTGTAATCCCAGCTACTCAGGAGGCTGAGGAAGAGAATTGCTTGAACGCAGGAGGTGGAGGTTGCAGTGAGTCGAGATCACGCCACTGCACTCCAGCCTGGGCGACAGAGTGAGACTTTTTGGTGGAAGAAAGAGTTGTAGCAGATGATAATACAGTGTTGAATAAAACATACATTACAATGGTTGGTGTTACAGATAATAAACTAACTGAAATATAAAATATGCTATGTAGTGAATAAGATTATGAAGGAAAATAAAGTAGGGAAAGGGGACGATCTATCTAGGTAGTAGATAACATTTCAAATGTTAGATAACATTTTAAATGTAGCAGTCAGGGAGGTTCTTACAGAATAGGTTATGTAAGAAAAGTGAGAACGAGAGACCTATACAGACATCTAGGGCACAGTGTTCCAGAATAGAGAGAAGCTCTTACCAAAGAGCCTTGTAATCCACTAGAGACATTTAAGTAAAGTGGAGTGGATGAAAGCCCATGAGGAATGGATTAAAGAAAAAAATGTTAGACAAGGAAATGAAGACAGCGTGTACAGAAAGTTTTTTCCAGGAGTATCACTTTAAAGGGAAGCAAGAAATGGGCAGTTGCTGGAGGAAAACATAAAGTTGGGATTTCTTAAAAGATGAGGGAGATTAGAACATATTTTAATATTGTTTTGAATGATTCAGGAGAAAACTAGTGGGAATGATTGAAGGAGCAAATGATAGACAAACAAATAGGAAATTTGTCTTGATAAGAATATGGGCAATTTTTCAATTGCTACAGAACACAAAGAAAATAATAAAGATACATATAAGAGTGGATGGTAGATTTCCTGGTAGAAATATGATATCTTCATGGGATTGTTTTCATTTTCTTAAAAAAATGTATTGAAGAATTGGTACATATATTCATGAGAAAAACACGTATCTCCCAGTAGTTTTGAGTGTCGACGTACTTGTAGTCATGAGTCTGAAGTAAGAAAATTAAGCAATAATGTTATTTTCTCTCAAAATGTTTAGTTATGAGAGTCTAGGTATGGAGTAGACAACAATTTTGTTGTGAATAAAATTAGATATTTTTCTGAATAGAAGGAAAATGGGAAAAGAGAAATAATAATTTTGAGAAAGTAATTATGTAATTGGGCCACGAACTCTAAGCCAGATTAAAAAAGAGAGAATTTAAGAGATGTGAGTAATACAAAATGTCATAACAAGAGTGAACTAAAGTTTTCCATATAGTTCTAGGGTAGTTTGGTAAGAAATCAATTTGAAGAACTAGGCCAGGGCTGAATCAGAGGCATGGCAGACCACCATTAAGATGTTGAACTGAGTCATAGAAAAGGATACATAGATACACAGTTTTGCTGGAGAAAATAACATGTCATGCTGATTGCTCTCACCTCAAATTTAAGGCCGTGGGATTCTAAATTTATATAATTAATAATTCCACTTACTCTTCTTTATTCTGAAGAAACCATTGCATGTATGCTTAAGCTGATATACATAAATAAAACCAGATACATTAGTTCCATGAAATGATACATAGCAGCAAATACTACACACACTGATGTATAAAGTTCTACAATATGTATAGTAAAGGAGACACATTATAGGACAGTGCATATAGTAATAGCCCATTTATACAAACTTCTTTAAAAATTTGTGAAAATTATAATTCAATTTTCACTTGTATATGTATAAGTAAGTTCATAAGTATATTAAATATACATAAAATTAATAGTAATGATTACTTCTAGAAGTGGTATAGGAAAGTTTGTGATCTCATGGATCAAAGGTCAGCAAGTCAATAAGGATATTAGGTATTTAACTCCACATGCACATATAATTATTTATATATGTTTATAAAAACATGAATATATTCCTACTTAAATTATATAATTTTAACCAGTACAAAGCTAAAATTAGAAAAAGTTTAAGAATACAATATTCCTACTTAAATTATATAATTTTAACCAGTACAAAGCTAAAATTAGAAAAAGTTTAAGAATACAATCCAGTGCTGGCTACCAGATGGATGTTGGTAGGCTTTCTGTAGCTAGGAAGAACAAAAGCATAATTATGGAAGGACAAAGGGAGATATGCCCATATTTTGCTTTGATGTTCTTTTTTTATTTCTTTTTTCCTGAGAAGGACTTGTTAAACATCCTATGTTACTGGAGTTGGTGTGTTGGGTTGGTAGTGAGGGAGAAGGGGAAGCCTATTTGTTGGCATTAGTCATTGACTTGATTGAAAAAAATACAGGCTGTTTTATTGATACATTATCAGAAGTGCTACTAAATGTAAAAGTTAATTTGAAATGAGCTTAAGCACAAATAATGTTATTTAGCAAGTCATTCAATTGATTCCTGAAACTTATAAGGAGGAGAATGTTGAATTCACATCAGATTTTTCTATTATATCCATGTATAATAATATTTTATTGTAAAATCCACATGCTCTAATACCTCTCTTAGTTATGCAGTAACACAAGTGTGAAACAACAGAGGTCACTATTATCTTTTTAAGAGATGGGGTCTCTGTTATCCAGGCTGCAGTGCAGTAGTATGATAACAGCTCACTTTAACCTTGAACTGGGTCAAGCAAACCTACTGCCTCAGCCTCCCAAGTAGCTTGGACTATAGGCATGCGTTAGCTATCATGACCAGCTAATTTTTAAATTTTTAGAGACAGAGAGTCTTGCTACGTTGTCCAGGCTGGTCTCGAATGCCTGGCCTCAAACGTTTACTCCCACCTTTGCCTACCGAAGTGCTGGGCCATGACACCTGGCATGAGCCACCACACTTGGACTATTATCTTGATTAATAACTTTTTAATTTTTCTTATTAGATGGTAAGCATATTTGCAGAATTGCTTTTTAAAAAAATTGAATTCAAATCCCGTTGAATGTATCCTTTACTTACAGATACCTAATTCCCCTTTTCCCATAGAAGATGTAAGTTTTTAAGGTTGAAAGGCTAGAGGAAAATCTCATTTACATACTCCAAAAGAAAATGTTACCCTTAATTTAACTTGGACAGCTAAAATATTTTCACACTTCTCCTTTGGTCAGAATTTTAATGTAATAAAGATTCACAGATACATCTAATTCCCATTTATTGATGAGGAAAAGCCAATACTTAAAAACCCAAGGACAACCTATTTTTACATCTTTACTTGGTTACTTATTAAATATGTAACTACATGTATTGTAAAGTTAGTGTTTATTAATGTTTACTACAAGTTAGGTGCATGAAAATATTTTCAAAGTCAAAATATCCAAATCCTACTAATAGGAAACAAAAAATTAAACAAGTACCAGAAACAGATCTCCAAATGTATTATAATGTAAAAAGTGAAGGTAAGTTTTGAGTGAAGTCTTGAAAACATTTCCTCTTTTCATAGTTTGTTATTGACATATCATCTTGTCACATTTGCTCTTTTCCTTGATAGAAAAAAGTGATGACTTTTCATTGAAGGTTAGGTGTTGACATTTAATGCAATTCAGCATACATTTACTGAGCGCCTGTTATGTCCTCATGCTGTAAGCAATGTGATGAATTTCAAATGAAGACCTGACCTTCAGAAAATTATAATACAGTTGGGTGACCAAAGTGATCAGTAGTGTCTTTATCACAAATGTAGCATTTTTGCTGTAGTTAACATATTAGACCTTAAAACAATTCAAATATGTATTTACATTGTAGGTGGTCAACAAATATCTGTTTGTATATTCTAAGTGTAATCCTTTAGTGTGTGAAGTTTGAGTAACTGAAACAAATTCAAAGAGAGTAAAATTTAGAAATTTGCAAATAGAGCTTTAACGGTAAAAAACAATTTATTAAACATAAAAATCTGTAGTTTTTCTATAGAAGACCATTATTGTTGTCAGAATGGAGATACTTGAAATGTATATATAATTTGACAAATACCCAAAGTATTAATTTTGGAGATATCAGCAAGTTTAGTTAAAAAAAATAACCCTCATTTGGCAATTATAATGGACAATCATTTATCTATCCAGACTATGTGTTGTTCTCACTGGAAGCAGTAGGTGGAATGAAATAACTCTTAGAATAGCCTTCCAGGCTAATGTAACCAACAGCGTATTTTTTCATTGTAGGACAGAAATACAGCATTTATTTAGTAAAGTGTCAACTTCAAAAGAATTACCACATTTTCAGTATATTGTGGAAAAATTGTTAGAGTATTTTTTTCACTTTTAATGTTGAATCTTCGCTAAATTGTTGAAATAAAATTGGAAGATGACAATTTGGAAATAATTCCTTCACAACACACCCTTTCTCACTTCCCTTCTCCCACCAAATGTTATGTCACTGTTGCTAGATCTGGAAACTTCATCCTTGCAGAATTTTAAATTGCTGTAAAATGGGAATATATAATTCTACCCTCAAATTATGTAGTTGAAAGAATAGGTAATCATGGATCTATATATAAAGTATTTTGATTTGTATATGAGGTTTGGATTGGCTCATATGCTTAATATTTATATTTAAAGTGACTTCACATATATTTATTTTAACAATTGCCAGTTAGACAACAACAATCAGAGAGCAGTCTCTTCTGGGCATAAGTCATGAAGCTAAAACCACTCTTTCAGATTCTCTATGCTTAAAATGAATGGGTAGATACGTACAAATATATATTTTTAAAATGTTTTTTCTTTAATTTTCTGTACTATTCTGTAAAGCTTGATATAAACTTATTCTTGTTTTGACATGTGTGATCTTTATATCATTGGAATAGTTGGCAAATTCCTTAATGCCATTTTCTTATTTAAGATGTGGTAGTCTTTTTGTTTCTGATACATTGCTTCTGAACTCTGTTGGCAAGCTTATAAATCAGATCACCAATCATCCATAATTTATTTCTGTAGGTAATTGAATGTGCTCTGTGTAGAATACAAATGTTTTTAACAATATATCTGAGCATCTTAAATGTGATAGGTTTAAAAGTTTACAGAATAAATCAATTTTTTCTTTCTCTCATTGTTTTATTCCTTTTTATTTCATGAATTTTATATATATGTATATACACCCACACATATACATACACATATATGTTACAATATATGCAGTCATGGAAACTAGATATATACATTACTCAGATCTATGCCTTCTAAGAAATATAAAACTTTTTTTAACTTTAGAAATCATATGTTTAAATATCTATTTTAAATTTTTAAATTTATGTTAAAATTGAGGATAATTTTCTAAATGAAGCAACAATGTTTTTATTTCCGCTAAAGAGAACTGATTGTACCTACTTGCTTAAAAGTAAATCTTCTCATGGGAATGTCATTTTGGCCATTGAGAGATTTTTGTAAAATGATGAGATGTGCTGTAATGTTGGACACACCATAAGACACATTCTGCAATGTGAAATGTTGTCAGCCTTCTGAATCATATATCCTATTATATATCATATGGATATGGATAGCATACACCCATGTAATCCCTGAAAATATTCTCTTTATCAATATTTATATGAATTATAAACAGAAAATAAATATTTCAAATTGCTTCTCCTTTTTACATTCCTTTCTAAGATCATTTTTAATACGTGCTACCATCAGATCTTGCTTATTTAAAAAGCTTCCATACAATTGAAAATGTCAACATAAAGGCACAACAAGTCAATGTACCATAGAATATAGTTTGCCCTTTTGTTTCTGAGATCTTCATATTTATTGATCTGCTTTTTTGTGTGTGTCTGCTGTGATTTTATGTTTCCTATTCTTAAAAAATAATCGTTCTTGTCAGTTGATCTGTCAACATTATGTTAAAGCCAATTCTGTATTGAAAAGTAGACAGTTCATTATTAATATTAGCACCACTGACTTGCATTTTAGAAGCCCTGAGCACTTTTTTTTTTTTTTCCTACTAGAACAGAGAAAATCAAAGAGTGCAACTTAGTAGTCAGGAATGTCTAGGATATGGGCCCCTGGGCACTTTGTTTGCTGCCCTCAGGTGTCCTTGAAACTTTTGGAGTGTTCAGAGTATAAAAGCTGGAAGGCATATGACTTCTCTCCTCTCTCTTTTTGAGACAGATTTTCGCTCTGTCACCTAGGCTGGAGTGCAGTGGCGTGATCTTGGCTCACTGCAACCTCTGCCTCCCAGGTTCAAGTGATTCTCCTGCCTCACCCTCCTAAGTAGCTGGGATTACAGGCACCCACCACCATACCTGCCTTATTTTTGTAGTTTTACTAGAGATGGGGTTTCACTATGTTGACCACGCTGGTCTTGAACTCTTGACCTCAAGTGATCTGCTTGCCTCGGCCTCCCAAAGTGCTGGGATTATAGGCCGGCCTGAAGTCATTTGACTTCTATAAGAGACTTATAAAACACAAAATGCTGTATACTCACTGGTTCTAAGAGTAGAATTCAAAAGTTTGGATAGAGAAAATATTCAGACTTGTAGGGTTTTCAGATCATTAATGTAACTGAGTTTGCTTATTCACATAAATTTAGTTTACTGACAGAAAGTGAAAAATGAAGGTAGACACAGGACAAGGGAAAAGAACACTGACAAATCTACCATGGTTCTTATTTTTCTGCTGTCATCTTAATACTGTATCACAAGGATAATGTAGGTCCAATGAGCCTACCTGACACGCAAAATCATTATGCAGAGTAAATGCAATCATGTTTAATAAAATATTATATAAAAGTTTAAGAAGTATGTAATTATTCAAATGTAATCTTTCTTTTTTAATCTAGAGTATTCTTTCAGAAAAATGTTGCTTCATGTCATAAAATACTGCTTTATAAAGACTTTAATATAACTGACAAAAGCATGAATTCTGTGGATTGTTAAAAAAGTATCCATAGAAAAGCTGTTTGTATTCACTTTATTGCCACTGATTTTTCCGAGTAAGAATTGAAGTTTGGCTGGGCGCGGTGGCTCACGCCTGTAATCCCAGCACTTTGGGAGGCCGAGGCGGGCGGATCACATGGTCAGGAGATGGAGACCAGCCTGGATAACACGGTGAAACCCCGTCTCTACTAAAAATACAAACAAATTAGCTGGGCGTGTTAGTGGGCGCCTGTAATCCCAGCTACTCCGAAAGCTGAGGCAGGAGAATGGCGTGAACCTAGGAGGCGGAGCTTGCAGTGAGCCGAGATCGCGCCACTGCACTCCAGCCTGGGCGACAGAGCGAGACTCGGTCTCGGTCTCAAAAAAAAAAAAAAAAAAAAAGAATTGAAGTTACATCAAACTATCTAACAGTACATGGTCCCACATTGGCTATTATTTCAGAGTTGCTTTATTTCCTTAGGAAGTCTGTCTTTCCTCTTTGGTACGCTAGGTAAGCATACATATAAAACAAGATAAAACTTTATAAGATACAGACCTAATTTCAAAGAAGTTACAGTAGTATTCTGAAACAATATTGTGTTAGTTACGGATTCTTTAATATTTGATTATGCTTGCCACTGTGACACACACCCAGACCTATCCTGATTATTTATAGAATCAAATGCACACCACTAAGCAATGTAATTAGTAATAATTTGTTCCATTATTCTGCAACTGTCTGGAGCCATACATTTAAGCATTCACAAATTCTCAAGAAAAATGTCATAATTCCTGAAATGACTACAAATAATTTAAAAATTCTAGGATACTTATTTTGATTATCACAAGATACTTGCATCTTTCTTTTTGTAAAAAGTTTCCAATTAAGACAATTTGGTGAACATAAAACTGGGATTTAATTGTTCAACATTTTTGGCTTTTTATTCTGGTAAATTCAAAAATAGAGGAAGAAATCCTGATTGTTCAGTTAATTTTTGACAAGATTTAACAAATAATATACTGTCTATGTGGTTGACTTTGGATAACTGAAACCAAATAGCACTTTTGTTTTGGACTTCCATAAAAACAAATGAAATATTAGAATTAGTTTATTCCAAAATGTTTATTAGTCACATTCTCTGTGCCAGAACCGTTCTATATTTTGAGGTTGCATCAGTGAACAAAACAGAAAATCCCTTCCTCACGAGGCTTACATTTTAAGTAAGAGATAGACAAGAAATATAAGTGAAGAAATGGTAATTAAATATATTTACGGTAACTATTAGAAAGTGGTAAGTGTTAATGGGGAAACAACAGGATGGGATAAAGGAGACAGGCATCCATCGGGGCTCAGCTCCCTGAGTGCATGTCCAGCCTCCCTCAGACCACTCAGAACTTCCTCTTCTTCCGTGGAGGCCAGGCTTTTGCTCTGCACTTTCTGCAGAACTCCATCAACCTGATGGTGTATACCCTGGCCTTGGCCAACTTAGATAGTCGCCTCATCTCTGAGCTCAAAAGCTAGATAGAACAGAGACGCAGAATAAACTCTTCCTGGCACAGCCTGCTCTCCCAGGACCTGCTTAGCATCATGTCCCTCTTTTGGAGACCAGATCTGCCCCTAGACCTTTTGTGAGAGAAGGTTACATCGTCTGTAAAGTGTGAGAACTGGAGAAGTCTCCATGTCCTTCCAGCCCTGGGATTCAGAAATTTCCAGGGCCGCTCAGACCCTCGCCCCTCCAAGTCCCTGACTCCCTTATGAATCTTGTCCTTGTATCAATAAAAACAGCAGAGGCTGTGGAGAGCTCTTTGACGCCGGCCTCCTCAAGCCGGGGGCAGGACTTCAGCAGTGCATAAGCCAATCTCATGTCTGATATAGGTTGTTGGTGGAGAAGAATCGTCCAGGAGAGGCCTTGACAGTAGGGGCAGCCAATCGACGCTGCATCCAGCAGCGCTGGGGGCGGGGCCTCTTGTGACTGACTCGGAATGAGGGAGTTTTGCGTTCCTCTCAGGCCCGCGGACTTCAGAACTCTCAGAGGGAGACACCTGGGTGGCTGCTCTTGTGGAGAAAGACTCAGGGCACAAATAAGGCGTTTTTTTATTTTGTTTTGTTATTGTTGTTTGTTCAAATAAGGCTTTTTTTGTTTTGTTTTGTTGTTGTTGTTTGTTTCTTTCTTTTTTAAAACTCCGCAAGAGGGTTTTAGGGCTTTTCCTTTCCCCGTGGCTGTTGTTCCCTGTGGGGTAGGGGCCTTTCCCTCACACACCTGGGGTCGCACCTCGTGTGGTTGGCGTCAGCCTGACTGAGACAGTCGTATCCCAGCAGAGGTCTGAAGGAGGCCGCTGACTGGGCAATGAGAATAGTGGAAGCGCTTGCCAGGCTGAGGGTACTTCCCGATAGACCACATGAGCTGAGGATCCAGAGTTTCTTTTTCTGGAATTACTTCAATAAAAGGTTTGTTTGTTTGTAAAACATTTAAAAGTAAATCGATTCAGTCATTTAAAGGCAGGCAAAAGTAAAAAGGGTCGTTTACAAATTTCCCAGATATTTTGGTCTAAAAGAAAATTCTGTGAAAAAAATATATACAACTTGTCTTATGAAAAGAATTATTGCTAGGGCTTACAGGAAAAAAACTTAGTATTTAGAATTTGTACTCTTCCGTCTAATATTAAAAACAACAACAACAACTGAAAGTAAAATGATGTGCCGAGTTTCGTGCTGGTGAGGCACAAGTGTAAGTTGAATTTTAGCCTGAGAAGAAACATGGAAATAGTTACAATTTTTCATATTAGCAGAGGTGTGTGCTGTCTGAACCACACTCCAGTTCCCAGTGTTCAGTTCAGGTGCTAGAAGAAGTCTTCATGGTATAGCATATGAATTTTTAAGATTGGTAGATTTATAATTGCTTTGTTTATTACTTGCTTTGGCTTTATTTTTTTTGTTTGAATTAGAGGAACGGGATCAATGATTTTAATTTAGAAACCATAGACTAGAGTAAAATTAGAATTTAGTGGCATATAGACCAGCTGCTTTTACATATTTAAAGGCATATATTTAGAAGAAGAGTTAGATGTATTCCAAATAACCCCAAAGTTTGTGTTAGGACAAAAAGACAATAACGTGAGACGTTTTGGTTGAAACGAATAAAATTCTTTAAAATGGTACAATTATGGAAAGGGTGGTGTCAGGAATGATTGAGTAACCAATATATGCAGGTATGCCTTTAGAAAACTAGTAGGGCATTCAAAAAAGCATTGCAAGGCGATTGTTCTTGGTATCATAAGCAGTTTTTTTGTTGTTGTTTGTTTTGTTTTGTTTAGCCCCTTCATTTAACCAAGATTTAAAGAGTGTATGGATACTGGACTTTTTTTCTCTACCCTTAAGGAATAATAGTAATACATGTAGACAAATATTTATGGGATTTTTAGATCGTTGCACATAAAATAGAGGCAATATAAAGTGTTGTGGGATCAAGATGAAACACACATTTCACAGAAAAGTGAAAAAGTGACATTTGAGCTGAATATTTAAGGATAAGTAGTAGTTTGTCAAGTCAGTTGGGCAAGTCCTCAAAATATATAATCAAAATTATTACAACAGCATCCTAACTAGTTTCACACTCTCCAGACAAGATTTTCTATACTTTATCTTTTCAGACAAAAGAAATAACAGCATAAACAAAATTACAGAACAATAAAATGCAAAGGATATTTGGGGAGAAACTGGAGAAAATGAAATAGGTTAAAAAAGGATGAGATGGTGTAAATTAGTGGTTTTTAAACTTTGGTAACATGTGGGCCACATTTATGTTGATATATTCACAGTTATATTCCAGTTCCAAAAAACTAGTACTAATTACAGCATTTTCTTTGTTATTCAATAAGGCATATAAGAATCCACTAAATTTTAAGGAAATGACTAAATTTTTGGCATTTTACTTATTTGTAGTGAAAAGATACTTTATAGAATATTGTATGATTATATCTGCTCTGTGTCTCTCAAGAGTTGGGCTGTGAATCAGTCTAGGCTGGGCATAGTGTTAGGGTCAAAATCAGAAAAAAATGTTTAACAATCTTTATCTATTCATTCAACAGAATTTATTGAATGACTACTACCTATTATGGACTGTTCTAGACACTGAAGACAGTAACATTCCTTTAGAGGAAGTAAATTCCTATTAAAAATTGAAATTGAAAAAGTGAAGGAAAACAAAATTTGCTATTTCATATTTCTTACTCTTAATAGGATGTTCTGTTCTGTCTTGTGCTTGTAAAACTTCCAACTATCCTCCAAAGTCAGAGTATCATAATACTTTGAAATATCAATCTCAGATATTAATTATCCTCATTTCTTCATCTTTTCAAGAAGAATTTAGTGATGGAAACACTCTTGTTATCTTCGTATGTTTTAGTGTCTGGTCTATAACACTGGACAAATTTTATTGATTTATAAAACCATTGACCTATATGAAAAGAATTTAAGGTAGGGCTGAGTGAATTCATATAATTATAGGATTCTACTTATCTTTTAACTTTTAAATTTCTGCTTTTTAAAATCCTAGGATATGTGATGGAATGGGTTTCTTTCTTGAGATTTCTCATGTATGTGCTTATAAAATCATATTTGTCTAATTTTATATCACAGCTTTATTCTCAAAGAGTTCTTCATTTTTTTTTCCAAAATTAAGCCTAGAACAATGATTTCCTTTTAGGAAGAAGTTGCTTCTTCTAAATTATTAGATACAAAATTACTAACTAAACATGGTTGTACTTGATCATATATTTTGTTTTTATGGGTTCAGACTTTCACTATATTCTTATTCTTGCTTTAGCTCACAATTTGAAATCTAAGTTACAAAGAAACATATTTAGCAAAACATTTTTCAAGAATAATTCAGTCAGTCAAAGGCTTTAAAACAGTGTGGATGAAATAGGGAAGGGGGAATATAATTTTCTACTCTAAATTTTCTTACATATTGTAAAAAATGTTTTGATCACAGGATACTGAGGATACTGAGCTCTGAAGTTGGGTGGTTAACACAGCTTGGACAACTTCTGGAAACATTTTCCTGTTAAAATGATGCTGACTTAAGTCTCTAAAAATCTGGCATAATAAAATACATAAGAGGAGATAACAGAAGACATTCTACAAAAAGAATAAAACCTGTGTAAAGGCTTAGTTATGATACAGTACATGTCTTCATAAAAGTGCAAGATTTCGTAGCAAGAACAAGGCAAGGAGGGAGAAGAATTGAGAAGTGATGATTAAGACATAAATATAAGTTAGATCTTGCAGACCCTGCATGTTTGTATTTAAGGGTGACCTATTATGTATGTGTTTGAGTACCACTGATTTTAAGATTCGTGTGACAACTTAACAAGTTTTAGAAAGAATACTATATTTGCAACACATAAGGTGCATAGAATATTTTTTAGAGACACGAAACTAGTTAGGATGCTATTATAATAATTTTGTTTATATATGTTGAGGATCTGGTCTAAGTCCTGATTGTTCAGAAGAAGAATATTTAGGAAGTAGGAGTAAATAATAATTGATGATAACTTGGAACTAGGTGGAAATGCAGATTGCTGGATTGAAGAACAACGTGGAGGTTGGCTTCCTTCCATGCAGTTAGAGGCCAGGTTAAAAGCAGCACATTTAAGGTTTATCTGGCTGGGTGATCTATTATATTTTCCTTCAGTTGTATTATTTCCATTTCCTTCTTTTATATGCAACCAAAGTTCCCGGCTCCCCTCATATTCCTATATTTCTGTTCGAAAGTACACTTGGTATTTAACACTAGAAGTTCTGATTTAAATAAATAAAATTTGAAATTGGAAGAGTTTTAATTTTGAAAGGAAAAGACACATAAATCTAGGGAATCCAGAAGAATTATGTAAATAATACTTAAAATTGAGAAGAGACATCAAGAAACTGAGCATAAGATAAATACACAAAATACATTAGAAAAATTATAACGTTAGATTATATTATAATGCTAAAATATACCTCTGCAAAATGTCAAATAAAGAGTTTTCCTAAAAGAAAATGTGCAGGTACTGTAAAGAAAACTATTTAACTTCACTGAGAGATATTAAAGAAGACAGAGATAACTGCAAAGACATAGTATTAATCTTATACTTTTGCTGTCTATCTGGTATCTGTTCTCATTGGTGAGTCTATTCTAATTAATTTGTGATTCTACTATACTAGTTTTTTTACTGTTTCTAACCATGATCGCTGCTGTTAATTCTTTCAAAACGAGTGCAATATAACCCCAGTGACAAGCTCAAAGTTCTTTTTCAGCAACTCAACAAGTTTGAAAACAAATGCAGGTGGACATAAAAATTTACAAAAACATACAAAATGAAGCTAGTGTTTCATGACATGAATGTAGAAATACAAAGAGATATGATCATTTAAAAATGTTGTAGATACATATTAAAATTGAGGAAATCAGTACAACAAAGCATTAATTCTAGTATGTTTTAGAACATAGTTTAGATGAGGTAGGAATTTCCATAAGCAAATGGAGAATAGAGTATTTCAAATGGTACTGAGAAAACTGACAGCTGCATAGGAAAAAATCAATCAATATCTCATCTCCTACTTTGAAGCAAAATATATCTCAGACTGATTAAAAATTTTAATGTATAAAACAGAAGCAAAAGTATATCGTAGGAGGTACACAATGAAGATTCATTTAATTTCTGAATAGAAAAAGGCTTTCTAAGCATAAATGCAATTTGGAAAATCACAATGAAACAATACAGACATAACAATTTTTTTCATGAAAAAAGTTTAAAAAGGAAGACAATAAAGTGGGGAAAAATAAAAAAGTTTAATATCCTTAGTGTAAACATAACTCATACCAGTTGATAATAAAAATGATATACTTCAAAATTAGGCTATTCCAAATCCCTTTAGATTGGAACTGATGGTGAGCAAAAACCTCCCAAGGCTCCTCCAAGTGGTCTTTAACTGATTTTCTAAAAGTTTCAGATCTAAGTGACAGTCCTGTATCACTTAGCAAGGACAAGGTAGGGAGAAATTGAGGAATTTTCCCCCAATGTGAGGGCAGCACAATGACATCCCAAGGCGAGGGTGGATGAGAAGTGAGAGTGGAATTCTAACATTTCTCTTCCTATTTTTATTCTTCCACACCAAAGCCTGACTTCCCCACCCCTAATGTACAGAGGGGTACAAGGTAGGACCCACACATTCCATTGTTGGAGAAAATTTCTCAAAACTTCCCTTCCCCCCCACCCCCCCCTTTTTTTTTTTTAAGACGGAGTCTCACTCTCTTACCCAGGCTGGCGTGCAGTGTCGCGATCTCGGCTCACCGCAACCTCTGCTTCCCTGGTTCAATTAATTCCCCTGCCTCAGCCTCCCAAGTACCTGGGATTACAGGTGCACACCACCACGTGTGGCCAATTTTTTTGTATTTTTAGTAGAGACCGGGTTTCACTATGTTGACCAGACTGGTCTCGAAATCCTGACCTCAGGCAAGCTGCCCAACTCAGCTTCCCAAAGTGCTGGGATTACAGGTGTGAGCCACCGCTTCTGGCCCCACCTTTTGTCTTTATAGTGCCTCTGGAGTAAACCTTGGTGTGTGGGGGGAATCCAGAAGCGGAGCAAGTTATTGGTCTTCTATTTATGCTCACTGTCTTAGTGCATATCTAGAAATGTTACTGTAAACACCATATGTATATACTGGTGACTCCTTTAGCCACCTGTGTATTTGATATCAATACTTGGACTTCTAAGCACTGTAAACTTAACATCTCCAACACTGAGCTTTCACTGTTTCTCCCAGATTTCAACATCTGATGGTGCTCTCCACCTAATCAAGGATTCTCCATCTCTCCAATTGCTTAGACCAAGAATTTAGAGTCATTTTTGACTCTTTCCTTTCTCACAAACTCCGTTGGCTCTCAGCAAAATTAAGTCAGAAAGCAACCTCTCTATTGACCTCCATTGCCATCAATTCTATTCCCAGAACATATCAGCAACTATCACTTGGTTATTCAAGTAACTTCCACCTGTCCCTGCCCTAACCCTACTCTGTTCAACACATCAGCTCAGTTTTTATCAGATGCAAATCAGACATGATATTCCTCTACTAAAATGTTCCAATGGCTTTCTCCTTATGGAAGACTATAATCACAAGACTGTGCAATAACCCTGCAAGGTCATATTATACCTGGCCCATTGCTATCTTTCCAACAGCATTCCTAACCACTGTCTTTCTTGGACACTCCACTCGAGTTACAGAGTCCTGCTCAAGATTCCATGCATATATATGATATATCTCATATAACTACATGGCTTACGTCTTCACTTCCTTCATAACTCTGCTAATAGGACCATTATCAGACAGGTCTTTCTCAGACCTCTAACCATATATCTCTCTGTACCACCCACACCACTTAGTTTCATTTGTAGAGCTTATCACTACCTGGCATGCTGTGTACTTACTACTTCATGTTTATTTTTTCCCTCTCCAACAAGAATGCAGGTTCTTTGAGGATGATATCTTTGTCTGTTGTTTTGACTCCTAGAAGGGTACCCAACATATATAAAGTGCTCAATTAACTTTTGTAAGAGAGTGTTGAGTGAAAAAATAATTCTTGAATAAATTAAAAGGAAGGTACTATAATATTGTATTTGATGGTTTTCATTTTGGAGTACGGGCATATGTGTTTTTCTTTTATTAAAATTTTTGTTGCCAACTATCTGGCCAATTCTGTACTGTCCTGTTTTTCATTTAAATAGTCCTGATACAATTTTTGTTCTTCCTTCTTTCTTTAAGTTTTTACTACTCCTTACTCTCACAATCCGTATGTGCCACTTATGTGCTTTTATTTTTTTCTTCTCTTTCTAAAAGACAAAACACAAATAAATGTGTGTGGAGGCCATGAGAACTATAGTTAGTGTGATTAGTATCCTGGAGGGGACAATCCCATAATTAATGTTTTATATAAATAAATGCCTGATTATTTGTGCATATGTATGCAAGGGTGTATGTAAATTGTGTCTGTTGTGAATATATCTTCATAAGCTAATTGTATACCACAATTTAAATTTCTTATAAAAGTGAAGTAAGCAACCCATTTAATTAAGGGTCTTCCTGTTCAACATTGTTTATCTGAAAGTAGGTTATATAGCATTTAAAATTAAAAATACAAATATGTATAAGATTCTAACCATAGATATAAATACTTATGTTTAAATGTATAAACATATTTTATCTTTAATTCAAACTGGTAGGAAAAAATGCAAATACAACATGGTTAATTTTTTTTTACTATGGTAGCTGTTCAGTGAACATTACTCATTCAAATAAATTTATAGAGTTATATACCATGGATTTTGTACTACAATATTTATTCAGTAAACGTGTAATTCAAAGGATTTCATAGAACACTATACCATAAAAATCAGCTTTAAAATACATTTTATTTTTAAAAATACATTTAGAGAACCCTCAAGGGACAAAAATTATATCTGGGCTGAAATATGGTACAGAGACTCATTCCCCATTTGTCATGTTAATAGTTATTAGCCTTAAAATTGGATAAAAAGATAAAATGGCATGAAGTAAAATGAAACATCCCCAAAGAAAAAGCATTCATTTTCTGACTATAACCGTTACAAATACTATAAGTTTGGAGACCTGTTTGTATGGGAAATCCAGAGGCAAATGCATGTTGGGAGGGAGGGATTTTATATTATGGTCTTTCTTCCCTAAGTTGTTTTTCCTGTAAGGGCTCCCAGTAAGGAATTCCTTTCCTTTCCTTTCATGACAGTGAAACTATACAGGTACTTTTGCTGGACACTTCCTGGAGCTGCCAGAAAGCACACACTCAACTTGTCACAATATTTTCCCCTCACTGAGAGTATAAAAGAAGATGGGAGAATTTGCTAGGCCATGTACCCCTTGATTCCTCAGTCCCTTTACTCTCTTCTACTTCATTATACAATAATTTCCATTTTTGCTGTAATCTTGCTAAATTCTATTCTGTGATGTCTCCTCACTAGCATGAAAAAGCTGACTCTGTATCTGTTTTATTCATTAATATGCTTTCAGAAAGAGTACTTGGCATATAGAAAACATTTGACAATTATTCAATGAATGGTTTCTTAGCTTAAGAAAAAAATACCTCAATATAAGCACGATTTATTTTTTTGTGATGATTTTTATGTTATCTTTATGACTGTGTCTAACTGTAAATGTTCTATTACATATATGTTTTATATTCCAACTACAGTTTTTTTCTACTGTTACTAGACAGTCTTTCATCTTTGATATCTTTAAATAAGTAATACGTATGTTGACTGACACCTGTGTAACTCATTCTCTGTTCCTGCCCTTTTGCCCCAGTCTATTTTCTGCCTAATTGTCTGCAGACCCTGTTGCCCTCTGGCTTCCTTTTGGTTTGAGCCATTGAGTGGAACTGATGTTTTCCCTATGACAGTCCCAGCCACCAGCTGTCATTCTGCACGGGTGTTTCCATTATTTTCCAAATGGAAATACATGACCCTTGGTGCCACCCCATTCCATTTTGATTCCTTTTCCACAACTCCATATAAATAACCCCTTTATTATATTATCTTCAAAATTATTCCTGAATGTGCTTACAGATTTGACTGGAGAATTAAGAAAATATGAAATTCAGTTTCTGTTTTGTTTTTTTTTGTTTTGCCTTTGCATAATAAATCCATTGTCTGATCCTTGCCTAATGTCCTAAAACAAATTTAATTTGAGATCTTGGAGTTTGGGGTTTGATAGATATTGATGCATAGTGAAAATTAAAAACAGCAAAAAAGCTAATTATAGTCATATCTCTAAAAGAATACCAATACATTTGTCATTTTTTCAAATAAAATTGTAACTACATCATAAAATTGTCAATGTAGTACAACATACTGGGATTTGAGGTATCTTGCTTGTAAAATAGACCAGATTTTGCTTGTAGATTGTTAGAAAAATCAATGAAATGAATACAGGAAAATAAAAAGATAAATAATGTAGAAAATAACATCTCTCCTATCAGACATTCTTTTGAGAGGTATCAGTCTTGAGAATGACATAAATAGAAAACAAATGCATAATATATACATTTTTAAAAATATATTGGAAATAAATTAAAGTAATGAAATTGAAGACCACAGATATTATTAGTGATTTCAAGCTTTTTCAACTACTTTCAGGCTTATATGAACATAAGATTAGTACTTAAACTGCCAGATTATCAGATAAATAAAATAAATGTTAATATATACCTGATTATGTCACTACAAATTGTAATGCTCCCTTCTCTTAGAATAACTGGAATACAAATCATGTTGGTTTTCTTATCAATAAAATAGCAATATTTGCAATATACATCTGTTTCACAGCCACATACCATGAAAAATTTCTACTTCATTGCATAGTGCATGGGTATTCCTTTCTGGAATTAAATAAAAAATGCACCTGAAACTGTATGCAGTCCATAGCAAATAGCTCTCTGTAAATACTGTGTCTTATTATTACTAATATCAACCTGCAAAATATATGCATAGTTCACATGCTAAAATGTCTCCTTAAATATTTTTGGTAAAGACTTTATGTAAAGAAGTGAGAAAACGAGGGAATTTTTGAAAGTTCTAACATCCTCCATAAATCAGGATTAATAAATTTTGCAGGTTAACTATTCACTTATTTACCCAGAAATATGCAGACCTAATGTGAAATAGAGATAAACTACAGAAGAAGAGTAATATTTGTTTAAATAAACAGTTTTACAAAAGGTTTTGCTTTATATGTTTTTCTTTGTTTCTTTGATTTTCAGAGGGAGAAAGAGGGAATGGGCAGTACAGTGGGATTGAATTGCACCTTTTCTAGATTTAGCAGCCACATCCTTTCTGCACATGTTGCTCTGTAATTATCTTTAAAATTTTACACATTCTCCTTATAAAATAAGGTAATTATATGTGGTATTTGGAGAAACAGATCAGTGGTGCTCTTGAATAGGTAATTGAAGACACACATGTCTACTGTTGAGTAAACCTGAAGCTGTTACATTTCTATTCCTAGGAATATAGGAATAAAAGTTTTATTTAGTGATGAAGGTAAAGATATTTAAAATCCAATTTTAAATTCATAAGTATTCATATATTGTGCTTAGAATAAGAAAAATGATGGAAAAGTTAGGCATTACACTTTCCAGGGATCACCTTGAATAGACGCACTGATCATTTATTTCATGTTCAACATTTACCATGTTCTTTAATTGCAATAACCCTCAAAATTGTGAATGAGAAAATGTGAAGACTAGATCCAACATAGATATTAATTTTATTTAGTTAGTCCAATGAAAACAATAAATAAAATTATTAATCTCAAGTAGATAAAGTAAGTAGCTAGCTCATTTATAATTAGTTTTTCTTTTAAAACATTGGCTTTCTAAACCAGTCTCGTGGGTATTGTATCAGTTCAAGAGGCCTAAAGAAAATTTGTTATAAGCAATAGTTTATTTATGGGAATGGAATGTATTGAGAATGCAATTATGGGCAAATAATGAATGCATTTCCTTACTGTGCAAGGAAAAGCAATTTAGAATATTTATAGTTTGCATGTACATTTCTATATGTACTAATAATAGTTGAGGTTTATTTCCTCTAACCATAGGGAAGATGATCTTTTCCAGAAAACTTCAAATACCTCTGATCCTTTTATTTCAGTGAATAAATTTCTTTTTCTCCAATTTTATGCCTCTAAGCACAGTAACATTTTGTTAATGTTATTGACTGGCAAGCCAAAAACATCTTAAAATTATTTTTTTCTTAGATGTATTGATGTATATTTTATTTACAGTAAATTTCATTCTTATGCATAAAACATTATGTATTTTGACAAACATATACAATCATATAGCTGCAATAAAGATATTAAATATTTACCTCATGCCAAAAAGTTGCTTCATGGCCCTTTGTAGTTACTTCCTTCTCATTACCTCCAGCCCTCAGCAACTACTGTTCTGATTTCCATTTGTATAGTCTTGTCTTTGTTCAGAATGTCATTAAATCATATAGTATGCATCCATACAGTATACAGTATATGGATCTTTCACTTATAATCCTTTTGAGATTCATCTATGTTCTTGAATGTACATAAACTTGTTTATAATACTGCCTTATTACTGAAATATCTACATCATCTAATGATAATCCATTTTCATTCCTGACAAAGTTTGTATTCCTCCCTATCTTTCTTTATTTGATCAGTCTAGGAAAGCATTTATTGATTTTATTGATTTTTTCAAAGAACAAGGATTTAGAATTTTTTTCTCTTTTTCTCCTTTCAATTTCATTGCTTTGAGCTCTTGTCATTATCATTCCTTTACTCCTGCATAGATTGTTTTCTTTTTTCTCTCTTCTTAAAATGGAAGCTTAGGCAATTCTAACTCAATAGTGTAATACTCTATAAAAGTTTTTCTATGTGCTGTTAATGTTCTGGTTGTTGATTGTTAAAATCTCTAACTGTAGTTGTAGACTTGTCTATTCCTTCAGTAGTATCAGTTTCTGCTTCATGTTAATATACATGAATATGGTTAGATAGTTAAAATTTATTGATGAATTTATTTTCTATAATTATGTAATATTCTACCTCTGGTAGTATTCTTCATTGAGTGGTCTGTTTTGTATAGCATTAGTTTAACCATTCTTTATTTGATTTGATTAATATTTGCATGGTATATTCTCTATTTTTACTAATAATCCATTATGTATTTCTGACACCTTTGCTGAGATATAATTTACATATGTTGACATTAGCCCATTTATAGTGTAAGTCAAAGGGTATTTATTATATTCAGTGTTCTGAAACACTCTCTACTAATTTTAAAAGTTTTTCTTCACTCCTAGCAGAAAACATACACTCACTAGCAGTAACTCCCCATCTCCACCACCAACAGCAGGAGCACTGGACAATTACTAATCTACTTTCTTTATTGTTGCCTTTATTGTTGCCTATTCTGATTGTTCTATATAAATAGAATCATATAATGTATGATATTTTGTGACTGTTGTCTTTCACTTAGTATGATGTTTTCAAGGTTTACTCATGTTATAGCATGTATCTGTACTTCATTTTTATTGCCGAATATATCACATTTTGTGTATACATTCATCAGTTGATGAACAATTGGGCTGTTTCCAGTTTTGGGTTAGTAAGAGTAATTTTGCTGTAAATTTATGAATAATTTTGATCTAATATTTAAGGTTAAAACCTTTTTATTTTGAAATAATTCACATTGAATTGCAATAAATAATACAGAGAGATCCTTGTATTAGTCTGTTCTCACACTCCTCAGAAGATACTAATGAGACTGGGTAATTTATAAACAAAAGAGGTTAATTGACTCACAGTTCTGCATGGATGTGAGGGGATGGGGCTCAGGAAACATAGAATATAAGGTTTGCATAAGGCAAAGGAGAAGCAAGCAAATTCTTACATGGTGGCAGGAGATAGAGAGAGTATACAGGGGAAATTGCCACTTTTAAAACTATCAGATCTCCTGAGAACTCCCCCACTATCATGAGAACAGCTTGGAGGAAACTGCCCCCATGATCCAATCACCTCCCACCAGGTACCTCCCTCAGCACATGGGGATTACAATTCAAAATGACATTTGGTTGGGGATACAGAGCCAAATAATATTATTCCACCCCAGACCCTCCCAAATCTCATGTACTTTTCACATTTCAAAACCAATAATGCCTTCCTAACAGTTCCCCAAAGTCTTAACTTATTCCAGCATTAACCCAAAAATCCAAGTCCAGAGTCTCATCTGAGACATGGCAAGTCCCTTCCACATATCAGCCTGTAAAATCAAAAGCAAAAGCAAAAGCAAAAGCAAAAAAAAAAAAAAAAATCAAAATCAAAAGTTACTTCCAAGATACAATGCAGGTACAAGCATTGGGTAAATGTTCCCATTCCAAGTATGAGAAATTTATCAAAACAAAGGGGCCACAGGCTCCATGCAAGTCTAAACCCTGTTGGGGCAGTCATTAAATCTTAAAGCTCCTAAATCATCTCCTTTGACTGTATGCCTCACATCCAGGGCATATTGATGCAATGGGTGGGCTCCCAGGTCTTGGGCAGCTCTACCCCTGTGGCTCTGCAGGGTACAGCCCCTGCGGCTGCTTTCATGGCTGGCATTGAATGCCTGTGGCTTTTCCAGGCACATGGTGCAGACTGTCGTTAGATCTACCTTTCTGGGGTCAGGATGGTGGCCCTCTTCTCACAGCTCCACTAAGCAGTGCCCCAGTGAGGACTCTGTGTGAGAGCTCCAACTCACATTTCCCCTCTACATTGCCCTAGTAGAGGTTCTTCATGAGAGCTCTTCTGCCTGGACATCCAGGTGTTTCTATACATCCTCTGAAATCTAGGTGGAGACTCCCAAAGTTCAAACTCTTGTCTTCCACATACCTGCAGGCCCAATACCACGTGGAAGCCACCAAGGATTAGGGCTTGGACCATTTGAAGCAATGGCCCAAGCTGTGCCTTGACCCCTTTTAGGCATGGCTGGAGCTTTAACAGCTGGTATGTGGGCTACCAAGACCTGAAGCTGCACAGACCAATGGGGCCCTGAGTGCAGCCCAGGAAGCCATTTTTTCCTCCTAGGCCTGGAATGGGAGGAGCTGCTGTGAAGTTCTCTGACATGCCCTGGAGACATTTTCCCCATTGTCTTGGCTATTAACATTCAGCTCCTCATTACTTATGCACATTTCTGCAGTTGACTTGAATCCCTCCCCAGAATATGTGTTTTCCTTTTCTACCACATGGTCAGGCTGCAAATTTTTCAAACCTTTATGCTTTACTTTCCTTTTAAACGTAAATTCCAATTTCAAACCATCTCTTTATGAATTCATATTAAATGTACACTTTCAAAATAAGCCAGGTCACCTCTTGAATGCTTTGCTTCTTAGAAATTTCTTCTGGCAGTTACCCTAAATCATCTCTCTCAAGCTCAAAGTTCCATAAATCTCTAGAGCAGAAGCAAAATACCACCAGAGTCTTTGCTAAGCATAGCAAGAGTAACCTTTGCTCCAGTTCCCAGTCAGTTCCTCATCTCCATCTGAGACCACCTCAACCTGTACTTCATTGTCCATAGTACTATCAGCATTTTGGTCAAAACTATTCAACAAGTCTCAAGGAAGTTCCAAACTTTTCTACATCTACGTGTCTTCTGAACCCTCCAAACTCTTCCAGCCTCTGCCTTTTACCCACTTCCAAAGTCGCTTCCTCATTTTCAGGTTATCTTTATAGGAGTAACTCGCTCTACTAGTACCAACTCTCTGTATTAGTCTGTTATCACACTGTATAAAGATATTATCTGAGAATGGGTAATTTATTAACAAGGAGGTTTAATTTACTCACAGTTTCACATGGCTGGGAAGGCCTCAGGAGACTTACTATCATGGCAGAAGGCGAAAGAGAAGAAAACGCTTTCTTACAGGGCAGCAGGAGAGAGGACACACAGGAGAACCTACCAGTTTTAAAACCATCATATCTCATGAGAACTCCCTCACTATCATGAGAGCAGCAGGCAGAAACTGCCCCCATAATCCAATCACTTCCACCAGGTCCCTCTTTCAACATGTGGATATTACAATTCAAGATGAGATTTGGGTGGGGACACAAAGCCAAACCATATGAACCCCATATATTGTTCACCCACTATCCCCCAAGAGAAGCATTTTTCATAACTATGGCACAATATTACAACAAGAAAATTAACATAACAATTACAATCTACTGAACTGATTCAGATTTCACCAATTTTGCAGGCATTTATTGTGAGTGTGCAAGTGTATTTTATTCTGTGCACTTTATCACAATGCTATAGTCAAGATACAGGGAAATTCCATCACAAGAATCCCTTCAGCTATCCTTTTAGAGGAACAGCTATTTCCCACCTAACCTGCCCCACCATAACACCTACTGACCACTACTCAGTTCTATATATCTTTAATTTTTTCATTCCAAGAATGTTATATGAATGGAATTACATAATCTGTAACTTTTGAGATTCGCTTTTTCCTTTGCTCTTAATGTTCTGTTTTATACATAATTACCTTGAGATTTATGCAAGTTGTTGTGTATATCAGTAGTTTGTTCCTTTTTAATGCTGAGTAGTATTCCATGATATGGATATGCTACAGTTTGTTGAATCATTCACCTGTTGTAGACCATTTGTGTTCTTTAAAGTTTGGGCTATTATAAGTAAAGCTACTTTGAAGATTCATGTACAGGTTTTTGTGTGAATATAAGCTTTCATTTCTCTGGGATAATGAGTACTCAATAGTACAATTTCAGAATTGCATGGCAAGTGCAATTTTAGTTTTATAAAAGACTGATATTCTTCTCCAGTGTTGGTATACCATTTTACATTCATGCTAGCATTATATGAGTGGTTCAGTTTCTCTGCATCCTCACATTTGGCATAGTCACTGTTTTTAATTTTAGCCATTCTGGTAGGTGTATCATAATATCTCACTGTGATTTTAATTTGCATTTGCCAAATATCTACTCATGTAACTATTTGCCATCTGTAAATCCTCTTCTGTGAAATACCTGTTCAAGTTTCCTCTTATTTTGTGAATTTTTTTCTTTTTAACAGTTGCATTTGGGAATTCTTTATATACTCTAGATATAAGTTCTGTGTCAAGTGTATGATATATTAACACTTTTTTTTTACATTTTGTATTTGTCTTTTCATCTTCTTATTCAGTATCTTCTTCATAGCAGAAGTGTTTAATTTTGATGATGTCCAATTTGTTAATTATTTTTTATGAATATTGTTTTTGGGCTTAATTCTGAAACTTCACCTAACTCAAGATCTCAAAGATTTTCTGTGATATGTTTTTCTAAGTGTTTCGTAGATTTACTTTTAAGTCCATGATCAATTTTGAGCTTTCAAATATCAGTTAGCTATAAGGATTTGGGTTTATTTCTGCATCCTCTATTTTGTTCCATTGGCCTACATGCTTATCTTTTTTTTTTTTTTTTTTTTTTTTTTTTACCAGTACCAAAGTGTTTTGGTGACTATGGCCTTATACTGTAGTTTGAAATCAGGTAGTGTTATGCATCCAGATTTGTTCTTTTTGCTTAGTCTTGCTTTGGCTAAACCAGCTCTTTTTTGCTTCCATATGAATTTTAGATTTTTTTTTTCTAATTCTGTAATGAATGATGTTGGAATTTGATGGGGATTGCATTGAATTTGTAGATTGCTTTTGGCAGTATGGTCATTGTCACAATATTGATTCCACCCATCCATGAGCATGGGATGTGTTTCCATTTGTTTGTGTTGTCTAAGATTTCTTTCAGCAGTGTTTTGTAGTTTTCCTTGCAGAGGTCTTTCAATTCCTTGGTTTGGTGTATTCCTAAGTATTTTATTTTATTTTTTGCAGCTATTATAAAAGGGGTTCAGTTCTTGATTTGATTCTTCACTTGGTTGCTGTTAGCATGTAGAAGAGCTACTGATTTGTGTACATTAATCTATGCGGAAACTTTGCTGAATTTTTTTTTATCAGTTCTAGGAGCTTTCTGGAGGAGTCTTTAGGGTTTTCAAGGCAAACAATCATATCATCAGCAAACAGTGACAGTTTGACTTCCTTTTTACTGATTTGGATGCCCTTTATTTCTTTCTCTTGTCTGATTGCTCTGGCTAGGATTTCCAGTACTATGTTGAAGAGGAGTGGTGAGAGTGGACATCCTTGTCTTGTTCCAGTTCTCAGAGGGAATGCTTTCAACTTTTCCCCATTCAGTATAATGTTGGCTGTGGGTGTTTCATAGATGGCTTTTATTACATTAAGATATGTCCCTTGTATGCCAATTTTGCTAAGTGTTTTAATCATAAATGGATGCTGGATCTTGTTGAATGTTTTTGCTGCATCTATTGTGATGATCATGTGATATTTGTTTTTAATTCTGTTTATGTGGTGTATCACATTTATTGACTTGCATATGTTAAACCATCCCTGCATCCCTGGTATGAAACCCACTTGATCAGGCTGGATTATCTTTTTGATATGCTGTTGGATTTGATTAGCTAGTATTTTGTTACAGATTTTAGCATCTATATTCATCAAGGATATCAGTCTGTAGTTTTCTTTTTTGGTTATGCCCTTCCCTGGTTTTGGTATTAGGGTGATGCTGGCTTCTTAGAATGAATTAGGGAGGGTTCCTTCTTTATCTTGTGGAATAGTGTCAAAATAATTTGCACCAATTCTTCTTTGAATGTCTGGTAGAATTCTGCTGTGAATCCATATGGTCCTGGACTATTTTTGAGTACAGGCAGTGTAGATTTAGAATGATTTGTAAGGGCTCTAGGATTTTTGAATAATAAATGAGCATTAGCTTCAACTTAAAGTTGCCAGCTTCATTAACCCCTGACAACACAGTCAGTCTGTCTTTTGAAACTTAAGCCAGGCATTGACTTCTCTGTAGCTATGAAAGGTCTACATGACATTTTCTTTCAGTAGAAAGCTACTTCTTCTGCATTGAAAATCTGTCATTTAGTATAGTCACCTTCATCAATTATTTTAGCTAGACCGTCTGGATAGCTTGCAGCAGCTTCTACGTCACTTTATGCTGATGCACCTTGCACTTATATTATGAAGATGTCTTCTTTTCTTAAGCTTCATGAACCAACCTCTGATAGCTTCAGATTTTTTGTTCTACAGCTTCCTCATTTATCTTAGTATTCATGGAATTGAATAAAGTTAGGGCCTTACTCTGAATTAGGCTTTGGCTGAAGGGAATATGGTGGTTGGTTTGATCTTATATCCAAACCACTAAAACTTTCTCCGTATCAGCAAAAAAGATTGTTTTGCTTTCTTATAATTTGTGTGTTCACTGGAGTAGCATTTGTGATTTCGTTCAATAATTTTTCCTTTGCATTCACAACTTGGCTAATTTGGCATAAGAGATCTATCTTGGCTCTCAACATGCTTTTCTCACTCAGGTTAATAATTTCTAGCTTTTGATTGAAAGTGAGAGACATGTGACTCTTCCTTTCACTTGAACACTTAGAGGCCATTGTATATTTATTAATTTTCACACTTTCAATATTGTGTCTCAGGGATAGAGATGTTCAAGGATGAAATGAAAGACAAGGGAATGGTTGATTAGTAGAGAAGTCAGAACAAACACAACATTTACTGATTAAGTTCACCATCTTGCATGGGCACAGTTTGTGACACCCAAAAGCAATTAGAAGAGTAACATCAAATTTCATTGTTTATACATCACCATAACAGAAATAATAATGAAAATTTTGACATGTTATGAGAATTATTAAAATGTGACATGGAGAGATGAAGTGACAATATGTTATTGGAAAAATGCCACTTGCCCAATGCAGCATTGTCACAAACCTTCAGTTTGTAAAACAACAGCAACAACAAACCCCACAATATCTGCAAAGCACAATAAACAAAAATGCAAAAAAAGAGGTATGCCTGTAATTCTATGCAAACTGTGCATTTAATCTTGATTAAAATTTGGTATTTGAATCTATACATATTATATCTAATATATAAACATAGATTTTTCTGAAGCATGTTTCTAGATAAAAGGAACCCAGATCTATAAGATCCATTTTTTATAAGAGAATTCATCTAAAGGATAGATCCTGGAAATAAGTGATAAGTGGGAAATCAGAAGAGAGTTACAGAATAGGGTATGTGGGTTTTATGGTGTGTGGTTAAGAGTAAAAGGGGAGAAGGAAAGGAAATAAAGCTTACTATAGCCAATTATCTCCTTTGCTTTGTAACTACTTTGTAATATCTTGCTTCTGAAGAGTGGACTGCCTAACACAATACTTAGATTTGTAATGCTATTTTTTAAACCATGCAGAATTCTGTGTCCTGATGTCCAGTGACTTTTGACTACCTAATCAATAGCACAGTCAGGCATCTATGACAAGGAAACACCACCTGGTCTATGTAAACATCTGTACACTCTACATACATGACTTGCACAGTGTGGAAAATTAATGCATTTAACGTCATTCCATAAGTGAATTAATTTAGTTCCTAAAATATTTTTTCAACTTTTAGTACCCCGCACAACACAACAGAAAGTTTTTTTTATTTTTTTGAGTATTTTTGAATATGCTAGTTTTTCTTGGGACTATAAAATGCATTCTTGTTCAGACATGAGGCAATGAACAATATCAATGGCTTAGAATAAATTTCATTGCATGTTACTGATATTATGGCAAAGCATGAAAATGGGAGAATGTTTGCTGGGCAGTTTTAAGAAATTCTAGATGAAAACATTTTAAAACTACAGGAAGAGAATATGGTTACAAAAGAGCAATTTAGTAATTATTGGACAGTGTAATTTCCTCCATCCCCAGGCATTTTTGGTTGCTAATGTTCAGAACACACTTGGAGAAATTTTGTAATAGGATAGTACTTAATTAGCATAATTCATTATCTACAGTTTGAAATGTGCTTATGGATTCGATATATACCATGCAGATCTTTTCAGCTTCTTATAATTTAGAACATAGATTATATAATATAAACAAGGTGAAAGCAGTAAGACATGCCATAGGAAGAGTTATACCAAGTGCTTTTCATATTCAGAAAACAAAAATATAAATTTTAGCCAGGGGAGTTGAAGAAGACATATGAAGGAGATAGAATTTTAGATGGGCCTTGAATAAGAAAAGAACTAAAACATTTAATAATAATATAAATTGAAATATTGACCTAACTTATAAAGAGTATAAAAATTCAAAGAGACTGAAAGTTAGGGCATGTGCCCAAATAACTTCTCTTCATTTATTTTCTTGACATATATAAGACAGTATACACTCACTATGCATCAATCATTATGCTAAGTATCAGGGATATAACAGCCCTGTTAAAGAAAATGTAAAATAATAGGAAACATAGAAAACTTATCACTAAGTAAAGTAATAAATGGCTAATCATAAATTTTGTGGTCAGAGCAAGATAGTTTCCTAGAGATGCCTGGTACTTGTCCAACCAAAAACAAAGGACCAAAACAATGAATAGAGAACTACATTCCAACTAGAGTGAATGAAGAGTATGCTGGATACTTCACCACAAGGAAGTGGTGAAATCTCTGTGAAGCACAGAAACCCAGAATGGAAGTTTAGAAAGTAAGTGAAGCACCTATCTCTGCCACTCTGTTCCCCCTGCTGGGATGAGCTTGGGGATGGGAGAGACTTCTTTTTGTGAGAAAAAGTTAAGCTGGAGGCCACCAGCAGTCCCCGTTCCCGACATACACATCTACAGTTCTTGCTGCAAGAAAGGCCCACAGTCCTCACTGCCTCTGAATGTAGTTTGGGGAGCTTCCTGGAGTTAACATGGCTGCATTGCTCCAGAGTGAGGAGCCTATGTGCACCCCCTATCCCTGTGACCCAGGGTGCTATAGCACATCACTATCTTGATGGTACCAGACCCATAGCTGTAGTGCATCCTATTATGGGAGCCAATAGTCATTGTTTATCCATCGTGATGTGCTACTGACATTCCACTACACTCACACAGATGGCTGCAGTAACAAAAACCTGGCTACTTGGAGCCTAGGTTCAGCAGAACAGCTGTGACTCCAGTGTCTGAGACTATGCTATGCCCTGCTCCAATGGAACAGGCAGTTATACAGAGTGGGAAAGCTGACCCTGGGCTTGTCCTGACTCCCCAGAAAATCACCACAGAGATGGCTTACCTATCACACCCATGTGTGCCTGACAGCTCAACATTCAACCCAGTGGTGGCTCCACTCCCCTGCCAACCCACTCCAGAACCAGTCAACTCATGTATGTGAGCATTTGCCCGAACCACCAGTTAGCCTTGTGGTGGTCCCACTGCAAGGTATTTCCACCCTAGATAATTCACTGCATCGGTATGCTCCTGGACCAATATAGCTGGCCTAGTGGAGGTCCTGGACTCCAGCAAGCCCACCCTAGTGCCAGCCAAACTATCACACCCAAGTATGCGTAGTCTGAAACTATCATGGTGGCCATTATTACCGTAAGTTTTTGCAGTCCAGAGCACTGACACACTCAGACATTGCTGATGCGAATTACAGCTGAAGAAACTGCACATAAACCACACTCCTGCTTCTACCCAGAATCAAAGCCAAAACACCCTACTAAACCACACCCTAAGACGCATATACATGAAAATGTTTCACTTTACCAAAACTACCACATAAAATCGGAAAGGTGACTCTTCTACCAGATGCACAGATATACGCATAGGGAAAGAAGAAATGTGAAAAAGCAAAGAAATGTGAGCCTTCCAAAGGAACACAAAAGACTTCAGTAGCAGACACTAAAGAAAGGAAATTTATGAAGAGTCTGAAAAAGATCTAGACATTTCAGCCTTAAAAAAAAAGAAATAATATATTTTTCAGGAACATGGAGGGAACTGGAGACAGTTATCTCAAGTGAAACAACTCAGAGACAGAAAGACAAACACCACATGTCTCACTTATAAATGGGAGCTAAATAATGTTTACACATGGAGGTAGAGCGTGGAATGATAGACAATGGATGCTTGGAAAGGTCAAGGGATGGCAGAGGGGTGGATGATGAGAAATTACTTGATAGGTACAATGTACATTACTCCAGTGATGGATACACTAAAGGCTCTGACTTTACTACTGATGAAAAAATTGGCAATGGACCAGAACAGATAACCTTCAAAAGAAGAAAAGTGGCCAACAGGTGTGTGAAAAAAATGTTCAACATCACTAGTCATCCAGAAAATGTAAATCAGTACCACAATGAGATATCACTTCACTTTAGTCAGAATGGCTACTATCAAAAAGACAAAAGAGGTGTTAGCAAAGATGCAGAGAAAAAGGTACCCTTCTACAGTGTTGACAAGAATATATATTAGTAAAACCATTATTAAAAATAGTATGTATGTTCCTCAAAAAATTAAAAATAGAACTACCATATGACCCAGCAATACTACTACCAGGTAAATATCCAAAAGAGGTGAAGTTAATAGGTTGAAGAACTATATGAACTCCTATTTTTATTGCTTCACTATTCACAATAGTCAAGTAATCGACTCTAAGTGTCCAATGATGTATGAACGGATTAAGAAAGTGTGATCACACACACACAAACACACACACACACACACACACACACACACAATACTCAGTGGAATACTATGCAGCCTTAAGAAAGAAACAAATTTTGTCATTTGGGACAACATGGGTAAACCTCAAGGAAAATATGTTAAGATAAATAAGTCAGAAACAGAAAGATAAATATCAAATGTTCTCACCCATATTCAGAATCTAAAAACGATGGTCTCATAGAAGTAGCAAATAGAACAGTGGTTACCAGAGACTGAGGAAGGTGGTGAGTTGATAGGAGAGGTTGGTCAATGGGTATAAATTTATAGCTAGAAAGGCAGAATAAGTACCAGTGTCCTATTGCACTGTAGGGTAACTATAGTCAACGAAAAAGATATTTTATATCTCAAAATAGCTAGAAGAGAGGATTTTGAATTTCCTACTACAAAGAAATCATAAATGTTTGAGGTGATGGATATGCTAATTACTCTGATTTGATCATTACACAATGTATGTATGTACTGAAACAGCACATTGTACCCCATAAGTATGTGCAATTGTTATGTGTCTGTTAAACATAAAAAATTAAGATATGATGAGAACATGTGCAGGTGGTCTGTGAGGACAGAGAAGGAGATTGGGCACCTCTCTTAACCATGGAACTTTGTCTGGTTTTCCTGAGAAAGATTTAGAGTAAATCAATAAATGTAAAGAAAGGATATTTATTTCAGCCTCAAAGCGAAGTATATGCAAAGTTCCAGGGATAAGATGAAAGAATAAAATTTGAGCAACTAATAGCAGCTCAACATAGGGCCATAATCTAACAAGGTCATAAAGAACATTCATGAAGATTCATGATGGATACATCTTATCTAAGTGCTAGAGAAGGAAGGAGGTCAAAACTGGTTTAAAAGCAAGAGAGTGAGAAAGCACGGGAGCATGCTTGAGAGAGGGAGAGAGAGAGAGACAAGTAAAATTAGAGGAAAGTGGGAGAATTGTGAAAAAGAGGGATACAAAGTCATGGAGGTAATGATGTGAAAAATCCTGAGTTTAAGATTTGACTCCACCTATGGATAATATAGATAGGCCATTACATTTGGATGATTTTAGGGAATTGGGAAGATTTTTTTAAAAAGTAGATGTCAGAGCAATCAAAAATGATAGCTGTTGATGAAACTACAAAATTTGAGAAAGTTTGAAAACCAGATATGGCTGAAATGAGGACCTGACAATTTATCTTATAATAAAAGCGGTTTAACATTAAAGAAAAAAAAGAATAAGCTCAGAATAGTTTTATGAACTTTATCAAAAAAGCTGTCATTCTCTCAATTTTCTTATGTTTAACTAATTCTTAAAATCATGTTGTAAGGATTATAATTACATTCTCTAAAGGATTAATTACAATAGAAACATATAGGATTTTAAATATAAATTGATGATTTAATCATTATTTCTGCAGTAAATTGGAGAACTAAAAATTTTTTGCAAAGATTAATTATAAGTTACTCTGTATTATTGTCAGTATTTCTTTCCTCATTAAACATGCAATGAAATTTGATGTCATTAATAATTTTTTAGTAATTCCATTACAATGTATTTATTACTCAAGAGACACGTCAAATTTTCTGATACAAATAACTAGAGTATTAGGGAACAAATGTATGACATTTATCATGACCATATTTTTCTTGATATAATTATCCTAAATCCCCTTTAGTGGTTTAAGACATATAATCCTGAGTATGGAGATTTTTAGGGTGAAATGGAAAATATATTAAAACAATGGAAACTTTATTTCTAGAAATTCTTTATCATGTTACTGGGTTTTTTGTTATTGTTGTTATATGTCATTTGCCACTATCTGAAATATATATTATTTATTTATTTGTTTGTATGTTTTAATTTTACTGTATAAAACCATGATTTTTCTCTTGCTTACTATCATATTTCCAACCTTTACCATTGGTATTTGTCATATAGTTAATGTTTGGTAAATAACTGTTGAATAAATGTGTACAATCTATTTCTTATTAAAAGATTATTCTCATTGACTTTATGCTAGAATTTGCTTACTCTTAAATGACCACAGTGATTTGACACAGGGATAACAATAAGTTATATTTTAGAATATCTCCTTTAGTAATTATCTAAATTAAGTAGTTTAATGGAATCTTTCCAAGTGGCATATATTCTCAATCCCTCATTTCCTGGTTTTCCTGATAACATGTGAAATAAGGACAGAGATATAGAGATTTATTTGTGAGATTTCTCCATAAGCCATAAACCAAACCATATTGTTTAGAATGAGTGTAAATAATGAACATTATTCAGTGACTGTGATTTTCAAAGCCCATGTGACTCGCCTATAACCAATGACTGTATATTTCTCTCTGGTGGCAGAGGGATGCTGTGGTACAAGTGCTTTCTAGTTCAGTTTCTTGGCTTATCTAAGGTCTTGCCTCATACACTGAAGCATTGAGGCTGTCAGGAATACTTCTTAGTTTCACCCTTGTTAAATTATCATTATTTGCTCCACCTCATGCACATTCTACTTCTCCCTACTGCAGCTCTACTTTCTTCAGGTCCACTCCCTTAGATTACTGAAAGTAAATTCAAGTTGCAAACTGCAGTTACACAGTAGCTATTACTTGCCTTTACTGTACTCTATTACTGAAATTACCTTTCATGTCCCTGGAAAAGATGGAAAGTTTATCATTTTTATTGAACATTTTGTCTTTTTTCTTTTCTCGCATTTCTTAATGTCCTTGTGGAGCCGATTCTCATGTACTGAACTGGGTCTTTTAGGGGGTCATCTCCAAACTCTGCTTTGGTGTATTACACACCTCCATGCATTGTAGTCTCATTACATCTGGAAATGTGTGCAGCCTGTCAAAAATAATTTAAACTTTCCCTAACGGATATTCATGTTCATCGAAATAGGGAATTGAACAAAACCAAATTGTAAATCAAAATCTGGCATGAACTATGCTACTCAATTGAAAATATAATTGAAACAAATCCAAATAGTTTTTCACTGAGTTACTATTTTAATCAACAAGAGTAAACATAACCTGTATATTTTCTGAAAGTAATGAAAGCAAATTTTAAAACTTGAGTCTAAAATTATACAATTATATTATATATTTTTGTTAACTAAATTCAGATTGGAAAAAAAGTCAGTCAGCTCAACAAATAAACAGATTCATCCCTATGAAAAGAGAAAATAGATTTATAGGGAAACATTACGGAAAATGCACTGCAAACCAAGAATAAAAATGAGAAATATATAAAAATTATCCCAATGTTTTCATATTGGAATTCAACATTCTGTACACCAGTAGACACAATAATACAATAAAGGTGATTTTACATTTTAATGGGCAGGTGGTCATCCACTAAAAGTGGTGGCTAGCTCCCACACATCTTAGGAAAGTTGGGTTTTCAGGGATAAAGATGAAGAGTATTGGTTAGAGGGTCCTTGCATCCCTGTACCTACACCTTAACACTGATTACATATACAATGACAGATTTTCCATCCTCCTTCTACTGTTCCCCTAGCATGACTAATTGCCAAAAGGTGAGAGAATATTTGTAATTCCTCTTGACACTCCCACCCCACAAACATAGTATAATAAATCAGCTGTTTATTTTGCCTTCTGAAGAAGAAAACTGTGAGCTTTGAAGAATAGGAAATATATACTTGTTATTAAGAAACCTTAATCTGAAACTCTTAATCTGAAACTCTTATTATTAAGAACGTGTTATTAAGAAACCTTAATCTGAAACTCTTCCTAACTATGTAATAGCCTTGCTTTGGAGACTCTTTTACTTTGGCTTTATAGCAAACACTTAAAATTTAAATGGTTAGATATATGGTAGAAGTATAATACAGCAGTATTTTTCTATTTCATGATGTCATAAAAACTGCTTTGCTGGAAATCTTCAAAAAATTATAAAGCAAGAGGTACTTTATATATTAATCATGACCAATATCTGGAGCATAGTTCCAATATTTTGTTTTAAGATACTTGTTTTGAGTATATTATAAATGGTATTCTTGCAACCAAATATGTGAAGACTACATATCCAACTATATTTGTTTGGATATATACAATCTGTTTTCTGCCTCTCCATTGGATCAGGCCTCTAATACATTATAGAATTATATATTCTTTTTTTTTTTTTTTTTTTTTTGAGACGGAGTCTCGCTCTGTCGCCCAGGCCGGACTGCGGACTGCAGTGGCGCAATCTCGGCTCACTGCAAGCTCCGCTTCCCGGGTTCACGCCATTCTCCTGCCTCAGCCTCCCGAGTAGCTGGGACTACAGGCGCCCGCCACCGCGCCCGGCTAATTTTTTGTATTTTTAGTAGAGACGGGGTTTCACCTTGTTAGCCAGGATGGTCTCGATCTCCTGACCTCATGATCCACCCGCCTCGGCCTCCCAAAGTGCTGGGATTACAGGCGTGAGCCACCGCGCCCGGCCAGAATTATATATTCTAATGAAAGCTAGTCATGAACATTTATAAGATTATGAAATTACATAAAAGCAATGCTTGTTCTATGAAAATAAACTGTGAAATTTGCCATCCAGTGAGAAATACTGAAAAAACATTAAGTGGATAGGAGGGAGTATAAGAAAATAACTGTACAGTCTCACTCTGGAAATAAGGATATCAATTTATGAGGTCTTTCGATTTTGTAACTTTATTGTATCAATACATATATGAGAAGCACGTTGACTAGCACCATCAGCTCAATATCTGTTATGTTTATTATTAACAATAAGAATACAATATATATAATAAATAATAAATAAGATATAATAAATAATAAACAATATATAACATATTAATAAATGATAAACTATATAATACTAATAAAACAATACCATAAATAAATTATTGGTGCAGTAAATAAATTTGGATAAATCAAAAATCATGTGCACTTAAAGTTTTATAGTTGATTGTATTAATACACACAACCTGATTGGAACAGCATGTGTTTGGAATTGCACTATTCTGTGATTGACTTTTCTATGCATAAAAGAACTATTTCATTTGTGCTTAAAAAGTTGACAGTGCAAAGTCATGAATATAGTTGGACATTTGTTTGGTCCCAATTTTGTGAAAACGTTTACTGCTGAAAAGCTTTTTAAATTTTTTTGTTGTTGTCTTTTGTAATTCAGGTTATCTGGAATGAATATACCACCACCAATTATCAGCAACAAAAACTGGCTCAGACTGCATTTTGTTACAGACAGCAATCATCGATACCGTGGATTTAGTGCTCCCTATCAAGGTATACTTATGGAATACCTTTGCCTCTTTTGATATGTAAAATAATTTTGGTGTACACAACTATGTTTTGTGATAGAAAAATGTCTTTAGCATTTAGAAATTGGAATTTGTATTGAAAAAAATGGTCATGCTGTTGCTGAGACAATAATGTGATCATAACTAAATTACAGTATTAAAGTTAGTTGATTTTATAGTATAATATTCAGAATAATGAATATTATGATTTCTAAAAGGTAGTATGTAGCAGATGCAATATTTTTCTTTAATAAAGTGCTTCAGCAATTGGATATACTATCTGAAGTTGTACCGCAAATCACTGCAGAAAACCTTCAGTTGCATGTACGCTCTTTCTCAATCGAAACTCACCTCCATATGCAGCATGTTTGTTACTGCTAGTTTAATTAACCTTGTTAGGAGTTTTATCTACCAATTGTGTTAACATAAATAATTTTCAATACATAGGATATAATATTTGATGCATTAACTTGAAAAACTCTTTGGAACAAGATTATTATGAAGATGGAGTACTAATGAAAATGTAGCTTCTACAATGTTCTGTAATACTATGTGAGCTTAGTGTACTTTATCTTCAGACTACTTATGTAAATAATTCATTTCATTCTCAGTAGTGTATCAGCTACTTTTCAGGGAATAGTAAGCATTGCCACAGTTACATTCTTCCATTTATCTGTGTTTTTTGTTTTTTTTAATGCTTTCCCCTTTAGTAGTCTTCAGTCCTAAGCACTTCGAAAATTTAATATGATGACTTTAGGAAGCTTATATTTAGTACTCAAAATGGCATTAAATCATATATTGTTCTTTGGAATACAAAATTCAACAATTAATTTGTATTTTGAAAACCAGTAACCTCTCTGAAGCTGTTCTATTAATAAGATTTCTCTCAAAAACTGCAACAGCTTGATGTGATTTGTAATTTGACTTTCGTAATAGTGCACTGAGTATCACTGTAATAAAAATTCTTAGGAAAGTAACTTAAAATCAAGATTTTCGACAAAGTCCACGTAGAAAATCTGCAATAATGATCATTTCTAAAGTAGTTAATTGGAATGGAAACATAAATGCAAATATGCTTTTAAAACTATGCAATGTGTTAACATGTATCATAATAGAAAATATTAGCCATCACAAAACACTAAATCTTTAGAGTTCAAAAATAAACTTTCATAGAAAAATTTATTTTCACATATTTTATTAAAAATAGCTGTTTAGGCATGGTAACTTGAATCTTAAACAGTTTAAGGCAATGTCACTTTTAAATTTGCAAAAATATTTTATCCTGTTCCCAATTTCAATTTCTAAAAGTTTGTGTACTTTAGAGGACTATTTTATTGAAAATAAGATATTGTGAAGCTTCTTTATCTCTAGGTTGACCCTTTTACTTGTGGAGTTTTTCATCCACCTAACTCTGTGGCTCTGATTCCTTTCTACAATTAGTTAAGGCCAATGGCATGGCAGAAATTCAAAAATCAATCCTCTTCGATTCCTGTGATCTTTTCTACTAGATTCATGGAATCTTCTGGTCAAATGGCTTCTATTATTTTTCTAAACAGAAATAAAGTAGCATATATTTTATATTTATATGTAGAAACTGGAGCAAAAAAATAGATCTCCTACCTCAAATATTAAGCGATATTTCATTTGTTTTGTGCAATATGATTTCATGGAGCTGGTACCTTCAGATAGGGTTGTTTTGCACTATAAGACAATGGCACAAAGCTACCAGTCGATTTGTGTACTTACTTATAAATTTCAGCATGCTACTCATTGGTCTTTAATTGACTTTTGCAGTATTTTTAAGATTGGAATTGTGGTTTTCAAGCATTATGCGTTTTCGGCACTGAAAAGTAGCATCACTGTAGTAAAATGGAAAAGATGTGTTTTATGAGGTACAACTTATTTCTATTTGCTGCAGGAAAAGGGACTCAAAAGAGGGATGGGATTTATATCGATATAACAGAGGAAATGCAGTGGTTAAGAAAATTGAAGCTTTGATTTTATAATAAGATTAAGGGAAAGTTTTATTATAAAAATATGCCTTTGCATATTATTCTTTTAAAACTTTCCTAATTTAGGCTTGCTTTTTCTGATTGCATTACCTTAAAATAATATTCTACCTCAACAGCATACATTCAATTGAGAAGTAAATCTTGAAATCATAATGAAGAAATTTAAATTAAAAAATATATGTGTACTAAGATAACTTAAATGGCTGCAAAATCATAATTCTGTCATGCCAAAATACATGCCCTATCATGAAATGGTAACGATGCTTTTTACATTGTTCCATGCTACTATTTCATTTTAGTGGTGTCTACATTAAAACTAATTCAAGATTGAAAATTTTGTGTAATATATTATACAAAAGTCAAAACTAAGTCTCCATGCAGCTCAGTTTCTAAATAACTCATATATTTACCGAGTACTCAGTAACTATTATTGATTTACCTATAATTATTTAATATTTTTAGGAATCTGCAGGTTTCCAAAGACTGAATATTTTACTCATAACGTTTCTATTTAATCTCTATCCTTTATTAAATACCATGAAAATTAACTGCAAACTACTAGTGGGTTCATTGAATGCCATTAGCTATTTTTTATAGTGTGTTCCATAATTGATGGAGTAGGTACATAGACACACACTGCTGTGCTTTCCCAAATATAACCACCTTTAAGTTATGTTATATGCTAGCTTCCTGAATGCTTTAGATATTATAATTTTAAATAGGATTAAGTAGAGACTGAGAATAGCATGCTAAAAAGCATAGTTCTATATCAATTCAAAAGTATTAAAAATGTGGTTTAAATAGAAAGCCTTTAATACGTAAAATACATTCTCACTCTGAGCTCCTGTATTGAATATGCCCACTCGTATTTAAAATAAAACATCTTTTGCCTTCCTAGTTTACCTATAATAGAAATCTCTTACTTAAATAATTTATTACTGTCTCTTCTTTGATTAAAAAAAAAAGTTATTTAGTTTTTAACTCTGCCCCCACAAATTCACTTCAATATTATGTCATTATATTTGTCTTTGTTTTAAACTATTGTTCCTCCATTCAAGTTCCATTAACCCTCTATTAATGAGAACTTGGATTGTGCTACTTCTCACCTAAATAGTAAAACTTTTCTTTAATTGTGGTGTTTGGAAGTCCTCTTACTTATTTTTTGAAAACTCTATATTATTGTCACTTGGTCATTAGTATAAACTAAACTCTATTCTTTTCCATTTCGATGAATACATTGTCATATTTACTTATTTTTTAAATTGGAAGGGGAGTTTTAGATAACACTCAATTGTCCAAGAAAGAAAATCTTACCTATAGAAGATTTTAATTAAAAGTATTTTTATTTCATAAGGCTCAATAATACAAGTATGAAATATCTCATTTTTAAAATTATTCAACATTCAGCATTTCTCTTTCAATGTGCAATCATAAATACCATAGCTATAGGCATTCATATAATTGTATTTATCATGTAAGTTTAGGCATTGCAGTATTTAATCAATTTTAAATATGTAAATATATGAGTAATTTTATATTCTTGATTCAAGCCTCTAAATTCCTTACATTTTAATCACAATTTGATTTTTATATTTTCTTCCAAAATTTTTTGTATGTGATTCTTCTTATGCAGGCAAATATTTTACAGAAATTTATTTTTCATGAAATAAAGATATATTAATAGCAACACACAATATTTAAAAGTTATGAAAGATAATGATATTTTACATAGATTCTCAAATAGGCTATGATCATTTTGGGATCAACTGGGCATCTTCTATTGAAAGAAAAGCATATTTATTGGACAGAACTTTCAAACCATATCGAAAATGCCCTTTCATATACCTTAATTACACAGAGACTTCTGGCATTTTAGATGCCCATTGTTTCAGTCAAAAACAAGTAACTTTGGCATAGTTCATCCATTTTTTATATTTGGGAAGTTTTTACATAAATACCTGTGTACAGTTACTGAACAAAGGTAAATAAGATTTTGGGGGATGCAGCATAGTATATTAAGTAAAGAATAGGATCAGAAGGTTAGAATTGAATCATAAAGATACTAATTGCTGAGTTCTCTGAGCATTGGTTTTTCTTTTATCAAACAGAGTCACAGTAGCCAGACATATTATTGTTTTGTAAATTAAAAGGTATTAAGACTTCTTCTTTTTTTGACTCTTCAATCTTTATTTAGATACTCAACACACATGTGCATGAGCACGTGTGCACACACACATACAGACACAGAGTACAAATTAAGTCATTAATTTCCCACTACCTAGAAAGACCTTCATATTTCTTTGAGTCTTAAGACTGAGATCAGATGTCTCTGAAACATTCCCTGACTCCTTCCCTTGGGGGTAGTTAAGCTTTCATAATGTGTTGTAATATTTCAGGACTTCAGAAAACTTTGCTTTGTGTAATGGGCTTACAAGATACCCTGAAAATGATGATTAATTATCTTTGTATTCATTTACAGGATGGTTGGTTGTTATTTTCTGCCACCCACAACCAGTCATCCCTTTTTAATTTTTTCTTGATAAGGGCATCTCATTTTCTTCTGGGGGAATTATCCCTCTTCCATTGTGTGTGCAATCTTGGTGGGGCTGCCAATCAGCCCCACCAAGCGGTAGGCATATGAGGCATGATGGCCAGTTGGACTAAAATGGAACTGTTTACCTGTTTAAGCAGAAGGGGATTTATTACAGAGAATGGAGTCTCCACTAATTATTTGCAGAACAAATAATTGTTATATAACAAATAATAGTCTGCAAAGAGAACTGTTAACATCAGAAAGCCAAGGAAGTGGGAACCACAGTGCCAACTTCTGATTGTTGCTGTAACCACTGGTACCAGAAATAGGAACGTTAGCTGTGACTAACAGGTTAGAAACCATGGCCACAATTGTTGGCTCCAGAGACACGACATGCCTGCTGGGACTGCACCAACAAAATGGATGACCCATGCCATCCTCTCAGTATCTGATAAGTGGCTAGCTACTGGGATTTCAGCTAAAGCTGTTGCAGAAAAATCAACAACCTTGCAATCTATGTTCTGCACCAGAAATTGCAGAAGTAACACAAATGTGGCCTCCACCTCACTTCTGCCCTTCTGACCTCACACAAACACATGTGACTAGCTGAATATTTTTAAGTACCTTCTGGAACACTGTCTGCAAACTATACTATGGAATATAGTGTTTAGCTTTCTAGCCTTAACAATGACTGAAGGGGCTCTAGAATGAGGGCAGAATGGATACTGAATATCAATCCACTACATAAACAATGGACTCGCTCCCCAGGCTCTTGAGCCCAGTGGTTAAAGAGCAGAAGAAAAATGGTTGGAGCCAGTGGATCCTTCAGTTTCCTGAAGATTAGCTATCTAGATCCTCCAAACGCCCTGGTTCCTGTCCTTTTAGGTTTCTGCTTTTGTAGATTTCCCTTTGGCTCTGGAAGCCCCCACCATGACCTTATAATTATTTCCCTTTTACCTCTAGTCAGATTTGAGTTTTGATATTTATAATCAAACCACCTCAATGGATAGCCATACCACCCTTAACTCGCCCGATCTCATTTGTTCTCTAAAGATTTCTTATAGTATAAGTAAGACATTAAGTAAATAAAGAGTCTTCACTGGAAAGAGATAATAACATATGGAACAGATGAGAAAGCACACATTCTAACTATGAAAAATGAATAGTTTAAATATTGTGATGAAACATAAAATTTGAATCCAGGAGCTACAGTTAAAAAGATAAAACACTAGGCTTTATATTTCTCACTATCACAAATGAGGATGCCCACGTTTCTCAAGGGAAAAACACTTTTTCTTGGAACTGATTTTTAAAATAGGCTAGTTTGTAAGTAAAACTGAGAAACAATTTTTTTTTCTATAACAGATTTTCTGAAATCATAAATATAGTCCAGGCTTAAAAATAGAGCACAGGATCAAAGCAAATTTCTGTAAAGAGAGATGGTATTCTAATCTTTGCTTTCACTAATATGTTCAATGATATATTTTTTCTATCTTTGTTTTTCTTTCTTGTTGTACCTTCACCATATCCGTTGTTAATAAAATACAGGGAATCATATATCCCACCATTCTAGTCATGAACCCCTACTCTAATGTTATAACTCTCAATATGAGTTGTATTTATGATTCTAAGGATAGGGTGGAGGAGTGTGACATGAAAAGAGAAGACCAATAACTTTTGGTTCAGACAATTTAGATGAACTGTATTATCAAAGGGATGTTGGACATTGTATTAGTCTGCTCCCACACTGCTATGAAGGACCACCAGAGACTGGATGATTTATAAAGAAAAGAGGTTTCATTGACTCACAGTTCTGCATGGATGGGGAGGCCTCAGGAAACTTACACTCATGACAGAAGGGGAAGCAAGCATGTTTTACATGGTGGCAGGCATGAAAGAGCATGTGTGAGTGCCGAAAAAATTACCATTTATAAAACCATCAGCTCTTCTGAGAATTCACTCACTATCAACAGAACAGCATGGGGGAAACCGCCTTCATAATCCAATCACTTCCCTCTCTTAACATATCGGGATTACAGGTCTTTCCCTCAACACATGGGGATTACAATTCAAGATGATATTTGAGTGGGGACACAGAGCCAAACCATATTAGACATAGATGAGTAGATTACTTTTATGGTAAAGATTGTAGATGGAACTTCGTTAGTGTAATTCCAGAAATATTCAATAAATATATATATATTTTCATAGTATAGTAGGTTTTATTTAATTTTTACTGAGTATATGCTATGGGAAAATTATAAATAATATATTTAAATTATTATCTCAAAACATGCTTTCATACATAGGCCAACTGCATTATTTTAAGCTTATGAAGTAAGAGAGCTACTTTTATTTACTGAGTTTTAAGAGAACAGAATTTTGAGTTTCATTGGTATGTAGTATTTGAGAATAATCTCTAATCTTGCACTTTTTTCTTTGTATTTGATTTTGACATTATTATCATCTTTCTTCAAGTTTCCTTCAATGCTAAATAAATACTTTCACTTGGAAATTCTTTTTTAAAACAATTTTTGTTGTGAAGCAAAAACATAGAAAATTATTTTACTTCTTGCTTTATGGACCTGACAGTCTATGAGACTCATCTTCTTTTTAGTACAATGTCTACAGAAACAGCAAAAATAATCAAACATTAATAATCAAAATGATCTATCTAAATAATCATTGGTCTGTCTAAAGCAATTATTAAAAATTTTCTGATAGCATTTATTCTGTGATACAAATGAATATTTTACAGTCATGCCAGTATAAGATTTAAGGCCTTTTATTAAATTAATCAAGAACGATTTTAAATTATATTTTTCCTATTTTATAAAATTCATTAATTTAATTTAAAATCTAAGTCAATAATACTGGGAAAGTTTATAAATGTAAAGAAGGAGTTTTAGTTATTGCAATATTGAAAATGAAAGTTTGACTACACTTTTAACAAAATAATTCTAATCCTTAGATTTGGCAATCTTTTTATATACCTCCTGTCTCAAATTTCTGTTCATTAGTTGTATGTGTATTTGATAGAAAAGTGGCTAAATATTGTTTTACTTCAAATTTCCCTGAAATAAAATTTTTGCTGTGAAACATACCCTGGTAAGCTGAACAAACTATTCTACATTGGAAACACAATGCTAGTGACACTTTTTTGCTTAACTCTAGTCCAATATAACAATTTCTAGTAAAACATTTTATCTTTCTTAACATTTTAAAATTCATGAATTAAAAGTTAATCCATATAACTGTGTTTAGAATTGGGGTACAGTTTTAATATATAAAATAAGGTTTTAGAAATAAAGTATAATTTTAGGAGTCATGTTGATTATTTCCTTTATCTTTTTTAGCTGTTTTATAATCCTTTTTTCTGATTAGGAGTTAACAATATGTATTAATGTTGAGACTGCCAGAATTATTAGAGGACATCATTCATGAGAAAAGAGTAGTTGTAGAAACATTAAATTCAGATTCTGATAAAAATAATTACTTAAAATCAGAAAATAATAAGCTTTGGGTCAAAGTACAGCAGGAAAGTATAAAGAAAAAAAGAGTGTACTTAATAAATCGTCACAGGATTTAGGATTTTGAAGATTAGAGAATCCCTTATACAATTTTTTTCTAGGGAGTTGGATTAATCTTCATAGCATTGATACTGTAGTGACTCTGGTTTATAATTAAAAAGAAAATATCATGGATAGTCTTACTTAAAAACCCCAAAACTTTAATGCTTACCTTTGCAATTTTAAGACAGTGTTCAATACATGTAAATATGGGTTTGTTTGTATATTTATTTATTCTTTATTGGAGTACTTATAAAGTCAAAGACAAATTATAATAGCCTCATGTTATGATCTCATGGAATTTGTAAAAATCCACATACAACTTAATGATTTTTATTTCAATTACTATCTTTAAATGTACCAACTACAATAAATAGGAGATAATCTGTCAATAACTAGTTATAATATGGACAATATTTTCTAAAATTTAAACTAGGTTCAAATGTAGTACTTGGTAATTATTAAACTGATAAAATGATAGATCATTTTGCATAACTATTTTGTTTGTTCCCACATTCCTGCTGATAAGAGAATAAACTTAAAATTTGCCAATCTCTTCTAGAATAAAAGTCAGCTTTCTTAGGATAAATGTTCAAACTTTCAGGGCTTATATCACTTCCTCCTTCCCTTTTCAAGAAAGCTTCTAGATAAAAAGTTTCTTGATAGCCCATGAGTCTTAAAAGTGATGGGATGCACCCAACTAGTGAATATTAGATAGTTTCACTAGAGGCTTCACTTCCTTGTAACTGAAAATTTTGTAGGGATCTACTTCTGCTGTGCACAAGGTGGGCGGTCCACCTTGTACTCCAAGACACCTTTTCTGAGTCTTAATATAAGTGCTTATTTATCATTTTGTTAATTTAAAACAACCACTTAATTACAAGTATCTATATAATAGATATTATAATAAAAATTATCCCCATTAAATTATGTCAAACATTTAACAGACAAATATATTACAAATTAATCATATGAGATATCAGCAGAGTCTATTCATTGCTACTGTATGTATACTAGTGAAACAAATAATAATACCATCTGCTATTACAGGTTTATTTAACCTTTTATTAGTTCAGGTACTACCGGCTGTTATTGAAAAACTCAAGAAGGAATCTGTAGTTATAAAACAGCTTGAGGTGAAAGAATTATAAGACCCTTATTGGGAAAGGTAATAATTTCATAATACTCAGTGCATGTTTGTTGAAAAAGTTCAAATCAAAACATCATATTATCAAACTAACAAGAACATAACCTTATTTCATTGGATAATATCCTCCCTCCCTACAGAAAATATAGCAATTACTGTTTAGATTTTTCATAACTAACATGAGACTCCAGATTTTGTGGTCATATACTCTGTCAGATTTCCAAGTGAACACAATTTTTCTAGTTTTTCAACGTGACAAGGGCTTTTTTTCAAAGCAGATGTTTTAGTAGCAGGAAATGGCCATAGAAGCTAAGATTGGAAAACAGAGTGAAATAGAGATTCCCAGGAATTAATTTTTCTTCATACAAGTATTGTTCTGGAAAGAGCACTGGATTAGAAGTTAGTAAATATGAATACCGACTTCAGTCTGTGAACCTGAATAGATTACTTAATATCTCAGGACTGTGAGTTCTTTCTAGGTCCAAAATTCTTGTACTGAATCTACTACTCCCAATGTCAGTAACATAAAAGTTGTTTGCATGGTAGCAAGGCTTCACAGTAATATGAAGTATCCCCATTTATCATTCCCGTGGAGAGCTTTGGTATCCCTCACCTTCTGATTAACCTCCACATGGTTCTAGACTCCTTTGCAGAGCACCAGCCAAAAAGGATATAACACACATATATAAATATTTAATTTTTCTTGTAGCCATGTAAAAGTTTAAGAAATAGGCAAAAATAATTTTAATTATATGTAAGCAATATGGCAAAAATATTAACATTTCAACATATAATCTATATAAAATATTACTAATATATTTTACATTTTATTTTTCATATTAAGTCTTGAAATTATAGGGCATTATACTTATAGCACATCTCATATTGAACATTGATTTTTTTCTATGGGAATAGTTTATTTATAGACTAGAAGAAAACTTATAATTAATATAATAAATAGGTTGTTAGCAATTATGATTTACTTCAGTATCACTGTAATTATTGCTTTCTCATAAAATATTCAAACAAATACATGGAATGTTATATCAATATATAGTACTAGAAAGATTTTAGTATCAATATATAGTACTAGAAAGATGCATGTTCCCAAATCTTCACTACAATACAGCTACATCTTATATGATGCAACAGTTAAAATGTAGCCTATAAAACAATAAAGTTGTGTGTAATGAAAAGTATTTTTCACTACCTGTTTCTAAATTAAAATTAAGATTAATTATAATTAAATAAAATTAAAAATTCAGTTTCTCAGTTATACTAGCTAATTTCAAATGATTAAAACCTACAAGTGGCTGGAGGCTACCATATTGATTATTCATCCTTAACAGATAAGGTGAGCAGCCGTCTTATGGCAGCTAAGCTAGTGCTAGCCAATTATAAGAAAATAAGAAATTAGTTCAAAAATCACATAAATACACTGAGAGAACATGATACAGTGTCATTTTTCTCCATTGCTCCTCAGCTTTTGTTATTGTTCACTCTTTATGATTTATTTTCTATGATTATTGTATTTCCTGGACTGCCTTATTTCAGAACTTTAGAAGCCATAATTCACATAAAATTGTGATTTCCCTCCACCACTGTGCAACTTAAAAGGAGTATATAAAATAAGGGACTTCAACAAAATTCTGACTGTTAATAATTTAAAAAATACTCCTTTGAAAGCTAATTTCTCTTTTTTTTTTCTTTTTAGTACTTCTAAATGCATACTTACTGTTAGACAAGTAGCACAGGTCTTTTCCCCGCCAAAAAGGTTCTGAGAAGATATTGAGATATTTAAGAAATGGAATGAATATTTCTCATTTCTTTATATATAATTTTACATAAGGGGGTTAATAGTGTCCTCTAATACTATCTAGCATAAGTCTAATTTTATACATTCCATTATATTACGTTTTCCCCATAAGGATATTAATTCTTTGAGTTAGAAAATGCAGCAACTGTATGCAAAAAGAAAAATATCACAAATGCATATGAGATTTTAGTTATAACCTTAGGTATCTTCTAGTTTTTCCAGTTAGGTATACTGACAAATTCAAATAAATCATTTCAGCTTGATGGAAGAAAAACACCCTCAACAGAAACCTTCCCTAGGATTAAAACTCGGTTAGGTTCTATGACCACACTAAATTAATGCAAATTACTAAAGTGCCACAAACTTGGGTGGCTTACACAACAGAAATATATATCTTACAGTTCTTGAGGATAGAAGTCTGAGACCAAGGTGTCAGTAGGTTTTGTTTCTTTTGAGACCTTTCTCTTTGGCTTGAAGATGGCTGTCTTATTGCTGTGTCTTCACATGGTCTTTCTTCTGCACACATATATTTCTAGTGTCTTGCTCTCTATGTCCAAATTTCCTCTTCTTAGAAACACACTAATTATATTGGATTAGGCTTCCCTCTAGAGACCTCATGTTAAACTTTATTACCTCTTTACAGTCATTTGTCTAAGTATGGTCACATTCTGAAGCACTGAGAGTCAGATATTCAACATAAATTTTAAGGAGAGCAATTCAGCCTGTAACAACTAGAAATACAGTTTCAACTTTATAATTAAAATTCCAAGCCCTAGAGAGTAATCAAAACACTAAATATGATTCAAGGTCAAATTTTTCTTTACGGTCTCCCTTCCTGGGCCTTGTCGTCCAGAGGAAGCCTATATAAGGAAAGAAGAGGGACAAGATTAACTGTTCTTGTCTCTCCTCTTTGTATTTTACTTCTTTTTCCAAATTTCTTACTTGCCACTGTTTCAGGTCTTTCTTGGATCTAGCTGAGGTAGGGTGGAGAAGATATAAAAGGACTGACCCAGGCCTAAGACCTAAGATGGCTACATGTTCTCTGGTCCTGACATTTAAGCTAATTTTGTCATGGGATGTCCAGGGCCTTTTAAGTGATTGAAGCTGGGCCTTTCTCTTCTGGGATTCCTTATTCCAGATGGATGCATCTAAATGGACACTTGCCCGAATTAGTCCCTTGCCCCTCCATATCCCAGTCTCCTTCTGCTAAGGTAGTTCTACCTCTCAGAGGGCCTGGTTGGATAGACCCCAAATGACCTCATTTTATCGGTATCCCATGATCCTCCTTGATAAAACAGGTTACACATTATTGCCCCGAGAAGCACAAAAAGACCAGGCTTATCCCAACACAGATGCTCTCTTTTCTCTCACTCTCTAGATTTCCTTGACTGGTGGCTTATTTCTGTATGAGTTTGCTTAGAATTTTTTCAGACATGGACACCAGTCCTTTTTGTGTGCCAACTGCAAAAAATACATCCTATAGCAGGGCAATCCCATTAAAGCCCACCCTACTAGGCTGGTGCTAAAAGGTATCACTCTTCCACTACTTTTTCAGAAAGGCTGTTAGAAGGGTCCTCACCAATCTACAAGGGCTCTCTGAAACGAAATATTTCCACCAGTCTTCTTTTAACTCTGTTCTTCTTTTAAACTCTTGCTGTGCCTGAAGAGTCCAAAAGTCTGTCAACTTGAAATAAATACATATAGAGACAAATCTTCAAGAGTAAAGGACTTGTTTGGGAAGAAACAAAGTAATAGGATTTTAATCCAGGACGTATGCACAAACTGAAATAGCCTCTGTCATCTCTGGAGAACAAAGAAAGGAATTTATTAGGGATTTATTGGGAAGAGAGGAGGTTATGCAAGTTGTTTTGCAGGAAAGTTCATTGGCAAGTGTCAGTGGTTGCTAGATAAAACTTGTAGTCTTGAAGTTATGGTTAGGCCCTTGCAGTTTTTAGCTTGCCTTGTGAGACAGTTTTGAAACAGGCAACTGTTGTTTAAGTGGCTAGCTGTCCTTGTGTGACTCATGTAGTAAGCTGCAGTTTGGAAAAATTTTTTGTGATAAATCTTGTTATCAGGCAAATCATATATACAAAACCAACAAGGAATAGATAATACAAAATTAATGAATGGTTGAGAATTACTGCAGGCTAGGATGAACCAGAGATAAAAAGCCTACACACTTCAAATTTGTTTATTATTTTTTAAAAATAAGAGAAATTAAGAGAGGCACTGACATTAAGCTGATAATCTAAATGTATGAATTGGAATCCTATTTACATTATATAAAAATTGCTGAATATCTTTGAATCTTAATTTACTCATAATGAAAATGAGGAGGATGGATTACATTGTCATTATATTCCTTTTCAGTTATTTTTTAAATCTTGAGTGATTTCCTTTCTCTTTTAAATGGTATGTCAGTGACTCTCAAAAATTACTTACAGATGACAAAACATTTGAGAGTATATTTTGATGTTACATTTTTTTTAAGTCGTACATATAATTATGAGAACTAATGTTTAGGAGAGCTATTTTGCAGCTCTAATTCTAAATGAGAATCAAATACTTTTGATTCTATATGGCCTTAATTTAAATTACATAGTTTACATATTGTGAATATGTCAACATGTAAAATATTTCTGTCCTAAGATGACATTTTTCATTTCTGTATTTATTTTTATAAAAATCCTAGGTCATCTAAACCGTGGTTATATAGCCATTGTTATTGGTTGATTGTGTAATGTGGTAGTTAAAACCATGACTGAGAAAACGAATGATTTGTCCTTCCTTCTAGGTTTACCAAATGACTCAGTAGTAGTTTTTGGTTTGGGTTTATTTTAGTCATCCTCTCTCTCTCCCTGTTTCTCTGTCTCTCTCTACATATCACTTGACACACACACTATATATATGTGTGTATATATACAGACACATATATATCATTTGGAATATGCATTTATATACATATATGTCTCTTGAGATTTGGTATATATATAATGATGTATAACATTTAATGCATACACAATGATAGTACAATTTAAATAAAATTATTTATCCATAGAAATACAAGCAGCGCACAAATTAGGTGATACCATTATTTTTAGAAGTGCATTATAATTTTATCATTAAATTACATAAATTCTTAATAAAATTTACTAAACATTTCAACCATAAATAAATAATTTATTTATACTTTAATTAGCAAGTTTAAAAGTTACCTGATTCATTTATCTACTTTCCATAAAATTCTGCATAAGAAGTGCTAAAAGTAGTTCTTTCACAGACTTCAATTTTTAACTTTTTTCATTGTGTTAGACTATTGATTCCACAGCTATAAAATTACCTTGGAAAAAAGACACTCCCTAAATCTTGCGCTCAATGCTCTGAAATGGAATCATCTTCCTACAACCACTGATTAAAGTCAAAGAAGGTCAGGGAATCTTTTGTTATGACAATCTTATTTTGCAAATAAAGGATACAACATTTTAAGCCTGCTCTACATTGTTCAATAACTCTTCTTTTCTCTCACATATTTTCTTTGGATGTTGAATGCTTTAATATACCTTTGTGTGTGTAGATGACCTTGCAATACTTGTATCTTCCTGTGAGAATTCTTCCTGTATAATTTATAATGTATTTTCATGCTACATTTTTTTGTATTCTTTGGCTAAACAACTTAATAGCTCTGCATAGTGTATTCCCATTTAATTAAATAATAAGTAGGGCTGTGGGCCAAAATCAATCTGAATCTAAATGGGACAAATTTGTTTTTTTTCCTACAAGAGGATTGTAGTCCTTAATATTTTGTTGCTAAAGAATAACTTGTTTTAAAACTACTCATAGTTCTACATTTTTAACTTCATAGAAAACTTTACGAAAAAGGTCTATGGCTGAGGAACTCTTGAATCAAGATGGTTATCATGAAAGCCTCCCCAAAAAGTAGCATTCCTTTCTAAATAAATTTTATCATTACAATTTATTTCTGACAGTAGTTTTTACTGTTTACTTTTTTGGGGGGAATTGTTTCAATATATGTTAGAAAAATAAATGTTTTTTTTAATCCGGTAAGGCCAATGTATTCACAGAAGTAATAGAGATACATTGACAAAGCTATACCTGTATGACATATATTTGATTTGTATATTGATGAAACAGATAATCTCTTGTGCGATTTAAGTTGAAGATAGTAGCAATGCTGGTTTCTATAGCATCGTAGAATCATGTTTCTGCAATCTTATTCCCTGGAATCAAATCCTAGTTTTAAACTTAATCCAAAGTTATGCTTTTTCTTCATTTCCTTTTCTAAAAGCATCTCGCTAAAAAAATCAGATTCCTGAATTTGTTCCTCTGCCTCCCTCAAAACCTCCCTTCTGTATTCCATCTACTCAGGGCCTATTTTGGTTTCTATTAAACCATAAAATATTGGTACTAAGATATTATTACTATTATTCTAATAGCTTATTTGCATTCCCAGATAAAATAGACATTATCCTTATTTTAAGTTAGGAGACAAGCAAAAACACACTTATCAAAAATATTACAGAGAAAATCCTAACATGGAAAGTATTTGCTAAAATATCATAGGTTACTCAGATTTTTATAGGGTGAGAAATAAATGATCAATATTTTGAAGAACAAAAATTGAAGGAAAAATAAGCAAACAACAAATAAGAAAAATTAGTAACTGAAACACTATTTATTTATTTATTTATCTATTTATTTATTTATTTTTTGAGACAGAATTTTGCTCTGGTTGCCCAGGCTGAAGTGCAATGGTGCGATCTTGGCTCACTGCAACCTCCGCTGCCTGGGTTCAAGTGATTCTTCTGCCTCAGCCTCCCAAGTAGCTGGAATTATAGGCATGTGCCACCACACCCAGCTAATTTTGTATTGTTTTTAGTAGAAATGTTGGGGTTTCACCATATTGATCAGGCCTGTCTTGAACTCCTGACCTCAGGTGATCCACCTGCCTCAGTCTCCCAAAGTGCTGGGATTACAGACGTGAACCACCGTGCCTGGCCAACACTAGTTAATTATATCATGACTAAAAATAAACTTATGCTCTAAATGTCCACTATCTCTCACATTGTAATTTATAAACTCATATATTTATTTAACTGTTTTGAAAACTTGAAATCTATAAAAACACAAAGGTCAATTGTGTTAGATATCAGGTGATAAAAACATGATCCTTAGTAAAACATGTTGACAGGAAAGTTTGTATCTCTTTATAACAAATGTCAAAAAACACAAGAAAGAGGTTGTATAACATGTGATAAAGTTATAACCTAGTCACATTAAGTCTTACTTCAGCCCTTGAGACAAAACTGATAAACTAGCAAGTTGAGTCTTTATATGACTCAAAATTCTTACCTCCAGTTTTCTCATCAAGACAGTGAAGGCATGTTCAGCATGATACTTGAGCAAATAGAGACATTTAAGTCCAAGTGATTATTTCAAAGTTTATTTTTAATTGAAGCTAATTGCATCATTAAAGGAAGACTCAGTTCTGATTCCACATTTTCTCCTTTCTGAGAATGAGCATTTATTTATTTTTGTTTTTACTAAAGACATTTTTTTGAAAACCATAGTTTAGCACAAGTGATCAAAAATAATAAATGCATTAGGATAAAACATAAAATAATTTAAATAAAATTTCTGAGTGCTGGAATCTTTTATAAGATTTCTTATTATGAGTGCATACTTTGGAAAAAGGACACCTAAATTCAAAGCTTGTTTTTACATTTTAGCTGCTCCGGGAGTCTCATAAACTTGCAAAGGGCTATTGTGTTAAATGAAATTCTAGACGAGGAAATTTGCACATTGTCTCACACAATAAAAGTGCTAAAAACCAAAAGTCAGCTTTCATGTTATCAAATTCTATTCAAACAGCTGTTACAACTTCTACAAGCCAGCTAAGATATATTGTCTTATAGTTATTTGTAGGTCTCTCTCTTATTAATGAAGTTCCTTAAGAGACCACTCTTAATGAAGTTCTCTCAGAAATCACTCCCTCAGTCCCACTGTGACCTGCCCAGAGTAGTCATTCATCCATCCATATATTTATTCAACAAAAGTTTACTAACAATGTACTATGTACTTTGCTAAGGGACAGGATGGTAAAAGAGAAGGGCAAGTTCTTCCAATAGGTTCTTAGATACCGTGGCTTTAAGTAAAATGACTTACAGCAGGTCCTCGAATAACATCATTTTATTAAAACATTGATGAGGAAAAAAATGATGTTGTTATCCATTAGTTTCCCTGAATCTATTAATGATGTTAAGTGAGGACTTCCTGTATATACATATAGTGTGTGTATGTGAGTACACATTAAACAGACCAAAGAAAGGAATCTTACATTTGAAAACCTGCTATAAAGGAAAAAATGGAAGGGGCTGGAATAGAGAATAATACAGGGGATGTAGGATCTAGATTAGGCAGATAGCCAGGGAACATATTATCATAATGAAGTGGTGTAAAAGCTGAGAATAAGTTTGGCATGAGAAGATTAGAGTTGAGGCAGTGCCAGGACAGCAACATTGAAGAGAAGAGGCTAATCGGAATAAACAAAGGCCCTGCAGAGGAAAAAGCTTAACAAGTTTGAAGAACCTAAAAATGCCCATGTGGCTAAAACATAGCAGGATTAAGTGAGAGTTATCTGAAATAAGGTTGTAGAACCTTGTCCTCAGGCCGTGATAAGGAAGACACAGAAGAATTTTAAGCAGGAGAGAGGGAAAATATGTTTAAGCTTTGAGAAATTGTTTTTTGTTTTTCATTTCTGGAAAATATACTATAGTGTGACAAAAATGAATGTAGGAAACAGCGTTGTGTTGCACTATCCTGGTGAGAAAAGACGATTGCCTAGATTAAGATGGAAGGCAGAAATGAAGAGAAGGCAGATTTACTATAAATTTATGTTGAAATTGACAGGATTGAATGTTGCTATGACCAAAAAAGAAGAAATTATGAGCAATTCTGAAATTTCTGATTTGAATCCTTTGGGTAAAAATCTCTAATGAGAAAATAATTTAGATGGGGGAAAAAAGAATGCCTTCTCTGTGGACTGTGATGTTTAAGTTCAAGAGTATATTTGTGGTTGCAAGTGATGATTGAGTAGGTGTGTTAAGAAGGAAAATTATCTCTGATTATCTATGTCTGAAGTTTATGAGAAGTTCTAAGCTGGAGTCATAGTTGACATTTAGCCCAGAAAGATAGCATTTAAATGGATGGAGTTTAATGATTTCCCCCAAAGACTTAATGTAAAATCAGGAAAATACAACCAAAGATTAAGCACTGAGAACTCAAGAACCAAGTGTCCATAAGGTAGATTGAAAACTAGAAGAGTAATTTTTTCAAATTTAGTTTTATTTTCTTCATTGACAGATACAATTGTATGTATTTACTGTGTACAACATTATGTCTTCAAGTATAAATGCATTGTGGAATGACTAAATCGGGCTAATTAACATATACATGTGCATTACATCACATGGTTATCATTTTGTGGTGATAACACTTTACCTCTCTCTAGAAGAGAGTGATTTTGTCAAAGTCCAGTAAACATGTTTCAAGGATGGAAGTGGTCAATATATGACATGCTCTGAAAGCCTTTCTGTTCTCCTTTACATTAATTTCATAGAAGAATTTATCTTCTTTTACAATTAATCATATCCAAATCCTCTTCTCATTCTTTTCTGAACCATTTTCACCCCTATGATTTGTGGAAGTCACAATTTCTCAGTTCATGTATTATTTAACCTATGATCAGAATTTGTCAGTTTCTTGAAACACTTTCTGAATTTGGCTTCTGGAATAATACTCTTTCATTTTTCTTTAACCGTGATTCTTCCTCAGTCTCCTTTGTCATTTTCTCCTCAGATTTCTGATCTCTATTCAGGCTTCTGCCTAAAGTTCTGGGTCATCCCCTGCAGTTCCATAGCTTTAAATCCTCTATGCCCATGACTCCCAACATCATATCTCCAGCTCATGTCTTCAGAAACTTCAGTTTCACCTTATGCAAGTACCTGTAAAACACCTTCATTTAGATTTCCAATATGAATTTCAAATTTAACATCTTCCTCACTTCACTCCGGATATTTTCTCATGGTCTGCTCATTCCAGTCTTTCTCATATCAGCAAATGACCTTTTTTTTTCTCATTTATTCAGGACAAATGTTTAAAATCATCCTTGACTCCTCATTTTTTCTCATATCAGCAAGTCCTGCCTTGCTCTGCTTTCAAAACATTCGCAATAGACTACTTCACTCCACCTGCATTTTAAACACTCAGTTTCCTGCCATCACCTTCTCCTGCTTGGATCATTTTGACCTTTCCTAAAAGGTCTATCTGCTCTCATTCTTGGCCTGTCATATTATATTAGCAATTAAACAACCAAGTGATATTTAAAAAATCCAAGTCACATAGTAGCATTCCTCAGTTCAGAACCCTTCAGTGGTTCCATCTCACTGAGTAAAAAGCTTGTTGCATTTACTTACATGGTTTACTAACTTACGTCTCTGACTTCATTCCTTGCCTCCCCACTTCTCTTGTCACACAGTGGCATCCTTGCTGGTCCTCAAAATGTCACACCTCCTTCTGTCATAGGGTTTTTGCATTTGCTGTTCCTTCTGTCTAGAAAATTTCCTAAATTGTGTGGCTCAATTTCTGATACTCTTCATAAATTTGATTAAATCTTAAATCTTAGTAAGGTCTTCCGAACTACTCTATTTAAAATTGCATCTGTTTTCTGATGTTAAAAAATTCCATCCCTTGCATTATTTTTTTTTCATAGTGCTATTCATCCTTTCAGTAAAAGCCTCATAAAGACAGGGATATCTGACTCTTTTGTACACTGCTATATGCTGAGTGAGTAGAGGAGTCCAGGCATATGGAGAATTCTCAAATATTTTGTCAAATCAGTAAATTGAAGAGATAGAATGGTGTACTAGTTTGTTCTCACACTGCTGTAAAGAAATACCTGAGATTGGGTAATTTATAAAGAAAAAAGTTTTAATTGGCTCATGGTTCTGCAGGCTGTACAGAAAGTGTGGCTGGGGAGGCCTCAGGAAACTTACAGTCATTGAAAGGGAAGCAGGAGTGTCTTACATGGCCAGAGCAGGAGAAAAAGAGAGTGGGGAGGTGCTATACACTTTTAAACAACCAGATCTCATGAGAACCCTATCACCAAAACAGCACCAAAGGGTGAAATCTGCCTCCATGATTCCATCACGTCCCACCAGGCCCCACCTCCAATACTGGGGATTGAAAATTTACATGAGATTTGGGTGGAGACACAAATCCAAACCATATTAAATGGGATTTGGTAACATGGGGGTTATTGCAGTGATGAAATTTAGGAAAACCCTGGACAAACTTGCTTGAGGTGTGAATGTAAAGTGAGGGAGTAAAAATGGTTTGTGGAGAGAGTGTTTTTCAATAAATTTAGTGAAGAGGGAAGAGAAGAATGTGAAGGAAGTCAGAAGGGAAATGTAGAGTCAGGAGATGATTTTACTTTATTTTTTGTCTTTTAACCTTGAAGAAAGAGAACATATTTCTGTAGTGATGGAAATGACCATATAGAATAAGAGAAAATAATGGTTCAGGCGAGCAAAGAAGATAAGATAGAAACAAAGACCCAGAGGTGTCCTGGGATGTGATTTATAGCGCAAGTAGGTAGATTATGTTTGGTTTTTTACTTGTTTGTTTTTGATAAAAGGATAATTCTTCCAGGGTAATGAGAAGGAAAAGGAAAATAAATGTTCACTGAATAATATTCATTAAAACAATCATTATTTATTTAAATTATTCTCAAGGAATAATAGCTATCTTCAAGGCTATATTTCAATGTGGAAAGAGTTCCATGTTTCACCAACATAAAAAATAAAATTATGTAATGTATAAATCATTCTGTAGAATAGAAGGAAAGATAAAGGGAAAGAATCTGATGCTTACCAACATGAGTAGGGCTCAAAGTAAGGCAGTAGATGAGAAAATTGGGAAGGAAATCCTGAATGAAATGAGACATATAGAGGCAAAATTTGAATGCAAGTCTTCTTATTTCAAATTCTGTGCTATAATACAATTCACTATATATATATGTATATATATATATATATACACACATATACATGTACATACATACGTATATTTTAATTAAAATTTTGGGGGGACTATTACAATATTAATAAAAGATGGATTTGAAAAATATACTCTAACTCCTTTATTGGTAGTTTACCTTATTGTGAGAACCAAATTAATAGGAGAGATTTAGCATAAAAAGCAATCTATCAAACTTTTAAAAATCTTCAATTAATTAGTTTTGAAGAGGGTTTAGCCTGTGAAAATGTCAACTGATACAAACTAAGAAAAAAGTCAGATATAATATCTCCTTGACCATCAAATTCTCACCTTTATTTATTCTTTACAGTTGTATCATTATTCTGATGGCTGTAAATTCCCTAGTCAAAAATGACCTGCCTCCTGATCATTAGCTGTTATTCATATATAAATTTTTATACAACTAAATTTCATAAAGATAGTTGCATTGAGAAAACAGGTATCCATTAAGGAATCATAAATAATTAATGTACATTATAAATTGGATTGAGTGAGATGAGTAATTACTTTAAAATGTGGTAAGACAGATGCTCAAGAATACATAATTTAGAAATTGAGTTTTTAGTTAATAAAATATTTTAACTGTGTGAAAAGTTTACTGAAAAGCTGGAATGTGACTTTTAGAAAAAGAAAATAATTTCATTATTTTCCATCTCTATATTTGAATAAGCTCTATCAACTTTTTGTTTTCACCATTATCACTAAACATTGAGTATATGTCAGGCCCTTTGCCAAATATTTTCTCCTGTACATTTCATTTCATCATTACAACTTATGATGTGGTTACTTTTCTCCATTTTACAAATTAATAAGTACAGCATTCATAGACACTAATCAGTACCCTGAAAAGTCTCTAAGTAATAATCACCGAAGTAGGGATTCATAATCAGGCTATGAGAAGACAGCATTTTATCTCTTTTACAGTTCTGTTATCCTGGGTGAGAACACAAAATGCTGTAAGACTTCCATAAGAAACTAACACTATTATTTATTATACTATTTTTCTCTTGATTGGTATTTTTCAGAATTCAGAAATACTAATATATTGATTTTTATAATCTAGAATAATAAATTTAACCCTTTGAATTAAAGTTCATCTCTAGCCAAAAGTCAATCTGTCATTTTTAAAAACCTGCTAAGATATAGGATGCACACACATACACAATCCTTCATGGTTGTCTACTCTAAAATTATGGATATATTTGCAGATATGCTTGAAACAGGTGTCTCAAAACTCTCTTCAAAATATCTAAGTGATAGCCATATCAAAGAAACTACTTAATTAATTAACTATTCTCAGTGAGTGCACTTTAAATTGGAATTTTACATGTATATGTTTCCCAGTAAGTTTGAGATAATGCCTGTTATTTCCCTGCCTGTGCTTATGTACATTTCTCCCAGAAATACTAAAGCACTGTGCAGTCACATTCAAAATTCCCTTTCTTAACAGACTTCATTAAATTAGATGCTAAATTTATTTATATGAAATAATCTAGGTGCAAAAAGGCAAATACTTCATTATCTTATTTATATTTGGAATCTAAAATAGTTGAACTCATAGAAGTCGAGAGTAAAATGGTGGTTACCAGGGGCTAGGGTCGGAGGTTGGGAAGATGTTGGTCAAAATGTACAGAACTTCAGTTTTATGGGAGGTATAAGTTCAAGAGATGTATTATACAACATAATGACTAGAGATAATCTATGTATTACATTCCTAAAAATTGCTAAGAAAGTAGATTTTTAAGTGTTCTCACCACATAAAATGACAAGTATATGACATAATTCATATATTAATTAGCTTAACTTAGCCATTCCACCATACATACATATTTCAAAACATCATATTATACACAGTAAATATATAAAAAATAAATAGGTAAATTTTTCAAAAATCTTCTTTCTCATCACAGAGTTCATGAAATTAAGATTCTAAACCTCCTAAGATAGAAGGGCAACTTAAACCGCACAATCCTTCAGAGAGACAGAATATGATTTTTCAATAGGTCACTCTAGCTAAGAATGGTAAAGACAACTGAAAATGTCCCCATTCAGCCAGATATGAGAAAATTCAACGAACAATTATATTGCATTTTGCAGGTTAAATCATCTTAATAGAATTTTAGTCTTGGAACTATTAGAGATGTGAAAATTAGAGACAAGGACTCCCTTTTTCTTTTGACTAGTTTTGCTTCCATCGTCCTTAAATAAATATCTAAAATATTTAAAATATTTATTTAAGGAACCATAATTATTTAGGACTTAAATAGTTAAACTTTTCTGTTACTTAAGATTTCCTAATGTAAATTTTAAATTAAATATTCATCATACCTCCAAGTAAGACTTAGAATTAGAAATAAGAGATAAGAGCTAACTGGTGCGAAACGTTAAAACTCTTCAAATAAATTTCTGATACTAGAACTATGGTTGCTAGGTGTCCAGAAAGCAACAAACATCTGCTTCGAGCTGTTTAATATCTTTGAAGCAACTCCATATATTCTCCTTTACTAATTCCCCTCACATTATTATACCAAAACTAAATGTGCCGTCATTTTCTGTTTTTTAAATATCTTTTAATCATTGCACTAACTTTGTTTTCCAATCTGAATTGCCCCTTCTCACAGTTGCCTATGTCACTCAAATGCAATCTTCATATTTTTTTCTTATGTAGCAATTCAGACATGATCTTTCTATTTTCCCATTCTTCTCTTAATTGTAGCTATTTTGTATACATCCTATAGCTCTCTTAAAGTAAAATCTATGCCTTATTAACTATTATGTTTCTCTTCCGACTGAGAATAGTGCCTTGGGAATTCTAAATCTAGAAAATATGTTTTATAGAATGAGTACACTCTGTAAAGTATAAGAAAAATATTTATTATTTTTTGATAAAATATTATATACTGATTACATTTCATGTAATTCCAAACTCTTACCATTTTGTCTTTTCAAATATAAGAATAAAAGACTTTTGTAACACTGGTGATACATCATTCTATCATTTTTAATTGGCTGAGTCAACATTCTCCATCATGTGAGAATAAATGAACTGAGTTACTTTTATATGTATTCTAACTTATAAGTAAACATGGCACATATGAACACTGAGCTACACTGGTCTGTACTATAACGTGAAAAGGCCTGAATATGAAGATGTGTGATGTCTCTGTAGTATAGAACAAAAAGCATTAGACTTGGAGACAAATCCATGAAATTTGTAGCCCTTGGAATCTCAATTTTATCAGTGTAACATAGAAGTAATTATATCTAATCTGTAATATTATTGTGATAATTATATCCCATAGTATTTTGGAAAGCACCTTTCACAGTACCTTGCTATAATAGACATATTGGGAACTTACATATCTAATTTCCTGTATGATAATTTTTCATGAAAAAATATTGACAAAAGGGCATTTTATATCTTCTTTCTTATTGTGTTTATTCTTTGCATTGGAGTAATAATAATGAAGCACATTGGTGTGGTCCTTTCCAGTTTTTAGTTGTCTTTTGTATGTAGCTATTCTTCACAACAGCCCACTTTCTGCTAGTAGTGTGTACATGTTCATTGAGTTGGACAGGTCTGATGAAAATACAGAACATTACTTCACTTAGGCTGTTTGCTTTACAAATTTTCTTGATAAGTGTAACAAGCACAATTGCACATCTTTAACTGATATTTAGAAGAAATCAAGTAAAATATAATTAAAAATTATGAGCATTGATTGGTCTATTGAGTCAACCCATTTTCCATTATCACCAAGAAATATTATCTCTATCCTTAATAACTTCATGAGCTTCTTCCTTGGTGTAATCTCTGACTATTGCCTCTCTACAACCCATTCTTTACATGTAAGATAAGTGATGTTTTGTAGTACAAGCTGTCAAGCTTGAAACTTCACTATAGATTTCTAGCACATTCATAATAAAAGTTAATTGATACAGCTGACTGTTTGAATCTATGTGAATAACTCCTACATGTATCACCAAACTCATCTCTACCTCTCCTCTCTCTGCCTATGTCTCAGAAATATTGACCTTCTTTCTGGAAAAAGGTCCCCTGGCCTTCATATGGTTGGCCCCTTTTTGTGTTTTAGGGCCTTAAAAAATATACTTGTATCAAAGAGGTCTTCATTGACCAGGTACCAGTCACTCTCTATTATGCTCCTTTTAAAATTGTCCTCAATTTACTTTTGTATATTTTCTTTCTTTGTTAATTTATGGGTTTATTGTTTCTGTACCCCTCTAAAAATATGGTTCCTTGAAAAGAAGACCTTATATGATTTTTATCTTTATATCTTCAGCATAATAGTGCATAGCACATAATAGGCACTCAATAAATATTTATTAAAGGAATTGTCAAGAAATGCGTGTCTCTCATTAAATATATTAGCCTGTTTTCTTAATTCAATAAAGAATCCAACGCATGCCATTCTGTGGGAATATCATACTATCATTTTATGTCCCATTTTAGCTTTGGTATCCTTCTTGTTCCTTAAAACTTTGGAGATGAAAATTTTCTAAATATCTAGGATATACTTTTCCAGCTTAAAGGGTCATAGAAAAGCATTATTCACAGTCATATTTGTGCCAATTACACTGGCCTTTCCCTGCTGCTCACAGCATCTGTTTCTTTCAGGGACTCTGCTCCTCAGCTTTTAGCATTCCCAGCACTTGGTCTGTTATTTATTTGGAACATTGGTTTCAATTAGCCATTTGGATATTTTTTTAAATCGCAGTACTCATTATACTTTCCGTATCATCCCAGGCAGTTTCTCATTCTGCATGGATCCTGCTCTTGACTCTTAATGTGGAACCTCTGGTCTGATGTATTTACTTTTTCAGCCTTTTCAAATGTGCATTCCAGTGCAGAAGCTCTGTAATAGTGATTTTCAAACTTTTTCATCTTTGGGATGATCTTGTTAGGGGAAAGGGCCAGGAAATCTACCTCATTTATCCCCACATGCCACTGTGTCACATATTTTTTCTTATAGCAGCAAACTACCACCTTCATCAACTCCCTACACAAAAACACACACACACACACAGAGGCACATACACAAGCACACACACACAGGCACACAAACACTACCCATTGACAGTGAAGTGATTTGTTTTAAATTTAAATCAGATCTTCCCTTCTCCATTGCTGACTTAGAATAAATTTAAGTAAATAAAACCCAAACTTCTTACAATAGCCTACAAACCTGTAATTCCCTAATACTTATTATTCAGTCACTGCCTACTTAGACATACCATGCTGTTTTCTTCCTTAGATCCTTTACATCTGCTCTTCATTCTGCGTGGAAAGTTATGCCCTCAAATCTTCCCATGAGGGACTTGTTTTTCCTCATTTTTCAGGAGTAAGCAAAGATATCCCCTTCTTTGAGATGATAGACCAAGGCGAACTAGGCTACCCTCAACAACCCGGATATTCACAATCAGGGCCTTCTATTTATGTCTTCATGTACTAACATTTTTGAAATCACCGTGTATGTTTTGACATTTTTCTTTCCTATCTCTTTCCTTCGTGTTATCATTTTGGCACCCAGAGGAATTCCTAGAATACATCCAACACTTAATATAATTGTAGAAGGAAAGAAAAAAAGATAGAGGGAGGGACGAAGGAGAGGGAGAAAGAAAGCAAGAGAGCAAGCAAAAAAGAAAGAAAGAAAGAAAAAAGAAGGAAGGAACGAAGACATATTAAAATACATGTATTATATAATTCAATTAAATTCTTTATTCTCATAATTTTATAGACCTTAAACATTTTCTAGCCCAGTGATTCTTTTCTGATATTTTCTGGAAGAATAATGAGGATCTACTATTTTGATTATTGCAAAAATGCTTAATCAAAATTTACTCATTACAGGACCTCACCTGCTCACTAAAATATCAACTTCCTTTACTTAACACTATAATTAAATTAACACTGATTGTTCTTTCTCATGTGATATACAGCTCATCTAAGAGGTGGTGTGAAAAATGATTGTAAGTAATCATACTTTGCAAAAAAACGAAAGTACCTATGTAGTCACATCATTACATATAACTTTTAATTACTAAACATCACTTCACTGGGTTGACTCAAGGAAATGCATTATAAAATATTTATGCTTAGAAATTTAGTATCACATAATAATATTTTTGTGTCTCATCTTTTGTTTTCTACACAACACACTTCAGTTTATTTTATTGACTGACTGACTGACTGGTATATTACTTTTTATTGTAATTTTGATTCCAAGGCACACCATATTGAATTTCATTTTAATTAAATTCTAGAATTTACTCACCTGTACATAAACTGTTTATTCTTTCTATCAGGAAAGCAAGAACTGCACAGATTCGGTGATATTTAATAGCATAAACCATCTTTCTGAAAGAAAAATTCATTTTTAGAGAGCATATTTTGCAATATAATCCAAAATAAAATGCATACTGGCTGACCATTTTTGCACATGTACTGTAGTTGACTACACAGCATAAATGGGGGATCTGAGAACTCCTGATGTCCCACCAAATCCTTCCCAATCTCCTAGCTAGTGACTGAAATTCTACAACATGAGTTTTATCCTCTTATGAAATACCTACATTGATCTTCCTATGAAATATGTTTTACAGGAATATATATATATATTTAATTCAGCAACTATATATATATATTCAGCAGCAATATATATATATTTAATTCAGCAAACAATTCTACATATCATTTTGAAAATAAATGAAAAATGATTAAGTAGGTCCTCATAAGTATGAAATTGGAAAATAGAAAAATGACAAATGGAGTGAATGAATACAGACAGATAATTATTATGGGTTAAAATTTCTTCTGTTTTTCCATTTTTCTTTAGAGATGACCCGAGGTAATCACATTTAGGAACAACAAAAATTTTACTTTTTAATTTCAGGATTTTAAAAAAATGTTTTCTATCCACAGAAAGAAAATTTATCTTTTCTTTTAAGAAACACATTTGGTTTTCAGAAGGGAAGAGAGAAATGTAGTGGTAACTACAGTGAGTGGAGTTGGAGGACTGTGTCTGCTGGCATTATTATAAAGTCCATATGGGTTCTCATGGCTTGTGTCATAATCTGCTGTACTATATTCTCATAATATGCTCTCTACTTATATTTCCAAGCTAAGTTTCTGTGATATTCCTGCTTGCAATTTATCCTTTACCCATACTAAGTGGTCTTTAATTCCTAGAAACTAACAAAATCTGTCTTGTCTCAGGGTGTTTACAATACAGGCCTCTGTTTGGACTATTTACTTATTTTCTTTTCACCTTGGCATTTCCTATTCATTGTTCTGGTTTTAGTTTAAACATAACATTTTTCACAAAGCCTCTGTTTATTAATTTGACCCCCAAGACCAGATTAGTGCTTCTATTAAATACTTCCGTAAAACTCAAGCATTTAACCCATTGTTTCAGTTAAACATGGCTTGTGAAAGACAAGTCATGTATTAGAGGCTTAAAACAGAACGCTTCATTATTTCTCACAATTCTCTTTGTTGGCAAGATGCTTTTTTGCTCGCATGTGTAGTTACAGTCAGCTAGATAGTTGACTATCATAGAAGGTCCAATATGGCGTAACACAGTTTTGTAAATTGGGACACTTCAGTTTTGCTCCTTGTGCCATTTATCTTCTGGTAGCCAGACATACTTCCTTACGTGGCTGTATTAGTCTGTTCTCATGCTGCTAATAAAGACGTATTCGGGACTGAGTAACGTATAAAGGAAAAATTTTAATTGACTCACATTTCCACGTGGCTGGGGAGGCCTCACAATCATGGCGGAAGGTGAATGAGGAACAAAGTCACATCTTACATGGCAGGAGGCAAGAGCTTGTGTAGGGGATCTCCCATTTATAAAACTATCCGATCTCATGAGACTTATTCACTACCACAAGAACAAGAACAGTAGGGGGAAAACTGCCCCCATGATTCAATTATCTCCATCTGGCATTGCCCTTGACATATGAGGATTATTCCAATTCAAGATGAGATTTGGGTGGGGACACAGTGAAACCATATCAGTGGCAGTTTGAGGAAAGCATCCCAAGAGATCCAAGGTGGAAGCTACAAAGAATATTGAAAGTGAAGCTCCAGAAGTCACACATCATCCCTTTTGCTGCACTCTGTTGGTCACAGCAAGTCATTAGGACATCCTTACCCAAGTGGGTGGGAAATAGACTCCATCTCTTAGTAGGGTCACACCTACTCTACCTCTTAGTCAAGAGTCACAAAGAATATGTGACCATATTTAATATAACACAGCAACATAGTACAAACATATTCTGTTATTTTTGTTAATTGTTTATCCCTTTGTTCACGTTATCTCCCATGCTCACCATTGCATTCTATCATGTAACAATAGCTAGCAAAAGGTAGAAACTCAGTATGTAGTATTCATTGAATGAAATAAAATATTGATGCAAAATATTATCTTGGCTAAAAATAAGTATTGTTTCATAGAAACATAGGACACAAGAGACTGTGGAACATAGTATAGAGAAATAAAGTGAAATGCCCAAGTGATAACTGGATAGGAAGTATTGTGTCACCAAGATTAAGAAAAAAATCTGTGTAATCTGACAGTCTGAGTAAAAGTGCCATATATCAGGTCTTTTTCTTAAATAACTCTTTCATTTTATTATGGTTTTAGCTCAAAAATCACTTTGTGTTTCACTACCTGCTGTTTTATTTATCTGTTCATTCTTTTTGTCTCCCATTTGAATGTAATATTTCTTAGGAAACACAGTGTCTGTACTGTTCACCTCTGGATCATCCAGCCTCTGGCATAAACTAAGCACTCGACAAATTCTTGTTGCCTAAAATTCTGGAAGAATGAATAAATGACCTAAGACAATAAATACTTGTTGAGTGAATACGTGAATGAATTACTTAAATCAACTTATTTACCCGCAGCTGTATAAATTTTCATGGTACCTGCTGCCTACGGTTGTTATGATTATTATATATGAATTGCTTATCATGGAATATGCATTAAATAATGATCAATAAGTGTTAGGCTATGATTATTAGGGACAGTGGGGAATAGTTGGCTGAGTACTAATGGATGCCTGAGTCTCTGGTGTAAATGTCCTCATCATAAAACATCCACTCTCCATGAAAAATTAAATTGATGTGTGACTGGGAAAAAAGACGACTTGCAAGAAATTTTCTGAAGATTGGAGAAGACTTTGTTGGTAAAAGTTAGGAACCAGAAACTTGCAGAATCTTTGTTCATGCCCAAAGGTGGCAAAAATGATACACATTAGCAACATAGTAAGAAGCCACAAGTATGATAATGTGAGTCTTGTAACTATTGAGCAGCAGATACTTTGCAAAGATGAGTGAAATTAGATTACTAAGAACTGTTTTATAATAGAAGAACTCAAATTGTTAAAAGACAAAATAGAACATAGAGGTATCAAACTTCACCCTTAAACTAAATTATTTAAACAAGCAAAAATAAGCTATTGAGATATGTTGTACATTTTTAATGCATTTACACATTAAACAGGTGTGAAATTTAATCCACAGATGTGGATAGGCAAGAAGTGTTACTTTGTTCTCTTAAATTCAAATACATTTGAAAGCCCCTATCATATTTGACAGGAAAAACATTATGTAGGTCATTGTGGGGTGAGGGTAGAAGAAACATTTGGCACCTTCTCTTCCCTTGATTTGCGCAAGAATCCAATAGGCCTTTGTAGCGACTAGACTATGGGGAGAAAGCCATTTAGTCATCATTGTCCAAACCCATATTTTCTATGAAGGCAGATGACCCTCTTCTTTCCATGATAAGCCTGAGTGAGGAAATCCTAGCCAAATGTGAGAATACAGATTCCTAGACCCTTCTATTTTCCTTAGAGATGATGTGTACATCATCTTCATTGCTTCTCCCCAAACTCTAACACCTCCCCATCATTGCCCTCCTCTTTTCATTTGGTGTACTTTCATGAAAGGACCTAGACTCTCAGGAAACAAAAACTAGGGAGGGAATATAGAGAAAATTTCCCTTTGAGCTCTGCATGAAAATCCTGCCGAGGGAATTACAGGAGGACCTGGAGGCAATCAGGCCTCTGTTGAGAAAGGAGGTGATGGAAAAGAAATATAGTGAAAATAAAACATAAGTAAATAACATATTGACTCACATACAAGTGTTTACATGCTATACTGTATTGGGGAGGCTGCATAAAGGCACTGATTTCACAGAAGTTAAGATCATTTTGAGACTGTGCAATTTTGGTCCATCTTTTAGCTGTGCCAGTTATAGCTATGTGACTCAGTGTATGTTTTGAAGCAGCTCTGCGCTTTATCATTATTAGCTCATAGGTTACCTTTAAGGATTAAATGAATAAATTAGCACTATGTCTGGCAAATACTAAGTGCTCAATAAATGTCTATTGCTTTTTATGCCATGTTTTAAAAATATTTTTGGTATCTATTTATTTAAAGTAAACATATTGGAATGTCAAATACGTTTATAGTGTCTTAATCATCTCTTCAGAAATGTGGAGAAATACAAAGGTATCTTCTCACAGATGACTGAAGCAAGTTTTCATTACCTTTATAAAGGTTAAAAGTATACTTCAGGAAAATGATTGAATATTCATCTTCATATCTGTAATTAGAATACAGCAAAATTATCTGGGTGGATATAAAACTATTAGATATTTAAAACTACACTAATGATTAAATTTTTTTGCATTAATATTGTCATCAAAAATTCAAACCAAATAATATGCATATGATCTTGATAAAATAGAACACTCTTACTTTAAATGCCTTTTCAGAGTTCAGAGATTTCTTTATGTACCTGATATCTCTCCACATAGTTATAGATATATACATATATACACACAGATATATAGTCTCATATATGCTAGAGGAAGATGAGGGAAACTCATAGAAACTATCTATATTTATATCTTTATCTACCTAATTATCTATCTATTGAGAACATTGAATTTTTTACTTTCCATTTTATATTTTCTATTACCTGAATAAAAAAAGACTAACAGGTCAAAAAGTATTACTCGATATTGTGAGGTTGGGTAAATATTCAGTTTTTGTTGCCACTTACGGTGTCTGTATATAATTCAAAGAGCAATAAGTTCTTACTGGAAATATCTTCCATTCAATTTTCTATGGATTGAATCATTATTCAGAAAGCTGACTTTTTTATATGTAAATCTATGGATTTAATTCTCAATATGAATTTTTTCCTCAAGTATAGAACATGTATTTTTATAATGAATATAGGACTAGAGCATTCGATGGTTTTAATACTAAAATGGTTGAAGACTTAAATATATTTGGAATAAAATAACTTAGAACACTATATTCAACTTGCCTTCTTTCCGTTTCTCATTTAATAAAATGATGCTTTCATGAGTTTTGCCTAGATGTCCTTGTGATGTCATCATGCCCATTCTCTGTCATTCCAAAAGTTTTCACAGGATCAATCAAATAATACCTACATTGAAAGGATTAATATTTGTTACTAGTTTTTACTTGGTATGTAGAAAATTTTCAGAGTTTGTAAGTCTAAATTAATATCAAGGTAGAGTTTCCAGATAATATACAGAATGCCCAGTTGAATTTTAATTTCAGATAGAAAAGAAACATTTTTATACAGGATATAGTTATACTAAAAGCAAACAAAATAACAAAACAATTGTTGATTACGTGACATTTAAATTTAACTGAGTGTTCCATATTCTTATTTGCTAAATCTAGCAACTCTATTGCAAAATACTCAGAGTCATGTGGTTGAAGCAGTTAAATGTTTGTCTTGCTTGTAGTCCAGTAGTCCCCAACATTTTTGGCACCAGAGACTGATTTTGTGGAAGACAGTTTTTCCACAGATCGGGGGTGGGGATGGTTTCTGGATGATCCAAGCACATTACATTTACTTTGTACTTTGTTTCTATTATTATTGTATTGTAATATATAATCAAATAATTATACAACTCACCATAATGGAGAAGCAGTGGGATCCCTGACCTTGTTTTCTTGCAATGAGGTGGTCCCATCTGGGGGTGATGGTAGACACTGACAGATCATCAGGCATTAGATTCTCATAAGGAGTTTGCAACCTAGATCTCTTGCTTGAGCAGTTCATGCTCCTATAAGAATCTAATGCCACCACTGATCTGATAGGTGGCAGAGCTCAGTAGGTAATGTGATCAATGGGGAGTAGCTGTAAATACAGATGAAGCTTTGCTCGCTTGCTCACCACTCATCTTCGGCTGTGTGGCCCAGTTCCTAACAGGCGAAGGACTGGTACCAGTCCGTGGCCTGGGGGTTGGTGACCCCTCCTGTAGTCCATGTAGCTCTTTAATACCTTGTCCACATTATAGCAAGAACATTCTCTCTAAAATGCCAATCTTGTTATCAGTCTCATGCTTTATGTCCTTTAGTGATGCTTCATTTTTTCAAGTTAAGTTGAAGTGTTTTGGCTCTTCAAGTCTCGGTGCCTACTATTTCGTTTTTTCATTCCTGCCATGCCAAATAATTTGAAGTTTTCTGAATATGTCTTGCCTTTTCCCCTACCGCACCTTTTTCTAATCTGCTACCTCTGACTAAAATGTTATTTTATCCCTCATGTATCAGGGAAAATCTGCTCATCCTTTAAGATCAATGCCAATGTCTCTTCAACTAGAAAGTCTTCCTGGTTTGTGTAAGCAAATCTAAGGGGTTCCACAGCTGTGTTTTCCTAGTTATACTGTATCCTCTATTAAACATATCACATTGCTCTGGTTATTTTTTAAATAGCTATTAGACTGTTTACTTGAAAGACATGGGTGAAGATTATCTATCTATCTATCTATCTATCTATCTATCTATCTATCTATCATAATCTATCATGTATCTAAAGTATAATAGTCATTTAATTTGTGTTTGTGAAATAGCAAGGATGAGGTAAAGAGAAGATGGAATGTAATACCTTTTACAGTTAGGATGGTTTAGAATGTGATTGAAACATAGAGAAAGAGGAAAAATCTCCATTCTCATTGGTGTAGAAAAAGTAGGGTATTAGAAAGATTCATGTATAACATTTGCATTTTTTGGAATGAATACAAGATAGGGTTTGTTTTTTCAATAGGTACAAATATGTAAAGCCGAAGTAGTTTGTTGAATCTCTTCCTTCATATTTCACCCATTTTATTTCTGTCTTTCCAAATATATTCTGTTCTAAATTTGATGGAATTTCTTTCTAATTAAGCAACAGACTTATCTGTCTCTCCTCCAGGGAAGATTTGAGTGAAGGAAGCTCTAATTAACCTTCTAATTTGTATCACCCTGAGGATCCAACTTTCTACTTCTAGAGTAGAAAGAGTCAAAGACAGTTGGCGAGATATTATAACATTAAAATATATGATTTGTGAGATTTTATTGATCAGATAGTTACATTTTATGGCTAAATTTTAACATCATCTGTTGCCTTAGTAAAACTAAAGTAAGCACACTTGAAGTCAAATATAAATGATGTATATCTTGGTGTTCTTACCTTTGTTTATTGATGGTATTAAAAGACAGTTTTTGTTTGTTCTTTTTTACTTATATTCTCTAAATGAAAGGTATTTGTGTAAAGGAAATTAGCATAATAATCACATAAGAAATACATTTATCTCTAAATATGGACAAATATAAATATCCAAATATATAATTATATGTAATACCCCATATATAATATTCATATATAATATATTTGCTTTTAGGGCAATGATAGCTTTGATGATAGACTATATTCTTATCATTTCTGAAGTTTTTTTTCCCCTCCAACATGCTATTTTTTTCTAAGCCAAAATTGGTATTTATTTTCGAGAAAATAACTCCTTCTACTAATTAATTTGCTGCTACAGAATACCAAATGCTCTACAAAATGTCTGTTGCAGGAAAGTAAGACGTTTTTGGCCTGTGTTTCTTATTAGGCTACTTTACTTGAGCGTATTTATGCAGCTTCTCACCAGTTGCTCAGCAACCCTTTCACAGTCAACACCATAATAGTCTTTCTTCCAGAATGGCAGCCCTTCCTAGCCACCCACACCTTCTTTACACCAGACCTGTTAATAATGAACCCTATTCTTCCAGTTATTTAACAATCATATGGATCAGATATCAACTTATGATAAATGCCTCAATAAAAATCACTAAATGGTCTTATGGCAAACTTCACACTTCTCCCCAAAACATGTATCTCTAAAATTTCCCCAAGTATTTTTGTAAGGGAAGAAAACTTAATAATAAACTAATTAAAGTGGAATAGTTAAACAATTAATCTAGTATGGCCCTCTATCAATCAAAAAGTTATTTGTCTGGTTATGAGAGAATAATTTTTTTGGGCAATACTTAATTCTTAAGAACATCTTTTAACACCATTGAGGTACACAGAGAGAAAGATGTGGGGGATAAGCGTAGTTTCTTGGTTCCATTAAATCATATCACATACATAAAAGCAGGCTTATGTATATTTTAGGCATTAAAGAACATCTACAATTAATGAAAAATGATGACACTTCCATAGGTCCCAAACTTAAAGGCCAGTCATTGTGGAAGAAAACAAAGGATAAACAGAGATACATTCAGGTAGTGAAGGTAGCTGTGACCCAGGGATATGATGAGTAGGTTAGGATAAAGACTGCTCTTATTTTTTCTTTCAATAATTATTGGTATAAAAGGGAACCCCACCCACAAATTTTCTTTACTTTTCTCCTTTCTCTTTCAAAATAAACAAATACTATCATTATAAAATACAGGTTTTGGGTTTTTGGAAAGAATATTGGGAGATAGAAGAAGCAGATGGGGAAATGATACTCTTATTTGAGAAAACATAAATGAATAAGTAATTTCTGTGTGTCGGATGTTTCTTCCTCTTTTTCATACCTCTATTCTAGCACATGAAATATAAAACAAAAGTATGTTATAAGTGTGTTTTGCATTATTTGGATGTATCTGAACAGATCCAATTCTTTACTTATGTTTATATCCTGAAAAATAAATTTTGCCATCATTAAGTATTAATTAAATACAAAACTTTTATATTATTCAGAAAGAAGGTAATATATTTAGACATTTTTACTAATTTATTCTCTCCTCACATATATATCAAATATTCAGTCAGAAATAGGGGATAAGGCCTCTGTAAGACATGTTCTCTGCTTTCAAATGATATTAATAAGGCAAGGATTGTCAGAGAAAACAAGGGTATGAAAATGAGGTGCTTCTGACATGACATCTTGCAATAAAATATTCTTCCATGAGAGCTGCCAGCTGTTCCACAAGATTTTACGTGGAAATGAATGAAACAAGTGTGTGTGACGTTTCATTTTGTTTGTTTAGGGGAAGCCCAGAATGACAAATGCTTTTACTCTAGTTAAGAGATGACAGGTGTCTCAACAAAAAGATCTAAAGATTCAGGATTCTGGTTGATGGTTGTACAAAGATGTAGAGGGGCATCCTATTCTTTCTCTTATTGTGAAATGTAACAATGATGCCATGATTCTTCTTTTAAAACCTAGGTCTTCAACATTTATTGTCAGTTTTGTGACCTTATAAGACTATTATACTTAGTTACTTAAAAAGAATTCAGTTTGTATTGTGTGAAATTTATTTCTGCAAGTGGTGTGTGTTTTTGTGGATTTGCATATCTAAATTTAAAAATGACACCTATGATGCACCTCTACACATCGGAGAAACCTCCAAAACGCATGAAAAATTAAAGTGATACTACTTTGAACTTTAATTCTACAAATTTCTCTTAATCAACTGGGTGAAGCAAGAAACGATCTTTTGAGAGAGAGATACTATTTTCAAGATTCTTAAACTCTCCATTTAAAATAGCTTTTCTCTAGCACACTCTTATTATATTTTTTGTACTAAGAAATGAGATGTCTATCCATTCTCCTTCTTAGGGTAAAACTGCAATATTTAATATAACATTCATACATTTATGTGTACGTATTGTTTTGTCATGGTTCACCAAAACTGTAGTCTCCTTAAGGCTTTCTAAAAGTTTTGATATTTCCATATTTCATATAAAAAGGTATTTATGGTTGCTTGGCATGTGTGTTTATTAAAATTTCTAGCAATTCATAATTTGAGATCCTTATCTTGCATATAAACATTGTGTAATAGTGTATAATTTGTTAATATTTGTTTTACAATTATTAATTTAGTCACAAAGTGATTTTAGTAGATGTACCACTACATTTACTGACAAATCTTACTATCATCAGTTTCAGATTGAATTGCAAATATATTATTTATTTATTCATTCATTTTGCATATTATTTCATCAAGGCCACTTGTACATGATAAATGACAGCAAATCCAAATGCAAAATTTAATACTGGTTTCCTATTTAACGCTTATAAACTTTAACAAAATATATAACATAAAAATAAACATATCAATATGTCAGTAAATTCAGAAAGGTGATATGTATTTAAACTCAATTATATTTTTAAATTAGTATTTACCTATTTATTTATTCTTAATCTTAGAAAATCTGTTACATGAATTACTGAATTTTTTCTTACATCACTAAGATGAACTTCTTTTTACTTTAACCTCTCAGAAATCTGGGCACAAGTGATAGCCAATTTTGCATTGTCATTTCATAATTTAATTGCTGCAGTTTTTTTCTTAGATATGCCTCTTATAATCAAGGCTATATTGTATTATTGAGTAATATATTTTAAGATTTTAATCTTATGAAGTTTCAACATAAATACAGCATTTTAATTTGAAATCAAATTTTATAAGATCAATGTAGATATACATTTTTTGAAAATTATAAACTAGTTCTTTTCCAGGATTTACTTAAAATTCTCCTAGTCAGAAAGATATTTTTATACTTAATAACAGTTAATCAAAGGTAAAACATTTCTATTTCCCCTACAGTTTTAAGGGCTACTTTCAGTTAATCCATCTCTTTTCTAAATTGCATATTCATAGTTTGCACCCATCTACCAGTTTGAACTGTTGAATACTATGGTAGCCAGATTTTAAAATACTGAAATTAATACCTTTTATAATGCAAAATATTTCAATTATTTTCGCAACTAGCATACGCTTAATGAAAACGAAATTTTTAAAAATGTAACAAATCAGAGCTTTGTTTCACTTCATACCCTCGTATTCAATTAGTTCGCAAGTGTCCTCATTTATTGGTGTGTTTTCCTATAAGTTTCACAGAAGTCATATTAAAGAAAAGAAGAAAAAAATAACAAACATTAAATTACATATGCTAATGACTCTCCAAATGATGGCTTGAATAGAATTAGTCGTAGTATTTAGACTTTATGTTGGTGTTATTTGTGTATATATAATTTTTATTTTAGATGTTTTAATGTTAAACATTTATGGCATTTTACTTTATTACATATCACAATGTCACAAAATTATTATTATTTTGTTAAATTTCCATTCAAATGTTTCATATGAAACACTAAAATTAAAGGAAGGAACAGAATATATTAAACTAATTTATGTAACATAATGTGCTAAACATAAGTACCTAAAAACTTCTTTGAATATGTAGTTATTTTTACATGTTCTTATATATTTTGGGTCATCCATGCATATCTCTAGCAATATATTCTGTTTTTTATTTTGGTAATGAGTTAGAGAATAATTACAAAGAAACAACATAAAATTTTTAAACTATAGGACAAAAAATTTAATCAAAATGAAGTTCAAATTCTATCATGAGGTATTATTTGGTACATATTTTGTTAAAATTAATAACTTTCAAAAAATTTTTGAAAACACATAATAAAATTTCAAATTTAACATTGTACTATTACTATTAAATAAAATTTCAAACTTATATGTGTAACAAGTGATTTTCCATTATCATAATTTCATAGATGACATATAGTTATGACTTAGTGAAGCATGTTTATATATGTAAATCATTTTTATTTCATTTTTGTTAGTTTAGGAATATTTTGTTAAATAGCATTATTAAAATTATATTTCAGATAAGTTCATATTGTGAACGTCTTATTTTTAGATTTTTCTCAAGTAACTTAATGACAGGATAATCTAATTGTGATAAGCTACACCTTGTATATATCATTTGATATCAAATGAAGAAAGTTTTCTGAATGTACGTTTTCTTCCTTTGAGTTTTATGTCTTGTAATATATACATTTAACTGTGCTGTCAGACAATGCTTACCTAATTGTGTAGCATACTTAATTTTTTTCAAAAATGAAAGTAAAGTATCCTTTTAACATTGGATAGCTATGTGTATATTTAATATTGAATTATTGCTATACATAATTCTAAGACTTTTTCCAGCATTGGCAATTACTTAATAAAATAGTTGTGTATTCAAAAATTTTGAGTATTTTTAAACTGTTAAGTGGTGAATCTTGACAATTTAAAAATCTGTGTTTCATACACTGCCAATTTAAAATATTACCAATATCAGTATTTCAAACCATTAATATTAAAATAAAATGGTAAATGCAATATATGACATAACTGTATGGTAATGGATGACTTTATTACCTTAAAAAGGAAATCAGTGTTATTTCTTTATAGTTCCACTATATGTATCAAACATATCTAAGTTTAGATGCATTTATACTTTCTGTAAGCATGACATATATCCCCTTTTAATTCTACACAACGTTGAATATTCTAAGTAAATCTATTTTATACTAACAGATTAAACTTTTGTTTTGGAAATAACAACAAAAATTTTGAAGTAATTATTACTTATGCAACTTAATCTTCAGATTCCACACTTTTTCAAAGTGATGTTTTTGAAAGTTAAAACCAAAATTTTATGTTCCCCCTGCTTTGAAATTGCTCTTCATTCATGTCACTGTTTGAAATGCGACTTTTGCATGGTAACAATTATAATCATATTCCATTTGTGAAATGTGTCTTTTTATTATTGCTAATATTATTTTAGTCCTATTGAATTCATTCTTTATTTATTATTTCTTCTGATGAATGTTCCTGGAGCATCTACTATGTGCTAGGCAATGTTCTAGGAGCTAGGGATTCAGCAGTGAAATCAATATACAAAAATTTTAGCCTTCAGGGAGCTTGCTTCCCAGTATGGTGTGGAAAGAATATGAACACAATATATAAGTAAAACATAAGAACTGGTTAGTAAAATACCTGGTTGGAATACATATCTGGTTAGATTATGATTATTAAATAAATTCTGGGGTTTAATGCTTTATTTCAACCTTAAACACTGTCCCAAATTTAGGTTAAGGGAATAGTACTGAATCTTCATCACCGTTGGTGGGAAGTATAGCTCTTATGCTAAATATTTTAAGATTGGGACTGCTAGAAAGTCCTGGGTCTAGACATTACCAAAGATCAGTTCTAACTCCAAAATTTGGTCTGGAACTGTGTTTCTCCCCTGAGGTCTTCAAGAAAGTGAGTGTTTGGATTGGGTCTGCAGGTCTTGAGTGATTAGAGAAGCAGCCTAAGCCCCCTAAGCCTGTTCATAAGGATTATCTCAGATTTATTGACTCAAATTCGAGGGATTATTTGAGATTGATCATAATGACTCTGATGGAATATGATAATTTAATCCATCCCTTTGGTAAAGGTAGGCGTGCTCAGACATGTGACATAGTATAAATTCCATTATTTCTCATAAATTTAGCTTATAATTACCAACATATGTTTATAGTTAATAGTTTCTTTTATTAAAATTAAACCTGAAAGTCTGAAAATTATGATGAGGTTATAAAAATATTAAAGCATTAGTTTTTACTCTGATTTCATATTCCTGTCAAAAATAAAAAGGCTCAATTAAACTCTAGGAGGACAATATGGATCAGGTTTCATAGTAATGAGCACATGAGCTCATCATGATGTATGTATGAAACTGCACATCACAAATGTACAGTTTACCATGAGTTCAATTACTGTATTTTAGTAGTGCAAGCATAGCTATTGCTTAACCATGTGGTTAAAAAATTATTATCAAATATTAGCTGACTAAATATTGCAACCTGATTTATATAACCAATGTGAACTTAGTAGATTCTGATCTATGAAATAGGTTATTCACAAAACAACTTGGATAAATATTCAATAGAAGCTATCTGATTCATGCTTAAAAACATTAAAATATTTAAAATAATTTGATAATCGTCATACCTCATTTACTTTTGGCTCTTTCAAAATACAAAAATCATTTAATACTTCTGAATTTCTAGAATCAAATTCAGATATGACGACTCAACCTGGAAGAATCAGGGGCAGAAATGGGCTTTTCTGTTTGCCTGTGAGTGAGGGGCTCCAGGTTTGACTTCCTTTCTTCCTTTTTGAATTTAAGGCAGAAAGCAGAATTATTAGTCCTACTAATCACCTGTCTACAGCACAAGAGGAAAATAAAAAAGGCAGAGTATTCTCAAACCATATTGACATTGCTTTTTTTTCTCTTTCAGAATGGTTAAAATATCCCTAGCATTGTTATCTAAAATATCTAAGTAAACATTGCTAACAGAATTTTGAAATGTTGCGAAGAAAAGTGTATAAAAACATATACCACTCAGGGGCTTTAGAAAATATTCAGAAGTTTTCCAACCGGGATCTGACTATGATTCCTAATGAGTAGCTGCAGCTCCAAATTTCAATATTTTTTTTGGTTGTTGCTGTTAAGGATTTTAGCTGTCAAGATCCTTTTAAATATACCCCCATTCAATTTCATGCTTCTATTATAAAGTTACTTTTTTCATTATATAAGTATTATGAACTACCATGAACAACCTCCTTTAAAAAACATTAAATAAAATGAAAAAGCAAACTCTAATTTGACACTTTGAATACATACTTCTAAATTATTAAAAAATATTTAATTAGAATAAAAATGTGGTAATATTATACACACACACATGCGCACATATACACACTCTGAAATGCTTATGAGATATTTAGAAATTCCCAACCAATTGTTAAAACTAGCGTTGTGTGAATTAAAGTTACGTGCTGTATAATAATAGTTAAGTTTCAACCACTTCCAAATTTCATAATTTGCTTAATTTTAATTAGTTCAGAATTGGTTAAACTAAAATATTACTTAAAAATAGTAGAAAGTATTAACTAATTTTTAAAAACTTGATAAATTCTAAGGTACTTAGCTCATCACAAATGAGGTTAAGAAACACATTTTCATATAGTGGTTATTTTAGTGCCCCTTTTTTTTCATCATTTGTTTTCATTTTGGCTTTGATTTTAAATTCTCTTTTCTTCACTTGCTTGTCTTAAAATAGAAAATTTTGATATTTTTCCCAGAAACTGTGAAGAGATATGGCAGACTATTCAAAGCATACTTTTGAGAAAAGTGTGGTTACATAGTTACCCATTCCATCAAAACCTGACACTTGCCAGGCATTCGTTGCTAAAATTCATCTGTAGATTTTTTTAAAAGATTGATTCAGGGCCACATAAAGGGTTTACCCTTTTACCTGCTCTCTTCAATGTATTACAGTTAAAATGTGGTATATTTTGTGTGTATATCTATCCATAGGATGGTTGATAGAAACAAACCGACAGATCTAGTGCGCTTCACAATTTACTCGCGTGTTTGTGTTTTGCCTCTTCATGTTGATTATCCTTAAGGTAATAGAAGAGAATATGATTGATTAAATTTATCAGAAAAAATAAACAAAATTTAAAAAGAAAAAGTTAGCATCTAGTGCTACTGTGTCCCACAGGTTCTTCTACATTGACCCACACTACCTCCACTGGTGAGTTAGAGGAGCATAACAGGACTACCACTGGTGCTATTGCTGTTGCTAGCACACCTGCAGATGTTACTGTATCCAGTGTTACAGCTGTCACCATCCATAGACTTTCCGAGGAACAGCGAGTGCAAGTTACGAGTCTCAGAAATTCAGGTCTGGACCCCAACACGTCCAAGGACGGGCTCTCTCCTCATCCAGCAGATACACAAAGTACCAGGAGAAGACCAAGACATGCTGAACAGATAGAAAGAACTAAAGAGCTTGCAGTTGTTACTCATAGAGGTATTGGATGTTATTTTACTTGTGCCCATTTAGTTACAGCCAAAGCTATATTTTGGTAATGATTCTAATTAGAGAATGAGCTGAAAGAGAGCCAAGATATAGAAAGCAAAAGAAAAAGTTCAAAGTAGCTGAAAAATATGGATAGTAACAACCAAAACTGGAATAATTTGAAAGCATAGAAATTGAAATTTAAAAATAAGTCAAAGTGCAATGCAAATGTTGGAGGGGGAGGGGGTAAAAGTAGAACAGAAATCATTTTTAAACAGGACAGTAAAAACAAGTACCAAATACTTATTATTTATTCCATACCAGTTATGATGATGTTCACAAAACAGGAAAATAAAGTAGCCAGTTTTGATTAATAAGTGCATATATTTACACATAGATGATTTATCCCATGTAGTAATTTTTAGCGTTTGCATGATATTTTTATGTTATGCAAATGTTAGTTAGTACTTGAGAATATGTACAGTTTGATTGGGAAACATAGAAACATTATATCTGGTGATCGTTTTACATAGCTTATTCTTTGCCTGACCCATATGATTGCATTGAAAGATTTCTCATTTTGAAAAGGTAACAGCTATTCATTGATAGTATGCCTCCAAAATTTAAGTATTCTTTAAATGTCTAATTTATTTTTAGAGAAAAATGACATAAAACCACATCTTACATTGGTAATTTTCTACTCAGTTAATATAAGCCTACCTTTTACAAAATAAGGAAGTCTAGAAAATACATTTTTCTGTTTCTTGGTGGCAAGTGTCATAGAGAAGTTTAGGAAAAAAATTCAATGTAGTATAAAATAATAAAAGGTCTTTATTTATATCGATATATGTATCTGTAAGAACATTAATTAATTGAACATATTTCAAGTATAAAATATCTACTACATTTCCAAGATATCAAAATATTTTCTCTAAACTGGCTATGGTTTTTGCAGTGTGATTAGGCATGGTTTATACAGACCATGATTTAAGTAATGGTCTGTATAAGTATTGTGCTCAATACTTAGAGCACAAGAAGGATAGAAATCAAGACATCTTTACATACATTAATTAAAAATAATACAAAAATATCTCAGAAGTTTGTTTCCATTCGAATTTGTACTGAAAATACTTACTTTGATTCTCTTTAATGAGGCACATTCTAAAATGAATTTTTAACCTATAATAGTCTTCTCAAAAAGATTAAATCAATATCACCTTGATTCTATATTCACTTTCCTATTATAAATATTACCATTTATAAGAATATAGGGACCGTGTTAAAATTTGTGATTTACTCAATAAAGTAAACAGTTTTTGTCTTATTACCAGAAAATTTAAATAGGTAAAATTATATTAAAATGTTAAAAACTATTTTTTCATTCTCTTTGGAAAATTGCATGAGCTAATATTGGTAGGCTATCTGGAAATTATTTTATTACCCATCATATAGAAGGAGGATAATTTCTGACATAAGTTTATTGTAAAACCAACTAATAATACAATTTCTACTTTAGCCAAAGTTTGCCGTCAAGTGGTGTGATAAACTTTGTGGTTATAAATTAAAATTTTATGTAACTTGGAACAATAATGCAGACTGAAAATAGAAAAGTTTAATAGTCAACCATTAAATTAAATTAAATACTTTTAAGGTGGTTCCATATAAAATGTTTAAGTTTCTTCAAGTAAATTTTAATTAAGCTTCAAGAGTACTTCCCGGGTAGATTCCCAATCAGTGCTCAAACTTTCTCCATTATTATCATAAGCTCCCAGTGCTGTTTGAGAGATTGATACCTGTTTTACCTTTCCCCATATTCTTTACAAAATGGTGATTTTGAATTTAATATGCATTCAGTGGTGCCATGTACCTTGGAAATGTATTCCTCATTTATTTTTCAAAGTAGATGTAAAACATTATATGGAAAACATTTTTAATGTATTCATCATTATTGACAGTGACTTAAATTGTTATACTTTTATCAACTTTCTACTTTAATTCAAATTGGTTCTTCTGTTTCTTCTTCAATAACTTACTACTAGTTCAGTGATTTTGGTTTGCTACTTATCTATTACACTCTAGACACAATCTCTTAATATTATGGGCAAAAATATTCATCAATGTTAAGAGTAGGGGAAACCTACTATTCTATTGCTTAGTGTTTTCTGAAGTTCTCAAAATATAGCTATGCTCTTAGTTATGAAACTATCTTCTAAGACTTGATTACCAGCAGGTCCAAATTTCTAAACTGGAAATGGCTGACATCTAACTAGTATTATTTTTAAAATAATAATTTTGGCTCAGACACATGCCTAAAATGCTTACTCAGTACCAGATTCTGTTCTAGAGGAAATAAAGATAAATAATGCATGTCCCCTTCCTGCAGGACATTGCAATAGAGTCGAGGACATAGAAAAACCCATTCTAGTGGTACAAGATAGATTTTGTAAAATGAATTCTGATCAAAGTACTAAAGAAGTTACAGTGTGTATGCAGAGAGTGAGTCTTTTAAGTTACTTTTTCAATGAGTTGGTAAACAACCGAAAACCAATTGCTTAATTTTTTTAGATATTTCAGAAAAAAACTTATTCCTCTGATCTATTATCCACAATATAGTTAAAATGAACTTTTACAAATAAAAATCCAGTCGTATAACACTACTCTTTTAAAGCTTTCAGTGATTAATCAATGCTCTTAAGAATAAAGCAGAGACTTGGTGATGACCCACGGGAAACTGCATGATCTGACTTTTTTCCATATTTCCAAATTCATCGCATGTAACTCTCACAATCACTCTATTATTTTGCAAAACACAATTTATTTTAATTAGCCAAACACTGTATTCTTTTCTCCCTAAGGATACTCTGAGAAGCTAATCCTTGTTCCTTTTAACCACATAATTCTAATTTCCAAGATTTAGCTTAAATTGTTACCTCTAGGAAGGTTAGATATTCCTCTTATAACTTGCCATTGCAGCTTGCATTTGTAATCATCAGCCCTATAAATTTTCCTGTAAAATTTAAGCTCTCTGAGGATAAGGAGTGGGTGGGTTTTATTCATGCTGCATTTTCAGTACTTAGTACAGTTTCTGACCAATAGATATTTTTTAAAAAATAGTTGTCAAACTAATGAATAAGTGTTTATAATTTCACTTGCTAGAAAATTTACTTAAATTATTTAAAGGCTTGAAATTACCTTCTTCAAGATAATGAAATCTCTACATATTTCAGTATTAAAGATAACTACATTTTGTCACAGTTATAATACCAGTTTTTTTTAAATAAAGGCAACAATATTTTCATTAATCCATAATAATATATTGCTTTTATTGTATTACTGGTTCAAAATTCACAAAATGGAACTGGATATAAAGGCCTTGCTTTTAGCCCTTGAATGATTATAAAATCAAAATAATTTTATAATTAACCATTAGCAAACTATAAAGTCAAAAATATCCTATGAAAAAATATTCTACTGAATATTATTTTGTTGAAGTTAATTACAGTGTAAAACATAAATATAAGAGATTACTATAGCATAGGTCCGTTCGATGTCTGCAAGTTCATGCTATTTTGCAGTATGTAATAATTTAATATTTTTAATTTTTTTATTCACATTCCAGTTAAACTTTCAGTTTTATGTCTTTTGATCATTAATGGTTCCCAGTTTATCTGTTTTCATAAACTGGGGCATGTATTAATAATTGACATCAATATTATTATGAACACATAGAAACATGGATTACACACAGTATTTTGTACTTAATGTGTACAGACTAATCTATGTGTTAATTAAGTGAATTAACACATAGATAAATTAAATAAACTCACTATAACTTTTATTTAAATAACAACTGTAAAATTAATGAATAATCTGGAAAAACTTAAAATATTTCTCAAAGATATTTTCAATTCTTTATAGGGTACCATTCCAATTAATTTTCCTATTGTACTATAGTTAAAACATCAACAATTTAAATTATCTTAAAATTTTTATTTTCTACTTTTTCTCAGTAGCAGAAAATTATTTGCAGTCTCCTCCATTTGAAGATTCTTTGCACGTTGAGATAAAAAGAAGCAAAAGAGGAAGAAAATAAACAATGTTGGTTTAGATCTATTAAAAATGCATATTAACACCACACCTCACTTTGCTGTATTAGTGTACAATAGTCCTCAAAATGAGAACTTAATATTTTTGACTGCATTTTAGTCCACCTTTGCAAACTACTATGTGTGAGAGTTTGTTCAGGTCAAATGAACAATTATAGCTAAAATTTTATATTTGCAAAGTAGTTTTTGTAGTATCAAAATATTACATCAGGGTTGTTATAAGCATTAAACATAGTAATGATTGGAAGTGCCATAAACTCTTAGGTATTTTCTCCCAATGGAAAGATAAAAAAGAATTGCTTACTATCAACTTTGAGTTTTGGTCAAAGAACTAGGCTGAGACTATACTCTGCCCCTTGTTAGCTTTATGATCTTGAGCAATAAGTTCAATTCCCAAAGTCACAACTTCTCAGTAGCTGAGAACACCTGTGTCATAGGATGGTTGTTATTTTCATTTTATTCACAAAATATGTTTTAGCTCTTGTGATGTGCATGACATTGTACTGGATAGCAGGTACATGAGAATGAACAATACAATCAATGCCATAGAGCGGTCTACATAACTTTAAATAAAAAAGAAGAATCACAAATTTATTATGAGAAACACTTACATAGCAGTATTTTTGAAATGTTATTGAATTACAGTAGAGGGACTGACAACCTCTAAATATGAGTCAAAGAGGGCTGCTCAGAGAATATTTGAACTAATTATTGAAAGATGAGGCCAGGCGTGGTGGCCCACGCCTGTCATCCCAGCACTTTGGGAGGCCGAGACGGGTGAATAACGAGGTCAGTAGATTGAGACCATCCTGGCTTACACGGTGAAACCCCATCTCTAATAAAAATACAAAAAATTAGCTGGGCGTGGTGGCGGGCGCCTGTAGTCCCAGCTACTCGGGAGGCCGAGGCAGGAGAATAGCGTGAACCCAGGAGGCAGAGCTTGCAGTGAGCCGAGATCGCACCACTGCACTCCAGCCTGAGCAACAGAGAGAGGCTCCATATAAAAAAAAAAAAAAAGAAAAGAAAGCAAGCTGAATTAATGTTTGAAACTAGTAAATTATATTTATGTCACTAAGACCCATTCAAAATGGTTTGAGTGGGTATTTAGGCTGAATAGAAATATTAGTCTGCAACAAAAATAAATAAGTTGTTTTATGTTTGAAGGAAGACATACATTAATGTAAGTAAGCTTAAAAATAATTGACTTTTTATTTACAAAATATCCAGATGTTTAAAATTAGATAACGGATATATATCTAGTGACATTTGTAAATTCATCAGAATAATTTACTGCCTTAGCTATAAGATCTCTTTTGATATCTTTTCTTTTTTTTTTTTTTTTTTTTTGAGAGGGAGTCTAGCTCTGTCACCCAAGCTGGAGTGCAGTGGCATGATCTCGGCTCACTGCAAGCTCCGCCTCCTGGGTTCATGCCATATTTAAGTTAATATTTAACTTAAAATATCTTTTTCAATAATCCCTAAACCCTAAAGCTCAATATTACAGCCTTAGGAATTTACCTAACATTGACTTGAAAATAGAAGAACCTATGTAATGACATGATTTTAGAAATAATAAGTAAATTTTCCTGGATTTCTAGAATTATCTATTTTAGAATTAGGTGGGAACTTACAAATTATCTAGTAAATATCATTATTTTGTGGAGAAAATTATGGACTGGCAGAAACTGTATAAAAACCCAGTCTTAGACTAGTATTGATAGTCCTAGACTAGTATTGATTCATTCAAGATTCATTTAGTGTCTGATATGTGGTCTTTCATTAAGTGATGTTAAACTTGAAATAACAGATTATAAGCACAATTGGGTATCCTTTCTCAAGGAGTTATTTGTCATATTTTATTATGTTAAATAATAATTAAGATGTGTTTTACTCCACTGTATTTTGCTTTAGCATTACTTTTCTTGGAGACTTTAGTAGAATAATAGAAATTTTTTCAATATGTGGACAAGTCCTATCAGCTGTTAAAGAGCAGTTTTGATAGTTGCTGTTTTTAAGTACAAAATTTGGGTATATTCTTCTGGGAACGTTTTCATATACACATATAATAATTATTATTTTTTATTGGACTTCCCGATGGGAATTTAACTTAGATAACTACAACATCTTATGGAATTAAATAAATATATGTTATGAGGTTTTTATAGACATTACTACTGTTTATTTTGACCTAGTATAGTCAATTATGCCACAGTACATTTAATGGTAATGATCATATCAGTAGGATATTACTTTGGTTAATAAAGTTACATGAAATTATGCTGAATTGAGATTGAATATGATGTAGACTTTTCTCCTCCAACACTAGAGCTTAAAAGAAACTCTAGTTTAACAGTTTTTAAATAAGTACATTATTTATTATTCTTAGGTTTAAGGTAAGAATGGTTAATTCAGCATAAAACGTTTATTTTAGGTGAGCAATTTTAATCCAAAGAAGCAGGAATTTTTTATTGTTACCATAATTTATATTGTTTTCAAGTAAGCTCATCTGAATATTTATAAGGCTCAACAAAAATAAGAAAACAGCAAACAATCATACAGATTTAATATTCACATTAAATTGCCAGTTTATGTCAGAAGATTACTATGTCACAAATTTGATTCAAGAACTGGTGTAACACTCTTTTACATCAAAAACTGCATTGTGTGAAAGTAACAATTTTTAGGTGCTTATTATGTGCCCATCACTAATAGGCTATATTATTATGCATAAAATATATTTTAAATGTTTTCAAGTGTTTGCAAGCAACTAACACTGTTTTCAAATATTGTATTAAGACTTTTATAAAGTATGAATTTCTAAATCTAAAATATGTTGTTTTTAAAATCTTAATAAGCATCATCACAATGAGGGAGCTAGTTTATGAGTAGTCATGTAAATATATTTTTATGGATACTAATGTATGCCCAGCAAGTAATCAATTATCAGGGTTTTATTGTACATCTTATCTTTCACTGAGCAAGTGGTGAATTCAAAAGTATATTGCATAGTGTTTATTCCCAAAGAAAAAGTTGTAGAGATTAGATTACAGAGAAAAATTATAGGTCAATTATAAGAGAAAGAATTACCACAGAATGGGTATGGCATGTGAGGAAGGATGAGGTAAAACTGTCTTGAAATGCTTGATATGTTGTTCTGTGTAAGAGAGATTAAATCTGTCCTCTGGCATAGGTTGTAGAATTTAGTGTAGGGAACCATAAGACAGTGCAAAGCAGTTTATTATAAAGAAGACTGATTTAACATTCAGTTTTTTTTTTTCAAATATAGATTGTGTGCTACTAGAAGCAGTGAATTCTCAAAGACATTCAAGCATAGGTTGTAATGGACAATGTGGGTATTTAGAAATCACTAAAGCATCAAATAATATCTTAATAATATGATTGCCACTGTCCCTTTTAATCCCAAAAGTCTATGATTCTATAGAGAAATATTATATATTAATTAATGTATTTACCATCACTTTATATTCCCTACTGGTGTTGAGCTGACATGTACTTATTTTAATGATTATTTATAGCCAGTGTAAAAACAAACATAGAAGTGGCCAATGCTACCATCAAGGAATTTAGAGATTAACAATCTACTTATCTCATTAAATGTGAAATCAGCCATATTTACTTTTTTTTTTCTGGGCCCAATGCCCACATCTATGCCTTAAATTCGAAAACTTCTTTATTTGGAGGTCCAGTCCTAGCTGTTCTTTTAGGCAGTGTTATTTCTAACAACAGATGACAGTGCTATTCTTACTCTCTTCACTACCACATTCTACTATGTATTTATTCACTCATTTTTCTTTATTCTTTCTTTTCATTTTTTCTTTGTTTTTCTTTTTTCTCTTTACTTCTTTTCAGTTTTTTTCTGTTCCATCTTCTTTTCTTTTAATTTTTTTTTCTCTCTCACAAATATCCACTGAGTGCCAAGCTGTCTTCCAGTTGCTGGGTATACAGTATTGAACAAAACTTAGTAGACCCTGCTTTATTGAACTTATATTCAAGTGAGGAAGAAAAAGACAATAAACAAGTAAATAATTGTCTGATGGTAATAAGGGCTGTGCAGAAAATCAAAATAGGCTATATGATAGATGGATTGCTGCCTTAGTTTGGATGGTAAGGAAAGGACTCTGGGGAGTTAAAATTTAAACTGAGACCTAAACAACAGAAAGCAGACAGAGATGCTCTTGGAGCTATGCCTTGAAATTTCTCAGAGGAGAAAGCACACCAGGAAAAAAAACAGCTAGTTAAAAAAAGCTTCAGTTTAACTTGAGAAAAATAAAACCTACTAATTCTTGTACTCAGTGCACCAGGAGGAGAGTAAGGTAGATGAGGTGGGAAACATAGGTAGGAAAAACACCATTTGGCTTTTAGGCCTCAAAAATGAGCTTTATTTTTATCTAAACCATTGGTGGACATTAGCAGGGAACATATATTATCAAATGTAATTTTTAAAGGAGTCACTTTAGCATGAATTTGAAGAAGAAATTTCAAGTGAATAGGAGCAAGCAGACAAATAATAAGATACAGAAATGCAAGTAACAGTTGATAGTTTCTTGGAGTATAGGTCTTATAGTACGCTTTTCAAATTTCATTGTGGACATGAATCATCTAGTAGTCTTGTTCAAATGCAGATCATGACTTGATGGAATTGGAGTTGGATCTGAGATTTCGCATTTCTAACAGATCTCTAGGTTTGCTCATACACTGAGTAGCAAGAACTTAGATGAAGATGATCATCATGGAGAGAGAACAACATTTATCACACAGTCCCAACACTGTCTATTCCTCATAGGATTTTGTTCTCCACTAGGATAATCACAGTGTTGACAAGCTATCTTGGATAATATAGTAAAAACTAAACTTTATTCCATACGAGTGACTCAAATGGTGGGAAATTTATGAGTGCAAGGGATATTTTAAGGCAGATGGATTTTCTGAATCAATGTTAATGACACTAATTAGTTTTGGCAACCTTTAAGAATGGCTGAGCTATTGACATTCATTATGATTTTACTGGAAAGATCAATAAAGGAATAGATGAATAAGAAAATCAACACCAAGTCAAATTTTAGCTCTAAATTTTAAATTTTACTCAAAATTCTATACTTTAAAATGGTTGTTATTTTTCAATGTATCAAATAACAAAGAGAAAAATACATCAGGGTTTAGTTTCCCTTTACTTACCATGTTTCAAATCCCTGAAAGGTTGATAGATGGAGGTAAAACAGTAAAAAAAAAAATTTTTAAAAATGAAAAAAAGAAGAAGAAAAGAAAATAAAGAGAAAAAAGAAAAGTATACAAAAGTTGATGCCAAATCAAAAATTCTGAGGAGTTAATCTTTAAGCATTGTTTTCTTATTTTATATATATGGTGAAATTACCTTTGTCTGCTTGAATTCCCAGGTCTTTATTTATGAGACTAACTAATGTATTTATTTTAATAGCATCTTTAAAGCATAACTAATAATAGACTGCAGAATTTATAACTTTTAAAAAATTATCTGGTTATGTATAATTCTTATAGAATTACTTAATTTTATTCATTTTATTTATTTATTTTGGATGTCGGAACTTTGACATTGGTAAAGTGAATACAAAAAATAGGGGAATGTCAACATTTTGGGTGGAGAGTTACATACAAATATTGATCATTGTATGCTTTATCAATATCCTGCCATACTTTTTGTTTACTTTTTCCATTGTTCTCTTGACTTTCCCTAATTATGTTATTTAATGGAAAGTTGTGTTTAATGTTTATAGAGCTATTTAATAATTCATGTTCAGAAATGTACCAATTTATCATTTAAATACATATTTATTGAATAGCATCCTTATTTTCTATCCATTACCTTATTTCATCACATTTTTGAAATTGTCAAAGCAATGTCATTCATGACAGTAAATACATTTTTATATTTCTAATTCTTTTATGTTTTGTTAAATAAGTTGTTTTTAAGAAGAAAGAAGAGAAAAAATAAAATGTTAGAATTTACTTGTTAACGGGTTTATGCACATTTAAAATGTATTAGATAAAAGTACTCAGAATGCCTGAGGACTTGAATGACAATATTAAACAATGAAAATTTATTTTATTCACAAATGGCAAATCTGCAAGTAACCATTTTAACATTTTTATCCAATGCTACCCTTCAAGCCATGCTTTTGAGTTAGTCCTATGTAAAGATTTTAAGAATTTCTGATGTCAATGTTCTTATTTCCTTTGAGTAGGTCTTTAAGGAAACCTATATATTTTTTTCAGATTTTCAGCCACTTTGTTTTTTTCACCTGTAACCGTTAATCAGATATCTTGTTAGCTTATTTTTATATTAACACACTATATCTCATTTTTAATAGAATGAGTAAATAAGGAAAGATAATAATATGTACTGAATTGATCAAAAGAGAAAGCTTAACTTTAAAGATCAGAGATGAAACCATTATGTGTGTAGCTGATTTCCCCAAATGGTTACCAGAGCTTCTTTTACCTGTGAATGAGATCGTCACAGTGAATGTGGCGTATGTGACTTTTAAATCTTTTTCTTTGTTAAAATATTTTGATGGGGCTAGACTTTCTATTTGTGCTCAAAGCTGATGCCAAAGCAGACTCCTCTGCCTTTTGGAATATGAAGAAATGGTCCTATGTAGAGACATTTTTATCTTGTTCAGAATTATTTCAGGGCATTTTCACCCACTTTTGCAACAAGCTGCTTTCCTTGCATGTAGTTTTCTAGAGCATATGGCTACCCTGCTGTGCGCAGAGTGAAACCACACAACTAATCTTTACAATTTTAGGAAGAGCAGAACCTTCATATGTGGCAGAACAGCGTGGTGTTAGGTTTAGGGTGCATTGCGTAGGATATTTTTCTCTTCACAATTACATCATTTGTATTCTAAAGCATGGACTATTGCTTTTTACTGTTGATGCTTGATCTCTCTTTATTTAAATTATTCTTCCAATTGTATTTTCTCATAATAGCAAATGAAACTAAAGTGACAGAAATTTCTAGATTAATTTTATCCAGAGCCCAGAGATGTTAGAAATTTTTCATTGAGGAGGCTTATATTAAGGGGGAAAAAAAAGTCTCATCAACTCTTCTGAACTTTCCCTTTAGAAAGGAATGCAGCCAAAGATGATTTTACTAAAAGGACTAGATGATTATTTGAATTTCACATAGCAGTTGGTTTTGCTACACCTTTTAATTTCATCTGTTCACACCTTTAAAATAAAGTATTATGAGGCTTCAGGCCACGGGGTTATACTTGGCACTATCATCAGATAGTTGATGTCTTCATTCAATATTAAATCCAGTTAATAAAGCTTTTGTGCCTTATGAAGGTAAACATATTTAGGGTCAAATATTATTGATTACTTAAAATTTTATATCAAAATTAATAAATTAGGATAGGATACACTAATTGCATCTATTTATGGTTTTCTAAGATACGCACTTGAGAGAGTTCTGACTGAATATATGGAATTATGTTATCTATAGTCAGATGGTATAGATGATAGTATTGAAGTTTTAGAGTCAAATGAATGACCATATTTTATTAACATATAGATAACCTTGGGCAATTAATTTAGCTCTTCTCCATTTCTACATTTTTTGAAAGGGGCGATAATTTTGCATGGATATTTTGTGATTTCAATGAGATAGTACACATAGAGTACCTAATGCTTTAGATGCACAGCCAGTAAATGATACTGCCCCTTTCTGGATCATTTGCAAGAAGAAAATATACTCTGGTTATATAAAAATCCTGTAAGGTAAAGATAAATGTGAACAAATTTATTTAAAAAAATTAGCACAGTTTTAAATGTCTTAGGTAGCTTATTTCCTTAGGAAAAAATACATAGTTTAATGCAATATTGATATGGAATATTGGATACGAATATATACAGTTTGATTTAACACTATTCATATTGCTCTCATGTATAAGTTATACAAAAGTAAAGTGTAACATTCAACTCATCTCAGATTTCTATTAACTCCATATTTTTTCTTGCCAGTTTTACTTTTCATTGAATTACTTTTCAATTTCAATACAGCCAACGCATTTAAATTTTGTTTATCTACTCTATCTTTGTGAATCTCTGTGTTTCTTACAGACATAATTGCTAGAAAACAGCACAGTTGCGTTGTCTAGATTTTCAAAACATTTTCTAAGAAATGAGTGAACAACCAATGGTAGGATGATGAGCAACAGCCAACAATAATTCTACCTAGATATTATCCTTTGAAGTATAATGGTGGTCATAAAAAAATTAAGAGATGTTGAATACAGTATCTGAGATGTAGATTTCAATTAAATCTCTAATAATTTCCATGTACCAGAGGTATGTTCATCAGAGTACATTTCAAAACAATAGAATGTTGCCTAATTTGAGGAAGTTTTACTTACAAAGGATTATTTCCGAATGAGTGAATGTAAAGAAACCATAAGGAACCATGCTGTAACCTATGGTAGCAGCAGCTGGGCTGTTACGATTCCCACGTTGTTGGGATAAGGAAGAAAGTGAGATGTTGGACAAAGTCCTATTGTAGCCTTGCATTAAAAGACAAATGCCCTTTAATTAAGAGTCCAGCAAACTCCAATAATTGCAATGGTGAGGAATCCTGTGGAATAAAAATTCTGGTCTTACTTTCCTCCCTCCCTTCATCCGCCTGCTGGAATCCCCCAGAGGTTAAGGGAGTCTGTTGATAGAGTCTACTGCTTCAAAAGCTTAAATGTTAGGAAGAATCACCTGGGGATCTTGTTAAACTGCAGATTCTAATTCAATAGTTCTCAGTAGTGCTCTATATTCTGCTTTTCTAACAAGCTCCCAGGTGACGCCAGTGCTTCTAATGCAATGTCACAATTTGTGTAGCAAGGATGTAGCCATTCAGATCAAATTTCTGGGCAGAGAACAAGGAGGAGAATAGGGAGAATGGACCTGGAAAGGGAAATATAAAACATAGATGGGTATGATGAGTGTGTTGGCATTTTGAATAGCCATGAAATTAGCAGTAAAACACTGCATTAAATACAACCATCAGAACCCATCTATGTTTATTTTAAACAGAATCTAGGCACTGATATTAATATTTCTAGTGAATTTTAGTAAAATATAATGACCTGAAATCACAGGGATGATGGACTGTTGTTATTTATTAAAGCAATTAATTTTCTTCTGTTTCTTTCTGTATTTTTTTTTTGTAAATTTATAAAATTATTCAATGCACTAATGAAATTCATAGTGGAAGACTATATGCCACTGTCCACAGTCTGAAGAAAGTCATTAACTTTGGCTGCTGTTTTTCAAAAAGTTTCTTCTTTCCTAATTAATCTCATATTAGAAGGCCTTATAATATACATAAGTGATTTCTTATGTTGAGTGCGAAACAAATATTTAATGTAATAATATTTTATCATGAGTAAGAAAATATTAGTTATCATTTTTCATGTTACAATTTACAATCAAATTATCTATGATAAAATTAACTTTTGAAATGAAAATACCAATTAGAAACAAAACAAAAGAAAAGAAAATCACTTGTATTCTAGAGAACATAATATATCAGAAAAAAAAAGTCCCAAGAAAGTGCATAAATTGAGTGGATATTAATATTAACTGTACAACCGAAAACAATTTAAAAAGTTAATTTGAAGCTGTCAGAAAATAAAGATTAAAAACAATTAAATTAAGGGCAGACAGTTTTAAAGTGTTAAAAGTATCTGTGAACTATACCAATGGTAACCCTTCCCATATGGTGACTTTTATTATGCCAATTATAAGAATCCCTAAAGAGAATATAAAAATCCCACATTTTTCATATAATCCTGACATTTTACAGCATACCATAACTGTAAGACCTGTTACGCCAAGCATTGCAGGTGCATCTGCTGTTATCTGCGTAAGTGCTATGGTTTCCTGAATTTGCTCCATTTCTAGGAAGAAAGAAAGCCCATATACAAATTTTAGAGTCTTTATGCAATGATTAGTTACATGATTTTTTATATAGTTTTGCAGTCTGTTCACGGTCTCCTAAATAAAAATCAATAACTTTATCCAATCCTTAATGCCTATGAAAATTAACAAATTAGTTTTATTAAAACACAGTGTCTCCTCTCCATACTCACCACTCTGTTCAGTTTTCCAAGTGAAAAATTTACACTTATTTCTTAGCCTAAAATGATTGAAAAATAAGATTCCAAATATTTAGAAACTAGGTCAACCTCATTTCAACACTAAGACATTGTAGCTTCAGGATCTTCTTTTGTAAAATAGAAAATGGTCTTGTTAGTGGAGAATCTTGAAATACGTTAAATAATTATTCATATAATCAATATGATTGTATTTATATGGTTTTATACATTTCTACTAAATTTTCCATTTTGATCAAAGTTTTGGAGAGGTTTCTAACTTTAAATAGAAAAGTAAAATTTAAGTTAGAAATTCAGAGAACATAGATAATATATTTTGTGTATCATCCCTACATAGTGAAAAAGACATAACACAAAATAGTTAACAAATTTTTGGTATATTGCATCACAAATCAGAATGGCTTCTGAGACTAACTAGACCTTAATATTATAAATGGTAAATAATATTAGTACAAATAACTAACATTTAAAGATTCTTGCTACATGTTGATTTCTAAAATTTATTGTGTAATTTAAGCACAATAGTAAAATTGTGATTATATATTTTCTTTCACCTAAAAATTGAGCATCACATACATTTGATATTTACACATCAAACATGCAAGAGTAAGTGCTATGTACAAATGAGCATTGTGGCATAATTAGGAGTTTAAGATTTAAAAAAATGTATTGGCTGTTCTGAACCATATTACTTGTCTCTAATGATTTTTTAAATGGAGAGTACATTACGATTTTACATAATTATAAAAATGAATATATACTATTTCCTAATAAATTTAACTAGTTCAGTTCCATCATTTATGAATTCAAAAATATGTTAACTCTCGTGTATCCCTAGTATGTTTATCTCTACCAATGAATTTTTCTGTACTTTAAGAACTTTTTTTAATTTTTATTTTTTGTGTGCTTTTTAAAATACTTAGTTGTACTACTACATTTCTCATCAAATTATGGCCATTGCTTTTCTTTATACAAAGTTTATCTTCATTTATTTTAAACATATTTTGAAATGAAATATTTTTCACAAAGATTCATGAGCTACTTAACATTATGTCACTGAGTTTTCTATTATATCGTCTTCCTGTGTAACCCAGAAACATTATCTAATTGTTGCAGGATACCTCTAGTCACTTTTTTAAAAATTATGCTACAGAAACATTTATAAGATGTATTGTTTTCTCAGAAGATTGTATTATTAATACAGTAGTAAATCTTATATGAAAGATGTTAAAGGAGATACTGCAGAAATATTGTTTAGTTTTCAATCTAGCAGCAGTATAGTTTCTTGATTTTTCTTTGTCTAAGGATTACATCAAAGAAGTCATCATTAGCAGCCTCTGTGATAAGTATGTTCTGAAAAGTGTTTTGTTCAGCCAGTACAGGATGTAGAAAAAAAAAAAAGTTAAATTTTTGTACTTGCTGACTTCTAACATAGAGCCACTATTTACTTTTAAACAAACAAAAAAAAGTCATCTTTATACAGTTAAATAATTTTATAACTCCCCTACACATTTAAATCTCTGGAATAGAACTGATAATTCTGATGACATTAGTCTTTATTTCCTTTCACCCAAATTCTACTCCTAAATAGTTAAGAATTACATCTCTTAGAACTGAATAGAAAAGTTAATCGACATGTCCCATGTCTTATAGACTCAGAACATAGGTCTGCTAACTCCTAATCCACTAAGCAAAATGCCAAAAATAACACACTCTGTTTTAATATTACTTTAACCTCCTAGTCAGTGACTGATTAGTCTTAGTACTCATGTAAATAAATCTATTGTCAATAGTGATATGTGCCACTTTCTCAAAATCAAATACACGCCTAGAGACATGTTAGTTATTTTCAATATCCAAAACATTAAAAGGAAATTATTGTATTAGTAGTATAGTTTATTAGTTTACTATAAAGTAAAAGATAAGATTATAATTAATAAATTCAAAATAAAAAGTGGGAAACGCACATCCAGGTATCATATCAAACACAGCACAAAAGAAGACGAGAAAGGCATTATTGTACATTTGAAAAGAAAGGTTACAATGAAGCAGAAATAAACAAAAACATAAACAAGATACTAGTTACTTGTTCATAAGAACTTATTTTCCTTTTTAAAAGAATTATGATATGATTGAATTATAGGTTTATAATACAGCTACTGACACTTCCAAGATACTTTATTGTTAAAATAAATACCACAAACTTGGAAGAATAAAATAAATACAAAGTTAGAGTATACCATTCATTTTACCTTCATTATTGTCTTAGAATATAATCCAAGTGGAAAATGAGGAGCGCTTCAGACTGTTCTGAAAACATTTAATAAATGCCACTGTCTTCTAAGAGAGCCCCATGCAAACATGAAAGTTAATTATTTCTAATTAAAACAATGTTCTGCTAACTAATACTAAACATGTCTGTTTCTTCTTTTTCAAAGATAAATGTTCTGCATATTACATATTTTCACTATATATGCATAGCAATGAAATAGAATAATATATTTCAGATATGTAACTTTTGAGATTATGTAATGAAGGACTCAATTTTTAGAGGAACTTCAAGCCAGGAAATGTTTTATTACTTTAAGTTATAGAAGCTTAGTGATAAAAGGACCAATTGAAGGTCACCTTTTCCAAATCTCCAACTTGTACTTAAATTCCTTCTACTACACCTATTTAATATGATCGATTTCCTAACATTAAAGGCCAGTACCAACACTAAATATAGTACTTCCCAATCTATTTTATCCCACCAATACCAGATGTTCTCAAGTTACACTTACAAAGTTTTTGTAACATAAAACATAAAGACAAATGCCTGTTTCATCAAAAAAGTTGATATTGGAAACAAAATCAATCTATGATTTATATGCGTGAATATATGGTTAATTTTTATAGTAGGCATTTTAATTTAAATCATTTCAAATAATGACTTTAGCTGATTAACATGAAAATTAGATGAGGTTTAAGTAAGAGTCAATCAATATCTTTTTTTGTAAGTTTTTAAATGCAATTTTGAATTTATATTGATCTTGAAGACAACGGACAACCTGGAAGACGCCACAGTGATAATCCACTACGTGGCTTAAAACTACTCTAATACAAGTTACAAAACAAAGTGCTTTTGCTAGTGTCCAGGGCTTACAACTAAATAAAGAGGGATTTGATTGCTGGCCTGATATTCTTCCCTGCCAGGCCTTTCTTGTATTATAAAATATTTCTATTACACTAAACAAAAAAACAGTCAAACTGAACATGTAATGAAAAATTTTAAAAATGATTAAAAATTGTTTAGCATATGAAAGAAAAGAAAATGAATCTTTGTGCATATGCCTATCAATCTTGCATTTAATGCTTTCTAAAATTATTAGAGCATACATAGTTTTTCTGTATTTCATCTTGAGATTTACAAATGAAAGTGCTTCATCTTGGGTGTTCATTTTTTAAAATCACTTCCTCCCATCATAGTTCACGATCAATAAAGGGAATTCTCCCAACAAAATACCTTTAGTTAAAAGACTCAGAATTAACAATATTATATATATTCATTCATACACTCATACAAATACGACATGCACTTTTGGAGGCCGGGGCAGGTGGATCATTTGAGGTCAAGAGATCGAGACCAGCCTGGCCAACATGGTGAAACCCTGTCTCTACTAAAATACAAAAAATATCTGGGCGCGGTGGTGCGCGCTTGTAACCCCAGCTACTTGGGAGGCTGTAGCAGGAGAATCGCTTGATCCTGGGAGGCGGAGGTTGCAGTGAGCCGAGATCACGCCACTGCTCTCCAGCCTGGGCGACTGAGCGAGACTCCGTCTCAAAAAACACACAAACACGCCCGGGAGCTGTGGGTTTACACCGTTTCCCAGCACTTTGGAAGGACAAGGCAGGCAGTTCACCTGACAGGAGTTTGAGACCAGCCTGGCCAACACGGCTAAACTCCGTCTCTATTATAACTACGAAAATTAGCCGCGTGTGTCACACGCCTGTAATCCCAGCTACTCGAGGGGCTGAGGCAGGAGAACTGCTTGAATCCGGGGGACGGAGGTTCCAGTGAGCCGAGATCGCGCCACTGCACTCCAGCCTGGGCGACCGAGCGATACTCATTCTCAAAACAAACAAACAAACAAAAATATGACATGAACAAAATATTTTTTCTGCCTTTGAGGAGCTTACCATACAGTGGAGGGAATTGCCACACATGACACACTGTGTAAACATTTTCCTTAACCTGTATAAAATACCATAATTTATTTTAACATTAACTCTACAATAAATTTTACATGCTTATTACTGAAATGCATCAGGTTAAAAAATCAGGTTAATTTTCTAAGTTAAATATGGTCATTAGAAGCACTCATTACTTGATGACAAGTCAAGATTTATGCTCTGTATCTTTTATAAATCGTGAAATCTATATTTTATGGTATATATTGTAATATTAAATACCTGATACATGATTTAGAATAGTCTTGTAATTAATACTTGCAATATTTATTTTTTTAATTTATTTATTAGGAGATATACATTATTCTTTCCGTTAAAAATATAAACAGCTAAAATATTTGTCTTCTGTTTAACATATTTTAAATTTTTTGTGAATTTAAATTTTATGTTGTTAATTCACACTTTGTCATGTCCAAAAATGGATATTCTCCTGACCTTTCATCTTCTGCATCTGTATTACAATTATTATAGTTTTTATTTAAAAAGTATAGATGTATCATTATTAAAGATAAATTGACATATAGATGCTTATAAAAGAGAAAACTAAGGTGCTTTTAGAAGCAGGAAAACCTTACCCAACCAAATAATTAAATCAAGATACTTGTAAGTAGGCATGCTAATCTGTCCCCTTTTACACACACTGCCACTGCCCCCCAATATTAGTAACTTATTATTTACAACATTGAACTCTTTGATCCGTAGGATTTTATTCTTTTGCATTTTCTCCTTTGGTCTGATAATCTTTTCCTTTAGTTTTCTTTATTCTTTTTGAAATCCAGACGTGTTAAAATCACCATGAAATCTTCAGACCTATTTTTAATACTTATAAAGTCAAATCTTATAATGCAGAGAAAAGTAGAGGTAGATTCCTACTTATAATTCATGTTTCCAATGGAAAAATCTAGAATTATGCCAGAAAATACAAAATGCAGATTTTGTTAAAAAGTATTTTGAGACAGCAGAAAATTCACATGTGACAAAACTAAACTTAGAGCAGTTGAACACTTCAGAAGAATTAAACTTTAGGTTACCATCGGGGTGGGGATGAGGGTAGAAGAGAATCACAACAAAAAGCGTCACTTGGGAGGGATGTAGTCATTTTTTCACCATGAATAAGGATTCACAGTTAAAGAATCTTAAACTATAAAGAGAGAAGCCATCTAGTCTTAGCTGCTTATTTAAGAGAAAAAAGCAGGTAAAAAGGCAGATTCTTGTCCAAAATCCCACAACTAATAATAACTAAGAATCAGCCTTATAAATCCTGCTCCAACGATAATATTCCTCTTTTTTTAAAATATATGCTGTGTGTATAGATAGTTCATATCTTATATTCACATAAACCATCAGGCCCTTTCTCTACTATCCTACTTTTGAAGTTATTAACAAGAAAAAAATTACCTTAAAATGTTTCATAAACCAATAAATATCCATAATTTGAACTAATTGCTTAGAATGACGTTCAGAAATAGTGAAGTGGTAATTTTAAGCCATCTAACAAAAAATCATTTTTGCTTTTTTTTAAATTTATAGCATGAAGAAAACCTAATTGCATAACATTTAAGGCTGTCATCCTTCACTATAAACCTGATAAAAAGTAATATGTAAAGATTTCCACACTGTAACTGAGCAAGTTATTTCCTGTATATACCATGTTTTGTAAAAGAAAATAATTGAAGTAGGGAAGGGTGATGAGGAGTGATTGGTCAATGGGGACAAAATTACATACAGTAAGATAGAAGGATAAGAAGACATAAGTTCTAGCATTTGATAGCACAATAGGGCAACTATATTTAACAGTATCTTATATTTCAAAATAGCTAGAAGATTTGGAATATTTTCAACACAAAGACATAATAGATATTTGCAGTGATGAATGTGCCAATTACTCAGATTTGATCATTACACATTGTATGCTTATATCAAAATATCCTATGTACGCCATAAATATGTACAACTACTATATCTAAAAATTGTAGTAAGATATTTTAGATGGGCTCAAAATAGCTGTAGTTCACTTTCATACATTTTGTGCAATATGGACTAACAGCAATTGTAGTGTCAAAAGCAATGATAATGAATGGAAATGATTGACAGAGCTATTAAAATAAATTTTAAACTTTTCTAATTAAGTCATTTTCTTAAATGTGTTCTAACATTTCAAATAGACTAAATTTTTAGGAAATTTATTTTAAAGAACAAACCTATTAAATCCTTCCCACTATTCTAATACTCCAGCATTTTTACTTTGCTAGTTTAATTTATTCCGTAAAAGTTGATGATTTCAAGTGGTTTATCATAAACTGCTAAGATTTCACTTTTATATAAAAATCTGGACAGTTTAAAAAAGCACAGCTTAAAAAACTATGTATATGCAGGATTTTCCCTGTAGAATATTTAAAATCATTCTACACTGCTTAGTATTTTACTACTAAGTGATTATATTGCTTTAAAAAAAATTCTTCTGGGTACTATATCAGGCTTAAGAAAGTGGTTTCTTTATCTTGCATAAGTCCATGCTAACAAAATTTGTTAACTTGAATTTCATTTTAAAATTGTATTTCCTGATACATGTTTTTGTTTGTTTTCTTAACTAGTGAAAAAGGCCATAGATTTTAAATCTAGAGGATTTAAATTGTTTCCAGGGAAAGACAACAGCAACAAGTTTTCTATCTGTGAGTGTACTTCTTTTTTGTTACTTTCTCTAGTGCAAGAGTGAAGTTTGTGGTGTCTGTGTTGTTTGTATGTGTTTTACCAAAATATTTGTGTATTTACCAAATTAACTGCATTAATATCTGTGTAACATGCATGATGATTATTCAATATTTTATATTTTAATGTATATTGATTTAATGGATTAACGTGGCAAACTCCCAGCCTCAGATTATTTTTGATAAAGTTTATTTTATATTTCAAGATGTAAAAATATTCTTTTGATCTTAAGTCTTGAGGACACTCAAGTTTAGTTCTAGAAGGTGAGGCGAAAATGAGTAACATTTCTAAAATTGGTGGTTTCTTGTAGGAATTCTTGATTGACTATATCTTAATTTCAACATAAGTGCTTTTCTAAGAAATATTACTTTTAAGATAGCAATTTTCATTTCAGAAAAAACAAGTCTTAATTTGAGGTAATTTAGATAAACCTATGAAATCAAATATTTTATAAAATGATTGATTAATTATTGCTATTCACTTCTTGAAAATCTTTAAAAATGGCCTGAAGTACACAATTTCACTTACAAAATCAGGGCTCTGAAGTTCATCCCAAAATCTCAGATTAAGAATCACTGAATTAGAGCATTCATTTAAATTACCATAACCAAACACGAAATTTTTTTAGTAGAGCTATGTATTTTTGTAGTCAAAATTAGGAAATTGTCAACAATACTGTTGCATATTAGAAACTTTGAAGCAAGCCATTTATGACACAATACTTGACTTCCAAAATAACATTGCTAATATATAAGTAGTTATTTCAAATTTCATACATGTTGTTACTTTTATTCTTCAACAAGAGTATATTTTTTAACTTTATTTTTCTTCAGTTCCAAATGACCTCATGAAATAAGTTTATAATTATTTCTTTAACAAAAATCATTTATTATAGCTATATCAAAAAGGACTTTATCTATATGTTTATTGACTTGTACATATAAACAGTAATTGACAAAAATTGAGCAGTTATATCAATTATCGAGAAACAAACTTGGAGTCTTATATCAAATATTAATGGTGTCATAATTTTCAAATGTGATTTTTACATTTTATTAGTTAGACTTGAGAATATTAATCCAAAACCAGAAGAGATATCACTAGGAAACCATTGATCTGGTAGGGTTACCTGTTTCAAAAGCACTAAACAGCTAATTTCAAAGGGTTTGGTTGTATAATTAATATTTCTTCATGTATTTTGGGGGCTAAAATCATTTTCAAGATTGATACTGTTAGTTTTTAAGGAAAATAAGCAATGCTACAATATGACTTTTATAGAAATTATTCAACACATTTTTGAGAGAAAGATGTATTTTCTATGATAAAAAAAGACAAATTTAAAAAATCACCAGGTGAGATGACTCTTACATATCAAATTTCTTCAGGTCATCATGAAATAAAACTTAAATGTTAGCAAAATTAAATGTTATGTTTACTACATTTTTTTCTAATATTTTGTGTAGCCAATATATTTATTTCTGAATTCTAAGTAGAATTACAGCGTATTAGAATGGCTTACCCTCTTCTCAATTTGTCTACACGTATGTTATTTGACATGTTGCATGGTTCAAACTTCCAAATGTTCAGGGAAATTCAGGCTATTTGTACTAAGAGATCTAGGATTTATCAAGGCATTGTAAGATGTATGTAACTCTATATCCCTGTTGGTATATTGCCTTAGTGGAAATATATATTATTTCCACTTTTCTTGTACATGGGTTGTGAAGGTGAACAAAAAGGGAATTTAGACATGGGTGTATATCTAGGAAAAAAAATTCTAATAAAAATATCTTGTTTAAGAAATATTTGCTTTAAAATAGGCAAAAAGCTAATATGAGGCAAAAATGTTAATTTGCTCCATAATTTTAAAATAAATTTTGCATTTATTCATTGTATTTTCTATAAAAATCTTTTTAAATACTCTTGGTTTTTCATTTTTTTGAAGATAAGTAATTCTCACTTCAGTCAAAATATTTTTTGCAAATTTCCTGTCATAAAATAGCAAGCCAACATTATTTTAAATTTCATTTTACTATAATTTGTTTCTAAAGTATTTAATAACTCATTTCAAAAACATATTCTTTCATGGTTGTTTGCAGTAGAGTTATATTGTTTTAATTTGTATCATTATTATATATCTATTTCAAATACACATTCAGATATTGATCTCTTTAATATTATTTATTCAACCTAGGACAAAATAATTAAAAAGAAAGTTTTTATCTGACATTCGTCTTTCAAATAAGAAAAAATAATAAAGCTCATGTTCTTTGAAAAAAAGATCAATTCTATGATGGGCACGGCCCAAAGTCAGTATAAGCATGGAGGACATCAAATTCCCAAACTGCCAAAGTATGTGTGTATTTAAAGGTCTCATAATGGCACCTTTAGATTTTAAGTAAGAAATGAATTAACAAGAGATTAAAGAAGCTCCAGTAGTGTTCATGGGCAGAGTTTGGCTGTTAAAAGGCTCATTCAGATTTTTTTTTTTTCAGCTTTTATACCTGAACTCTGAATTGCCCCTATCTACCCCGTGTTCTTTTTCAAAAATTGATTTCACCAAGAAAAGAAACTATAGATTTAAAAAAAATTAAGTAAACAGGTTTTATATTTTTAAAATGTTAAAATTAATGAACTAGTAGTCTTTCCAAATTCTTTAGTAGGCTCCTCTAGAATATTTTTGTGGAATTATGAGGAAACTGTGAGCCTGCCATAAATGATTGTGTTTTCTTTCTTTTTCTTCAAATCCATACTTTTATTCATTCATATTATCCACTCAATTCTTTAGTAGGCTCCTCTAGAATATTATTGTGGAATTATGAGGAAACTGTGAGCCTGCCATAAATGATTGTGTTTTCTTTCTTATTCTTCAAATCCATACTTTTATTCATTCATATTATCCACTTATTCCACAGTTCCTCCATGGCAGCACTATGCTAGACTAAGAAGGTAAAAGAGTGAATAAAATATATTTTCAACCCTTAAGGATTCAATATTTTATAGGGAAGCTAAATTAGTTAAGAGATAACTCTTTGTAGAATGTGAAGGGTTTTAGTATAAAAAACAACAATACAATGTTGATATCAGTGTTGTTTGAGTTCAGAAAAAGATCCAAAGCACTTGATATTATAAGTTGAAATAAAAATTTAAATTAATTTTTAAAAATCTGAGAAAAGTGACAATGTAAGCAGCTGGAAGAGGTAATGTGGAGGTGAATTTTAGTCAGAGTCCACTTATTTTTATCTTTAGGGTATATTATGTGCTATATAAAATCAGAAGCCATAAGAAATCATACTTACACTATTCATGTAATTAAACTTTTAGAGAGCACTCATATTCTTAAAATGCTGCAAGTTGCTATGCAAATTAAAAGAAGTAAAAGTGATAAATCTGTCCAATTGCATCAATGGCACTGTGAAATGAAAGCAGATGACTGAATGAATACTAACTTCATTTAATTGTCTTGGCATCACTTAGCTATGGGCAATTCTGAAATACATAAATATCAAAAGAAATGAAAGATAGATTGCACTTTTTTTCTTAATTTAAAAAATTTTAAATATTTACAGTTAACATTAAATACACGTACCACACAGAAGCTCTCTCATTATCCTTACATTTTAAATTGGAAAGTTTTTCCTCTTGCAGATGTCCAGAAATGGTGGTTTAAATGACACTTTCAAGCAGACAGAAATAACTTGACAATCAAAATAATAAGAACTGGGATTAATTAGGTGAAAGTGGTGAAATTATACACATGCTCTGCATTTTAAGGTAAAATGCTTGGAAAAGTGTTTTGAATTGTAGTTAATGACATAGTTTCTGCCTTGCCGAGCTTTCTGAACAGCTATAGAGCTCCGGGTTAATAGTAGAATTTCTCAAATCAGACTGCCTGAGTTTAAATATAGATTCCCATTAACTAGCAGTATGACTTTGGACACATTTCTTAACCTCTCCATGACTCAGTTTTCTCACCTGTAGGAGGTGTAAAATAATAGTAGCTACTCCTAAGATGGTTGTGAGAACTAAATGGGGTAATACACATAAAGTATGTAGAATAGTTCTGGACCTATAGTATTATGTAAGTGTTAACTATCATTTAAATTTATATAAAATATTTAACAAAATTTTAGTTTAACACAAAATGACAGTGAAATGTAAAAAATGGGATTTTTCTTATTTCTATTTTCTAATAATGTATTCACAAACTGCTTGTCCATTACCCTATAATCTGTGTTATATGTCATAATACAAAAAAGTAGTTAGGCTTAAGTCATGCCACCTCTTTTCCTCATTTTCATGCCACATTTTAAAAAGTCACATTTTAATAAACATATACTACAATATTTCCAAAAGCCTTGTAAAGATTGGAAAGAGGATATTTTTTCACAGAAAATGTTCAGTTCTTTGATAACAAATATAAGGTGGTATTGTCAATCAAACAACTAGGACATATTTGTTGAAAATATATTAAATAGGTATATTAAAATAATGTTTTTTCTCTATTTTTATCAAGTATATAATCTTTTTCTATAGATAACTAAAGGTATGTGAAACTATTAATTTATACTGTATTAAGATAATTTTAAATTAAATAAAAAATTGTCCAAATGAAATACTCCAAGCTATTTAAAAAGATAAATTAGAATAACATGGAAAAAATGAGTGATTATCTTTTGGAAGAAGTGGGACTTGAGCTAAGTCTTGAATATTAGATAGGATTTTGATAGCTAAAGGGGAAGGAAAGGAAAACATGGAGACATGGAGAAAACACAAATGTGTGGAGTCAGTATGTTCAGCAAATTGCAGAACAGCGAACAGACAACGGGACTTGGGTGATGGATGCATGTTGGTGACTAGTGAGAAATAAAATTGATACAGTAGAAAATCTAGAATAATTGGAGATTTGAGCAGTAATAAGAACTGTGTTTTAGAAAGTTTAGTCCTCCTCTGGTATTCAAGATGTATTGTAGGTGGATGAAAATGGAATCATAAAAGCATCAAAGTGATTAGGTTGAATTTAAGTAGATAGATTAGATGACAATGGAAAGTTTGGTAGATAATCAAATAGGCCATTGAAAGATTGAGAAAGGAACTTCAAAAGAATTAGAAGTCATTAGCATATAGGTCATTCTGTCAAGGCATGAGGGAAATTCAAATATAGAGAGTTGTGAGCCAATGCCTTTCAATTTGTCCGCTGTAGTAGAATCGGCAAAAGTAAGAGTGGCCAAAAAACCTAGAAAGGTAAAGAGAGATTGTATAGCAAGTTAGAGAATAAGAAAAACATAAATATCCTATGATTTGAATTAGTGAGCTGTAATACAGTTGGCAAGAAGGATATGGTTGGTAATACTAAGAAAATTATTTTTTTAGAATGCTGTAAAAACATGCAAAATCCGATGTTTAATTTAGAAAACGACAACTTTACCACAACTATAACTGTTGGGCAGTCGTCTGATAGCTATCTTCTTATCTGATGAATCAATTTGAATTAAATTACTATATTCAGCAGTCCAGTGGTTCTCAATTTTGACTTTATATTAGAATTACCTTGAGAGTCATTATTATTTTTAAAATGGCTCACACCTACAACCGCAACACTTTGGCACCTTGGATGGCCAAGGCAAGAGGATGGCTTGAGTCCAGGATTCCAAAGCTACAGTGAACTATGATTGTGCTGCTGCACACCAGCATGGATGGCAAAGCAAGACCCTGTCTCTTTAAAATAAAAACCAAAAACTCCCAAAAAACTGATGCCAGAGTCCTACCATAGATTTATTGCATTAGAATATCTAGAGGTAGAAGTAGTCATCTTTATTCTTTCAAGAAAGATCTACCTGTGTTTTCAGTTCACAGTGGAGGACAACAAGCATTGGATGGTTTAGATTTTTTTTCTCTCTGGAATCTCTACTTAGGCACTATTTTTTCTAAAAAAAAAGCAGGTAAATTGATAAAAAGTAAAATAATAGAATTTATCCTCCAGTTCACTTTAAGATTGAATTTATTAAACAATATCACTCAGATATTTCAGTACTATCTGACTGAATAATAAAAATCTAACTTGGGGATTTAGATATCCAATGTGGTCACATTCACTGAAAAAATTAATACATCTTTGACTTTCTGCTTTGAAGAAACTGCTGAAAATGTGCACAAAAGCTAAATAAATCATATTCATGGAAGTTGCTTGAGGGTAAAGCCATTGTTTTGGTTTACACCATTATGTAATAATTTAAAGGCATGCCTAGTAATTTGCACCACTGCTGTATTTTAATGCTGGCAGATCAAATTGCTTTATCATATACCAGATAAGAAGTGTTAGAACTTTGAACTTTTTTCATAAAGTCGTATTTTTTATTACACCTTCAAAAATAATAAGGATCCAAATAAAACTATCATAACTGGTGGTTGACTTCTTTGTTGCCAGTGATTAATGGAAACTCTGGACACTGATACCCTGAGAATGTGTTTCCAGAGATTTTCCAATTTGATGGAAACTAAAAACAAAAGTGATAAATATTAATGTGTTAATAGGCAAGACTAATACAAGTCATTGAATATGAACAGCAAATTTATTTTCTCATTAGTTCATAAAATGCTTTTGCTTTCTTTATTGTTTTATAAAATTATAGTTTAACAAATGCTTAAATGACAGTGATTATAGTGACAAAATACAATAATACATTTTATGTATATTTTAAAATTAATATCATCGATTTTCTAATCACATATATTTTGTTTCTTTTTTCTTTTTTCCCTGCTGTTGCAGTAAATGAGGGAGGTATTAAAACAGCTTCCAATTTATGCCCAGATCCAGGAGAACCAGAAAATGGGAAGAGAATCGGATCAGATTTTAGGTAATATTTTAAAATATTGACTTCATTATTTATCTTGTCAAGGTTTATTTTAATTTAAATCTTTAAAGTAGCTAATAATATAAAGATGAAGTCTTAGTGGCATCAAACTGCATTTTATCAATGTATTGTTATTAATAATATCTAATTATTTTAAAGGGATTAGTTAAGTAATGCATTAACTTTATTAGAACACTTTTTTTTTAGTTTAAATGATTAATTTCTCATCATATAGTAAGTGAAAAATCATGGGATTTAGATTTTAAAGACATAACTTTGAGTTCCAGTTTTGCTACTTATTAGTTGTCTGATCTTGGGTAAGTTGCTCTATCCTGTTTGCCTGAGTTTCTTCTTCTGCAACATGTAAATCACATTTACCACATATAATGGTGAGTTTCAAATGAGGCAATTCCTGTAAAACCTTCCAGCAAATGTTCTATAAACATCTTATTTGTATTGTGTAATTATAACTTCAGTAGAAGTTTTATATCCATCACAAATTAGTATTAATTTTATCAATTTAAAATTAAGTTAAACAACCTAGAGAATTTACATAGTATACTGTGGCAGCCATTAATTTACATAACTATCAAATAATGCTTTTTAATAAACTTGAATTTTTCTTAGTCCTCTAGAATCTATTACAAACAAAAGATTACAAAAAGCCTATCAAAATATTAGATAATAATCTCACGAAAACTCACAAATACCTATTTTTACAGTGTCCATGGTAAATTTTATTTTTCAATTATTTATGCTAATGTTTATAGTTACAGATACCACATATTTTTTATTTTTACTTATTCATTTTATTTATATAAAGCACAAGTGATTCTCTAAAGAATATCTCTATGAAGAAAAAAATAGTTCTTAGAATATAGACCTATAATAAATTTCCCCCATGGATCTTTCAGAATGACTTAAAGTTACATTTTGCTATACTTGGAGTGAAAAACAATAATACAATTTCCACACAAACACAATTGTAATTTTCTAAAATGTTTACATAACTTTAACCACGCTCGAAACTTAATACAGATAATAATATTTGAAGGAACACACTAAAGAGAAATTCAAAAGATTTGGGGACTAGTCAGACTTTGACATGTTATACTGATTTTATTAAAATCAACTAAATCTTTCAGCCTTAATGACTAATGGTTATATCTTACAGACCACAAAGTGATAAGCAATTAAATAATTATTTTTTCCAAGTATTTTTTATTTCTTATACAATCTTATAAGCACTTACTATTTTATCCCTACATTTTAAATGAGAAAACTGAAGTTTATTTACCTGGCTAATAATTTGATGGAACTGGGATTTGAACTCTTGACTTGCAGACTCCAAAACCTGACGTTTTAATCACTATATTATAATATATTGCACTTTAAAGTCAAACAAATTTCATTCAGATTATATCCCTGAAATAAATTATCTTGTCTTCTGCAAGAGTTAGTTTCCTCAGTTCTAAAATTGAGAATAATAATGTATATCTTATTCGGTTGAGGAGAAGATCACATGAGATAACTTATGCCTCGTAGTAACCATACAGCTTTTGACAAATTAAGTACTCTATTAATACAAACTGCTATTACAAAGTAACATGTACAATATTACTGATGACATTAATATTTACTTGGTCCAATGATTTGCAAATTAGATTAATGATTTATTGGAAATCAACCTAAAAATAATATAATGTGATAGTAATATAATGAGCAAAATTACCTTCAAGTGCAGTAGATTTCAAGCCATTCAGTTGTAATCACAAATGTAGAAAATTACTCAGAAGTCAAAAAGAAAATAATAAGATTCTATGACAGAGAATAAACATGTCTCAAGGTGGGTACCTACATAATTTAAGAAGGTCCTACTCCCGTGGATATTGGAAGAAGTATATGTGTCCCACCGGCAGGGAAGGAATAGCCTGAAAAGAAAGTGCTTGATTACCTGTTCCAGAAAATAGAGTTCAGTGAAACTCAATTATAGAGCGTAAATAGGAGAAAATAATAGAATGAAGTAGAGGAAATAAGGAGAAACCAAATATTTGCATCAGAGAAAGTAAGCAGGCAGCCATTCAGCCTAATATGGACTGAAGATATGTTTTGTTTTAAATACATTGTTTTTTTTAATGGAGACAACATTTAAAACTCAGAATATTATACACACACACACACACACACACACACACACACACACATATTTCTGTATTCTCTTATTATATTTGGCAACTTAAACCTACACACTTTTAGGGTAACATCTGCTCAGAACCAGTTAACAATTTGTCTCTCTAGGCTGGGCAGGATCTCCCTGGCTCACCATGTGTACCCATAGGCTACTTTACTCATTTAGCTCACCTGCCTATGATGGGAAGTTGTAAAGATTTGTAAGTGACCTGATCCAATTTATATATTCAGTAGATCATGCTTTCTATTTTAGCTCAGTGATTGAAGAAAACTTAAATTTTAGTTAGGTTTCTTCAGTAGTCTGAGTGAAAGACAGTGGAGATTTGGACTATGGTGTTGGCAGGGAACGAGACAGATTCAAGATATCTTTTGAAGATAAAAGCCTTAATATCCCATGAAAATTTGATGTGGAGAGTAAGAAAAAGGAAAGAATTAAGGATGAGGCTCAATTTTCAAGGCTTGAACAACATGAGGATGGAGTGAATTATAATGTTTAATAAAGTGTGAACATCCAGAGATTTCTGGAGAATAATTGAGAGTTCAGTTTTGAAGTTGTACATTTTAGAAGATTTAGAGATTTCTAGGCAGATATGTTAAGTGATTAGTTGAACATAATTGAAATTCAGAGATATCAGGGAACCATAGGCATATATACATATTATAAAAATGTTAAACATCATTTTCTTTAAAAAATTATGTGTAGATAACATCATTTAAAATAAGTAGAAAGACAAGAGAACTTGTGATGTCATCTCAAATATCTATTTGACGAACTGATAGAATACAAGGAGCTGCCAAATCCTGCTCATGAGAGACCAGAGGACTATGACAATACCTAAAAGGGTAACTGAAGCAAAAGAAGTCCTTTAAAGGGCAAGCAGGGACTGTTGAAAAATTGAGCACGGAGGACAGAAGACTGTGTTTTGAATTTGACAACATGAAGGTTGTTGACAAGAGTGATTTCAGTGGAATGACAGAGGTTGAAAACCAACTTAAATATGCTGAAGAGTGAATAAAGACAGTTCAGATAGTTTACAGCTTGGTGACTTCAAGTTATATAAACTACTGAAATAATGAGGCATTTTTGTAGTCATTAGGAAATCAAGAGAGAGTTTCTTTTTAGAGATTCAAGAGACCAAAGCATGTTTATTGGTTGGTACAAATAATTCTATAGAGAGAAATCTATTGGTGGCATTGGAAAGAGAGGGTAGAGGTAAAGAAACATAATTTTGTAGGAGAAAATAAATGGGATCCCAAGGACAGGTAGTGGGGAATTATTTTCAATCTAATAGAAAGGAAGACAGAGAAGTGGAGAAGAGATGCTGCTAGGCCTACATATTTTGTGATTGGAAGATGAGAAAGCTCATGTTTAATACTTTTACGTTAGTAACGCCGCATCTAGGAAGGCCATCAAATGAAAATGTGTGTATAAGGAGATGAGGATGGATGGGAGAGAAAGTTTAAGACTGAGAGAAAAATGAAAAATAGTTTTTTACCAAGAGTGGGAGAGCAAGCTTGATGTAGAAATGTTGCCTTGCTAAGTAAATTTGAGTGCCCTTTTGAGATTGATGATAATGAATCTGCTTGGTTTTATAATTTCTACCTAGCATTACTGAGCTTCCTAGCTACAAACATAAAAAGGATTGTGCAAAAGTATGATAAACTCAGTGCATTTGGGAACTTGCTAGTAATTCTTTCAGGCATACAGATTAGAAACATGGATTGGGAGCAAAGAAATCTTCAAGTAGCGATATAAATTGGGGGACTTTTAAAAGGAGAGTGGATCAGTTTCAGGTCAAGGTCAGTTTCAGAAGCAGAAGTTGAAGTATTTGTAGACTCATCTGTTTCAAAGGGGGAAAAAGAACTTTGTATGTATTTCAAAAATGTAATACAAAAATTATTCTCATATAAGATATGGAAATCACCCAGAAGAATAAAAAATGGAAAGGTTGTAAAGGAATAAAAATCACCGACAAAAGATAAATCAAATTGTTATGAAGTAATGTACTTTTAGTCAGGACTTAAATTAAAAGTTATATCTTTTCTTGGGCCCTTTTTATCTCAAAGGAACATTAGATTGTGATTACTCAGTGAATTACTGCCTCCAACTATGAAAGTCACACTGGTTTTTGGATAGAATTACCAGTCTCTGCCCCTGAAAATTCAAAAGAACTCGTGGCATGTTCTCCTGGTGCCCCATCCAAGTGAAAGTTCAGTTATTTCATAAAACACCAAAAAGTATAATCGATAAAAAAATTGATGTCATACTTCATTAAAATTAAAATATCTGCTCTATAAAAAGCACTGTGAAGACAAAGAAAGAACATTCCACAGATTGGAAAAAAATTTGCAAATTACATATCTAATAAAAATACATTCTGTATATTAAATATGGAAAAATTGCTTAAAATTTAACAATAAGAAAACAACTCAATTACACAATAGGCAAAACATCAAAACAGAATTGTCACCAAAGAAGATATATGAGACAGCAAATAGACATATAAATAAAGCTCATTATCATATGTAATTAGGGAACTTCAAATTAATATAACTACCAGATACGATTACATAGCTATTAAAATAGCTAAAGTCTAAAGCTCTGACAACACAAAATGCTGCCGAGAAAGTAAAACAACAGGAATGCTCATGTACTGCTGGTGGGAATGCAAAATAATAAAGCCACTTTGGAAGACATTCTGACAGTTTTTTAATTTAATTTATTATTTTTAAACTTTTAGTTTCAGGGCTATACATACAGGTTGTTACATAGGTAAATTGTATGTCACAGGGATTTAAAAGGTGTACAGATTATTTTTTGTCACCCAGGTAATATGCATAATGCCCAATAAGTAGTTTTCTGATCCTCACCCTCCTCTCACCCTCCAACCTCAAGTAGGCCCCAGTGACTGTTTTTCCCTTCTTTGTGTCCACGTGTACTCAATGTTTAGTTCTTACTTGTAAGTGAGAACACTTGGTATTTGGTTTTCTATTCCTGTGTTAGTTTGCTTAGGACCATCGCCTCCAGCTTCATACATATTGCTGCAAAGGACATGAACTCATTTTTTTATGGCTGCATAGTATTTCGCAGTATATATGTACCATATTTTCTTTATCCAGTCTATCACTAATGATCATTTTGGTTGATTCCATGTCTTTGCTATTGTGAGTAGTTCTGCAGTGAACATACCTGTGCATGTGCCTTTATGGTAGAACAATTTATTTTCCTTTGGGTATATACGCAATAATGGTATTACTGGGTTGAATGGTAGTTCTAAGTTCTTTGAGAAATTGCAAAACTGCTTTTCACAGTGGCTGAACTAATTTACACTCATGCCAGCCGTTGACAGTTTTTTTTTTTTTTTTTAAACTAAACATGGGTTTACCAACAATTACACTCCTAGGTAAAATTTCAACTATAAGACATTCTGGAAAAGACAAAACTACAGAGACAGTAAAAAAAAACACTGGTTGTCAGGAGTTCAGGGGGATGAAGTGAGGGATGAAGAGAGGGTGCACAGGGGACATATAAGGGCAGTGAATCTATTCTGTCGGATATTGTAATAGTGAATAATGACACTATGTGTTTGTCAAAACCCATAGAACACAAAGAGTGAACCCTAATGTAATTATGAACTTTAATTAATAAAATATTTTAATGTTGATTCATTCATTGCAAAAAAATTTACCATGCTAATAAAAAATATTAATAATGGGAGAAACTGTATTATGATGGGGAGAGAGGGGTAGTGTTTGGGAACCCTCTGTACTCTCTGTGATTATTTTATAAACCTGAAAATTCTCTAGAAAATAAATTCTATTAAAATTAAAAATAAAGACATACACGTGATTTCATATTATATTTGAACTAAGTGATATATATCCACATATACACATGTTATTTTAATGATAATATGTTACTAAAATCTTTCTCTAGCATGTTTGTTACAACCTCAGATATTTACTGTTTCATGATTTTCCTAACATTGCAGTAATCTCTTTGAATGAAAACTTTAGGGATAAAAGAGATATTTCAATTATGAAGAGATGTAGAAGAGATAAGAATAGTTCTCTGATCTGCATTTCCATGGATATTATCTTAGTTAATCGTTTATTTACACATTTTTAGAAAATTGTGATGTCAGTTTTACAAGCTGCCGATTTTTCTCCTTCTCGTCCACAGTTTCCATCCATAACATCTACAATAATGTGTTTTTCTAACTTCAACACCAGCAGAGCTTTCCTGTCGCCTACTTATACAAAAAGTACTCAGTGTTGGCATTCAAAATGCTTCAAAATATTCCCAATCTTCCATTCATATTTTGTGTGGTAACAAATTGTCCCACATAGTTGGCTTCAAATATATCTGATTTTCTGGGACTACTTAGTTCTGTTGTTTCTTCCTCCTAGAATGTTATATCTTAGCGTTTTTGCCTGTGTTATCTTACATATTCTTCAAGTGCTCACTCAAAATCCTCTTTTATAAAGCTTTTCTTACTTTTCCAATCAGTTACTCTCTGGTTCTTAACTTCTTAGCTCATGTTTTCCTTCATTATAGTACCCAATTTTTTTTTCTTGTCTCTTAGAAACTTTTCTAAGTGCAAGATCCTTGTAATCAGATATGAGTATTCATGTTTCTGTATGTGTGACAAAGAGAGCTCAATAAATGTAATTAATTGAATTGATTAAAACAGCAAAACTGCAGTTTAGCATTTTCCATTAATTTTCTAATCACATGACTGTAGCAGGACCTCAAATTCATCGTATTAGTAAATGGCTTATAGATACCAGTTGATGAAACAGAAACAGTCTTGTTTGCACGTAATCAATATTTTTATAATCACTGAGGAAATCTATGAGAAAATCCTTGGAGAAGTAAGGTATCTTACTTGTTATATTTTGGTTACCATTTGTGCTCTACTCTCCTAGGTGATAGTCCCAGCAGGTGTGTTTTGAAATCTTAAAAGCTTTGTTTCTAATTTGAAATACCTATAGAATATAACAAGTTTTTAAAGGGAGAAATGCTGCCAAAGAGATATAAAGTTGGCAGCATTTTCTATGCTGAAAAATAAATTAAAAAGTTAAATGCCCTTAAAATTATAACCAACTTTTTGGGAAAGCTCAGCTTGTGGGATCCTTATATTCATAGACTTTCTTTCTGTGGGAAAGGCCTTAATTGATGCCTTTTCTGACTGAATAGGAAGATATAAAGGAAAAGGAGAATTTTGAAGATTTTAAAAGAGATATTGAAATCTCTTATGTCACACTAGATGTGAACATAAATTTGGGCTTCTCTTGAGAGCAAATAACAATTTGGACTCCAAATTTTGGATTTGTATCTGGATTATTAAAATGCTGGTATATCTCAGCAGTGAAACAGCAGGGAACATGCTACTCATTTGGTACTATTAAAACACTACTGTATAATGTATATTCAGGAAAAGTTTATTATCATAATGTAAATCAACCATACTTTTGAATATAAAGTCATTTTCACTCATTCTTCTTACATGAACTTTCTAAATATGCTAGTATATTAGTTATAAATCTTATTTTGGTAATTACAAAGAGACCGTTAGTATATAGAAGCTTCCAAAGGTGTTCTGTCTCTCCCCACTTCACAAGTAAACTTTCCTAAAGAATGGCCTACATCTGTGGCAGTTCTTTCCTTACCATACTGCTATAAGTATTTGTAATTATTATAAGCTCTCTTGAATGTAATGGCTGAGAAATAGCTTGGTTTCCTTGAGTGTAGCCATTGACTACCCATTTTTCACTCTTTTATTGAATCTACTTTACCTTCTCACTTCCTAAAAATAAAAATTTTTCACAGTTACACTTCAAAACTCACTTTTTCTTCAAGAATCTGATCTCCTTTCAAGGGTTTGTAATCATGACTTTCCATGTTTCCCTCAGGTCTTTATCATTTTTATTCTTCTGAGAGTTGAATATTTATTTTCAACTTTTTATAACAATTGAATTAGTATTTTTTACAAAACAAGTATGTCATTGCATCTGTAAAAGCGTGGGATTTGGAATCAGATGAACTTACTTTTAAGTTCTATTGCTCTTTTTACTTGACTTGGGGAAGTTATTTATTCTACACAAAGTTGTCTTTCCTTTTAAATAAAAATGGAAAGGGTGGCACCAAACTGAAATGCCACAGTGAAGGACTAGATTATCTCAGACTCATGAACTTGCCTAGTGAAGTACCCAGAACAAAGAGGGGCTAATAAATGCTTGGTTACCTGTCTTTGCCTTGTCTTTGCTATTTTCCTGTCGTTTTCCCAATGAATGAAGATTTAAAAGTCTTCATTGTTTTCCAACATCCATTCCAACACTGATGCCACTTCTATCTCATTCATTAGTAATCTTCAGTTCCCTCTCTTTTACTTTACTCACTTAAAACTTCCCAACTGCACAAAAGCAATTATCTTCTATTTATTCTGTTACAAGAAGTATTACACTTGGCTTTCAGGAAAGGATTCCTCACTTTTAAATATTGCAATAATACTCCTTGATCAAAAACTTGTTTTTTCCCATACCTATTGAATTAAGAGGTGATATAATATCAGTTATCACGTACATACATATATCATATTTTAACTCAAAAGCACTTTCACACCATTATTTTTTAAATGTATTAACACACTGTAGGTTTCAATATTTCTATTTTACTAATGAGTAAACTCACATACCAGAAGTTCCTATACTTAGCAGTAATAAAGACAGGCCTTGTACCCAGGGAGTATGGCTTGCAATTTGATCCTTTTTCCCCCTTGCTTATATATTTGCATTCTAGCATTTAAATTCTTCCTCAATGTAGTGGAAACCTAACTTTCTGGCATTATCTTTCCACTTTTGTCATATTTCATTACAGAATGCCACACTTGCCTCTTACCGAAAAATATTTCACTTCAGTCGTGTGGTGTGTATTTTAAAAAATCAATGTAAAAGTAAAAACTACCATTTCCTCTAACTTACTAGTTGCTTAATACAAATTGTCCTTCCAAATGCCTCCACCCTTAATCAGCTGTGTAATATTGCACATGCTACTCTTGCTTCCTAAAATAAGATTCTGCCAATCTTTACCTATAAGAAACCTATCCTTCAAATGAATTTCCTTCATCTGCCTTGGTTTCTTATAACTTTTATCAATGCTCTCTTGGCTCTGTTAAAGTCAAAATAAAAATGTAGAGACAAATCTCTAAATGTAACATTTTATTTGAGAAGAAAGAATCACAATTCGAGGTATACAGTCAGACCAGGTGGTCTTTGGTATGTTGGAAGAATAAAGAGAAAGTTGCAGGTTTCATTAAAGGAGAAATGTTACATATTGTTCTTTGAGAAAGTTCATGGGCATTAATAAAGTTCTGGGGAGCTGGCAAGCTCCCATTGGTGAGTGATGGTGGTTGGCAAAATTCATCCTTATGTTGCAGCAACTTATTTCAGCACTTATAGATAAAACTGGTCTCAGATTACAACAGGCAGTTCCAGCAGCCTGACTTGCAGAGAATTACATTTCTAGAGCAATGTTATATATTCTGAGTGCTTTTCCCCCCTGGCTTCTCGACTGTTTTAGTTGGGTATGGCAAGAATGAACCAATTCATACGATCAACTTTCACAACTCATTTGACTTGAATAAAATTTACTTGTGTGCTTCTTTTATCTTTCTGCTCAGTATTTATTCTATTTTTGAATGCTGATGCTATCTTTTTTTAATCATCAATCTCCAAAAAATGTTTAGATGCTTAAGAATCACTTGCTGCATTGAATTTGAGTAAACTTGCACTGTCATCTTCTTCTTGTGTTATACAGACAATACAGAAACAGTAACAGTAAGATAAGTAGTAATTGCATTGGTCTTTGCAATTACTATTTATCCTACTGTTCTCTGTATGAAGAGGTGTTTCTGGCCTCTTTGGGATGGCACCTTAAAAGACATATTACCTGCCGGGGGCAGTAACTCATGCCTGTAATCCTAGTACTGTGGGAGGCTGAGGCTGGCGGATCACCTGAGGTCAGGAGTTCAAGACCAGTCTGGCCAACATGGCGAATCCCTGTCTCTACTAAAAATACAAAAGTTAGCCAGGAGTGGTGGTGGGCACCTGTAATCCCAACCACTTGGGAGGCTGAGGCAGGATAATCGCTTGAGCCCAGGAGGCAGAGGTTGCAGTGAGCCAAGATCGTGCCACTGCACTCCAAATTAGGCGACAGAGAGAGACTCTGTCTCAAAAAAAAAAAAAAAACATTATTACCTAGGTCCAAAAACAAAGAGTAATAAAAGCATAACTGTTCTTTTGATTCTTGTGACTCAAAACTGTCAGTACATTATTACCATATAAAAACTAGCTCTTACAAAAAAAATATATTTCAAGTTGTATAAATATATAGAAGAAAGAATAGGACTAGATTTTTGAAATCTCCTCCAGCTATGTTATCCAAACTGATAGGACATTTAAAATATATGGCTTATAAAAATACTCAAGTTGGGTAGGCAAACTTAAAAGAAGATAACATGAATAACAAAGCCTAATACCCTGTGCACACCTTATCACATTTTCTACACTCTATAGATTGTCTACTTTACCTTCATGGTCTCCTCATTGCTGGAGGGAGAAAACAAGCTGTAATTGCAATGTTAATGTAAAAAATAATAAAAATAAAAAGACAATTGAGGCTACAGGTAGTTTAAATTATGGTAATATTTTATTGAAGTAAAGTTTAAATGTACATATTTAGAAATATATTGACGTATTTAGGAAATAATTTTGATCAATACAAATATTTATAGATAAGCCAATTATTTCTGGCTGGGTAGTGTGAGTATATTTTGGGAATAATTTTGATGAATTAAAGTATTTCTAGATAAACTGAGTATTTCTGCCTGAGTAGTGTTAGAATATTTTGGGTATACCAAGAGTAATTTCAGTTCTATAAAAGTGAGATCATTGAATACATTTTATGCCACACATTTTTAATTACAAGGGTGTTTTTGAAAAAAAGTTATAGGAAAAAGGAATACTAAGGCTTCCTTCTAGTGTCACGATTAAAGATAAAGAAAACCTATATGCAAATTCAAAAAGTCAAATTAGTCAGACCCTTCCTTGCAAAATTTGAATTATTAGTCTGTTTAATATTCTTAAGTTTCCATAGGAGTGACCTTCAGCTTTATTATGTATATGTAAATTTTGTGAAAGAAAATATCCTTATTATGTTGTAAATGCTGTGACTTGGACAAAGTGAAGAAGCAATATGATTTTAATTATTTAATATAATGACATGGATCATAGGTACAGAAGTAAAATGGGAATAAGAGAAGGAAATTAGGGAATGAGACACAAGGAGAAGAGATGTCCAAGTAATGAGAATATTTTGAGGGTAAGCAAGATAGAAAAAATAAGACAGAGGCAAGAGACTTGGGGTAGAAGAAAGAAGGGAAATATAAAGTCACTGTTAAACTAAATGTGGAAATAGCAGAAGCGAGGAAGTCTGTGACAACAGACTATATTAGCATTTTTTTCATAAAAGTCTTTGTAAAACTAGTAACTACTCTTAGTTGCACCTCTCCATATTGAATCCATCAAGAAGTTCTACCCATACTTGAGATTTTATTCCAAGGCATATTCTAAAAATATCCAATATTCTCCATTTCAACTGAAACCTTCCTAATGCAAGCCACTATCATCTCTCACTTAGACCATTCAAACATCCTAAACCATCTCTCTTCTACTGCTGTTGTCATCTGTAATACATTCACCACAAAACAGAGCAATATTTTAAAAACTATATCAAATCACGTCACTTTTCTGCTTAAAATTCTTCAGTGACTTCCCCCTTGCAGTTAGAATAAATTGATACTTAAAAAAAATCCCCATACAACCTGTTTTTTTTTTCATAATTGAGCTCATTTTGGATCATTCTTCTTATTTCCCACTCTAATCCAGTCATTATAGCATCTTTTCTGTTTTTGAAACATATCTAAATTTAACAAAAAAGGTGAGAGATTTCTACACTGAAAACTATAAAATATTGATGAAAGAAACTAAATAAGTTACAAATAAATAGAAAGATATCCCATGCTCATGAAAAAAGTGTCTATACTAACCATAGCAATCTACAGATTCAGTGCATTCTCAAACAAAATACCAATGACATTCTCTACAGAAATACAAAAATAAAATAAAATAAAAACCTTAAAATTCACATGAAAGCACAATAGATTTCAAATAGCCAAAGCAATTTTTAGCAAAAGAACAAATCTGGAACTATCATACAGTCTGACTTCAGAATATACTACAAAACTATAGTATCCAAAACAGCATAGTATTGGCATTAAAACAAGGAGAGACCAATGGAACAGAATAGAGAAGCCAGCAAAAACTCATGCATTTAAAGCCGATTGATTTTCATCAAATGTGCCAAGAACACGCCGTAAGAAAAGGACACTTTCTTCAATAAATGGTGTCAGAAAAATTGGATATTCATGTGTGGAAGAATGAAACTAGACCCTTATCTCACATCAAAAATCAACTCAAAATAAATTTAGGTATTTAACATAAGGCCCAAAGCTATGTAACTACTATAAACAACCTAGAAAATAAGCTTCCTGACATTGGTCTGGGCAATGATTTTTTGATATGACCCCAAAAGCACAGGCAAAAAAACAAAATCAGAAAAAGGGTTACACAAGATAAAAACTTTTGCACAGAAAAGGAAACAATAATGAAGGGACAGCCTACAGAATGGAAGAAAACATTTGCACACTATACATCTAGATTCACAGAGTGACGTGCAAAGTTTTAGCACAAGAAGTTCCCAAATATTTTTGCATCACAGTGTCCCGAGTGTCTTAGTAATTTTTTTTTCCAGGCTCCCAGGCCCAAAGAAATACCTAACACTTCTGTTTAGTAGCTGTGGCTAAGCAACTTATGAATTTATGTTCTAAAAACTTAGCATTGTGCACTGCACAATTTCTCAAACCTTGGACTCAGATTTTATGTTACCACCCTCATTTTATGCTCCACAGCAAAATGGTATGATATTTGCTTTTCATCAGAGCAGCCACTGAAAATCCAGCATCATCAATGTCATTGAAAGGAATATATTAATAGTTGTATAATATTGAAACTGAATTACTTCAAGCTAGTAGTTTGCACAATTCATGATGGATATCTGTGTTTCCTTCAAAAATTTAAAGTATACTGTAGCAACCTATGTGTTCTATTCAGCAACCCAAAAAGCTCAACATACTTTGGGAACTGTAATTTTAGCCAGTAAGGAATAGAGGGCAAAATATGCCATAAAAAAATAGATGCTGGTACTGTTATTTTGAATTTTATTAAGACTTGTTGCAGGAACTAGCTACTTCTCCAACCACTGTCAGAGTCCAGGAAAACAACATGATATTTGTAATTACAATGTGTAACATCCACAAAGCTTTCCAGGCTCTGCATCATGACTGCATTTAAACTAGTATGCCTTATCCTAGTGTGTTCTTCCTTCCACTCATGTACTCAGCCAATACCCACTGTGTACCCACTGCAGACATTGGGCTAAACCCTAGATAAAAGGACGAATATGATGTAATTTTTCCCTTCAAGAGTTTACAGTCTTAGCTCATATCCCAGTGACTCATAAAAGGTTGTTGCTGATCTTCCCAGACCTTTAGTGTACTTCTGTATGCCTGTCTGCAACCTGTGGGGCCTGCTCTCCTCAACTAGATGCTAGTGGTATTTTTTAGATTCCCCTTAGAAATAGAAAGTTTGTAAACTTTCTATTCCCACGGCAAAACTGTCTTTACCCCCTCACTAGCTCAGGCTTTTGGAACTTGCTAAGTCTAACCTACTGGGTTCTAATTTGACCATAAAAAAAATGTCGAATTATTTTTAATGTAAAATAATGAGAGTTCTTGTCATTCTAATTTTAACTCCTCAAATATAAATAGTAACTTTAAGGTAGCAGTTTACACATTCACTGTGACTTATTCAGAAATCGTTATATAGAACCCTTCTCTGATCTATGATTCAGAGTATCAGAGTGTGATGCACTCCATTGCTATTTCCACTGTTTAATGCATTATGGGCTCCAGCTGGCCTAGGACTTGGTGGAGAGATGGTGAAGAGATGGTGGAAAGACAGCAAATATAAGACCATGTCTTTTCTAACAATCATGGTAAGGTATATTGTAATACTTTGCAGAACTGATATTACAATTCGGTGTAAAATTTGTAACATTTTAAACCAGCTCATATTACAAACTGGTAAAAAATTTGAACTATTCTATTTCATACCATTATAGAACGCTTGGGGCTTAATTTTCTTTTAGAGTTAAGAGAATCTATAGCCCAATTCTGAATAATAGAGATATTTTTATCATTATACACCACTTGATAACATCTTATACAGCTATCTATTTGTATTTTAGCACCATATCTATTCTTAGAGACTTCTTGAATTTTATAGCTGGAAAAAAAAATCTCAGAGGTCATCTTGCAGTTACTCCCAACTCCCCAATCCACGATTTGATTTTATAAAACTGATACTAAATTTGCCTAACATTTAGTAGAGCACTATTTCTTATTTTTGTTTTTGTTTTTACCAGAAATACTTTTATATATTTTATTGATGTGTAATATTTGTACATGTTTATGGGGAACACATGATATTTTGATACATGCATAGAATGTGTAATGATCAAATCAGGGTATTTTGGATAGCCATCACCTTGAACATTTACCATTTCTTTCTCTTAGAAACATTTAAAATCTTCTTTTATAGCTATTTTGAAATGCAAATATACAATATCTTGTTAACTATAGTCACCCTACTGTGCTATCAAATACTGAAATTATTCCTTCTATCTAACTGTAGGTATCCATTAACCAACCTCTCTTTGTACCCCCTCCCACGCACACACACACTGCACACCCTTCCCAGCCTCTGGTAACTATTTTTCTTTTTTCTTTTTTTTTTCTCGCTCTGTCTCCCAGGCTGGAGTGCAGTGGCACAATCTCGCCTCACTGCGAGCTCCGCCTTCTGGGTTCATGCCATTCTTCTGCCTCAGCCTCCCAAGTAGCCTGCAATCCCAGCACTTTGGGAGGCCAAGGCAGGCGGATCATGAGGTCAGGAGACTGAGACCACCCTGGCTAACATGGTGAAACCCCATCTCTACTAAAAATACTATCTTTCTACTTTCTATGTCTATGAGATGAACATTTTTAGCTTGCACATATGCATAAAAATTTGTGATATTTTGTCTTTCTGCGCCTGGTTTATTTTACTTAATAATGTGATCTGAAGTTCCGTCCATGTTGCTGCATATGATAGGATTTCATTCATTTTGTGATTGAATAGTATTCCATTGTGTATACACACTACATTTGTCCATTCATCTGCTGATAGACACTTAGATTGATTTCATATCTCAGCTATTGTGAATAGTGTTGCAATAAACATGGGAATGCAGATATCCCAAAGGACTGATTTCCTTTCCTTTGGATGAATACCCAGTGGTGGGATTGCTGGTTCTTATGGTAGTTCTACTTTTAGTTTTTTGAGAACTCTTCATACTGCCCCCCATAATGACTGTACTAATTTACATCTCCACCAACAGTGTGTAAGAGTTACCTTTCCTCCGCATCCTCACCAGCATTTGTTACTTTAGGTCTTTATGGTAATAGCCCTTCTAACTGTGGTAAGATGATATCTGATTGTGGTTTTGATTTGCATTTCTCTGATGATTAGTGATGTTGAACATTTTTCATATACGTGTTTGCCATTTGTATGTCTTCCTTTAAGAAATGTCAGTTCAGACCCTTTGTCCACTTTTATGGGATTATTTATATTATTGCTATTGAGTTGTTTGATTTCCTTTTAAATTCAGAATATTACTCCCTTGTCAGAGGAGTAATTTGTAAATATTTTCTTCTATTCAACAGGTTGTCTTTTTACTTTGTTGATTTTTCCTTTGCTGTGTGAAAGCTTTCTGGTTTACTGTAGTCCCATTTGTCTATTTTTCTTTTTGTTTCCTGTGATTTTGAAGTTTTAACCATACAATCTTTTCCTAGACAAGTTCCCTAGAACATTTTCCCTAAGTTTTTTTTTTTTTAGTAGTTTTATAGTTTCGGATTTTACATTTAAGTCTTTAATCCATTTTGAGTTGATTTTTTATATGGTGAGAAATAAAGGTCTAGTTTCATTCCTCTGTAATGGATATCCAGTTTTCCCAGCACCATTTATTGAAGAGAGTGTTGGAAAGGCATTTCTAATGCAAGAAGAGACATTAATTCCAAAGTTGTTTAAATCAGGATAGTTTAATCTTTATGATTAGAGGAAGTGCTTTATAGCATAGTCATTATGTTAAATGAAAATGATTTAAAAACAAAGTACCCCACCTTCTAAGTTCACATTTTATTCATGAAAGAGGCATAGCAACATAAAAAAAATGATGAAGTATTTAAGGTATGTTTGCTTTGGCAGATTTATTTTAATAAAAAGCTAATTGATTCATGGAATATGACAGCTGTAACTCATCTAAAGGTAACCTAATTTATTCTACTCAAAATTTTTCTCAGTGGACTATAATACTGATAAATTGAATGTGGAAAAGTTGATTTTATATTATAGGCTTAATATGGCAATAGCAACTTAATATTCTAAATTTACATTACTGACATATGCAATAATTTATTATTCCTTGTCAGCACCTCCATATAGGATTCAAGGGGTAAATATTAAACATAGGTAGTCAGTGTTTAATCTAACTGGTCCTTCCAGTGTATAAAAGATTGAACAGTTCACAGACAATGAGGTAGTTGCTATGCACATCGGTCTTTGCACTTTAAATATCATTCACAAAGTGCCTTGTGGGTTACTCTTGCAAATTTCTATGACATTAACTGGTAAAAACGTCAAGAGTAGATCAAATGGGATTTTATAGAGGAAAGTACTTTGTAAACTAGAATGCTCTATTCAAATATAAATTTTTAATATTCTTTTAATAATTTATATTAGGATTAAAAATAAACTTGATCATTTTGGATAATTTATAACATTGTGCATCACAAAGCTCAGTTCATCTATGCCTCTATAGTGTTTCCCTACTCTGAGGTGGATTTGACTTTAACTATTTAAACCTCTACTTCAACTGGTTTATTTCTCTCTGACAGCTGTTCTTAAATATAGAGCCACAGTCTTCTGGGGCTTTTTAAAATACAATTAATGTGTTGCCACTATTAAGAGATCAAAGTTTAATATAATATAAGCCTGGAAAAATTAGATACAAATAGGTTTATCTTCATTACATTATTTAGTTTATTGCTGTCTGATAGTAGTATAGGGATGAGAACACAGGGAGTGATATAGCAATGGGAACAGTTAAAGTTAATGTCACAAGAATGAGATGTTAACCTTGCCTTATGGCTTAAAGAGGCGTATTGTATGAATATGCCTACATGTGAACTTCAAAATAGCATGTTGTGGAAATCATTAGGAAGCTTACCAACCTAAACAATATAGCATTAAATTATTTCATTTATTAGCTCTCACACTAATTTTATTTTACTTTTTTATTTGAAGGGATTGTATAACCAAGTTCTACTTTATAATCTTAACCACTTTCTTTCCTATGATCATACCAACAAAAATGATCCCAAACATAGATCTTCATTTAATACTATTTGAAAGCTTTATTATATTCAAATGATTTTAACTCATGTCTTAAAAACATTTCTGTCACAGAAAAAAAATTATTTAAGCTTTTAATTAGATTATATTTTGCCACTTAAGTGTATGTATATTGTAATTTTTCTGAACATTTTCATGTTACTTTCTAACGCATTCTACTAGTAACCTTCAAAAGCACTTTATTTTATTGCCTTTTATCTATCAAAGTATATCATTATCCTACTATGTGCCTTTTCTTACTTTATAACACAGTTATGGATCTGTACCATACTTCACTTGTTATATAAAAATATTGTGCTTATGTAGAATTGAAGATCTATTAAAAATTGTTTAATTAAGACACAAAATCTGACCTATTGAGTGTTATATATAAGAGATAAAGCAAAGCAGAATAAAAACATCATATAGTGACAAGTATTTATCTCTTAGTCTCCATAAAAAGAATTATCAAAATAAAAATAAAATCTTCAGCTCTCACATTTTTAATAGTTGTACTAAATTTAAAATCTTGAAATCTTTTTTTTTTAATTTTTTTTTTATTATGCTTTAAGTTTTAGGGTACATGTGCACATTGTGCAGGTTAGTTACATACGCATACATGTGCCATGCTGGTGTGCTGCACCCACTAACTCGTCATCTAGCATTAGGTATATCTCCCAATGCTATCCCTCCCCCCTCCCCCCACCCCATGGGAGAAAATTTTCGCAACCTACTCATCTGACAAAGGGCTAATATCCAGAATCTACAATGAACTCAAACAAATTTACAAGAAAAAACAAACAACCCCATCAAAAAGTGGGCGAAGGACATGAACAGACACTTCTCAAAAGAAGACATTTATGCAGCCAAAAAACACATGAGAAAATGCTCACCATCACTGGCCATCAGAGAAATGCAAATCAAAACCACAATGAGATACCATCTCACACCAGTTAGAATGGCAATCATTAAAAAGTCAGGAAACAACAGGTGCTGGAGAGGATGTGGAGAAATAGGAACACTTTTACACTGTTGGTGGGACTGTAAACTAGTTCAACCATTGTGGAAGTCAGTGTGGCGATTCCTCAGGGATCTAGAACTAGAAATACCATTTGACCCAGCCATGCCATTAGTGGGTATATACCCAAAGGACTATAAATCATGCTGCTATAAAGACACATGCACATGTATGTTTATTGCGGCATTATTCACAATAGCAAAGACTTGGAACCAACCCAAATGTCCAACAATGATAGACTGGATTAAGAAAATGTGGCACATATACACCATGGAATACTATGCAGCCATAAAAAATGATGAGTTCATGTCCTTTGTAGGGACATGGATGAAATTGGAAATCATCATTCTCAGTAAACTATCGCAAGAACAAAAAACCAAACACCACATATTCTCACTCATAGGTGGGAATTGAACAGTGAGATCACATGGACACAGGAAGGGGAACATCACAATCTTGAAATCTTATTGGGTATTATAGCAAGGATTTTTGAGGATTCTGAGGAGTTCACCACAGTTAATTTTGGAGGTTAACGAAAAGGACTCTATGATAATAATCAGTATGCTTTCTCTTGAAGGTTTGAAATTATAACTTTTTCTGTGACATTTGCTTTTAGCTTGGTTAGCTATTTAACTAGCTGTTGTCATATGAAAATCTATATTAACTAATGCACTTGCCTAGGGCTTTTGCGTTTCTCTCTGAACAATGTATTTCTTTTGGGATTTTTCCTTTTTCCAGAATATTGCTTCTTTTGGAATTACACTATTTTTGAGTATACTGTTTTATGTTTCATAGAAGTATATAAGTAGAGGAAGTAAATCTACAAGAAGAAGGATGTACTCCTAGTGATAGAATTTATCTGAAGCTGAGTATTGGAGGGGCAAAGACAGGTAGCATTATTATCTTTCTAGTATACTTGAAATTGTACACAAATGACCAAGCTTGGGGTTATTAAATAGGGCAGTAGTTGGCATAAATATTGAATGAGGTAGTGAGTGACCTTAAGCATTCCACAAAGCAAGATACCCAGTAACAATATCCAGACTGATTATAACCAACAGTGTAAAGAAATATGAAAGTGTGTGAATGCTGAATTGAATTCTCTTTGTATCGGACATAGTCTTGGTTTGGATGACATTATTTCTGCAAAAGAATGACATTAATTTTATAAGGTCAAGGAAATAGGCAATAGGTATAAAAAAACATGGTATTCATTATGTTTTGAAGAAAAGTTTTGGTATGAGATGAAATACTTTGTAATATCTAACAAAGCTTATCAATGTAACTTAGAGTCAGAAACAAAATATTTTGAAAGTAAAGTAATTTATCATCCCTTTGGATAGAGTTTATTAACATTTAATTTTTATGACTTACAAATAAACAGATTAATACCATCACTTTTACTACCAGCTTAAAATGAGAGTTGAATATTCAAGAGAAAGAAGGAATAATTAATAGTACAAGTAATGACAAGGCGGGGTGGATTGAATCCCAAACTAGTTGGAGGAATGACCCCTCTATAAGGAGCTTCACTTGCTCCAATTTTACAAGAAGGAAATAAGAAAGAAATAATTCAAATTTGAGAAGAACTAGAATTTTGGAATTAGACTCAAAAGTACCTTTAACAGTGTAGAGCTTAAGTGGTTTTCACTTTTTTTTTGCTAATCTTAATTTTCAAAATTTCTGCAATACGTACTTGTACAATTTTAAAACAGAAAATCTCATATTGTAAAATAACCTTAGATATTCTAATGTGCAATTACTCATTTTTGAAATTGCTAGTTTAAAGACATTTAGAGAATAATTAGACTTTTAAAGATATTAAATCAGCATTATTGTGGTCATTTTGGTAATAGTTATTTTCTTGACGTTTAGTGTTTTGATTTTTTTGCTACAGAAATGGTTTGCAGATACTTTAATTTTTAGATCATCTGTCATGCCTGGACAATTTCTATTTGTACAGTGATAATTTTGAAAAATATGCATCTGCTACTTAGGGTTAAATTTCTGCATCTGTCAGGAAATTGTCTAGACCTTTTTAAATAGACCAAAAAATAATAACAACAAAAGTGCAGACAAATTTACTCTTGATGTAATGCTGTCAAGATTCATTCCTCCTCTGCTTTTTTTTTAGATCCTCTTCTATGACCCAAGCACTATTATCTGTCCTTCCATATTTCTGTATTTGTTCATATCCTGTCTATTTGATTGTAAATAAAATTATAGATTCACTATCTTGGGCCAACACAGGTAAAATTTGTGTATTTTGAAAAACCTCATATCTTCTCTTACTGACAGCTTTGATATTATAGGGTGTTTTTGCAAAATAAGTATCATTTTTAAAAAGATGACAGCACTTAAACATTGACCAGCATAATCATGAGAAGGTCAACTCTAGTTTTTCAAACAATATCATTATATATCATTTGCCTTATGACTTGGTACTTTCAAATTAAAAATGTGCTCAGCCATTTGTTTTGAAATGTTGTATCAGAATGAATAACTTATTAAAGTGGAAAGTTTTATTTGGCTGGGTAGGGCAGACATCTCTTCTGTGGTGACAGATGAATTTCAGTGGATACAGCTTGTCCTCCTTGTCATTTCATGGTAACTGAATACTTTCCTAGGAATGCATACACACACACAAACACACACACGCTCACACACACACACACACATATTTAATGAGTGTAAGTTTTTCTTAAGTTTGACTCAAATATTAAAACAGTTAATACAGTGAAAGCACAGTGCATTTGTTTAAGATATCCATTTCCTGATGATTGAGCCTGGATTTTACTGGAAAGGCTACTTATTTCATTGACTTCTGTCCTCTCTGTGTTGTTTTGCACTTTTATATTTTTGGTCTAGAATATGTTGAAGTGTAGCTGTGATCCTGGATGGAGATGTTTGCAAATGCCCAATATAGATGCTTTTCTTCATTAGTGGGGAAGAAATTAATGGCTTATACAATACAAATGAGTAATTAGAAATATTTGCCATCTTGGCAGTTTGGATTCTAAATCTGCATTTTAAAATATCCCATTCCCTCTCCTCCTGCAGCATAAACAGGAGCAGACCTAGAAAATCTAAATCAGAGGACATCCATGGGCCATGTGGCCAAAATGTCATATATGATGCATTTAGATGGCATCTTATAAGCTAACTTAAGATAAAATAGTAAGGTAGAAAATGGTCCTCTCATCTAGGTGAGAAGGCTCCTTTCTTCCTACCTTCTTTATCTTTACACTATTTCTCTCTCTTACTGCTCCATCTTAACTTAAGCCCCTAAATCATTGTAGCAATTGTTCTACTGAGGTATGGGAAAGCAATGCACAAAGAGATGAAAATATTTAATTTTTTTTTTTTGAGATGGCGTCTCCCTCTGTCGAGTGCAGTAGCGCGATCTCAGCTCACTGCAAGTTCCACTTCCCGGGTTCACTCCATTCTCCTGCCTCAGCCTCCCCAGTAGCTGGGACTACAGGTGCCCGCCAACACGCTGGGTTAATTTTTTTATTTTTATTTTTAGTAGAGACGGGGTCTCACCGTGTTAGCCAGGATGGTCTCGATCTCCTGACCTCGTAATCCTCCCTCCTTGGCCTCCCAGAGGAAAATATTTAATTCTTAATGGATAAATTAATAAGAGCTTCATGTGTAACCTAAAATTAAAATCAAATCTTAATAATGATTAAGCTAAATGAGGAAAATGAGAATTCCTGGCAGAGTAGACATTGTAGAAAGACCAAAGGTATGAGAAAAAGTAAATTACTGTTAATGGTATTTGGAACATAAGGTTCATGTTAGGGAGATATGGGATGTGAGAATATAAACTTTATAAATGGACAAAAATAAATTTCCCCCACCAGAACTTAAATATAATTATGACATGAAATTTTAAAGTTGGGACAAATGGAGGAATACAGAGATACTCAAAATGACTTTAAAAGACAAGAACCCCTAGACTATGAGGACTTCATTTTAATCTAACTGAGGGAAATAACTGAGTGCTTGATATGTGATAGACACTGTGTAGTTTATAAATAATATTTCATTACTTTATCACAACAGACGAGAAAGCTGAAGTTTAGGGCAAAGTTAGTATTTGAAAGGAGATACCTGTGATTCTGTAGCTTAAACTGTTCACCACTACTCTAAACTACTTTTCCCAGTGTATTAAGGGGAGAAGAACATGTTGAGATGGCTAATCTGTAGGGGAAAAATAAGTATAGAAGCTTCAGAGACCATTACTGGTAATCTTTAGTATAGTAGCAAAACAGTTATTTATTATTTTATAATAATTATAATTATTATTATTATCAATTTCCTGTCTCCACGCTAAGTGAATTAATTTTCTATAATCAAAAGAAACATGCTCAAACTCCTATCACTTAAACAAGATGTCATTTATTACTTTTAGCAAGAAGAGCCTGGTTAGAACTAGAATATCATAATCATCTGTGACAAATATGGTAACCATGATAGATCATTAATTTATTATGTTAGTGAGAAAATAGTAATTAAATGAATCCTATGGGCCAGGCCCTATACTGGGCCTTCTTTCTCCATCCCCTAAAGTTTTTACCATCATTAGCTTGTAGCTACTACTTTTCTAATACTTGTTGCCATCATAACATCTCCATGAAAACTCGGATTTCCGTGACAGCTTGTTAACTAAACTCTTTGCTTCTATCTTTGGCCGCTTAAATTGTATCCTTCACTCAGAAACCAATGAGTTCATTTTAAAGCATAGTATTCACTTGTCTTAAACCCCTGTAACAACTGCCCAATTCTCTCAGAATGAGGGTCAAAATCCTTATCATGGCCTAGAAAGTTGTAACCAATCTAACCACAACCCCTAATTGCTTCCTTGACTTAATTTCACATACCCCTCTCTTTATTTTCTGTGCTCCAATCACATTAGTATTTTTCTTGCTCTTTCTTGAACACAGCAAATGCAGCAGGCAATGGGAAATAGTGGGTGCCATGGATTATAAAAATTTAATTAACCTTGAGAGAGTATCCTGACAGAGAATATTTTTCCAGTTATAGGGATAAGGACATATCTGAGTGCATTAGACAGTCTTATATGATAGCAACCAATAAATCTGCAAAAGATAGCTTTAATCACTGTTTAAAATCTATACATAAACTTACAATACTTTTGGAAATGTTTGACATGTTGGGAAACAAAATAGATAAGAGACTTGAGGTTTTCTTAGTGGAAGCAGGGAGACAAATAAACAGTGTATTAGATAGTATATAGGAAATAACATGGAAGAAGATAATGGAATAGGCGTAGCTGTTTTACACAGAGCAGTAAGGGAGGGCCTTATGGATAAAATATCATGCGAGGAGAAACCAGAACAATTGAGAATGGGAGATACAGGACTTCTGAAGAAATGGTTTTCCAGATTGATATAACAGCAAGTGTAAAGACCCTGAGGGAGGCACATGCTTAATATCTTCAAGCCAGAGCAAGGAAGTCGATAAATCTAAAGAACAGACATGGAAGGAGAAAGCATAGGAAATTAATCCTGCAAATTAGCAGAGACCAAATCACATCGGCAATTTTAAGGGCAATCTCTTTAGTATGAGTGAAACAGGTGATCCTTTATTCTGAGTGAAACAGGGATGGGAAATTTGAAAGTACAAAAGTGATATAATTTGAACTAACCTTTGAAAAGTTTGCTCTGGATACTATTTAAGAACAGATTGCAGGGAGGCAAGAACAGAAAGAGGAAAAACTAACAACATAGCAAGAAGGACTATTGCAATCATATGAATGAGAAATTGTGGCTCAGATTCCTATTAACACTGTAGGGCTGAAAAATGTTAGATTCTGGATTTCTAATGTGTTGCTGACAGGATTTTCCTGATGGAGTGCTTGTGAAATGCAAGACAGAAAGATGAGTTAAGAATAACTGTAAGGTTTTTGGCCTTAGCAACTTGAAGAATGGAGTTTTCGTTTATTGAGATGAGAAAGAAGGAAAAGGCAGATAATTGACCGTTATGTAAACTTTTAAGGTTGCTCAAGCTCTAAGAGTAGTCTAAATAAAACTTGGAGTCATGACGAGGTCTAAGAAGACTGTAAATATAATCTCTCTTTGGTTATACGGATTAACTTCTAGAGATGTTGATCAGGTGTCACAATGAGTGAGAGATGACATGTAGGACTTTTTATGCCATGTTAAGGGACTATTTAGCCATAAAATGTATGGAGCCCTGTCATTTGCAACAACGTGGGTGGAACTGGAGATTGTTATGCGAATTGAGCCAGGCACAGAAAGACAAATATCACATGTTCTCACTTACCTGAGGGATCTAAAAATCAAAACAATTAAACATGGATATAGAGATTAGAATAATGGTTACCAGAGGCTGGGAAGGTTAGTGGGGGATGTGGGGGCGGCTAGGAGGGAGAGGGGTATGGTTAATGGGTAAAAAAAGAAATAGAAAGAATGAAAAAGACCTACTATTTGATAGCATAACAAGATAGCTATAGTCAATAATAACTTAATCATATAGTTCAAAATAACCAAAAGAATGTAATGGTATTTTTTGTAACACAAAGGATAAATTCATGAGGGGGATAAATACCTCATTCTCCCTGATTATTTCGTATTGCATGACTTCATGAAAACATCTTAGGTACCCCATAAATATATACACCCACTATATACCCACAAAAATTTAAAATATTTTTAGAAAAAAACACCTTATGAAAATCAATCAGTACAATTTTGCATCTCTAAATACATTAAATGCATGTTTATAGACACAAATGCATGTGTAAATGCATACACATGTAGAGACACATCTGCAAACATACACATGTAAATACATGCCAGAAAAACACCGTAATATGATATGAACACAAGCACTGTACTGGAATTCAAGTCAGAATAGCCACATTTTGATTCACATTTACCATCTACTTAGCATGGTAAACTTAGTGAATTATTTGACCTTCGTTCTACATCTATTAACAAGATGATTAAATTTGATGATAGCTTTACATTTCTACAAGTCATACTTTCACATTTTGTTTTCCAAAATACTTTTTGTCACTATAGTACATATTTGACCTATTGGATATTGCCAGCAGAAGTGAAGCCTAGTTATTATGTTGCATCTTTCTTATCATATTTTTTCTCTTTTATTTAACTTTAGCCTTGGATCAACTGTGCAGTTCTCTTGTGATGAAGATTATGTCCTACAGGGCGCAAAGAGCATCACCTGTCAACGGATAGCTGAAGTTTTTGCTGCTTGGAGTGATCACAGGCCTGTGTGTAAAGGTAATGTTTTATAATAATGCCCTCTGAACACATTTTAATAGTTTAACCTTTATTTCATTGTAATTAAGTTGCAATTAAGTCTTTGAATTGTAATATAATCTTTAAGGAAAGATTGTGCTCATATATTTATTGATATTTATAGAAAATCTGCAAAATGTGAATCAATCTATTAGGTTCCCAAGGAATTTCCAATTAATAATCATACAACATAGACTGAAGAATAAAGTATGTAATACAAGACTCTGGAAACATTGTCGGCATTTTTTGAAAATCACAATTACCCTGTCTGTATAGGCAATGATACAGATATTTTAAAGCCGTAATTTCTTCTCCACTTGCATAGTTTGCCATTTGAATTGCTTATGTGTCCGTGTCTACAATACTTGGTAGCAGTCAAGGTAGAGCACAGGTTCTACAGTTAGTTAATTTAATCTAGAACAAACCAGTTAGTTCTCTGGCTTTATATGTCACATTATCAATAATTCCAAATAAGATATAAATATATATCTTATATTATCTGCATGTGTGTATATATATGTAAGATATACATATGTATATATATCTTATCTGGAATTACTGGAGGTATATATATGTGTGTGTGTGTGTGTGTGTGTGTGTGTGTGTGTGTGCGCGCGCGCGTATGTGTGTACATATATATATATAAATACCAGTATGTGTATATGTGCGTGTGTGTGTGTGTGTGTGTGTATATATATATATATATGGCAAAATATTGACTGGACAAAACTCATTGAGGACAATTTTAAATATAGAAGAAAATATTATGAAAGGCAAGTGACATTTTGTACAGCTACTTAGAAAATAAAGAAAGGCACTAACACAACCAACTGGGGTACCTTTTTATTTTTAACATGGGAGTTCAAATGTATTAAAATCATCTGACTTTGTAGTTGAGTTTTAATAAGTAATTCACAGTGCAAAACACCTGATTATAAGTCAATTTGACTACCCATAGTGTAAATATCATCATCTTTAAATACTAAAAAAACTAACAGATATGCCAATATCATTAGACATAAACATCAAGGTTTGCAAGAACCATATCATTGAGGTCAGTCTGATTTCAAATAATTCCTCCCAGTAGAATTAAAATCTACACCTCAAATTTAAATATCTGTCACTGACTTGTGACAGAGTATAGAAAGAACTATTATCTCATTGAGATAAATGTTTAAAAATATGAATATAATTAAATGATGTTATATCTATATTATTATACTCCTTCTTCACCTTCTGACTGTTTCTTTGCCATCTATTCCACTTGCTTACCTTTTTCTTTTCTTTAACTGCTTGTGACCACTTGTAGGAACAAACATCAACTTTTTTAATTCATTAAACTGTTGTGTCAATTTAACTGTTAATCATGAAAACTAATCTTTCCCCCCTCCTTTATCCTAGCTAGCACATGCATCACCTTTCCTCAGATGAACTATTTCCACATAAATTAAATAAGCCTCCTTCTTTCTAAACTTTATAAAACTGTGTTTGAAAATGAATACCTCATCATGTCGTACTGGCATTTCTGATGGCTTGTTTGCTGTTCTGGTGGTTATTATTTTTAATAATGGTGTTTCTGCATTTTTCTGTGTCTCTGTACTCGAGTTCTCTCTAGCTCTTCTTCTCTTTAAATAGTATAGCTGCCAAACATATAAAGAAACTTGACCAGTTTACACCCAAAAAACATTGTCTATAAAATTCAAGTATTCCTATGATACGAGAAAGGCACACTTTTTTATAGCTTAGAAAGAAGCATACAGTATCTCATATTTTCTTATAAAGTGAATAATGAATAATACATTTTGTAAGGGTTACTTTCATGAATGTCATGGCAGTAAATAGAACAGTAAAATGTTCTATTTTACTGATTACACAAGGCTGATTTCTTGTGTCCTTCACTCAAGATGAAATTATAGCCATAAAGAGCAATATAGTGAACATCATGGCTTCAAAATGATATGTTTCAAATATCCTACTTCAATGTCACATAAATTAGATATGTGCATTTTTGTTAGCAAAAATGGATGTGAAAATAGATGACAGAGAAAAGGAGATTAATGTTAATGTAGGAACAAAATCTCACACCAGAAGTTATAGCCAGATCATGGAATTTAAGATCTACATAAAGTAAGATTGAGACTACATAGCATCTTTGTTCATTCAAGACTCTCATTTTGATTAAAAAGATGAATCATACTTATGATAGTAAATTGTTCAAAGGCAAAAATAAGGTGTTATATTACATTGTTATTTTTTTATAAACCCCATGGCACAAAGAGCAGCTCTCTACTGACTTGAATTTCAAGAACTATTTGTTGAATATTAATGTATGATTGGACTTTTTAGATTGCAAGATACATTATGTTATATATATAACATATGTATTCATATTCAACAATTATTATATAGGAAGTATAAAAAAAGCACATGTTCAAGATTCATATGTTGATATTATTTCATTTAAATTTACATTTTATTTTGCAGATATTAGACATAGCTGCATTTGCTCATTGCATGCAAGGCACGTATGTGTATGGTTTACAAAGTCCATTTTGTTGCTAGAAATTACTGGCGGTGGTAGTGGAAACAGTAATGGAGGGAACATGCTGAAATAGTAATTGAAGTTTTAAAATGACTACTGTGAGTCTGGACAAAGAGTAGTTCTCATGTCTCATGGGTTCTTGGACAGAATAAATATGCTTTTTCCAGACAACAGCATAAATTGCAGTATCAGTGCACTGCACCTTTGAGAGATTATTAACATAGCTTCTGTCTGTGTATTGCATGGTTGAGCAATCAAGAAATGGTGATTTTTAAAGGGATTAAAAGTTCACACAGACAGCAAATTATGAATTAAAAGAGCAGTTTATAAATTAATATTAATATTTTTTACACAAACAGAGACAATTCTTATTCCATAGATGGGTTATGTATACAAAGTATTTGCCAGTTTACAGTGGTGAAAACAATTATTCCCTTGTTGGATATGCAGTAGATATCCAAAAGCTGGAGCTTTTGCAAAAAGTAGCCTTATGTGTTGAAGATGTGTAGAATGTTCATTTTAGACCTTCCTGATACTTAAAGAAACAGTATGTGGTTGAGCATTGATAATTTTGATAATGCGGAAACATTTAAAATAGTTAATAATAATAGACTGAAGAAAAAAATGGCAAATTTTAATCTGTTTATTAGGATGGTACCAAGTAATCAAAGTCCGTTAAGTTACAAGGGCAAAAACCACTCATGGGATTAATGAAATGGGTAATTAAGGGAGGATGAGAAAAGAAGACAATGAAATGGGAAAATACTAAAAACAACCATAAAAATCATGACATCACCTTTTAATTTCTTTATTCAAAAAGCATGAAATTGTTATTATTCATTTATTGTTGTACTGATCAATTTATTTTTATTCATTCAACACTTATGAACATGAGTAGGTATTCTAGATTATGTACCATATGTGATATAGAGTATAAAATTATTTTTATTATTTTGTATTGATTTATAAGGCGTAAACACAAAACTAGATAATATATAATAGACTTGTTTACAAGTTAGTGCAAGCCTCTGCAAAATTCAGATGAGGAAGATTATTTCCATGTTTGGAAATGGCCGTTGAGTTGGAGAAAATAATATGTGGGCAGAACTTGGAAATTATTGTGGATATAGGCAGAGGAAGATGGATGTGAAAGTCATTTCAAATGTAGAGAATGTATCATGGGCAATCACAATGTGAATTGACACATCTGGGGAATCAGTTTGGTCAGTTATATGAAAGGATGTAGAGTGAGATAAAATTGGAGAGGTTATCTTATGTATCTCCTGGTTTGAAATATGTCTAGAAGCACTCCTAAACTTCCATTCCCATTGTCACTATTCTACAATTCCAATACGGCAACTATCACTTTTATTTTCATTTAGAGTACAATTTATCCCACCTGTTACTGACAGATTAATCCCATTAAAGTCTCGCTTTATGGATGGAGACAATGTGTTGGTGGTGGGTGTGGTGTTGCTGCAGCAGTTGCTGATGTTGCCGATTGTTAACTCTTTTGATTTCCAAAATCACCCATGATTTGCCTTTAAGCAACTTTTTTTTTAACTTGTACCAAAAGTTTATCCCAATGTCTCAATAATAAACAGAATTGCCACCTAGATATTCATATATGTCTAGCCTGTTCCTGAATGACCAAGCCAACCTCTCCAGGTCTTGTTCAGTTTTCACCTCCTACAAAAATTCTTTCCTATTTCAATATTCCCTTATTTCCTCATCTTCAAAATTACTTTACAATTACTGTCTTTGCCACACAATATAGCATTTAATTTTATTTTGTTTGGCAATGCTCCCTAATCATTTCATGGACAGTAGACTTGCTTCTTCAACAAAAGCCACCTCAAAAAGAACAAAATAATCAATGCCTCTAAAGTGTTCGAATTTTGAATGGATCTGTTCCAGCTGTTGCCAAAGAGGACAGTTATCAATATGGTCTACCCATCCATTACTGTTGATAGAATAAAACAATCTAAATGAGGTTCAATTCCTTTCTTTATAAACAATGGAAAAATGGGTGTACAGGTTATATGATAGACAACTACTGGTCAAACGTAAGAGCTGCGACCCTCACTAACTCATGTTTATTAAAAGCTCAGGGTCTTAACTTTTTCAAAATTATTTTACATATGTTACAAATTCCCTCTTATATATTATTCCTCTTCTCAGTGTTTAGCTCAGTGACCCACTGCACCCATATTTTTATACATACAGTAGCTGCTATAATAGTTTAAGAAATATTATAGGAAGATTTAATTAATTGTAACCAACAGTTTGAGAAGGTAGTAATAAGATCATTGCAACTACAGAAAGTTGCTCTAGTAGGCTTCCTGTTATGCAAAGGTAATTAGAAAATTTTGCCCAAGAACATATCAGAACCTGCTGAAATTTATCAGCCAGAAATGCATATAGCAGGTGTTTTTCTGTAGTTGTTGATGCCTTCTTAGTTTTGTGGAACATTCTTACAGATGAAATGATGCATAATAAGGATGATATTAGCAATTAATAGAGTGACATATGGTGAAGGAGATAGGCAGATGGTGTAGATATGGAAGTTTATCACACATTCATATTTCTTAGTGGTTTTTTTTTCTAAAAGCCATAGTGTGAAGCTTTATTAAACCATTTTGATTAGGAAACAAGCCTTACTAAGCTCTAACAATTAACAGGTTTTAATGATATCACTTACATGTTATTTGATGGAGATTAATAGTGATGCATTTATAGACAACTTAGTAGAAGATAGATCACTTAAATTCAAAACTCCCTGAACAATTAGAAATTTTGCATTTCAAGGGTGCCCTTCCAACAATTGTTTAGAAATACATTCTATACATTTTGCCTAGCTCTCAGATTATTACAAAAATATGCATATAATGAACAAATTCTTGATTCAGTTTTGGTACATAGCAGGAAAATCTCCACAGATATCAAAGAGAACATTTTCTTTCCAACTCATCATTTTCTAGGAGTATAACCTTGCTCATTTGCTTAATATCTTCTGAACATCAGTTTACTTATTTGTAAGTTGATGAGGGATTATTTGTAAGTTGATAAGGGATTGTATGGTCTCCTTTCAGTTGCAAATTCTAAATATTCTGAAGTATATTGACTGCTTCTGTATTGAAACTTGTTAAGGATATTTTTAGTTCAATATTCTTCTTTACCTTTGAATGCTGAGAATTTGCCTCAGTTCCTGAAACACACAAGCAATAATAATTTTTAAAAATTTTAATAAACTCTTGCTAATGAAATATTATTTTTATTGCATTATGTTTTGGATATTTAAAAAAGACAGGTTTCAAATTTGTTCAGTGCCAGAATGATGGTTATTGATTGTAAAACTGCTTCAAAGTAATTTAGATTCTGCAGATCTCTTATGCTTTATTTACCATTAAAATCTACCTTTGTATATAGGTAAAAGATTATTTGTCTTCATGCATTTTTATTATGAAGTGCACCCTTGTAATATGTTGAGTTTAAACAATGTATCTTTAGAAAAATAAAGGTGATTATAATGTCATTGTTGAAAATGCTATACACTAAGATATTTTTGAGAGTTTTCAAATGGGAAATAAATATTTTAATTCTTAAAATGTATTAGTAACAATTCTAAATTTTGGGAGAGAAAAATACAAAAGAAAACAACTCTTTAACTTTTAGCTAATATAATTTTAAAAGCCTAAAAATTTGAAATTTAATGGGGATAAAATGAGCTACATCATGCCCAAACAACAACTAACCAAGGAAAAAAAGACTGCAATAACCATATTAGTAATGAACGCTTTCGCTAAACTAAAAAACCAAGCACTGAAAAAAATCTGAAATGTAATGTCTTAATGCAAGGATGAACAAATGAAAAGCTAATAAAATCAGCACAGTGATTGCAATTTTGGAGGAGAAGCTACCTATATAAAAGGAAATGTTGAAAAATTATTAAAATAGAATAACTTTTTGTGTTCATAGTAAACTTATGAAATCTCTTAAAATTCCCCTGTGATGTAGAAAAACTTATTTCCTATATTTGCTGAAAATATGTGCTACTAGCAAAAAGCATCTTGAAGATCTGTGATGACTTAATAGCCTTTCCACTAATTCTGATCACATAAAAAGTTGGAAAACTTAAATATACTACAGTTAGGATTCCCTTATTTAGCTTCTCCACAGTAAAATCTCACTTTGTTTCAAAATAATAGCTGGGCTAGCTCTGGGAAGGAGGGTTTATAGATAAAAGTGATCACACTGTAACCTTTAGAATGTCTGTTGCTATGTATATGCACTCAAAATGTATAATTGTACCACGCAAAGTGAAAGAAACAATAGGAAAGGGAAAAATGATGAAACCTGGGAACCAAAGAGGAAACAAAAGGCATAGGCAGAATATATACAGACATTATTGATGAGAAAGAGATAAACTTTTATCCTTTAAATTGAATTTATTTGAAGTTGTAAAAGTCACTGGTCTTCTGCTTGATATGAATCTTCAGAATTTATGACATTTTGGCAGACCTTTCCTCATATTAAGGCATGAAGTATGTTCTTCTGCTTACTTTGTCTTACAGTAATTTTTGTGGAGCTAGGTAAATAGTGTCAACATCCCAAACAAATAGCAATGCCTGGCACATGGCAGATACTCACTAATATTTGAATGAATGGATGTTTTGTTTACCACTATGCTAGACACAATGTAAGAAGCACAGAGCAGAACTGAACAAATTATGCCGTTAAGAAATGTATTATCTCATTGAAAACACAGTACATTCAAAATAAAACAACCAGAGAACATCCCTAAAGCAACAGAGGCATGGTTGCACAGTCAATATTTGTCATAAAGACAATTCAAAACAAAGGAAAGACAGAAGACAGAAATGATAGTATTACCCTTTGGGAAATAAATTTCATTGGACATGAAAATACCACTTGGTCATTTTATCTCTGAGGTTATTATTATTATATATTATTCCCTTATTTTGGAAATCATTCTTTTGTTTATTTAATAACATTGATATTTTGTGGTAATTATTAGGTAAGGGGAGGGAAAAGATGAATTTTTCTCCTCAAAGAGATCAATGGGCTACTCCAGTGGGAAAAACAGCAACGAAAAAGTATGCATTACTATATATCACAATAAGAGCTACTGCAGAAAAATGAATATGGTGCATTCCGTTCAAAGACGATTAAGGAACCACTCTGCCTAGAAGAGTACAAAAATTTTTATAGAAAAGGATAAGCAGGGATTCAAAAAGGACAGAAAGAAAGACAGACATAGAGATTGAAAAATGTAAGACATTAAAGATAGAGACAACTAAGTATAAAGCCACAGGGTGATGAAAGGAACCGTAGAGGGAGAGAGAAAGAAGGAGAGAGAGAGAGGAGAAAAAAAAAGAAAAACAGAGGGAGAGGGGTGAGTGAAATGTGGAGGAGCATAAACTTATTGAGGATGGGAAAAATCTCTACCTGCAATGAATTTACTCTCAAGGGTGGGCGCCAAGAGTTTTAAAAGTTAGTATATAATTACAATAGTTTATTGTAAATTCTATGCTAAGAGCTATACAAAAAAGGAGTGCTCCTCTAAGCCTCCCAGCACAGACCTGTTGTGGTCTGTGGACTGTAAGGAACCAGGCTCACACAGCAGGAGGTGAACAGCGGGCAAGTGGGCATTACCACTTGAGCTCCACCTCCTGTCAGATGAGCAGCAGCATTAGATTGTCATAGGAGCGTGAACCCTATTGTGAACTGTGCATGTGAGGGATCTAGTTTGCATGCTCCTTATGAGAATCTAATGATAAATATAATGTGCTTGAATCATCCTGAAACCATACCACTCCTCCCCCGAGTCCATGGAATAATTATCTTCCACCAAACCAGTCCCTGGTGCCTAAAAGGTTGGGGACCACTGCTCTAGGGTACTAGGGATTGTTAAGGAAGGCGTCCACAGAAAAAAGTACCTGAGTTGAACCCTGAAGATGCAGTAAACAAGGCTAATGATGAGAACAATGGTGGATGTGCAGATTACACCAGATTGAGGGAGCCCCGTGGGCAAAGGCTTAAAATATTAGGGACCATTATGTTTTAGAAAATGGAGTATGAACATTTTTTTTCCATATACCTGTTGGCCATTTGTATGTCTTCTTTTGAGAAATGTCTACTCAATCATTTGTCCATTCTTAATTGAGTTGTTTTCTTGCCATTAAGATGTTTTAATTCCTCATATATTTTGGACATAAGGCCTTTATCAGGTATATGGTTTACAAATAATTTCTCTCACTTCATATGTTGTCTCTTCACCCTGTTGATTGCTTCCTTTGCCGTGCAGAAGCTCTTTAGTTTGATGCAATGCCATTTGTCTGTTTTTGCTTTTGTTGCCTATGCTTTTGGGGTCATATACAGGAAATCGCTGCCACACTAATGTCAGAGAGACATTAGTTTTCTCTATGTTTTTTAAATAGTTTTATACTTTCAGGTCTTTATTTAACTATTTAATCCATTTGAAATTCATTCCTGTATGAGATGTGAAATAAAGGTCCAATTTTCTTCTTCTACATGTGGATATGCAGTTTTCCCAGTACCATTAATTGAAACGGTATCACCTCACATCTGTTAGGTTGCCTATCATCAAAAATATAAGAGTTAAGTATTGGTGAGGATATGGAGAAAAGAGAATCTGTATATACTGTTAGTAAGAATGTAAATTAGTACAGCCATTATGAAAAATAGTATGCAGATTCCTGAAAAAAATAAAAATAGAATTACCATATGATCCAGCAATCCCGCTACTAGATATTTATCCAAAAAAAAATGAAAGCAGTATGTCCAAGACATATCTACATTCCCATATTCATTGCTGAATTATTCACAGTAGCCAAGATATGTAATCAACCTAAGTGTCATCCATTAATGGATGACCAAATGAAGAATCATCCATTGTTTTATATATAATGGATATATGTTATGTTATATATATATATATAAAACTCCTTGATCTTAAAAAAATCAAATAATTGAAATAAGCCACTAAAGCAAATATTGCATATTAGATTATCAGTAGATGATAACATATGACAGGAAAGGAAGGTATAAAAGCAATAAATATGTTGAAATGTTGATACCTTTGACAAACTTGAAAAAATTCATGCCTCATAAAGATATATTTGGTTATTTAATATTCTTCTCATAATGTTATACATAATGGATATATCTTATATTTATTTTATATATAATGTATATATGTTATATTACATAACATATATAATATATAACATAATTATATTTTATATACATAACAATTAACTAAATATATTATAATGTATACATAATATAATACATAATTATATATAACATAATACATACATAACAATTAACTAAATATATACATTACACATAAATACACACACACACACACACACACACACATATATATGTACACACACACACACAATGGAATACAATTCAGCCTTAAAAAAGAAGGAAATGTTATTATATGTGACAACATAGATGAACCCGGAGGAGAGTCTGCTAAGTGAGATAAGCCAGGCACAAAGACAAACATTGTATGATCTCACTTACATGTGGAATCTAAAAAGTTGAGCCTGATGACTATAACTAGTAATAATATACTGCATGCTTGGCATTTACTAAGAGAGTAAATTTTAAATGTTTTCGCCACACAAAAGTATGTGAGGTGATGGGTATATTAATTAGCTTGATTTAATTTTTCACAAGTAGACAAATATCAAAATATCATATATACATTTTTTATTTGTCAATTGTATCTTAATAAGCTGGAGATATTTTAAAGTAAATGAATGAAATAAAATATAAAAGAAGGAAGATGTCATATGGTTTGAGAGAGACAAGACTAAGAATTGTATCCAGTTTGAAGACTAGTTCAGTAATTTAGGTAAAAAGTAATATGACTTTAGATTAAGTGAATGATAAGAAAATGTAGAGAAGAGTTGAAACAGAAGTGAATTGAGGGAACAACAATATGAGGAATAGGAGGATGAAGTTGAGCCTGTGAAAGACTAAAATAGGAGCAGCTAGAAGCAAAGATTCATAACCAGAGAGAATGGTGTCATGATACCACAGCAAGGAGATATTTTATAAATCAGATGTGATCAACATTGTGAAATGCTGCAAAATGGTCAGGAAAATAAATTAAATTCAACAACCAAGAGGCCACCAGTGACCTGGGTAAAATCGTTTTCACTGGAATTAGTGATGTATAAGCCACATGGCTAATAATTGAGAAATAATGAGGTGAAAAAACTGAGGCTTTATGTGAAAAGTGGAAGCTTGCCTCTGAAGCAAAGGCAAGAGCTAGCTAGGTTTGTAGACGGAAAAGGACATGCAATGAGGAAAGATTGTTTTTAAGATGTGAGAGACTGAAGTAATGAGGACAAAGATACAATGCTTGAGAGAAGTTGAAAATACAGGTGAGATCTGAGCCAATTGTAACATTACAGTCCTAGGAGGTTAAGAATCTGAGATTCAGAATAGAGGGGATAGCATTGCCCTTGGATAAAAATTGACACATACTCTCCCTTGAGGTGAAAGACCCTGAGGAAGGAGCCGATGAAGGTATAATGTTTTTGTAGGGGGAAATGGAAGAAGGCATCATTCTCAAATGGCAGAACCCTCTACCCCTATTTTTTTCTGTAAAGTAGGTACAGTTATCTGAGGAAGGAAGAAACCCAGCAGTTCTGTGATGAAATTGGATGAAACTGAAATTTTTATGAATAGGGAGGTCAGGGAAGTCACCAAGCAGCCACTGAGAAACAGGATCTTATCCTGAGGGTTTCATTTAGCTCAGTGATCCCCATCCCTGGCTGCACGTGAAAATCACCTGGAGAGCTTTTAAAAGAAAAATCCATGCCTAACTCCCATCCTAGGTTAATTAAATCAAAGTCTCTGGAGGATAATTCAGTTAATATATTTCTCTCTGTGATAAATTGGTCAATTTAACTGCACTGAGGATCCCGAAAACAACTTAAAATGACACTCTGTTTTCTTAGGGAGTCTCTCCCTTATTCATGAACCGTAACGTACTCACTGGCAGGCTGATTGGGACATTTAATTACACATATCATATCCTTGTTCTACAGAGTGGCAAAGTGGAAGTTTGATGCAGTGAGGTCACTGAGTTGAAGCAGCAGCTCATGATTTCCTCTTCTAACCGGACTTAATCCAGATACTGAAAGTAATATAAATTTGCATGTTAAATTTCAAAGATGAACTCATTTTCATACTTATCATGTATTACGAGCTGGAAATGGCACCGATTTACTTCTGAGATAAGTGTTTCTTGGGAAGAAATGAAATGAGGTCAGAACTAAATGAACTGCACTTCATTTGCACTCCCACTGTCCCTTTTCAGCCATCTTTAGCTTATTTATTCCAAGGAAATAAGACACGACAAATGTAGGTTTGCAGCATCGAAATAATTTTGAGAAGAAAATTAAATAACCAAATATGCCTTTATGAAGCATGAATTTTTTTTAAAGTTTGTCAAAAGTATCAACATTTCAACATATTCGTTGCTTTTATACATCCCTTTCCTTTTGTATGTTATTATCTACTGATAATGTAACTTATGCAATATTTGCTTTAGTGGCTTATTTCGATTATTTGATTTTTTAAAAAAAATATGTGTTTAAAATTTTACACTTCTGTTACATTGTTAAGGCCAATATTTATGACAGATTTTTAAGTGTTATTTTACTAGTACATATTTTTTTAGTTTGGGGCAAGGAAAAAGGAGACATCTTGGATGACTTCTTGTGTTTCTCATCTGAAAAAACGATGCTCTGAACCAATTTGGAGTTAATATAAGTTTATGTTTATGTGCTTGATTTTGGGTAAACTTTTATTTCAGTGTTTGAATGATAAATATTCATATTTAGTAGGATTTACAAGTATATATTTATTCTGAAAATAAACACTTTGGATGTTCTAATATTGTTACTTTAACCATTAATATGTCTCACATCTCCTAGATATTTCTACTAAATTCTGAGGGAAAAAAAAAGACAAGAAAACCTTTAGATATAAAAAACATAAAGCAAAAATGGCTTTCCATTAAGACTATAGAAATGACTTCTGAAAATCTTCTCACTTACCATTATTTGTATTTACTTTGTTGTCTTCTAGCTAAAGTTTATTTCTAAATTATGCAAGGAGGACACAGGTTATTTTTCCTGCCTGTTTAAGAGTATTTTAAAAAGAACAATAAAACATCATAAAGACCATGCTGAGAAAAACTTTTGTGAAATCTTTATTAAATGACTCCAATTTTCTTCATTTTCATGACCATAAAAATATTTATTAATAATACATATTAGCATTTATTCTGGGCTATGAATACCAAAGACCACATTTGACTTTTCAAAAAGTTTACCCTGTTTACTATTTTCTGTCACAGGAAGTAATAACAATACTGGCTATTGTGAACCTATTTTTTTCCTCATTAAGGCAAAATTGTCTGATGAAGTTAAAACCTGGGAGGAATGTGATCAGCTCATTTTAGAATTACAATAACTAAGAAAGACAATAGTGAACATTGCCAGAGAGTGTATTTAGAATTTTAAGAGAGCAGTTTCAAACAAATTATAGAACAGATATTGAATTGCAGCTACAAAGTTATAAAGATATAAGCCACTCTTACTTTCAAGTGCTAAATGACTAGAGTCATAAAGAACTTATTTAAAGAAAGACATTTAAGGAAACTGAAGTTGTAATATAGAGACTTTACTGAGGGTCTATGATTTTAAAGACATGTATGTATACACATATGACCCAGATTGAATATTAAATACAGGATATACCCTTCTAATAACATTGCCAAGCTGTCTAAAGCCTAAAAGATTTAGGAATATGAAATACGTTAAGCTAGTATTTCCTAAAGTTCTATTTGAATATTAATAATGAATAAATTTGGTAGAAAAGGTATTCAATGGTAGTCAGACAAATAGATGATTTGCTGTATTACTTTAACTACAGAACTTGGCAGAATCTCTAATATTATCATGTTTTTTGTTTATCATTAAAAGTAGAAATGTAGTATGTAACATAGCTACCAAAAAAATCTCATCTAGCTGAAAATTTTGAATGATGCTGGTGTGGGCTGTGTTGTTTCAATAATCATGTAACTATTCTCATCTCCAGTTCATTCCTTCTCACATTTGATTTACATATCACTAGTATCATAGAATATGCTTACTTTAAAACATTACTTTTTCTATTCTGCAGATAATTCATTGCTATATCATTCAACTCAAAAATTGTTAACCTGGCATTTTGGAGCCTCTAAAAATTGACTCTGAACTTTTTTTATAACTTTATTTCTTCTTAGTTCCAATCATAAACACTGTTCTAAATAGGTAGATATGACCATGGTTAATATTTCCTCCCAACATGCCCCTTTAGTGAAAAGAAGCCCAGACTTAAGAGGACCTGAGTTCAGTCTCCTTTACTGTTTATTTGTAATATATATTAAATTTTTCTTTAATTTCTTTTCTGTAGTAGTAATTGTACTGACTACAAGTAATTAATGCTATAATTTTATAGATGAGAAAACACGTCAAGTAAATTGCCCAAGAGAACACAGCTTTTATATGTGCTGGAACTGGGATTCAACCCAAAATGTGTGTGATTTCCAGCTCTATGTTATTTTCACTATACCGTACTGAATTAAAGAGCACAAAACACTGAAGAGTGCAGTATATACAAACTACGAATATGATGAATTTCAGTTCAGCTTTTCAAAAGTTCACGTGAAGTTTATGGCTCTTATAAAATTACTTGGAAATAAGACTGTCAGTCCCAGCATACATAAGATGTTTGGCCTTCTTAGATAGGGACTATTCTTTTCTGTGCCACCTAAACCCTAACTCAGCAGTACTTATGGATTTTGTCTAAAGAATTTTCCTGAATTAACTTTTCCCTTTTCTGATTTGTCTTTTCTGAGTCATTCCTTTGAAAAGTTCTTCCTTCCTTTTTAAAACCAGTAGTTTCTCCACAAATTTAAAAAATAACTATTTGGTAGGTAAGTATTCACAGTTTCATCTTTTATTTTCTTTATAGTCAAACATTATGATACACATTGACATACTTCGTTATAATTCAGCAGCGTACCCTAGATGGTTTGAGGTTACAATTCATTCACACATTAACTAGCTTTGAAAAAGGCAGTTTTACATCTGAATGTGCAAACCCTATGGTTGTAATATGGAAGATTAAAGACAAACAAAAAGGTTGATCAGTGAAAGAATTTGAATTTAGGGGATGAGGAGCAGTGGAAAACTTTTTAAAGTTATTGGAATATTGAGCAATATGGAAAGAGGCTGAAACCTTGGGAGATGATAGCTAGTGAGGAATCCTTAGGTGAGGTGAAAAAAAGATTTATGAGAAAAGGAAGATCTAATATTTAATCTTAAACTGTGTTGCTGCCGTGTAATTTTCCTACCTTATTGCACTGGCCCAAACCTTAAGTGATGCTTATCCCTAGTTGTTGACAGTGGCTAGAAAAAAATAGGTAAGAAATACAAAGGGCAGTTGTCTCCTTTTCCAATTATTAGAGACGTTTTTTTGGTTGGTTGGTTGCTTGCTTGCTTTTTTGAAGAAGTTGAGGGTTCTCAGCTTTTATAGAGGTTTAATTTCATGAAAACATGAAAAGTTATATGGGTTGTTTTTTGGGGTGAAGTTTTTGATGCACTGCCTGATGGGGGTTCTAATGATGTAAACAGTAGTCATTCTGTTGCAGCCTTGTGAACTCCCATGAATACTTCATAGGATTGTTAGAGGTACGTATCTAGAACTGTGAGGGTCTGAGATTTTACCAGACTTGCAACTAAGACTCACAGTGTCTTAGTTGGAATTCTATACTAAATAGCCATAGATTCGGTGTCTTAAAGAAGAAATGTTTCTTTCTCACAGTTCTGGAGGCTGGAAGTTTGAGATCAGAATGCCAGCATGGTTGGATTGCATTGAGGGCCCTTTTCTAAGTTGCAGACAGCTGACTTCTTTTTATATATTCACATAGTAAAAAGAGGAAGAGCTAGCTCTCTGGCCTTTTAAAAGCATGAATCTCATTCATGTGAACTCACCCATATGATCTAATTACCTCCCAAAGACTCGCGCCATTCATGCTATCACATTGGGTATTTGACATCAACATATGAATTTAGGAGGAATGCAAACATTCAGTCCATACAGCTTGCCACATTTTCACAGATGCTAGCAGAAGTCCAAAGACTCGTAGGTCAGAGACGAAGCATACTTTACTACTCACAACAAAAGTAGTAGCCAGAATATAAGCATTGGTGCCACTTTGCTGAGCCCCAGTTCCCAAAGGGATAGGACCAAGTATCGGATTCTCATATATAGTAAGTTGCATTATAGGAAAGAAACCTTGGCCATAAAGAGTTGAAATCTTTTATAATTGATGGTAAGCATTGCCCACATCTTTGCTCTGGAGGGAGACACTATCTCCATCTTCCAAAATTGTAAAATAAATTTGTGTTTTGCTTTGGAAAGAACAACTGTCCCTGAATTCCAGTGCTGTTTGATGTAAGAACAACCTTAAAAAGATATTCCAGAACAAAAGCAGTCAATGTCTTTGCTTGAAAGATGTGCACAACCACAAGAAACACATGGAGGATTGCCTCCTAACAATACCCACCCCTAACATCCATAACATATTGACTTTTGATATATATGTGTGTGTGTGTGTGTGTATATATATATATATACACATAGTATATGTTTAATAAAAATCTGTTTGTCTAATAAATTGATTTGTGACCAATTAAACAAAATGAACATAAGGCCGACTATGTTAAGAACTATGATAGAGGTAATTGAAACTAAAATGTTATTCACACTGTAGCCTTTCCCAAAACATCATAAGCTAAGGGCACTGTCTACCATATATCTTTATTTTGCTATTTCTCATCAATCTAAACTTTCTGATGTATTTTCTTATGAGAATTCCCATTAATCAGATACTTTGATTAATCTGAATGTCATAGGCTGGAACCAAATCCATTCCATTTTTATCATACAACATTTAATTAAGATCATTATCAACAGGAATCCTAACTGCAGAATGAGGCCAATCACCAGGCATCCAGACTCAACTTGCAGAACAAATTACATCAACATCAGTGTCTACTTTAGAGAGGCAGGTGGCTTTTTCCTTTGGTTTTTATATTGTTCTTTGCACTTGTCCCAAATCTTTAATGTAGATACTTTAGGATGCATTAACTATTGCCTTGGCTCACAAGATGAAAATCTAGGGCAATTCTATCATCTAAAACAACCCTGGCCAGTAAGTTGAGGCTGACCTTAAGGTCAGAACTGAGGTGGCATCAGTGCCTTCCAGAACCGAGGTGGCATCATTGATCACTTCAGCTAATAAATCAGAGACTAACTTTATAACATCTTTTCTAATCCAATTGCTCTTATTATCATAGGATAACCACCTTCAAGGTCCTCATAAATAATGAATCAGCTTCCCTCCCAGTAGCTCTCCTAAGTAAGCATGGTAGCCTCATATTGGCAAGATCTCCTTAGTCATCTAAAGGCTTTATGACCTATAGGTATTGTTATCTTAAACCTTTTTTCAAATGTATTTATTTGTTTTAAATCAACAGACAAAATTGTATGTATTTGTCATGTACAAGATGATGTTTTAAAGTAAGTATACACTGTGGAATGGTTAAATCTAGCTATTTATAAAATGTATTATCTAACATTATTTTGTGATAAGAACTTTTAACATTCACTGTCTTAGTATTTTCCAAGAATACAATATATCATCATTAACCATAGTCACCGCGCTGTACAATAGATCTTGAATGTCTTTTATTGATACATCTAAGGTGAATGTCACCATATTTTGGGAAGACAGCCTAGTTAATATCTATTTTCCACATAAGGACAGTTCCCAGCTAAACATCATGTCTCTGGGGGGGAAAAAGCATTGTTTAAATGTTTAAAATTATGGACCCCTATTCTTAAGAAGGACCTACATCAGCCAGGGCACTCAAGTTTACAGTGCCTTCAAAGTGCCTCCCAAATGGCTAGAAAACTGTGAGTTTCCCAATTCAGTTTTAATGATTGAATCTGGTCTTTGTTTGGGAAGGGACTCTGTCTTATTTGTACATCCAACTAGAAAGTTGGCATTTGTTTACCTCGTGGAATGACAGAGTGACAGCTTTCGGAATAAAGGTAGAAAAAATATCTAGAGGTGTGAACAAGTGTTTTACTTTGGAAATGTAGAAGTTTGAGTCATTTCCTACTGTTTCCCGTAAGCTTATTAGTAAGAATAAGGACGATTGTGTTCAAATCAGTCAGAGACATCCAGCAGGTGATGAGAGACCTATCAATAAGTTAAATTTACAGTGTTTGTAAAAGTTTAGGAATCCCACACCAGAGTTTTTTCTTCTTAAAAAAAAGGCTCCAGGGGTAATTCTGAAAAAACAAAAATTATTAACATTTCTCCCTTCCCCATACTCCCTGAGGTCTTATGGTAACCTCTATCCCCTCATGCCAGGGTTGTTGATCCCCCTTCGCCACCATGAAATTAGTGTGTCCCATTCTAATAATAATAACTCCACCTTGTCTCCAGTCATCTTATACTCTTTTCGGAACATTTTATTCAAATGTTTTAGGGAACAAGGGAATTTTTGTAAAACTTACAATGACTTATTATGTCCTTTACTTTAGCCCATGTTAGCTGCTATAAAGGGTCTCAGGAATCTCAACCAAATGATAATTATCTTTAGAATCTAGCAATATTTGAGTCCAACAACAATAACAAAAATATTAGATCACTAAAGAAGAATTAAATTTGAATCTCCTAGGCCATGTTTTCTTTTCTTTTTTTTTTTTTTTTTTTTTTTTGCCAAGACTGCCACCCAGATGTTGTATCAAGAATGACTGTGGTTGCCGTTAGGGAAAGAAAGACACATAATGCTCAGAAACGGTCAAAGACATCTTAAATTTGCAAAATAGGCTGATATATGCCTCAACCATTTCATCATTACCTGGAAAGTAGCTGAGAAGCAATGATTCCCTTCTGGAGATAGTCTCATTCAATGACCAAACTACCTTACAAAGCTTTGTGGGTCAGAAGAAGTGGGTGAAGTAGATTTAGAAATTCTTGAGTTCATTCCAACTCTCAACAACTCTCAATGCTTATGCATGGTAGAGAACATAGAGGTTCATAGAATGCTTTGACTATCAACCCATTTTTGAATGCTTTTTGTGACAATAGGTCAATCACTTTTGGACTGTATTAAATCCGTAGTTTTCACGTGGCAGACTAAACTGCTAGATTATTGACAACAATCCAAGAGTCAGTAAATCCATAAGGCTCATCAAGAGGGGTATTGACCAGAGATATAAGAATGAATTCTGCCCAGTGCGTATAGTGACCAGGTTCATGTTAGTTTTAACATGACTAACGCTGAGCTTGAACAGCCACAGCAGACCATTGGGTACCTTCATCAAACCAGGTTCATATATTTAGAAGTATCTCTATGAACTGAGGGGCCACTGCACCAGATAGCAGAGTAGAAGATAAATTTTCTCCTCAAAGGAAAAGCTGCCATTTTTTAAAACGTAAAGCTGAGATGCCCTTGGGACTGGGCTGGATGCATTTTGAAAATGCCATTTCCATTTGACAAGCACGGCCTTGAACCCTCCTCCCCTTATTAATCAATAAATCCAAGTTGACCTACCCTTTGATCATATCAAGCTAGGGAGTCACAATAACTATGGGTCAGACACTGGGATTTAACAAGAGCTGTGTTAAACATAGCTGCTTTTGAAAAACAGTGTGCTTGGTAGTCTTGCCACTGACAAGTTTGGGACACCTAGATAAAGGCTGTCTCCTTTTGCCAGAAGCCCAGTGGGTAAAACCATTAGTCACAGACACTTATAGCTCAAAAAAGTCATCAAGGTCATGGGGTTGAAAAGGTAATAGTACTTTTCTACTGGATGATCTTCTCACTTGGGAGAATTTCTTTGACATTATATGGGCATTCACAATACAAGCATGTAATATATGACTACTAATTATTATTGAAAAGTAGAATCTTCAACAATGTTACATGGAATTTGCTGAAAGGCTCTTCCTACAAGGCCTCATTAACTCCTCTTCCCCATTTTGAACTTTACCCGAACCCCATCAATTTGATTTGAGAATCCAGTGTCCCACAAGATTGGGTAGAATGGTAACTGAGGTGCCTGTATCTAATAGAGTCATAAAAGTTTGAACTATCCTGTCTACTAAATTTCCCAGGATATTTCCAGCAAAGACAGCTGAGAATGGTCTTTGGTCTCCACTGGGGATCAGAAAGACTTCAGTCCCATCCCTGATCATCCTTGTCTTTAAAGTAGATGAGATCATTTAAGTGGGAGAAGGAAGGAATCAGGAAATATGGAAGGAGAGAATGGTTTTATTCTCCGTTTATGGAGGGACAGAGCCATGTGTATTTACTTTCAGTTTTGAGCAGTACAATGGCGGATTTCAAGAATTTTTCTAGGTACTTCAGTCAGTTTCTCATCCTCCAGTAGTAGGTCAACTTTGTCAGAATTGTAAACTCAGTCTGGGGTAGTAAAAGCCTAACTATTAGAAAATGTTTCATTTCTAGTTTCTCATGGGAGATTGTTCAGTGAAATCTTCCAAAAAGGGCCAAAGCACCACTGTAGCAGCCTGGACCCACTGACAAAATTGTAAGATCTTTTAATGTTGTATTTAAATGGACCTATGATTGCCATAACACACTGCAAAAGAGTTTGAGTCATAAGATGGTCCTGCAATTGTCATGTTTCCTTATCAAGTATTAATCTCACTGCCCCTCATATCTGAAGCAAAAGTCAAAATTCTCACAATTTGCCTGGCTTCTTACCATAGTGGCCATTATTTTTCTTTATGAAATATATTTCTTATATTCTTAGTATACATAACCTTCACCATAACTTGTCTGAAACCAAGTAGAAACTTCTGCCACCTCTCTCCAGTAAAAATGTTAATACTGGTTATTACTACAGTGTGCACCTGAGACTGACTGCCAGACTGTTGAGAAGTATCCCTATCTTAAGGAGAATTAATGTACCTGTTAGGATGGCTATCTCTGATTCTACCTTATAATACTCAGCCAGAAGCCTCTACCTAATATCTCCTCATTAACAGCAATAAAGTGGAGGACCATTTATTGCCTGGTTGACCATTAAATTTGGTCCATGTAGTTGCCACTGATTTCCAGAGACATTTCTAAAATCCCATTAGTTGGCCTGTGAGACCCTCATTCTTCTTCTTTTAAAGAGCTTTTTCTCTGTCAGCATCCCATCTTCATAAACAAATTTGTTATGGACTATAAAGTGTCTGATATTTTACCATACTTGCAAGTTAACAATTTAGACTGCCACAGTTTTATGGATGCCAGTGGTAGTCAAAAGGTGCCTGGGTCACAGTTTACTCCCAGCACTAAAGATAGCCACAGTATTAGCCTCAGTGCCACTTCCTTGACCCCCAACTTCCACAGTATCACATGAAGAGAACAAGGTATCAGTTGCACATACTATGAATTACAAGAGAGGACTGAGCTTAGAGGACTCAAATATTTTATAAAGGGCAGGCACTATATTATGCCTGTCCTATTGCTCCAGACTCTAGAGAGAGACACATCTCATCTTCCAAAATTTAAATGCCTCTGTCATTTTCTCTACTAAGGATGTTTTCTATACAAACATTCTTGAAAAACTAGTCCAGAACAAATGGCTTTGCATGTGGAAATATATACACACAAGAGACCAATGGAGAATTGTCTCCCAAGAGCTTGCAAATAGCCTACTGAATCCCAAGGGCACTAAATTCCTCCTCAGCAGCCTGCTATGATTCCATGGGTCAGGACTGCCCTGATGGCTCTAGAAGGCAATTTACCTATTTCCTGCCCATGAGCACAGAGAAAGTGTTACTAATAGAATGATTGGAAAAAATGTGTCCACTTGTAGCAAGTCAGAGAAAATAGAGAGAAAAGGAATTACAAATAAGAAATCAGTATACTTTACTTTAGTAAACATTACAACTTTCCAAATTGAAGGTACTTTATTCTAACAAATAAAAATAATGTCATACAATAATCCTGTTAAGCGACAAAACTAATCAGAAGATATATATAAGTCTCTCTCTCTCTGACTCTCTCTCTCTCTCTCCATATATATACATATATATATATATGACACTGGTTGTTCGTACATTGTGCACTTGAGATTGACTGCCAGATTGTTGAGAAATGTCCCTACCTGAAGGAGAATGAGCATACCTGTAGCATACCTGTTATGATGGCTATATACGTGTGTGTGTGTGTGTGTGTGTGTGTGTGTATGTATTTGCGTACACATATATGTATATACATATATATATATATATATATATATATATATATAAAATAGACAAGCAAAATTTTGGGTTAGGTTGGTATAGATACCTAACCCAAAATATATATAGTATATTTCTATATATATATATATAGAAAATATATAGTAAGAAGTCTTTAGTGAATGCTTTAGAATATTAAAAACTAAAATGCTTAGAATGAAAATAACTTTTGAAAATATCAATGTGAAAATGTGCCTATATGCACATATTTTAGGCCAATCTGATTATTATTTTTTCAAAAGATATAGACCAATATGATAATTTCACAGTTTAGTTCTGGATACTTAGATTTCTATAAGGGTAGAGCCATGAATGCCTTTTTTCTGCCCCACTAACTAGTAAATGAAGAATCAAAAATTCTATTAGTTTCTGCATAGTCTGGGACAATTGTAAGATTAGTGTTCAGGTTATTAGAGGTTATATGAAAGTACTGAAGTAGGAATAGACTTAAGGCACACAATGCATTAAAATTAAGGATTTAAAACTTTGGCAATTCTATAATATTTTAAACATTTCATGGTGTACATGTCCGAGTTGTGGCTTATTTGTATAAGAAATTGAAATTAAGCTCATTGATCTTATGCATTTGTGTCACTCATTTTCAAGAGCAAGTTCTATTCACTTTACCAAGATGAATTATTTGAAGAGTTAGTAATGTAAACTTTGCAGGTTACACAATAAGAGCAGTATAAATTAGTAAAACCAAAGTTTCAATTTTATGTCTTCTGCAGTTTCCCTTGGTGTTGTCCAACAAAGATTTGGGGATTTGTGACAAAGAAAAAAATGCAGCATATCTTCTTATAATGATCATCTTATAATTTTATGTGTGATAAAAAGATAAAACATACTGTGATTTTAAAAATAAAATTTTTCTGTAATTTTGTATGAAAATACATGTTGGTGTGCATGCACAAACATATATGTATATACATGCATATATATATTTGTTATGTTTTGAATTTTATTTTATTTTAATATTGAAACCCAATGTCAAATTTGTTTACTATGTGAAAATAAGCACTACTATTAAGTTTATACATTTTATTGTTATTGCATTACTTTTAAACTCTATCATTCAAATTATACAAAATAAGAAGTAAATGAAGTTAAATATAGCGTCCATTTACTAAAAAGCAAAATAATTTACTAGAGTACTAATATCTAACAAAAGTCTTTTATGCCCAAGTAACATAAAAATTGGGCTTGAGAACCGTGAATACAAATGAAAACCATAATGCATATTATGTGATAAATTTTATGAATGCAAAAGCAACAGAAATACAATCTAATCAGCAAGCTAAGCATAATTATATTACTGGTAGAGAAACTGAATTATTCAGGCATAAGAAGGACATTCTTTGAAATCAGTCCACCAATATCACTATCTTCAAGCACTAGAAAGGATGTGACTAGTATCCTTAATACTTTTCTCCTGTTGGTTTTTATTAGACATTGTAAATTTATGAAGCTATTTAACATTGGAAGCTTGCTTAAAATATTAGTGTAATGTCATTTGGGCACAGCAGTAAGGAAATAATAATTTATACTTATGGAAGTATTTCTATACGTATAACAAATAATCTGGTTGGCAAATATAAAGACAGCGGGACATACTTTTCTTTTAACTTGAAACCTCCATTTTGTTATTTGTGAATAAATCATTAAAAAGGAGACCAGTCTGTTAGCCTTCTAATAACAACAATAATAATAAAACCTGAAGGTTAGATTATAACAAAAATAATATTTCCTACTGCATTTACTTAGTAGTCCTTTTATATTGTATTTAAAGTTAGAGAGTATTTTGTCTTTCACTTTTTCCTCCCGCTTTATGCCTATTTTTTTCACTCTTTTATCTCTTCTTACCACGACTTCCCCTACACACACACACACACACACACACACACACACACACAGAGAGAGAGAGAGAGAGAGAGAGAGAGAGAAATAGTATTTTAGGGAGTTCTCGATAGAAATACCACTTTTCCTAAAGAGTAACATTTTAACCTGTTGATACTTAGGTTAAAATTAATCTGGGAGATTATTTACTATATTGCCCAGTTTTCTGAGTTCTTTATCAGCTGAGGCTCAAGATTAATCAGTAAGGGAATGTAATCAATAGGGCAGGAACAAATAGAATCATACAGGTAGATATCTAGACTATTTCCCTTCTCCCTTCACTTCCTTCACTCTTAGAGTAATGATTTCCTCCTATAATGATGAATAAAATGTCTTTATATGTTCTTAATTAATTTATTCCACAAATATATATTGAGTGCATTCTGTGTCTGGCACTAGAGTATGTTCTGGGAATAAAACATTGACAAATAATGGACATGGTCTCTGTTCTCATTGAACCTACTGAATGAGAAGGGTGAAAAGACAAGCACACACATGCATGCATACGTAAGTGCAGTTTTATAAAAATAATGAAGTCCTAAGGAGCAGCAGCGTTTGGCTCTATAAAAATATTACATGGGGGATTTGTTTGAAATGGGAAGATTTATCTGATCAAACAATGACTAAAGTGACAGTTCAAAGATGACTAAAAGGTATGCAAAGAAAGGAGAGAAAAACTTTCAGACAGAGAAAGTAGTATGTGCAAAATCTGCAGCTGGAGGAACAGGGGTGAAGAAATTAGAAAGCCAGAGGAGGTAGAGGGTAAAGATTAAATAATTTCTTTGGAATAGCCTGTAGAGGCAAGAAGAGACAGATGAGGCAGGTTTTTATAGGCCAAGGTATGGAAGCTTGTTTTTATTCTAAGAGCAATGAGAAGTCATTGTTTTTTATAGAGGCTATGGATATATATATTCAGATTTGCATTTTCAAAATATAACTGGATGTAGTATGAGGAATGGAACCAAATATAAGTGGAAAGTGTAATGGAATAAATATAAATGGAAACAAAATACATGGATGGAATATAAAGAATGAAACCAAACATTGTCCAGACAAGAAATTGTGATAACTTGTATTGTTGTAGTGGTGGTGGAAATGGAGAAAACTAAATGAATTTCAGAGACTCTATAGTAGGAAAAGAATCTATAAGATTTGGTGATGGATTAAATAAGGTGGTACTGGGTAAAAGAAAATTTGGTATCATAAATTACTTCTGAATTTCTTGCTTACACCATGTTCCAATTATCTATGGCTATGTAACAAATCATCTCAAAACTTGGTAGTCTAAGCATCAACAATATTTATTTTTCTCAGATATCTGTGATTTGGTCAAGGCTGGGCAGAAATTGCTCATCTTTTTATCACTTCATATCTATCGGGCAGCTCCAAAGCTGGGAGCTGGAATCGTCTCAAGTTTCTCTTATTCTCAGGCCTGGAGTTGATGCTGGCTGATGCTGGGATATGTTAGAGTTGTGGCCAGAACACCCACATGTGGACTTTCTATGTAGGTGTTAGACTTCTTTATAAGACAGTGGCTAGATTCAAAGGCAAACTCCAAGTAAAAGCTCTGGAGCCTTTTATGACTTCACCTTGGAAATTATTCAGCATCACTTCACCACATCACATTCACTGGGAACAAATTGATAAAGTTAGCCTGAAATCAATGGAAGGAGTGTCAAAGAATATGTGGACATGTTTAAAACCAGTACAGATAACTCACTGAAAGATGATTTCATTATTGAGAAAGGAAACAATAAAAAGACTAGATTTGGAAAAAACAAACAAACAAACAAAACCTACTTTTTCTTCTTCTGCTTTTTCTTACTCTCTTAGCATCTGTTTTGCATTATCTCCTTTTTCAGGACTTTATCACTTGCAAACTATTGACTCCTAAAACCCATCTAACCTTGACCGCTCTTCTAAGTATTAGTATCTCCAGCTGCTTGTTGTCTCTAGGATGTCTCACCATCATCTTCAATTTAAGTTGTTTAACATTAACACTTTATTTTTCCTCAAAGTTGCTCCTTTTCTTGAAATATTTCGGGAAAAATCTTTTCTGTTCAGTCTCTTGGATTTGTCTTTGATTCCCCTCGCTCAGCACCAATCCCATTCAATTGCCAGGTATAACCAAGTCCACTTTGGCAGCCATCTTACATCCACCTATTCATTTTCTTTCCTTTATGTGTATTTTAAAATTATTTTTCAGCCTTACTCAGAATATTCTGCACATGTGATCATTTTTCTTGTTTTTCCTAGAATAAATCAGCTTATATTTTTTCTCAGAATTTTGCTTTGGGCTTTCCTCTTTCTGGAACAATTTTCCCAGAAATATTTACATATCAGGTTCCTATAATTCATTAATTTATCTATTCAGGCTCCACTTACCGTCATTGCTGAAATATCTACCTATTCTAATTATTCGTTTTGCCCTTTAAAAAATTTCTGCAACACATTATTTTTTAAAATAATTATGCTTTTATAATATATATATAGCTTATATACCATTTGTTTGCTGATATCTCTCATTAGTATATAAACTCTGCGTGGTCAGACATGGCATGAGTTTTGTTGACTGTTATATCACCAGACTGTCTCAAAAAGAGGGAGTGAAAGGCAGTAAGCATTCAATAAAAAGTTACTGAATAAATGAAGGGACAAATAAGAGGAATGTGTAGACATTACTTAGCCTTATAGCCTTCTAAGTCAAACTCTCATCCATGAGCCTTTCTTTTCCATTCTAGCAAAAAGTGATTACTTCCTCTTCCAAACTCCACTGGCATTTATTATCCATTCCAGTGTTAGTGATTGCTTATCTATGATAAATACTATCAATGTGATATCTTGTGTGTGTGTTTTTTTTTCAATTCTCTTTATGTCTTTTAATTTTCCAGCTAAATTATAAACTCCTCAAATTACTGGTTATTTTCCAAGCAATTAATACATTAGTAGTAGCAAGTAACATGAATAGACATACCTGTATGGACTTATGCTACATAAATTCATTCCATGCATCTAAATCCGTCTTAATTTTAGAAGGTTGCGTATTTGATTACTAAAAATAGCAACAAAATATTGAATTATATATATCAGATATTATACTAATATTTCTGTCTATATTATCTCTTATTTTCACAGTACTCTGTTGTGTCAATTATTAATTTCATTTTCTATTGAGATGAGACTTAAACATATAAGTCTCAAGGAATTTAGTCTCAAATCTCCAGCAATGAAATATTGAGTACTATAAATCAGATATTATACTAATATTTTTGTCTATATTATCTTTTATTTTTATACTAATCTGTTGTGGCAATTATTAATTGCCACAGTCTCAAGGAATTTAGAGTGCTCACCCTGTGACACACAACTAAACGTGACAAGATGGGTTTCACATTCCACTCTTCTTCACTTCAGAGCTTGCATCATTTACCACTTTGTAATGCACCATTTCAATGCCATCTGGGTCTATATGCTGATACAAATGAATCTCTCACAGTTGAGGCTATAATCCTGAAAAGCATTTTTTACATTTGGAGGTATGATGATCTCTTGGAACTTGAAGTGGTAAGTAAAAATTTCTGAAATCATCTATTTTCAAAACAAACCCAAGTTTGATATTACAGAAACCCTTTGTTGTGTTTCTTGTTTGTTTGTTTGTTTGGTTTTTAGGATTTAGACTTGGCTTTAAATCCAATGTATTTTACCCTGGGAGTCTCTCTTATTTATTTTATCAAGTTACAACACAGTGCCTTTGTAGCCCATTTCTGCTCCTTTAAAAATTATTATGATAGTTACAAAATTGTTTTCAGGCCTTGACCTTTCATATCCATTGGAAGAGTATACTGTTCTTTCTGTATATTACTTTGTAAACCCACTTGTACTTGTACTTGTACAGTACACAGGAACAGAAAGCAATAATTACCATCAGGTTCTTGCATGTAAGGAAACTAAACTGAATGTAAGAAGAACACAAAATTTAAAATCACACTATTAGAAATAAAACCGTATTATCTCAAAGTCACAGTTAGCAATATTGCAGTTGGTAAGGCACTCAAATACCAGAGAGTCTGCCTCAGAGAATATGCAAAATATGGAGGAAGGATTGGGAAGAAGTCAGAGAAACAGGGATTAAATCTCTGCTCCACCACTTCCTGACCAAGTGACCTGGAGGAAGTTAGTTACTTTATCTAAGCCAGTGAGTGGTTCTCAATGGTGGCTGTACTTTAGAACAATGAGTTTTTAAAAATACTGATATCCTGTTCCCATCCCTAGATGTTTTAATTTAATTGCATTATTGTTGGGAATTGCACTTAAATCAGAACTCTGAGATTGGAACCTGTGTACCAATACTTTAAAAGGTTTACCAGGTAATTCCAATGTTACCAGGTAATCAATGACTTAATCTAGTCATTGATTCTCAATCTTTGCTGTACATTGAATCTAACTAAAACTTTAATTTCCTTATTTGGGAAATGTAGGTAATTATATCTACTGCCACAGGTTGTTGTGAGAGTTTGTTAAGATAATGCATACAGTGCCTGGTACATAGTAAAAACCCAATTATTAAGCTGATAGTAGTAGTAGTAGTAGTAGTTGTAGTAGTAGTAGTAGTTTTGTAGTAGTAGTAGTAGTTGTTGTTGTTATAGTAGTAGTAGTAGCAGCAGCAGCAACAGCAGTACTAATAGTGCCATTATTATTCATTCTTTGCCTATAGCTATATATTGACTTAATTTATCTATTCATTTATTCAACAAACAATTGCTCTAAATCTGCTCTTTGCCAGTTACGATTCTGGGCTCTGGAGATTGAATGGTTAACAAAGCAGCCAAAGTTCTTATTTTTATAGAGCTCGCATTCTAAGGTAGGCAACACAAAATAAACAAATACTGAACTAGGAATAGAGAAAAATTGCAGGTTAAGTACTGTGAAGAAAAACTGAGGGAATAAAAAACAGCCTGCTGTTGTGGATGTGATGGCCAGGGAAGTCCTCTCTGAGATGCCATTTAAGTAGTGTTGTGAATTGAAGACAGAAAATATGCACATATCTGAGGAAGCTGTATTCCAAGCAAGCAGTGAGAACAGTAAGTACAAAAGTGCTGGCAGTAGGTGTTGATGTTTCCATAAAGCACTTTCCCATAATATATAAATCAAATTTCAGTATCTACTTCTTTTAAAAAACTACCTGTATTCTTCCTTTTATTGAAGGGCAGTAAAACTTCATATATGTAGGACTCATTTGTTGGTTTGATACCATAATAAATTATTTTTCAACAAGGCATAATTACCCCTATTTTCCAAAAATGGCAATGAGATTCATTAATGTTCAGTTTCATATTAAGGTCCCATAAAGTATAGCAAAGTTGGAATTAAAACTCAAGGCTTTTAATTCATCTTTCTATAGAGTTATTGAATATACAATCTTTGAAAAAAAAGGAACAATTTTTTATATGTGTTAATTGTGATAATTATATAAGCAAATATTTGAAAACATTCTTGGCCTGTGATCACATTTGCTCAACTACACCAACAAAAAATAATATATTCCTGGGAATGGCAATAAGGGAGAGAATACTTAGTAATACATGTACAAAATTAATGGAAAATATAAACAAATACATGGATTTCTAATAATAATAATTAACAGAGGAGATAGAAGTTAATACATATAGTATTCATTCATATTTAATAAACATCTACAATCCCAGATGGATAAAGATCATAAGACTTTTGTAGTATACATAATTTTATATTCCCACATTTTCTGCCCTGAAGATAACACATTTACACACACACACATACACACACACGTGCACACAGGCTCACCTTAATTTAGGGAGTTAGAGTAGCCTCTTGGTTAAGAGAACAGACTGGGGTCAGATATATGGAGATTTAATTTCCTATTCTACAATCTATGTATATGACTATAGACAAATTATATATAAGCCTCAGTTTCCTAATGTATAAAACAGAAATAAACCCATTTTATACAGTTGTTACATGTACATCAAATTTTTGACTTAGTAGCAAGTCTGAAAATGTCATACAACCTGACATTTTGCCTGGTTAAACTGAATTAACTTAGTCCTTTTTAGTTCCTGTTTCATGAGGAAAGAGGGCAGAACCATGCTAAATGAATGAACTAGGCCTAGATAGAACCTGATACCTGGAAAATCAGAACCCTCTCCCTTCAAGCTTCATAGCATTTGAAGAACAGCCACTCTGCTAGAGCTGTCTCCAAAAAACATCTGCCCAGTTAAAGTATTTCTCATGTTGGATGATAAAGCTAAAAGTACTAGGTATAAACTGTGGGTGAGAAATATTTCCTATCAATAATCTTGATGAATTGATTGATTGCTGGGCAGCTCGTTGTGAAGGAGGCTCTATGGCAGAGTGCAGTGCTGCTCAAGATTGAATGTGCAGAGTTATCACTTGGGGAATTCAAAGGCGGTTCTGGCTCAGTGAAACTCAGTAAGAACCTAGACTTCGCATTTCTATCAGGCTTCCAGGTGATGCGACAACTGCTGCAGATCACACATCGAGTAGTGAGACTAAAGGAAAAGCTATTGGATTGGATGTTACAAGTCCCAGGAGGTCTGTCGTGTGGCTTTGGAACAAATTCTCTTGATGTAAAAATGAGAATAATCATACTATCCTGCTCTCTGATGGAATGTGACTATTAAAAGACTACATATAAATATTAATATGTATAGATGTATGTATTTCATAGAGATCTGAGAGCTAACTGCAATCTTGTAAATATAAATGTCTATTCTTAATTATATGAATAAGTAATAAGACAATGTAGCAATCCTTAGCTCTCAGAAATTCTGAAGAACAAAACATTAACTGACTGCTCCATTTATACTATAACTTTCTCACCTCCTTCATTCCACATTTTTCCCACAAAAAAGCCATGCCTATTAAATAAGACTGAAGATTGAGAAACAAGTTATATGGCTGAGGTTTTGTCTTTCAGAAAATATTTAGTGAGCATCTATGAAAGTCGCATATTAGTGAAAGTCGCATAATAGTGAATAGTGAAAATGAATTTAGCCTATGCTTTTTTAGTGAAAAATGACAGAAGTTTGAAAGAGGGCATGGAGTTTTAAAAGCTGACCTGTAGAATTCCCAGGTAGTTAAGGAAATTGAGTACCATCTTGAATTCGGGAGCCTCCTGCAGTAGCATGGGCTTATCCTGAAGTATCATATGCTTATGACATATTTTTCCTACAATGTAAACTCATTTAATGAAAAAGAATTTTACTTGGCATTGTTTCTGGCATCAGGATGAAATTGTATCTATTATAGGTTAAGAAAAAAAGTAATGTTACCTCATGTTTCTAAAATGGCTGTCCTCATATCAAGACTTTTTTCTTTCTCTTTATGCCAGATACTTATAGCAAAGACATTATCATTCCCTCTAAAAGAAGTGCTGGCAATCATTGAAAGAACTGTCATCTATCTTAGATAGTGGCAATTTAACCACATGGTAAAATGCTATTGTCACTTGATGCATTTTGATGGGAAGAATGTCACTGATGTTTTATTTCTCCCTGATGTTGAATTTTAATGGGAAAATAAACCATTAGTGCCAAAACTGAATACAGTATACTACTGTGACACTGTAAAAATTGTGCATTTAATAATTAACAAGTGCTTTTTTTCTGTGTTTTCTTAAAACTATATTCATTTCACATATATTACACATAAAAACACATTCTGAAGGCAACTTTCTTCTCTGTTTCCTCAGCAGTGATGATCTGGCTGTTTGTCAGGGCATGTCAGAAGATAGGAATCTTACATGGGGAACACTCAAGGCCAATTATCAGGATTTCTCTCCTGACAACCTGTCTTTAAATATATTGTCTTACAAGTCTGGAGGTAGGAAGGGAGGGTAGAGTCAGTAAGATTTTAGTTCATTTGATTTATTCTAGTTTAAAGTTACTTTAAAAAGTGTATAATGAGTTTACATCTGTAATATGTTAAAAATACATTTTTTTCTTTTGAAGAATCCCAACTTTTCTGTTTCACAGGACCAACATAACCGCCGCCCAAGTTCAAATTTGCCTGCTCTTAATTCAATTTGAAGTTTTCCCAAGCAGACATGAAATCATTGAATATAGCTTGTAAGTTTCAAGTTAATTGCAAGAAGACAAAAGACACACATTTCCATAGGTGCTGCCTGGAAATACTTGGGCAGCTTGAGATCTAGAAATAAACTAATGCTAGGCTGGTCTGTGTGAATCACCTCATTTGATAAAGCCCAAACTTCCTTTTTTCAAGTCCCTTGATGTTTCTCAAGCATATTAGCCAGGTCTCTCTGTCTTTAATGATATGGAAGAATGCCAGCTCATCTCTCCTCCAGACTTGGCTGCTGAAAGGATCATGGAGGCTGAGTGCCATCTGAGTCCAGAGGCAATGAATGGCACAGCTGAATATCATCAGGGTAATGATGATATCTCATTGCTCTCTAAATCTATTATTTGGGACAGAAATAGAGCAGGGGATTTTCCTGGCATTTCAATTATAAGAATTAGAAGGAAATGTGAAAAACGTAGGGGCAGCAAGGGGAAAGTTTTGGAGAGAAACCCAGGGCATGCTTAACTTTCCTTTTTCCCATTAGAGAATACAATATTGCAAACCAGAGATTTGCTTTCAGTTTTAAAACAAACCATTTTCTAAATGATTTAACTTTCTAAAAATATCCAGTGGAATCAATGTTTGTTAATTGGTTGTCTTAATATTAGCATTTGAATGAGGGAATCAGTGTGTCCAAAGTCTCTTGTACACTCCATAAGTCCTCTTGGCCTCATCTCTTATTCCAGTCAACGCTGTGGTGACCAGTTAAGTTTCATGCAGGTGCACCTCATCATGCCTCTGTAGACTTCTGCATCTTGCTTCCTGCCCTATGGACTCTCTGACACCTGGGAAAGAAAAATCTGTGAACGTGAGTGGCCTTTACACAGGCGCTAACAGAAATTACACAAGTGCTCATATTTTATGAGTCAATTCTTAACCTACAAAGCGATATGAACGAACAAATAAATGCATCTTTCTTTCTTCTGCAGTTTCCTCTGTTTTTCTGAGAGGAATTTTACAAGTTTCATTGGAGGTTTCTGTAGAATCAAACTAAAATTACTCAGAGTGGTAGCACATTGGATGGCACATGCATGTATTGGCTTTCCTACATTCCGGGCTTGTTTCAACGCCTCACCTGTTCCCCATTGCTGCTCCTTGAGATCATATTACCAGCAAAATCCTTCACACATAAGTCTTTGATTCATGCATAGTTTCTGAGTAACGTAGTCTAAGACAGGTAATTTTGTGGGGCCTCCTAGCACTCCATTGGCTTTAAGCCTACGTTAGCCAGATCCTATCAATCTCCACTTAACCTTTTGCTTGGAGTCCAATGATTCGATTATCCGTGCTTGAGGAACATTCAGAAATTTATGTCCCTAGAGAATGACCTACAGGAAACACAAGGATAGCAAACATCTCTGTTTCATTTCCACTTGTTTCTGTGTATGGCCATAATCCCAAAGGGAATTCAGATTATTTCCCTAAACCTCAAGGACATTGTTTGTGCTAATCTCCAGGGAATGGTGAAATCACTGATATGTTTCTCAGGAATAGACATCAAAGACAATTTCTCCCAAGATTTATATTTGTTATTTTTGTTGTTGTTTCTGTTCTATGGTTATATATGTACGTAGGGGAAATATTTCCTGAAACAATTTGCTGTGGTTTATTGCAGGAAGTAATAATGTTGGACAGCTTCCCACCCAGGAAGGCATTATGTAAACATTTTTCACTGACTAATAGGATTTAATTACCAAGTAGAATACTAACTGAGTTGATTTATGGACTAAATAAATGTTATTTTATTAGTACCATCTTTTGGGTGATAGTCTAAATGCTGTGAAAAATTTACGACAATCCTAAGTTCTTGGATCATTCAAGTTTTTTTTTTTTGCATAAAGACTAGTATCAAATAGTTTAAGTAATCAACCATTTATTCTTTCAGGCTACATGATCTTTAAAGTGGTATGCACTATCCATACTATAAAATAATACACAGAAAATGTGAAAAAACTTATGCATTACATATTTGTAAAACTTTGCTCTTAAAGGACCAGGGAATTAAGAAAGGTGTCTAAATATTGGTAAAAATGACATGTTAATAAGAAATAGTTTTATCTGTTTAAACATGAAAAAAATCACATACTACAAATGTATATAAGTAGTTACATAATAGTACTTACATTAATATATATTCGTGTTGCAGATAAAAAGAGCTGCAATGACTAATTGTAATATTTTTTCTTTAATACTCTATTAGATTACCTCAAAAGTAAACCAGAATTGTTAAAAATTGAATGAATATTTATAGCATACAAGATAAGAGCTTGGACTTTGTTTTGTAGCTGTCCTGGGTTCAAATGAGCATGGGTGAGTTATTTAACTTCTCTAATCCCAGTTACATTCTTTTATACTATTCAAAAAAAAAAAAAAACAAATAATTGTAACAACAAACACTTATACAGTGCTTACTATATGATAGGTGAGCTTTAACTGTATAAATTAATTTGATCTCAACAAACCTATGAAGTGCTATTTTACCTCATTTTACCAGTGAGGAGACTGAGGTACAGAGAGATTCAGTGACTCATTTTGGTCAACTTGAAAGTAGAGCCAAGATTTGGACCATGCACTCAAGGTCCACTTAAACCATACAGTCAGCCCTCCAAATCCGCAAGTTCAACCAACCATGGATCAAAAATTTTCAGGAAAAAAAATATGTAATAATAAAAATAATACATATTTAAAAACCAAGAGAGTATAACAATTATTTATATAGCATTTACATTGTATCAGTCATTATATAAGTATTCTAGAGATGATTTAAGGTATACAGGGGAGTGTGCACCATTTGTATGTAAATACTACCACATTTTATAAGGAACTTGAGCATCCTCAGATTTTGGTATCCAAGGGGAGTTCTGGCACCAGTTCTCCAAGAATATAATAGGACAACTATATTTATCTCACAGGTGCTATGTTTTGTTGTTTTGCTCTAAATTATTAAATACTATAAAATAGGCAAAGCTCTAAAAATAATATCTAGTATGTAGTACACCCTCACTATGAATATTTGTGTTTGCCATCATCTGTAGGGATAGCACAGCTAATTCACACTATAGCATTGAACACTTCAGCACATTTCTCAGGATAGGAATTGCTTGAAAGTAAAGAATTCTACGACACAAGATAACAGGAACATATTTTGAGCAAACAACTGATCTAGCCTTCTTTAGACTTTAAAAATTTGCTCATTTTCTTTTCAGAAAAAGAAAAAAAAAGAAAAAGACAGAAGAAACATTTCAAAAGGCAAAAAAGAAAAATGACTTAACATTTATATTTGATATGTCATTAAATGAATACATATGAGTTACACATGTACAGACACAATGTCAAACAATTTTTTTACTAAGCAATTTGGTTTCAGAGTTTCAGAGATAAATTTCTATGATATTTATATTAAAGATTTATTTAAAATTACTCTTAATGTTTATCCTAAATCAACATCAGAAAAAAACAAACAAGTAAAACCACAGAATCCTGATATTTTGAATATATGGAAGTCACATCTTTCGGATTGGGTAATATAGAATATTTACTATTTAATAAATGTAAAAAGAGGTGATTTCTCTAAAAATATTTAGGAACATGTATTTCAGTGCCTTAAGATAGTCATATAGTAGTGACCTCTTAGCAGAAAAGATTCATCACTGACCTTTATTTCCTGGGGTAACTCGACAGCCCAGACATAGTGAAACTCTGTCTTCCTAGGATGATGAACAGATAGTGAACTCTTCATTGTTAGATGTGCTTACAAGTAAGAAATTTGTTCCTCCAATCACATGACCATAAAGGAACATTGAGAATGCCAATCTCTTTCTTGACATAATTTGTACAACTAAATAGATATGAAGACTACACAAGCTATTGAGAATAAAGCAGTAAACAAACAAACAAGCAAAAACCCAGCATCATTGTCATTAATTGTGGTTATACAGCAAACTTTTATTACACAGTGTTTTTTAAAGCTTAGACTCTGGCCTCAGAGAGGGTTTGAATCTCATATCCACAAAAGAACATGAAGTCAGGAGTAGTTTTAGTATGGAGGAATTACATATATTTCAAGAGCTTGACAACTTTTTCAGTGGCAAGTCTTACAGCATTACCTTAAATATTTCATGATATTTTATTTTGTGATTGGCATTAGTTCATCAACTATAGTAGCATATAGTTCATCGTAAATATATATATGTATATATATATATATACTGGCTATTTGTGTACATATATTTAGCCAACTCTATGACTATTGCAGCTCAATCTTTCTTAGAAGGCTCCTCTGTTTCACCTCCACAGAGTCAGTACTGTCATTCTGCTACTTGGCATCTCAGATCTCCCAGTTTGGTATCTTAATCAGGACATTTCCTATGACTGTCAATCACTCAGTAAACACTTACTGATTGCTTACAGGATAAATCAAGGACCAGTCAGGAATAAGATGTGGTAATTGTCCTCAAGAGGCTCACAGTATACCAAGGAAGAAAAGGCAGTAGAAGTAAGATATTTGTACATAATAAGATAGCTTTTAGAGATAAACAAAATGAGAACACAGGGGAGGGACCCTTAGAGTGGACTGGGATTGGGTCTCTCAGGGACAGCTTTCCAGAGGCATAACTAATAAAATCCTCAAATACTTGTAGGAATTAGATAAATGATAAGAAGGTCCTGGAAAAAAAAGGTATTTAATTTATGCTAACAACATTTTTATTTCTTTCTTGAGTGTAAAAACAATCATCTATTATAGCTTTAATATGATCAGTTCCCACTGCAATGGAAGCTGAAGTTTATACTTGATTCCCATAATTTCTCTTTTACCCAAACTTTTTGGTAAAGTACCAAGTAAAAAGAAACAAAGGAGATAAGCAAAAATTAAAGAGATTAGGTGGAAAAAAAAAAAGATGTCCCCCTAAATTAGTGGCTCTTAATGGGAAAGGGGCTGGATTCTGACAGCTGGGAGACATTTGGCAATGTCTGGGAACAAGTTTGATTGTCACAACTCCCCCTCAATTGTGGGGGAAAGGATGTGCCACTGGCATCTGGTGGGTAGAAGACAGGAATGTTGCTAAGCATTCTGCAATGCACAAGACATCCCTCTATAACAAAACAATTATCTAATCCAAAATGTCAGTAGTGTGGAGGCCGAAAAACCCTACATGAATCTGATAATTGAGAAATCTGCATAAACACAAACAAGGCTATCTAGTATTTTTAGTCTGCTAAGAGTCATAGAAGAAGCAAAAGTAGGAAGTTCACTATTTTTTATCACTCACATGGGTTGATACTAATGGGTTAGTTGACTACTTGTAAAACTGAGAGTGATACTCTCACATACTGCAATTGTATTTTGCTCTGAGAATAAGGTCTGTACATTGTTTGAAAAGATAGAGTAAGGAGATAACTTGGCATCTTGAATAGCTCAGTGCAGTTTCTGTTTCTTGACTTCTAAAGCACTGTTTTACTGTGTCCAGGTTAAAACACCCTGTGGCATACTTTTAAGATGTTAACTACAGTCTTGAAAAGGAATCTGTGAGAATTTTAACTACAAAGATACTTACTGGTGATGCAGACAGATTTAACCAAGGGCTCTGTGGCATACTATTACCTTAGAGACTTCAGCCTGTTTAGTGTCTGGCCCCAAACATTGCCAGCTCAGAAACTCGTGCTCAACCTTGTTCCACATTGGTTTTATTAAGGTACTGATTTTTTATACTAATCTCACATACAAAAAAAGTGACAATTGGCAAAATATTAATTTGCATTGAAGGAGACTAAACAGACATATGAAATAATTACAATATCCTGGAAGAGAAAAGGGCATTATTTAAAAAACATGTATAAAACTGACGAAAATCCAATAAAGACTGGTACAGCAGTATACTAAGGGTAATTTCTTAGTTTTGACAAATGTACCATGATTTTGTAAGAGATGTTAACATTCAAGGGAACTGGGTTAAGAGAATATGGGAACTCTCTGTACAATTTTTACTTCTCTGTGACTCTAAAATTATTACAAAAAAATTCTAAAAAGTGGTATTGAGGAAGAGAATAAAATTAATAAGTTGGTAAGTGATTTTTATTTTTTAAACTATTTGTTAGAAAAACACTACCTATTTGTAAATTAGAAGCACTGAAATGGTTCACTGCCATCATGTCCCTCAAGTATCAGTTTGCAATTATGTTTTCTAGCTCTCTTACTCCATTGAAATAATAACCTACTTATTTTAATTTCACATCAAAAAGAATATATGAATCAGACATTACAAACCAACGATTTATATTCCAGAAGTAGCTCATATTTATTTGGCTATTATAGGTTGATATATTTTAAATCATTTGTCAATATTTGAAAATCGAAGATTTCATGTAAACATCCAAATTCTCAGTTTCTCTTTGAAAAATTGGAAGATCGGGCAAAACTTGGCCTGGGGTTCAGATATGTGTGAACATTTTAAGCAAAAGTGTGCTCCTTTATCCTGGACATCTGCTTGCCAGATGGCCACACAACCCCTCCCTTTTATTCACCACTCCCTTCACATTTACCAGGTGGGCCCACTGTGTGCTTTTCAGAATGCAGCATCTGATTTTGACATTTATATTTCACTTCTCAATCTTAAATATGAGCTTTTGTGTATTTTTTCTTATTTAGAATTTTGAGAGATCTGATTCAGCTAATTTGCCTGTCAACTTATTAGGCTAAAGAAATTATTTCTTGGAGTTCCTGTTATGAAAAGTCTTTAACCTGTTTATGGGCATCAAAAGTTTCTTAAGTGTCATTCAACTTGTTTCAGTGTGGCAGATAAAGGATGGATTCATTTTCTTTTGCCATCCAGTGTCTACATAATTTAGGACAAATGTATTTGTTCAATGTAAACCGAAGAGTGTCTGAGACAAGTCTCAATTAATTTAGAGGTTTATTTTGTCAAGATTGAGGATGTGCCCAAGAAAATGAGACACAAGCCACAGTAGGATCTGTGGTTCACACGCTTTCCAAAGGGGATCTTGAGATCTTCAATAAATAAAGGGAAAAGAGTGGGAAGGAGGGGAAAAGAGGAAAGCAAAGAAAGTAGAGTAGGTAGTGAAATAAGGGGACACATTCCTATGAGGCTTTAATGAGCTTTTACAGAATCCATGTGCAAAGGAAGCTTGTAGGGAAACAGTCATTTATGCATTGTCATGCTCAGTAAATCTGCATTTTTCTCAAGGGTGGGCAAGGGATGATTTCTAGTCTTATCTTTGTCTCTTACCTGCAAAGAGAAGCTGTTAATTTACATTGTCAGGGTGAAGGAAGCTACCTGGGGAGACATGTGGTCTTGTATCTTGTTGCTGGTTAGTAACAAAAGGAAAGGCAGATTTTTGCTTGAGACTCAGTTTCCAAGCTTAATTTTTCCTTTTGACATAAAGACTCTGGGGTCCTGAGATTTTCTTGTCCTTTCACATCTGTATAGCTCTGAATGATAGTTTTATGCTAAGGCTTCCCTATTTCTGATTTCTTTTTGATTTTCAGAATTTTTTCTTAGATTGATATAATTATACCATTCTACCTACCAGTCTCCCAGAAAAAGGAATGAGTAAAATAAACTCAATTAGGGATCAGGGACCTTGACAGTTGACATTCTGTACAATATTATGTTTGTTCCTGGAATTAATCAATAATATTTTTTAAAAATATTATTATTTTGCATAGAGAAATAGACTCTCCTGTAAATAAGTGTTTCTCATATCCTAGGATTCACTGACCCAATTCCCAGCAGTAGTCTCCTAATCGGGAAGAATTTGTTCCTTTTTCTCTTTCCTTTATTTCCCTTTGTAAAGGTCTTGAATGCCACTTTAGGGGAATATTCTACTTGTTGTTAAGCAGGAAAAAGTTTCTAATGAAACCTCATTATTTTGGGAAACGGTTGGCTATTATGCTGCCTTCATATCACCAAGGATTTGTTAAGCCCTTCAGTAAAATAAAAAGATTGGAGTGCAGAAAACAGTAAATCTACCTAAAAAGAACCTGTTTCAAGTTACTTTAAAAATTGCTTAGCAGCATCATTTTCATACCAAGGGCTACAACCTGTTCACAATAATTCTTAACAATTCATAGAAACATATTTATAGGATTGTAAGAAAATGTTAACACTTTGGTTGTTAGATACATTTGAAAGAAATGCAATTTAATGTCTTTAAAAAATGCTGTTTAGTCCAGATTTTTAACATGCTTTGTCTTTACCATGCCTTCCATTATCTTGTATTAATGAGCCTTTAATTCGTTTAAAAATAAAAAACAGTACTTTCTAATATGACTCCTCAAAATGTTGTAAGTCCCCAAATATACACCCTCAGGACACCCCATACTTTTATTTTGTAGCAGTTGTTTCATGATTATATAATCAACTTGTTTGGGTTGTTTCCTGTTTGTCTCTCTCCCTGTAACGTGAGGTGCATGAAGGAGGGCCTGGTTCACAACTGTGTGATTATTCTCATAGAGTTGAGTGCATCATAGTTCTTTAATACATAGTGTAGGTTGAATGAGTGACTGAATATATACATAAATGAATAAATGTCTCTGCATTTAAACTAAATGGATATTTCAAACCATGTTGTACATAATAAATATATACAATTGTATTTGTCAAATAAATATGTAGAAAGTGAAAACAGCTACATTTTTAAGGATTTTATAGTATATGAGAAAAGTTATAAGACTGGACTTCCTGTAGTCTTGCATATAGGCTTACCATATTACTCTCTTAAATCCATCTGTATATGGCAGCTGGATCGATCTCCTTAAAGCTAGACATAGGTAAGTCAAGTGCCTTTTGGATATCCACAAAGTATCCCCCCTTAGCTTGACAAAAAAACAAAAATCCAACAACTGTAGTAGCCTATCATATATGACCCCCTTGAATAGGCATTTATTTACATCCCCAGCACCATCAAAAGAATTGCCCCAAATCCCAACGACCTTAGATGTTCTGGGAATTCCAGAGTTTTTCTGTATTCAATGTGCTGTTTAGTGTGTCTTTCCCCCTGCCTAGAAGTCCATTTTGAATTTCTATTCTAAGATTATGCATCCTGACTTTTCGAGATTCAGTTCTGACATCACCACCAGGATGCCTTCTCTAAAATCAGGGTAGCGAAAATGTCTATTCTTTTATGGTTCCATAACTCCTGATTACTTTTATCTTAGTACTTATAGGCTATTATTACAAGGGCCTGTTTGTATCCATTTAAGACTGCAAGCTCCTTAAGCGTAGGATCCCACCTTATTCTTTTTGCATTGAAACATTCTAAGTCAATGTTTAGTGTTGAATAACTATCTCCAAAAATAATTGTAACAGATCATCAATATTCATTTGATTTTTTCTAGAAAGAAAGATTGTCTAGAATTACAAGTGATAACCAAATTACTCTGAGGTACTTTTCTGATAAGTTGCCTTTTTATTGCATTTAATTTAAGCATTAAATTGTTAACTTAAGCCTTTTTAAAATTATATTTTGGTATATTTAATTTTTTTATTATACTTTAAGTTCTGGGATACGTGTGCAGAATGTGCAGGTTTGTTACATAGGAATACACATGCCTTGGTGGTTTGCTGCAACCATCAAACTGCCATCAACATTAGATATTTCTCCTAATGTTATGCCTCCCCTAACCCTCCACCCCCCAACAGGCCCAGGTGTGTGATGTTCCCCTTCCTGTATCCATGTATTCTCATTGTTCAACTCTCACTTATAAGTGAGAACGTATGGTGTTTGGTTTTCTGTTCCTGTGTTAGTTTGCTGAGAGTGATGGTTTCCAGCTTCATTGATGTCCCAGCTCTCAGGGGAACCAGCACCTGATACTTCAATGTAGATTCTTTTCTATTTTCCCTAAGTGTCAGCTGGTCTGAGAAATAAAGAGAAAGAGTATAAAAGCGAGAAATTTTAAAGCTGGGTGTCTGGGGGAGGCATCACATGTCGGCAGGTTCCGTGATGCCCCCCAGGCCACAAAACCAGCAAGTTTTTATTATGGAGTTCAAAAAAGAGGGAGTGTACTAATAGGGTGTGGGTCACAGAGATCACATGCTTCAAAGGCAATAAAATATCACAAAGCAGAAGGTCAGAGTGATATCACAAGTTCTGGGTGAAACCAGAATTGCTAATGAGGGTCCATGTCCCACTGGGCACACATAGTCATTGATAAACATCTTAGCAGGAAACACGGTTCAAGGGCAGAGAACCCATCTGACTAGGATTTACTAGGCTGGAATTTCCTAATCCTAGCAAGCCTGGGGGCACTGCAGGAGACTAGGGCATGTTTCATCTCTTATCTGCAACTGCATAAGGCAGATACTCCTAGAGCGGCCATTTTAGAGGCTTCCTCCTGGGAATGTATTCTTTTCCCAGGGCTGTTAATTATTAATATTCCTTACTGGGGAAAGAATTCAGCGACATTTCTCTTACCCATTTTGGGCAATAAGGGAAATATGTCTCTGTCCTGCCCAGATCCCAGGCAGTCAGACCTAATCGTTATCTCCCCTGTTCCCTGAACATCACTGTTATCCTGTTCTTCTTTCAAGGTGCCCAGATTTCATATTGTTCAAACACATGCTTTATGAACAATTTGTGCAGTTAACGCAATCATCACAGGGTCCTGAGGTGACATACATCCTCAGCTTACGAAGATAACGGGATTAAGAGATTAAAGACAGGCATAGGAAATTATAAGAGTATTAATTTGGGGAACTAATAAATGTCCATGAAATCTTCACAATTTCTGTTCTTCTGCCATGCCTTCAGCAGGTCCCTCCATTCGGGATCCCTGACTTCCTGCAACACCCAGCAAAGGACATGAACTCATTCTTTTTCTGGCTGCATAGTATTCCATGGTGTATATGTGCCACATTTTCTTTATCTAGTCTATCATTGATGGACATTTGGATTGGTTCCAAGTCTTTGCTGTTGTAAACAGTGCTGCAATAAACATACATGTGCACATGTCTTTATAGTAGAATGATTTATAATCCCTTGGGTATATACCCAGTAATGAGATTGCTGGATCAAATGGTATTTCTGGTTCTAGATCCTTGAGGAATCACCACACTGTCTTCCACAATGGTTGAACTAATTTACACTCCCACCAACAGTGTAAAAGTGTTCCTATTTCTCCACATCCTCTCCAGCATCTGTTGTTTCCTGACTTTTTATGATTGCCATTCTAACTGACATGAGATGGTATATCATTGTGGTTTTGATTTGCATTTTCCTAATGACAAGTGATGATGAGCTTTTTTCAATATGTTTGTTGGCTGCATACATGTCTTCTTTTGAGAAGTGTCTGTTCATATCCTTCACCCAATTTTTGATGAGGTTGTTTGTTTTTTCTTGTAAATTTGTTTAAGTTCCTTGTAGATTCTGTATATTAGCCCTTTGTCAGATGGATACATTGCAAAAATTTTCTCCCATTCTATAGGTTGCCTGTTCACTCTGATGATAGTTTCTTTTGCTGTGCAGAAGCTCTTTAGTTTAATTAGATCCCATTTGTCAGTTTTGGCTTTTGTTGAAATTGCTTTTGGTGTTTACTCATGAAGTATTTGTCCATACCTATGTCCTAAATAGTATTGCCTAGGTTTTCATCTAGGGTTTTTATGGTTTTAGGTTTTAGGTTTAAGTCTATAACCCACCTTGAGTTAATTTTTGTATAAGGTGTAAGGAATGGGTCCAGTTTCTCTTTTCTGCATATGGCTAGCCAGTTTCCCCAACACCATTTATTAAATAAGGAATCCTTTCCCTATTGCTTATTTTTGTCTGGTTTGTCAGAGATCAGATGGTTGTAGATGTGTGGTGTTATTTCTGAGGACTCTGTTCTGTTCCATTGGTCAATATATCTGTTTTGGTACCAGTACCATGCTGTTTTGGTTACTGTCACCTTGTAGTTATAGTTTGAAGTCAGGTAGTGTGGTGCCTCCAGCTTTGTTCTTTTTGCTGAGGATTGTCTTGGCTATATGGACTCTTTTTTGGTTCCATATGAAATTTAAGGTCAGACATGGTGGCTCATGCCTGTAATCCCAGCACTTTGGGAGGCTGAGGCGAGCAGATCACCTGAGGTCAGGAGTTCGAGACCAGCTTGGCTAACATGGTGAAACCCCTTTTCTACTAAAAATACAAAAAATTAGCCAGGTGTGGTGGCACACACCTGTTATTCCAGCTACTCAAGAAGTCTGAGTCTAGAGAATCACTTGAACCTGAGTGGCAGAGGTTGCAGTGAGCCGATATCACACCATTGCACTCCAGCTTGGGCAACAAGAGTGAAACTTTCTCAAATTAAAAAAAAAAAGAAATTTAAAGTAGTTTTTTTTAATTCTGTGAAGAAAGTCAATGGTAGCTTGATGGGGACAGCATTGAATCTATAAATTACTTTGGGCAGTATTGCCATTTTCACGATATTGATTCTTCCTATCCATGAGCATGGAATGTTTTTCCATTTGTTTATGTCTTCTCTTATTTCCTTGAGCAGTGGTTTGTAGTTCTCCTTGAAGAGATCCTTCACATCCCTTGTAAGTTGTATCCCTAGGTATTTTATTTTCTTTGTAGCAATTGTGAATGGGAGTTCACTTATGATTTGGCTCTCTGTTTGTCTATTGTTGGTATATAGGAACAATTGTGATTTTTCCATATTGATTTTGTATCCTGAGATTTTTCTGAAGTTGCTTATCAGCTTAAAGAGTTTTTGGGCTGAGACAATGGGGTTTTGTAAATATACAATCATGTCATCTGCAAACAGAGACAATTTGACTTTCTCCCTTCCCATTTGAATACTCTTTATTTGTTTCTCTTGCCTGATTTCCCTGGCCAGAACTTCCAATACTATGTTGAATACGAGTAGTGAGAGAGGGCATCCTTGTCTTGTGCTGGTTTTCAAAGGGAATGCTTCCAGCATACCTAGTTTATTGAGAGTTTTTAGCATGAAGCGCTGTTGAATTTTATCGAAGGCCTTTTATGCATCTATTGAGATAATCATGTGGTTTTTGTCATTAGTTCTCTTTATGTGATGGATTATGGTTATTGATTTGCATATATTGAACCAGCCTTGCATCCCAAGGATAAAGACGACTTGATCATGGTGGATAAGCTTTTTGATAACGCTGCTGGATTTGGTTTGCCAGTATTTTATTGAGAATTTTCACATCGATCTTCATCAGGGATATTGGCCTGAAATGTTCTTTTTTTTTGTTGTGTCTCTGCCAGGTTTTGGTATCAGGATGATGCTGGCCTCATAAAATGAGTTAGGGAGGAGTCTCTCTTTTTCTCTTGTTTGGAATAGTTTTAGAAAGAATGGTACCAGTTCCTCTTTGTACCTCTGATAGAGTTTGGCTATGAATCTGTCTGGTCCTGGTCTTTTTATGGTTGGTATACTATTAATTACTACCTCAGTTTCAGAACTTGTTATTGGTCTATTCAGGGATTCAACTTCTTCTTGGTTTATTTTAAGAGGGTGTATGTGCCCAGGAACCCATCAGAAGGTCACCGACATCAAAGACCGTTGGTAGATAAATCCACAAAGATAAGGAAAAACCAATGCAAAAAGGTTGAAAATTTAAAAACCAGAATGCCTCTTATTTTCCAAAGGATCATTGTTCTCCAGCAAGGGAACAAAACTGGATAGAGAATGAGTTTGACAAATTGACAGAAATAGGCTTCAGAAGGTGGGCAATAACAAACTCCTCCAAGCTAAAGGAGCATATTCTAACCCAATACAGGGAAGCTAAGAACCTTGAAAAAAGGCTGGAGGAATTGCTAACTAGAATAACCAGTTTAGAGAAAAACATAAATGACCTGATGAAGCTGAAAAACACAGCATGAGAAATTCATGAAGCATACACAAGTATCAGCCAAATTGATCCATTGGAAGAAAGGATATCAGAGATTGAAGATCAACTTAATGAAATAAAGCATGAAGACAAGATTAGAGAAAAAAAGAATGAAAAGGAATGAACAAAGCCTCCAATAAATATGGGACTATGTGAAAGGACCACACCTATGTTTGATTGCTGTACATGAAAGTGACAGGGAGAATGGAACCAAGTTGGAAAACACTCTTCAGGGTATTATCCAGGAGGACTTCCCCAACCTAGCAAGACAGGACAACATTCAAATACAGGAAATACAAAGACCACCACAAAGATACTCCTCGAGAAGAGCAACCCCAAGAAATATAATCGTCAGATTCACCAAGATTGAAATGAAAGAAAAAATGTTAAGTGTAGGCAGCAAGAAAGGTTGGGTTACCCACAAAGGGAAGCCCATTAGACTAACGGTGGAACTCTCTGCAGAAACCCTACAAGCCAGAAGAAAGTGGGGGCCAATATTTGACATTCTTAAAGAAAAGAATTTTCAACCTAGAATTTCATATCCAGCCAAACTAAGCATCATAAGTGAAGGAGAAATAAAATCATTTATAGACAAGGAAATTCTGAGAGATTTTGTCACCATGAGGCCTGATTTACAAGAGCTCCTGAAGGAAGGACTAAATGTGGAAAGGAAAAACCAGTACCAGCCACTGCAAAAACATACCAAACTGTGAAGTCCATCGACACTATGAAGAAACTGCATCAACTAATGAACAAAATAACCAGCTAGCATCATAATGGCAGGTTCAAATTAACACATAACAATATTAACCTTAAATGTAAACTGGCTGAGTGCCCCAATTAAAAGACACAGACTGGCAGATTGGATAAAGAGTCAAGACCCATTGGTGTGCTGTATTCAGGAGACTCATCTCAAGTGCAAAGATATACATAGGCTCAACATAAAGGGATGGAGGAATATTTACCAAGCAAATAAAAAGCAAAAATGAATAAATAAATAAAAAAGCAGGGGTTGCAATCCTAGCCTCTGATAAAACAGACTTTAAACCAACAAAGATCAAAAAAGACAAAGAAGGACATTACATAATGGTAAAGGGATCAATGTAACAGGAAGAGCTGACTATCCTAAATATATATGCACCCAATACAGGAGAACTCAGATTCATAAAACAAGTTCTTAGAGACCCTACAAAAACTTAGACGCCCACACAATAATAGTGGAAGACTTTAACACTCCACTGCCAATATTAGATTAATGAGACAGAAAATTAACAAGGATACTCAGGACTTGAACTCAGCTCTGAACCAAGCGGACCTAATAGACATCTACAGAATTCTCCACCCCAAATAAACAGAAAATACATTCTTCTCAGCACATCACACTTATTTTAAAATTGACCACATAATTGGAAGTAAAACACTCCTCATCAAATGTAAAAGAACGGAAATCATAACAAACAGTCTCTCATACCACAGTGCAATCAAATTAGAAGTCGGGATTAAGAAACTCACTCAAAACTGCACAACTACATGGAAACTGAACAACCTGCTCCTAAATGACTACTGGGTAAATAACAAAATTAAGGCAGAAATAAATAAGTTCTTTGAAACCAATGAAAACAAAGACACAACATACCAGAATCTCTGAGACACAGCTAAAGCAATGTTTAAAGGGAAATTTATAGCACTAAATGCCCACAGGACAAAGCAGGAAAGATCTAAAATCGACACCCTAACATCACAATTAAAAGAACTAGAGAAGCAAGAGCAAACAAATTCAAACTAGCAGACGACAAGAAATAACTAAGATCACAGCAGAACTGAAGGAGATAGAGATATGAAAAACCCTTCAAAAAAAATCAGTGAATCCAGGAGCTGGTTTTATGAAAAGATTAACAAAATAGTCTGCTAGCCAGAATAATAAAGAAGAAAAGAGAGAAGAATCAAATAGACAGAATAAAAAATGATAAAGGGGGTATCACCACTGATCCCACAGAAATACAAACTACCATCAGAGAATACTATAAAATCCTCTACACAAATAAACTAGAAAATCTAGAAGAAATGGTATATTTAATTTTACTTAATTATTTATTAAAAATTTAAAAACATTTGTTGAGCATTTGGTAGATATTATACCTTAAGCTGACTTCTTGTCATTAGAAGATGCAAAATGTAGTTGCTGACATAAAGGAGCTCAGAGGTAAGCAGATAATTAAAATATAATATATGTGCACTAATAGAAGTAAGGATTTGGAAGAATGGATTTTAGCTAAAAGATTAAGAAATAAAAGACAATATTTCTGATGAAGGAAATAACATGTGAAAAGCTATGGAAGTAACTTTTGGAAGTGCATTATGAAATTACAAATTATTAACCAGGGTTTCCTGCCTTTTCAGGTGTAGATCAGTTAATCTAACATCCAATTTTAAATTTTGGGGAGGTCTAAAATCTTCCAAAATTTCAGTTAATTTCTTGTGCCATTAGGTGGAGACTTAATGTTTAATGGTTAGTTCTAGCTGCAAATTCCTGCTTTATGATTTTTTTGGATTATGTCCATTCAACATAAATTCAAGTAGACATTGTTCCAACTTCATCTAAACAAACAAAAAAACAGTTTGTAAATTTGCAGATCAGAACTGGCTCAGTTAATTTCCTGGATAATTTGGGAAAGGATGAGGGCAGTCCACATCAAAGGTGGTAAATAACTTGAAACTGAATCTTTTGTAGAATTTGTTGTCTGAGGTTTTTGTCTGGCTTCTTCACTACACATCATCTTCTTAGTCAGATCATCTTCTTAATTCTTTCTGTTCTTACTTCTCATCTCTCTTCCACACTCCTTCCCTCCTGGATGACCTTGAGAATGCTAGGCTTTCTATATAAATTGTGCATAATAATTTATATCATTCTATCTCACCTCTTAATATGTCTTATTTTCTTACTGGGAAAAATAGGCTAGGTTGGATTTGTTTTTATTTTTATGAAAAGCATAATAAATAAGTAATTCACATGACTTATTTTTATTGGTGACTTAATACCATGTATCTTTTCATCCTTAATACTAATGGGATGATTCAGAGAAACAAGGAGCAAAGGGAGGCAGCGCTGTAGATAAACATGACTTTCGTGGCTAAGATAAATTTTAAACAACAAAGAACTAGAAAAAAATGAATTTGCTTACTTTTTTTTACCTTGAAAAATCTGTACATTATATTTCTCGTCTTTCATAGGAATTGCATTTGCTGCATTTTTATCAAATTTATCTGATTCTGTGCAGTCTGCTTCTTGCTGATTTTAATTCTTTTCCTTTCGACAGCATCTTTTTTCTGTTTTCGAGTTCCCTACTTCGGGTGCATTTCATTATTAGTCTACATTTATATGCTTTCTTTTAGTGCAGACATGGATTAGACTCCCATTCTTATGCAGATGACACTCAGATGTATTTGAAGATTAGTCCTAATTGTAACTGCACTTTTGACAGTTTATTAGTTTCTCATGAAGATGTAGAGACTGGGATGTTCAGTTAAATGTTATTGAACTGAACTACTTATTGATAGTTCCAGATGCTGATTTAAATAGGTTTTATCATTCACCTTCAGATACTTGTGTTTGTATATTTCATGACCAACTGTCAAGAATCTGAGAATTCTAATTGATTCAGAGAACAGTGCCTACTCCTATTATCTATAGTTTAATAACAGGTCTTTGATAGATCAATAATTCAGTATTTTTCCAGTGGATTATATCATACACTATATTTTAAAATTAAAGGAAAATAAGAATAAAATGAATTCTGACACATGAAAAATGTTGCACATTTATATACGTTACTTAAATCCTTATTTTTGTGGTTAAATTGTTATGGAGGAAACTACAGTGTAGGATTTCATTTCACCATAATGTAGTAAACATAACTTTGGGTATAACTTTCCTTCCCATACACTATTAAGAGTTTTCCTCCCAAAAAGGAAGAGAAGGTATGTTTGAACATAATCATTGAAAGTATACACCAAATATTGTGTAGAAAGACTAAAATCTTGACACTCAACACAAAACTCTGTCTCTTATTTAATGGAGTTTTTTTTCTGTGTGTGTGAAATAATCTGTTATGAGGTTGTTTGCACTTTCTTTCCTTTCTTTTTAAATTCACTTTTTCTCTACAATTGCTATGCACGTCCATGAAAACAACAGCGCTCTAACTTCCAGTGCTGGTCTTCTCACTTTTCCTATTTTTCCATTTCCCTTTTTTATAATATATTTCTTCCAAGTTTTAACCGTTTTTTACAGCATATCTTTTATGATCTTCATTGAAGATTAAGCCTCAAATGCTTTTCAATTGTTGGGTATTTTCTTTCTTCCTAGGTTACTAATTTATTAGAAGTATTTGGAAAACATTTTTTAAAACTTTGGAAATACTTATTTTCTGTTCAAGTTAATATAGGCTTTGTATCTTCTATAATTTCTGAAAAATTATTTACTATCCTGAGCCATTTCATTTTCTCACAGTCAGTATTTCATCAGCACATTGTTTTACATTCAAAGAGTATACATCTGCCAACTTGGGGATGCTTTTCCTTAGCACATCCCTAAAGCATTTCAACTCAACCATGTTTAATGGTAATAATCACGTATTCATTTTAAAAGATGAGATCCTATCAAATGTTACCATGGAAATGGACACCTTGTACCTTGATTTGGCTAAAATGAGTTTGTTCTTCATTTCTACATGAGCTGCAGGAGAAAAACTCCGAAATTACTGGGGAGTGGTGGGGGGAGATGGAAATAAAATATGTAAGTAAAACAATTCCTTTTCTCCATCAGTTCCTAAGAATAGCCTTTTGTAATCTATTACTTACTCCCATTGCATCTTGTAAAACCAGATTTATCTGCTAGTTTAGTATTTCTTTTTTTTTCTAGAATATAATCTCTCTAGGGCAACGACTTTGATTGTCTTATTAATCTTTCCACCTCCACCCAGCATAGTGTTTCAAACAGAATATGGATTAATTTAATATTTGTGTGATTCGTGATTTTTCAGAATAAAAACTATCCAGCACTCAGCCTTCACAAATGAATTAAAAACATATTATCTAATAGTCATTTTGTTTGGTGAAATTTTTTATCTCATTATTTTTACTTTTTAAAAATAGCCATTCTGGGCCGGGCGCAGTGGCTCACGCCTGTAATCCCAGCACTTTGGGAGGCCGAGGTGGGTGGATCACAAGGTCAGAAGATCGAGACCATCCTGGCTAACACTGTGAAACCCCGTCTCTACTAAAAAAAAAAAAATGCAAAAAATTAGCCGGATGTGGTGGCAGGCACCTGTAGTCCCAGCTACTCGGGAGGCTGAGGCAGGAAAATGGCGTGAACCCGGGAGGTGGAGCTTGCAGTGAGCCGAGATCGAGCCACTGCACTCCAGCCTGGGCAACAAAGAGAGACCCCGTCTCAAAAAAAAAAAAAATAGCCATTCTGACTGACGTGAGATGGTGTCTCATTGTGGTTTTGATTTGCAATTCTCTAATGATTACTGATGTTGAGTTTTTTTTTTCATGTGATTGTTGGCCTCCATGACACAAGTTTACCCATGTAAATGTTTGCCGCATGTACCCTGAACCTAAAATAAAGGTTTATAAATAAATAATTGAAAAGGCAAATAATTGATTTAATATTTTTCTAAACAAATTTTTAAAATTTTTAAGTTCTGGGATACATATGCAGAACGTGCAGGTTTGTTACATAGTTATACATGTGCCATGGTGGTTTGCTGCACCTATCAACCTGTCATCCAGATTTTAAGCCCTGCATACATTATGTATTTGTCCTAATGCTCTCCCTCCCCTTGTCCCCCACCCCAACAGGCCCGGGTGTGCAATGTTCCCTTCCCTGTGTCCATGTGTTCTCATTGTTCAACTTCCACTTATGAGTGAGAACATGTGGTGTTTGATTTTCTGTTTCTGTGTTAGTTTGCTGAGAATTATGGCTTCCAGCTTCATCCATGTCCCTGCAAAGGACAAGAATTCATTCCTTTTTATGGCTGCATAGTATTCCATGGTATATATTTGCAACATTTTCTTTATCCAGTCTATCATTGATGGGCATTTGGGTTGGTTCCAAGTCTTTGCTATTGCAAATAGTGCTGCAGTAAACACACCTGTGCAAGTGTCTTTATAGTAGGATGATTTATAATCCTTTGGGTATATACCCAGTAATGGGATGGCTGGGTCAAATGGTATTTCATTCTAGATCCTTGAGGAAACACCACACTGCAAACAAAGTTTTAACTATGAGATTGTATTTGTTTTCATACCCAGAAATAATATTTGATCAATAAATAATAAAAACATTAATTTTATTTTGGGGTCATAGATTCCTGTGATATAACTGCTTACTCTCAGTTTATGACATAGATATAGAGTTTTCAGTGCTAGATGCTTATTGAAGTTTATACAATTATAATATGTCTAATCCTCTCATTCAACCAACAGAATTTTTCTTATAAACACAGATAATGTGCTTATGCCAGTAGGTTGGAATACAAAATAAATTCACATTTTAAAATTTAATAGCTAAGCACACTGTCACTGCTCTGTCATTTTCCTCTTCTGGTGTTCACTCAGTCCCAGGAGCCAGATTTTTTCCTCCATGAGAGAAAATAAATAATTAAAATGAATCCACCAAAATCCCCACTCTCTCCTCCTATCAATATCATGATAATAGACTCACTTGTTTATTTTTCCTTTTGTTGCCTATGCTTTTGTTGTCATATTCAAAAAAATCATTGCCAAGATGAATGTCAAGGAGATTTTTTTCCTGTTTTCTTCTAGGACCTGTATGGATTCATATCCTACATTTAAGTCTTTAATCCATTTCAAGCTAATTTTTGTATAAGGTATAAGACAAGGGCCCAATTTCATTATTTTGCAAGTGGATATTCAATTTTCTCAACACCACTTGTTGAAGAGACTATTCTTTCCCCCATTTTGTATTTTTGGTGACCCTGTCACAGGTTAGTTGACTATATATTTATGGGTTTACTGCTGGACTTTCTGTTCTGTTTCATTATCTATCTGTCTGTTTTTATGCCAGTACCATACTGTTATGATTACTGTAGCTTTGCATATACAGTCATGTGTAACATATACAATCTTGGTCCCATAAAATTATAATGAAGCCGAAAAATTTATATCACCTAGTGACATTGTAGCCATTGTCACATCTTAATACAACATGTTACTCATGTGTTTTTGGTGATACTGGTGTAAACAAACCAACTGCTGCACCACTCATATAAAAGTATGGCACATACAATTATGTACACTACACAATATTTTATTATGATAATAAACAACTATGTTAGTGGTTTAAGTATTTACTACACCATACTTTTTATCATCATTTTGGAGTGTACTCTTTCTGCTTAAAAAGAAAGTGTACTCTTTTAGCAGTAAAACAGCCTTAGACAGGTCTTTCAAGAGGTATTCTAGGAGAAGGCACTGTCATCTAGAAAATGACAGCTCCATGTGTATTATTACCCCTGAGGATCTGTCCGTGGGACAAGATGTGGAGAAAAAAGACAGTGCTACTGATGATCCTGACCCTGTGTAGACCTAGGCTAATGTGTGTGTTTGTGTCTTAGTTTTAAATAAATTATAAAGAGTAAAAAATAAAAGTAAAAATAGAAAAAAGCATATAGAATAAGCATATGAAGAAATAAAATAATGATGTATGGCTGTGCAATGTGTTTGCATTTTAAGCTAAGTGTTGTTATAAGTGTCAAAAGTTTAAAAAATTGTGGAGTTTATAAAGTAAAAAAGTTACAGTAAGCTAAGGTTAATTCACTATTTAAGTAACAATTTTTAAAAAACAATTTATAGTTATATCTATGAAGTCTGCATTAGTGTATGGTAACACCTTGGGCCTTCACATTCACTCCTCACTCTCTGACTTACCTTGAGCAACTTCCAATCCTGCAAACTCTATTCATGGTAAGTGCCCCTATACAGGTGTACCATTTTTAATTTTTTTGTATGATATTTTTACCTTTTCTTTGTTTAGATATGTTTAGATACACAAGTATCATTGTGTTCTAATTGTCTGCATTTTATTGTATACAGTGTATCCAGTAGAGTAACATGCTGAAAAGGTATATAGATTAGAAGCAATAGGCTATACCATAGTGTAGTAGGCTACACAATCTAGATTTGTAGTAGGCTACACAATCTAGATTTGTGTAGTAAGCACACTCTATGATGTTTAATAATGACAAAATTGCCTCACAACACGTTTCTCAGAATGTACCTCCATCATTAAGCAACGCATGAACGAAGTTTGAAATCAGGGAGTGTGATGCCCCCAACTCTGTTCTTTCTCAAGATTGTTTTGGCTATTTGAGGGGAATGATATGCCATGACAGAAACTCAAACTATCAGCCTTGTTTCAAAGAATGGATGGTAAGAATAAAATTCAAATACCAATGATGATGGTTGAGCAAAGAAAGATTAGAAAGGTACCTGAAACATGTGGGTAGCACTTGCCTTGGCCTACTTCTGTGAAGTCAGGGATAGTTCCCTTTTCTTGCTGAGATATAGTCACACCATTTCTCTCAACATCCGAATCTCATTGTCTGCTGAAAGTTGTCCATCTTTAGGTACCAACATTTATCCATTTCCAGTGATTTCATATTTGCCCCTAAGAATATTTATTGTCTTGCCTAACACAGCCCAATGAGAAACATTTAAATAAGTAAGTCCTTTGTTGGTACATCTCTCTTCGTCTGGGCTATCCTGACTTGCACTTCACAAGATTTGAGCTGTACATACTCACTCATTGTTACATAGTTACATCTTATTAGAATATCTAATTTTCCCAAGTACAAGTTAGAATTTCTAGAAGCGATAGAAACTATTAAGTAAAAAATAATATGGCCTGTTTTGTCTATCACATCATGTGCAGCAGAAGAATTATAGTTTATGCTGTTGTCAATACCAAGTTACTTTCAGAGAATATCAAGTTAGTCTCTGACACTATGATTATTCATCCTTATGCCTGGCTAATAAACAAAGAAGCCACTGTAAAGATAGATAGAAATGTAATTACTTCTACTAGGGGCAAGACTACAACACTTAACTAACTCTCAGGTGAACAACCACAGAAAGGGAAATGCCGCAAATACATTTGAATCAAACTTGATTCTTCTAGCGGATTCATTATTTTCCATGTCACATATGTCAGCAAACAGTTTAAATAATAATAATAACATTACTCTGATATAGTAAAGGCCTCAATGGGCAAGAATATAACTTTCAGGCTCTATCAACTTCATTGCATCTCTTGGGAAAGCCATTCAGAGCACATAGATAGCTGCATGATGTAATCATATTATCATATTAGGCTTATCAGAGCTTATGGGTGACATAGCACAACTATCTAAGTTTACAAGTTAAAAAAAGCTGAGATCTAGGTGATTTGAATTTGCTCAAGTGGAAATATGAAGATGCAGGGATAGTTGAAGATTTGAAGATACAAGAACTACAAACTTCATCCTAAAGATGAAAAATGAACCACAAACTTCATACTAATAACTCCTTTAATGACATATGCTATCATACTCCTCATACCATCAACAAAATGTTCCTTACCAGAAATCTTTCAACAACCCTAATACATAGCCTTAGAACAGCAGGCAGTAGGACGTGCTTGTTCACACAATGTTAATGAATCCTTTGTGGATTAATTACCACATTCTACATTCACCAAAAGGTAGAAGCTTGAATTGCTACCAAAGCCCAAAGGGGAAAAAAATTGGAAGACATAAATGATAAACAAAACCAAATCTTTGTTGTGACTCTAAGTATTTTAATCATTTGCTCACTCATTCATTCATTGAGTGTCTTCCATGTGGCAGGCACAATTTTATGTGCTGGAGATTCCATGATAAACAAAACCAAGTTCTTGCTTTCATCAATGTGACATTCTAATGAGGAAAACAGACAATAAACAATGGTCTGTGTGTGTGTGTGTGTGTGTGTGTGTGTGTGTGTGTGTGTGGGGTATGTAAAGGTAATACTTAAGAAACTAAAGTTTAGAGATATTAAGCAGAATAGGCCTTGTATGGAATACTGTTTGAGTAGAAACTTATGCCAGGTGAGAAAAATAGAAAGTGCTAGGGTCTTAAAGTGTGAACATTTTCACTGTGTTTAAGGAATTACAAGTAAGTTAGTGGAAAGAGCTTTACAGAATTTACAAATTCTAAGAATCTGTTGGAGTAAGATTACAAAAGTCCTTCAATTTATTTTAAAAATCATGATGGAAAAATTCAAGAAGGAAAATTCCAGGAGAGAGTGAAAAAGGTACTTCAGGGCACAGTGGACCGAGAGACAACAATAGACAGATCTCAGTTGATATATTCTGTGCAAAAAAGAATCCTTAACCTGTGAATCATGTCCTTACTCAGCCAAAAAATAAAATGTCAGCCTGTCTTACTTGTGTAGTTGAAACATTGTATCTGGCACAAATCTAAATGCCTGAAGGTTACAGTTAAAGCTAAACATATTTCACTGTACTTAACATTATTCCTAGGCATTTTCCAAAGCATGGTTAACTGTATGTGTTTTACCTGAGGAAAAAATAGGAATACATTGGTAGACAAGCTAGGAATAAATCTTTTGGCTTCTGCTTCTGTACTTCTATCGATGTTAGCAGTATTTTGCAAGGTCTCTGCAGGTATTGGTTCATTTTATTCCACAAACAGGACTGTAAAATGTATAGGGTAGCCCTTTTAATCTTCCTTTATAAAAACACAGGTGGCATGTGAATGAAATAAGCAAAATATTTTATAAAATATCAACTCTGTCTAAAGCACTAAAAGTTAAGATAATCATAAATATAGGAAACGCATAAATATTAGCTAACCTATTAGTTCATTATAAACTGCTCAAATCAGGATGTTAGCATTTTTATGATAATAAGCTGTCCCATTCAGAACATGCCCTATCTTTCCGTTTCTACAAGTTTTATTTAATGCCCCTTCATTGTTTTTTTAGTAGTTACCTTTATAAGACTTCTGTCTTATATGTCTTTTGCTAAATATATTTTTTAAAATTATATATAATTCCTGCTGCTTGTATAAATTGGACCTTTCCATTTGAATTGCTAACTATTTTTGTTATAAAAGAAACCTATACAGCCGGGCACGGTGGCTCACGCCTGTAATCCCAGCATTTCCGGAGGCTGAGGCGGGCTGATCACTTGAGGTCAGGAGTTCAAGACCAGCCTGGCCAACATGGTGAAACCTCATCTCTACTAAAAGTACAAAAAAATGAACCGGGCATGGTGGCGGGCACCTGTAATTCCAGATACTTGGAAGACTGAGGCAGGAGAATCGCTTGAACCTGGGAGGTGGAGGTTGCAATGAGCCGAGATCATGCCACTGCACTCCAGCCTGGGTAACAGAGTGAGACTCCGTCTAAAACAACAACAACAACAACAACAAAACAAAAACAAAAAAAAGAAAGAAACCTATACATTTTTATATGAGTTATATATTTTAAAACCAAAATATAGGAATCTTGAAAATAATACAGCATATTGTGTTAGATAAATTATTATATCTCTTGAATGTAAGACAAAAATTATATTGCATGTAAATAATGACATGTGTTTCTTATTCAAATTATGTAACTCTTCAAATTTTTTTTATTTTTTTGCCCTGCCTGGAACCTCTAAGACAATATTGAATGGTATCACTAGTGTGGGGATCCACATTTTGTTCTAATCTTTAATGACCAAAGTTGTCATATTTAATTTATAACCCAATACTTGCTTTGATTTCATACATTCATTGGTTTATTTACAAGGTTTTTTTTCTTTTTCTACTATTTCTATTTTTCTGAGACTGTAGGCATGGAATTCTTATATACTAGGAAATTTCAGCTGAATTTCTCAAATGTACTACTTTACTGTAATCACGTTTATTTATTTCCTTTGTGTTACTAAAGGCTCCATTGAAGAGGCAAATTTGTATCAAAATAATGTTTGAACTCAATAAAATTGAATACAGACACCAATCTCCTTTACTTTGACAAATGGACACAACTAAAGTTTGTGGAAATATAAATAATAATGGATAATAAAGAAATTATGAAATTGAATAAGAATGGAGAGATGTGTGTCATCTATGTAAAAAATGATTAAAACAGTATGGTACTGGCAAAAGAATAATCATAGATCAGTAGGTCAATATTAAGAAAAAGGCTCAGATACATATATGGGTTTCTTATACATTTATGTACGGTCTATATAAATATAATATAAATGGTATTTTCAGTTCATGACGAATAATATAGAATTTACTATAAATGCTCCTTTACCTTGCCCCATATGAAACCAATTTGTAGAAGAAGTTTAATTATAATATAATAAAACTATTAAAGAATGAGAAATAAAGGTTGTATTTCAATCTTAGATTTGAAGAAAATCTTTCTTGAGTGAGATATAAAATACAAGATCTAAAAGAAGACACTGACAGATTTACACATATTTTTATGTTTACAGAGAAAAGTTAATTCAAAGCAAAATCGAAAACAACAAAAGTCTGTAAGAAAGTATTTGTAGCACATATAAAAGGGTTAATATTAGTAACACCCAGGAAGTTTCTATAGATCAGCAAGAAAAAATTGAAATGAGGAAAAGTGTACAAAGAGAAAAGTCAGAGCAAAAAATAGAGACAACAATAAATACTTCTGTTAAAGCATACTAAAAATGTAGAGAAAGAATTGGAAATTAAAACAGTGACATTCCTGACAGAATGACAAAAGCATAATGATTGATACTATTATTTTGGCGACAGCCTGGGGAACTGTTCTCTTTTTAATATTATTTTTGGGAGTATACTGAACAAACTTTTGGAGAGTAATTTAGGTATATTTATCAAAGTTTTAAATGCTCACATATTGTAACTAATTAATATTTCTTCTAAGAATTAATCCTACAATAATAACACAAGTATAAAGCACAAATACAATGGAATTGAAGAGAAAATTACTCATTGTTGTAAGCCACTGAGATTTTGCAGTTTGGCTTTCCATAATAATGAATTTGTTTTTATTTTTTCAACTATAAAACATAATACATAAATGTACCAAGATCTTCACTGTATTTGTGTTGCTATGTGTGAACTGCTGCAACTCTGTTCAAATAGCAGGTCTGTTCTACATGTCTTCTTATTTCCCACTGCAGGATTAAGGAAACCTCCTAATCATCCTGTGCTATTCTCATAGTGGAAGCCTGTCAAAAACGTCCAGTAGTTCTATCAGCTTCTGTTCATACTGCTAAATCTGCAAAAGAAAAAAACCTATATGTACTGACCTAGAACAGTCGTCATGATATATGCAAAAAAATCTTCAGACTAATATTATAGAATTAGCTATGTTTGTTAAAACACACAAATACATTAAGAAAACAAGAAATATGCAAAAACTCATAGTGCCACAAAACAAAAATGTCTGTAGATATACAACTTGTTAAGTGGTTACTGTCAGGTTTGGATGGAAGCAGATAAACAGACCAAAATATTTACAGGTGATTGTTACTTGCCGTTTTATAAATGTTTTTGCCTTATTCTTATAGAAAAAGAAAATCATTTTCATAGAAGACAGTTTTTCACTGTGAAACATATTTATGAAGATTCTTCATCAGCATGAAGAGAGCACTATTTTATAGTTAATTTAAGAGCTGTGCGAAAGAACTTGGATATTTGTTTCTTTAGCAAACGTACCTACATCATGAAAGCCATTGTACTATGAGTTAACAAAGATGATAAACAAGGCCTTGACTTCAAAAGATTCTAAGTGTGTATATAGTTTAGAAAACAAAGGATGCCAGAGAATTACGAAGTATTAAGTACCACTCAGAGAAGGAGTATATTCAATCAGAAAGCTATAGCCACTACAAACCAATTGCTTTGTGATTGCTATAAATTTCTCATTTCTATAAAGGTCTTAGACTCTTTCACGCTACATTCCTTATCAGGCCACTAGCACCTAAACACTTGTATAAATGTGCTGTTCAAATAATGTGCTATGAAATGTATAATCCATTACAGAATCCTTAGTGGAAGAATTAGAAACCCTTCTTATGGAAAGAAGTGGCACATCACCTTGGCTTTGTTTAAGTAAATAGAATATCTGCAAGTAAATGTAAGAAGGAATAATATTCTAGACCTAGAAAACAGCATGAAAAATATAGAAAATTATAAAGAGTATGGTAAATCAAAGAAGAGCAAGATGTCTGTTCTGGCACAAGTAAAGTGTATGACTATGTAAAATGGCAGGTCATTGTACTAGAAAATAAATTTAGGTCCTCACAGGAATAATTTTATACTCCCTATTAGGAATTTGTACTTTATTCCATCGGAAATAGATACCAAGCTTTCATGCAGTTAGGTAATGTAATTAAATCTGTGTTTTAGAAAGATAAATATAGTAGCAGTGAGGAGGATGTAATAGAGAAGTTGGAGTCTAGAAAAGGGGTTCAGTAGCTATTATCAGTACAAGAAAAATGAGGAAGAAGCACTGGACACTGGGAAGAGAAGAAATGAAGCAAAACAGAGATGTTTCCACAGAGGAAAACAGAATAGACCTCGAGGAGTATATATTATGCAAGGCGAGGATCTGGATAGTCTATTCAAGAAATATTTAATTGAAAGTGCTTCCTCAAAGCATCTAATGGAATGTCCAGCGGACAGAAAATTAGTCTAGAAATCAGGAGAGATGCCAAAGCTGGTGATGTAGATTTGAGAGCTATCAACACAGAAATGTCCTTTCCAGTCATAGAAATGAATTAGTTTAACTATTCAGAGAAACCATTGAACAAATAGAAAAGAGAAGGTTAAGTCAATTTAGAATTATGCTACTTAAGGGTCAGATGGGAAAAATAAAACAAGAACAAATAATATGGTAGAGCAGAACTATTTAAAACACATGCGAATAATCAGGAGAGCTTAATACTATGTAAGGGAAGGCAGAGAATTTCAAACAAAGCTAATCAATATTATCAATATTTTGCATTACTGCTGAGATATCAAATATGTGGAAAAATGAAGAGATACTACATTTAGCAATTATGAGTTCATTGCTGGCTTTGAAAAAGCAATTTAAACACTGAAATGAGAATGAGAATCAGACTGAAATATTTTGAAGAGTGAAAGGGGAGAGAAAAATGGAGTAGTGAGCATAGAGTATTTACAAGAAGTTAAGTAGTAAATGGGGAAAAAAGATTGAATTGCAAATAATGGTAAGGGAAGAAAAATACAATTTATTATTTTTTCTATACAAAATAATATGATTTTATTGGTTAAAATACAGAAATTATACACACACACTCACAAGATAATTAAAAGTACTGTAACTATTAAATCAACACAAGATATAACCATCAAGTTGCAGGAAAGTTGTCTGAAATAGATTTATGCTATTAAGAGAAGAAACTAATAAAGAAATCTACATGTAACATACAAGAAAGACACACTTTTAGTGATGTAAAAAACAAGACTTGAATCAGAAGACCTGGGCTGAAATTCTGACTACTGTATACTAGAAGCATGACTTTGACCATGTCAAGCAAACTTTTAGGAGGTCCATCAACTGATTTTCAAAGTGGTGATGATGATAACTATGTACAGATTTAAGTGCATATGAAAATATACATTTAACTGTTCATCATTTAAATATACAATAGATTATTTTTGACAGATTAGAAAATGATAATATGGGCAGGATTTGATAGAACGGGGCAAAGATATCCAAATCAAAAGCAGTGGCATCCAGAAATTTGTGGTCATCAAGAAGCAAGAAACAGAAACAGTATGGTCACTAGCTCATTTATTAAGTAGAAGAAAGATGGGTTAGAAAACTGAGAAAATGCTACAACTTTCAACTTTTGTGGGAATTCATTACAATTACTTAAATGTAACTGCTTTTTTTTTTAGTCTGAGTTCTTTAATTCATAGTTATAAGTACAGAAAGAGAAGTTTTTCTATTGATGGTTCTCAACTGCACTATTGTGAGTCCTAGGGTACTTAATAAACACAAATGAAAACACTTCTTAGATTGCTTCATTAACCCAAGGCTCTGTTTCACTCTCTTTGTATATTTTTGTTAACACAATATTGGGTACATATACCTTTCTCTAATTAAACACACCTATTTAAAGTCAGAGAAGCATTTATCATGCCCTCAAATTTCTATTCATAACTAGTGTTTTCCATTAATGTTGAAAATATCGAGCTTGTGAATCCCAGGGTGTTAAAAACACTGTATTTTGATAAGTGACATTAGAATACCATAATATATATTTCAATGTGGTTATAATTGTGTCATTTTGAATGTAAAGTCTATTTGCAAGATATTTTATTGTTGTAATTTTACATGTGACATATGTTCATCTTTTAAAATGCAATTTCTCTTTTAGTGAAAACGTGTGGCTCTAATCTTCAAGGACCAAGTGGTACCTTTACATCTCCCAACTTTCCGTTCCAGTATGACAGCAATGCACAATGTGTCTGGGTCATCACAGCAGTGAATACAAATAAGGTAAGAGAACACCATCTGTGATTTAAAAAAAAAGTCATAATCATAAAGACAAAGGCAAAGAAATAATACGGAACATGCAGTATGGAAAATTTATAACTCAAGTAGGATTTTGGCGCAATATTCCCTACTTAACAGTTTATAAACCAGATTTATATGAGAAATTTGGGAAAAAATAAAAATAATACAATTCTACTCCAAGCTACTAACATATAAACCAAAAGGTTAAAATTACAAATGAATGCTTTCTGAGATACATTTTTGAAGGTTGTAAGTGTATCCTTTTTAAAAGGAATCATGAATAGTGGCTGTTTTTGTGTCTTTTCTGTTTGACACATCATTCAGGTCAATCCTGTTTTTATACATAGCTGACTTTAATTTCAATGTTTCTCTATTGCTATATATCACATAGCTATTTATTTGAAATAGTTGGTTTAATGTGCTCTGCACTAATAAAGAATTTATATTATGGATATTTCAAAAAGTTGAATTGCCTTTCTATTTGATTCTAATATGAGTAACACATCTAAATATGTATGTGCCACTATACCTCAAGCAAAATTATAACACAATGAATGTAAATGCAGCTGAAAATTTTGCTGTTTTTTCTTTCCTGCTCTTGCTATCCTGCTTCTGTTTGTAAGATGTGATTTTATAGCAATAGAGAGGACCTAAATAGGAAAAATCATCATTTCTCTCAAATCTTCAAATTATGTGATAACTTCTTTGGGCTAGATTTTAAAGTTTGGTGGTCGAGCTCATGAAATTGGTTCAGATTGTGTTTCATATACTGATGTATAATTTTCAGATAACTTTAAGTTATTTAACCTCTCTGATGTTGTTTCTTTATCTATGAAATGTGAATGATAAAGACATGTATTTTATAGTATCATAAGAAATAAGCAAGATAATGCAAACACAGTTGTTAGTAAAGCTAATAAGACCTTGAAATACATTATTAATTCATTGTTATTAAAGTATATATTGCCTCCCGGGAATTTTTGTGATCACTTATCAAGTTCTTGAAACCTAATTCTAAGATCAGCAGAGTTGGTTTAAAACTCAACCAAGGGACTATTAGATTTGTCTCATAGAAGAGCCCTGATTTATAAATCAGAAGAACTAGATCAGAAACCTACTCTGCCCCAAATTATCTCTATAAACTTGGGTAAATTTCTAAATCAAACCCCTCAGTTGCATGAAGGAAATCATGTTATCCACCCAACCTGTGTCATCAGTTCAATTCAATGCAACAAATATTTATTGGTTTATTTCTCTGTGCAAATTATTGGTTGTTGAGGAAAAAAAAAAACATGAAGTGCTTGGAAAACTGACATTTGTTGAACACTTAGCAGCATGCCGTACACTATTCTCAGTAGTTTTTTTCTAGCACTTTTTATGAATTATTTAATCCTTGTAAGTCTCTCATGAGGGAGATACTTTTATTGTCTGCATTTAAGCAAGCCTATAAATAACTTGTCAAAGATCACATAGTTAGCAAAGGTCAGAGGTGTGTACTTTATGAGATATGTGTAGGTACAAAGACTTATCTCACAGTAAGGTATAAATATCTTTTTCCAAGATAGACATGAAGCAAATTCATTATAAAGTATGGAATAAACACATTTAATTAATCTTGCATTGAGATGGAGATATTGTTTTGTCTTCGCAATTACATGTAATTGTCATCAACATGTGGTATTATCTCATGTTCAATAAGATGTTTGCTTTGCTAACTTTAAATCATTATTATTACAGAATTACCTGAAGTTTCAGAGGTTGTCACATTTCTACTTGTTTATATTATCTAATCTACTCAAATTTATTTCTCCTTTTTCTCCAACAAATGCAAATTATTTTCTTAGGAGGACATAATTACTTTCAGTTCTTTGCTATTTTTTATTAATAAATGTAGACACTTAATTTTGATCTGTTAGGTTAACTTTTTTAAGATGTCTTACAGAAATTTGTTTACAAGAATTATTCATCATGAGCCACAATAAGGATTATATTTTACCTTGTGACCTAGTTCAAACACACAGACACACACACACACACCACAGTTTCACACATATAAAACATTTTCCCTTACATGAATGCACTCCTGTATTTTCCATTCTAGTCGAATGTAATCTGTTTATTATTAAAACATTGATTATGTCCCACTAAATTAATTTCATGATGCCCTAACAGTTTATAGCACATAGTTTTAAAAACACTGTTAGAAGTATTTGCTTTCTTAGATTACTCCTTGGAACCCTTTTCAGAAGGAAATTGTTGGTATAAATAATAAGCATACAGCTATACTAGTTGGCATACATCCCAATTAACCAAGGTGATTAATACCTCTACATTTATAATTTGTTCAGTAATTATTGTTCATGTTTTCCTGTATATTTGAGCAATTATGGTGTTCTAAATGTACTAAAAAGTACATGGTTGATGGAAAAAGTAACCTGAGATTTAAAACTTGATGAAATTAATTAAACAAGTTTCAATCTGGGCTGTCACTCTCACTATGAGAGCCCAGCCACAGTCTCTTTTTCATAGAGTAGAGGTCATAATACCACATCATAAGGTTGCACAGATAAGAACATGTGAAACTCCTTATATAAAGTAAGTTCACCTTAAGTGACACCTATTTTTATTGCCAAATGCTGCCATCTCCTCAGAAACATACTTCCCTCCTGTTATTTACTGGACTTAACATGTATTAAAGCAAAATTATCATTACATATAATTTTCTTCTATATTTCATTATATGGTTGAATAATTTATAGGTGACTGTCTTATTCTAAAACATTAAACATTAAGTTATTATTACTAATCAGTTTACAGACATTGCAATTAAGTTCACAGAAAATAAAATGTAATAACTGAGCATTATAATCTAAACTAATATACATTTTTGATGTTCATTTATGCCCCTTCCACAAGCTTCTGTAAGGGAATGTTTCCTTTAATTATGGCATTTGAGTAATGAAAATAATTGAGGGTTTCTTTATAACAGCAAGTTAAAATATTAGACTAGCACTTTAAACATACCTAGTCTTTGAATTAATTGTTCTTCTTGCATTAAGGTACACATTCAACATTAGCTCCATGTGTGAAATGAAGACTGAAGACATACCTCAATCTGTTTGTTCTTCTTTATTAATTTCCCTCTTATACTTGTTTTTCCAAGTTTCAAAAGATAATCATATATTACTTCTCCAACTGGAATAAAAATATGTTACATTGCTTGAGTGTAAATAAAACCCTGGAGAATTAGAATAGGAAATTCCAGATTCATAGCTCCTCAGGGACAGATCTTGAGACAAAGAAAAAAAAAAAAAAAAGCTTCGCTAAGACATATTTGAAGGGAATCATATCCTATTAACCAAGCAACAAACTCATAGAAATGCCCATGTCTGCATCTATGCATCTCTGTCTCTATCATCTATTTCTCTATGTATTTATTTGTGTATACAGGTATGTATGTTATATATCTATCTATCTGTCATCTATCATCTAATTGTCATTCATCTATCATCTGTCATTCATCCATCCATCTATTTTTTCATCCCTCTATTTGTATCTCTATTTATCCTTATATAGAACTCATGATACTTAGGATATTATAGGCCAATTTTAATTAAAACACAAAGTCTGACTTTTTTAGACAGAAAGAGTTTCTGATTTGTCTGATTGATTTTACAGTTTTTCCATTTATAAAATATCATGCACATTTTCCATAAATTGAGTTAACTAATGATGCAAGATTTTGAGAAAACTATATTTAAAATACTTGTGAAATTGGAGTAGAAATTGCGTCCTTTGCAGCTATTCACACTAAGAGTTTTAAATAATAGATGTCAATGTAAAATTGTAGGAGAAAGTACAGTTTCCAAAATCTTTTTATTTATGTGAGCAAGAGTTTGAAGGATATTGGTCTAGCCGATACAAATGGAATGTGAGCTGCATCTTTAATTTTAAATTTTCCAGTAGCCACATTTTTTAAGAGATGAAATTAATTTTAATTTTATATTTTATTTAACCACAGATATTATGATTTCAACATGCATTTGGCATAAAATTAATGCAAGAATTTACCATCTCTTCTTTTATTCTTAATCTTTGAAATCTAGAATGTATCTAGCAAGTTTATCACATCACAGTTCAAACTAGCCTTATTTTTAGTGCTCAATAGCCACATATTGCTAGTGGCTACCATATTGACCATTTCCATCACCACTGAGATTTCTATTGGATTGCTCTGTGTGGAGAATGAAAGGTGATGGTGGTGGATATTGAAGAGAATAAATGCCTCATTGCAAGGTAATTGCCTCAGGTGAAGTTTTTGCTAGGACTTCAGGGAAAGGAAAAATGGAATGGCAGAAATTGGCAGAAATGACTCTGAAAACTCGGGTTTTAAGATTCTGTACTTTATCACAGAGCATCCAAATGTCTCCATTTTAAATTTCATGATCCCATTCCTTCTCAGTGAATTCCCTAGCTTCCACATAAGAAACTTTGTGAGTCTGTAAGTTCAGATTACATTCTAATTAGGTAACTTGCATAATTAAATTTGGGGTATGTTTTAGCCATACCTGCCCAGTGCTACAGGTTCACCATAGACGGTCTCTTGTTCTCTGACCATGATGTGAGCTGTAATTTCTCTTTCTGGCTTCAATGCAGTCATCAATTGCCATCTCCCTCCATTGTCCTTGTAGTCTTGGATATGTTAGCCATCAAGTGCAGCAACCCCTTGCCCTCTCCCCACAAATTTTGTTTTCAAAATCTGTTTCAATCACAAAAGATAAGTAATTGCATATGAATTTTTTACTGTCCAAGAACTCAGCTCTGGCAAGACCAAAAAATAAGCAAACCACTCCCACAAAACCCATTTTTGAAAGTCTTAGGCTCACTCTTGATATGAATGACTACACTGACAAGGTCTAGTCAGAAAAATATAATCTGTATTAGCTATTTAAAATGAATGGAATTTAATTTGGGGAATTGTTACACAGGCATTGCATATGTAATGCATAAAGAGTAAAAATTAATGAAGAAGCAATAACTATGTAGACAGATACCATCCTTTTTTCATCCAGAAAGAAAAGTAAAAACTGTGGTATTACCAGAACCTAAGAGCTTGCAGTAAAAACAGTCTAGACCTGGTGCTCAAATTTCAAAGGAGGAAATCTTTCATGGTTGGTGGTCACACCTCTGAGGAAAGGATGTGAGCTAGCAGGTTTAGGCATCCACTAAAGAAAAAAAAAAGAATCTGAGAATTGTAATGTGCAGTGTTCTAACCCAAATATCAAAGGGCAGAATACAGAAGGGTTGGCTAGAGCTAAGAGACAGCAGATAAATAATTAGCACAGTATTGCTTTCAAGTAAAAGGGAAAAGCTACAGGTGGAGCTGGTTTAGGAGAAAAAACAGTTTATCTTTGTTACATTTGAAATACCTGTTAGATTGGATATCAAGTGGGATATAAAATCCAGATATCCTTTTTTAAAAGGATAGAGGTGAAAGTTTGCAAATTGTCAGCTATAGATGTTATTTGAAACCATGAGACTGAAAGATCTCAAAGAAAGTCTTAGAGGGAAAGCCACAGTTAGAATACATAGTGGATGAACGGCCAGGTGTGGTGGCTCACACCGGTAATCCAAACACTTTGATATGCTGAAGAGGGCAGATCACCTGAGGTCAGGAGTTTGAGACCAGCATTGCCAAAATGGCAAAACCCTGTCTCTACTAAAAATACAAAAATTAGCCAGGCATGATGGCAGGCACCTGTAATCCCAGCTACCAGGGAGGCTGAGGCAGGAGAATTGCTTGAACCCGGGAGGCAGAGCTTACAGTGAGCCGAGATCATGCCACTGCACTCCAGCCTGGGCAACGGAGTCAGACTCCATCTCAAGGAAAAAAAGAAAAAAAAGAAAAAAGAAAGTGATGAACAACTGGCAAAAGCTAATGAGTAGGATGCCTAGTTGAAAATATTCTTGCATATTTTTCTGTATACTTCTTCTAATGTTACATTTTTATGTGATTGAAGACTGCCCATTCCCAACCCAGGAAACAAATATCCGTGGAAGAATCAGATTAAGTGTCTCAAGTATATTTGAACTACTATTTGAAATGTAAATATATAACATTACTAATAAAAATTCCAAAATGTATTTGTATTATTAATATAATCAGAACAACACTTGCTATTTATTTATTTATTTATTTATTTTTGAGGTGGAGTCTCACTCTGTCACCCAGGCTGGAGTACAGTGGCACGATCTCGGCTTACTACAAGCTCTGCCTCCCAGATTCACGCCTTTCTCCTGCCTCAGCCTACCAAGTAGCTGGGACTACAGGCGCCCACCACCATGCCCAGCTAATTTTTTGTATTTTTAGTAGATACGGGGTTTCACCGTGTTAGCCAGGATGGTCTCAATCTCCTGACCTCGCGATCCACCCACCTCGGCCTCCCAAAGTGCTGGGATTATAGACGTGAGCTACCATGCCTGACCTATTTTTTCTTAATTGATAATGGATGAACAACTCTATCTCGTGTGAGTGTCCCATTAATTATTTTCATTCAAATTTCCTTCATATTACTTACAAAGTACTTCTCGTATTCAAGATTGGAAAGCACTGATAAAAATAAAATACAGTGATCAGAATTACTCAAGTGTATTTGCCTTTAAAAATTAAAAGATCAAATGAGAGAAGCATGCAGTCCCTTTCTTGTATTCTGGGTCCAGTCCTTCTTACTATATCATTGACTCCACTTTTTTCAATTAAGTATAAATGTTGACTTTTGCAGGAAAACAAAAAAATCCAAATTTCAGTCCTAAACTGATATTTTAGGACTCAACTTGAAGTCACCCTTAATTCTAATCTTATCACATGCCCTATAATGAAAATTAAGTTTGGGATTTATTTTTAAGTTTGGTGTTAGTGATTGGAAATCTGTCCTGTTTTCTACCCATGTGTCCATTCTATTATCTTTCATTGTTAGGTTGGGATCTTCCCTTGTCATCACTAGTCCCTTTTTCAGGTACTGAAGTCCTATTGCTGATCCATACCCTCCTTTCTGGAGCTTTGAAACCCACCAAAATAACTTCTCTAAGCAAATTTTCTGACTTGCTGCTCCTGGCTCCCTCACTGCTCTGTTGACCCCTGAACCAATCTTCCCAAAATAACCTTTCTCTTCCTTTACTGCCATCTACTTGTTGCCATTTATCTAATAGGTGTCCTCTCAAATTTTACAACTGATTCTATCCTCTGAGACTTTCTTTCTACTGGGGAATACTTACTTATTCATTCAAATAAGTATGTATTGAGTAGCTACTAATCCCAGGTGTAGTTCTTGAAGCTGACGATTCAAAGGTCTTTTTTTTTTTTGAGATGGAGTCTTGCTCTGTCACCCAGGCTGGAGTGTAATGGCACGATCTCAGCTCACTGCAACCTTCGCCTCCCAGGTTCAAGCAATTCTCCTGTCTCTGCCTCCTGAGTAGCTGGGATTACAGGCACACGCCACCACACCTGGCTAATTTTTGCATTTTTAGTAGAGATGGGGATTCACCATGTTGGCCAGGCTGGTCTCGAAGTCCTGACCTCATGATCTGCCCGCCTCGGCCTCCTAAGTGCTGGGATCGCAGGCATGAGCCACCGCGCCCGGCTCAAAGGTCCTTTATATCACAATTCCCTTGTATCCTTTATGTCACGATTCTCTCTCTCATGGGTTTTACATTGTTCTCAGGTAGATTATCAGGGGGAAGAATGAGAAAAAACGTGAAACTGGGCCTGTAGTAGACTTGAATCCATGTTAGTTTTTTTGCTTACACAGCATCCATCTGTTCTCCATAATTTTTAAAAGCCAAAAAACTACCTTTCTGCCATTCCGGGTGGTCCTGGAGGGGACTTCAATCAAAGTTACGCTGTCCCTAACCCTTCCACCTTCATTTGCCAAGAAGATCTCATACAGTGGTATGCTGGAAGTAACTTTTATCAGCTCTTGAGAGCACTGATGTAATTATAAGGAATATAACAAGCTGGTTGTTAAGCATATCCAATAATAAAATTGAAATCATCTGAACTAAAATATAATGTTATATTAAAAACAAAAGTAATAACTACACAAGATGAACTAAAATATAATGTTATATTAAAAATAAAAGTAATAACTACACAAAACTCATTATTTCATAATCTTTTACTAGACTTTACTATTAGCTATGCCCCTGAGGTTATTTAAATCTATTTTGACCATATGCTGGACCTACTATATAATGATGAAAGACAGTGCATCTCTGCCCCAATCTGTATTCAGTCTCTTTGGCAGCTTCAATTTGGACACAGTGGTACAATTTACACTATAGAAATAGGCAAACTCAAGAAATCAGAACTTTTCTTCATTGTGTAGACATAGAAAGTGAAGAAGAAAATGTTGATACTAAAGATTCAATTTTGAAGTGTATTGAGTCTGTAGCGATTACATTGTGAATGGCACAAAAAAATTGAGGAAATATTCTTCCAGTATTCAAAAACTATGATCTGTTTCAATAATGAAGTCATTCACATCATTGACAAACAAATGATGTTTCAACATATGTATTCATTTTTATAATTGTTTCACTCATTAACATAAATTAAATATCAACCAACATTCATGTGAGAACTATACCAGTCCATTCATCAATTTGTAACCATGAGTTAGCTACAGATACAAATGTTTGGCAGACATCAACAAAAGCATTTTCTGCAAAGCATTTGGCTGTGTGGAATTTATAATCAAGAATATTGTATATTTGTCATTATTTGTAAATTCTGTGTTACACATCCTTTATATAAGTAAATTTTTAATAAGCATGTTTTTCAAAGAGCCAATTATTAAGCATTTACTAATACACTCCTCATGTCATGTGACCCAAGTTTAGTCACTCCATTTCTTACTGAACCTTGAAAAAAGTAGCACACACTGAAAAATATTGGTGTTGATTTATCAGAAGGAAAACACTTCAGAATAATAGTAAATAACAATAGTTAACGTTCACTGGATGTTTACTATATATGAAGAATGTTTCTAAAGCCTTTGCATGCAATATTTAATTTAGTTTTACAACAACCCTAACATGTAGGTACAATTATTATCCCTATTTTTCATATGAGGAAATAGAGTCAGAGAGAGAAAGTAATTTGCCAAAGGCTACAATTTAACTTTGAGAAACTGGATTCAAAACTAGGCATTGACTCTTACAGTCATCACTGATTCTTTCCTACTACCTAGAACCCAAAGTTTCCTGGGCTTCTATCCTTTATTTAGTCTGGAATTTTAGCTTTTGCTTGCTTCTGTGTCCTACCCCATAACTTAAAATACGTATTTTACTTAAGCCAGTCAAAATGGTTTTCTGTTACTTCTCACCAAAAAACTCTGAGACAGGGAGATAATGATATGCATCATTTTGTTTTTATCTCCTGATCTAGTATAAATGGAGTCTAATCCAATATTTAACATCCCAGTTTGCTTCTAGAATAATTCTAGCACATTCCACTATAGCCTGAAAATTGATAATATGCTTATTTCTTCTATTTTTATCCATATCTGGTTGGAGAAAATCCAGGTGATTAAAACACATGCTAGTGTTGGCTACCTTTACTTTGTTAGGTTGCTAATAGATTTTTGAGATGTGATTCTTCCAATATAAACATGTAAATTATAGTAAAATTACAATGATTTTAATTAGACAATTCTTCCATATAATGTAAAGAACTAAGCTGAAAATGTAGAGGAGCATAATTCTTTATGGCTTTTTGACCACCCCCTGCTCTCTTTAAATGTAATATACTTTTATCAATATTGAGTTATTGTTATGAGGATAATTTTGATGACTCCAGGATGTCAGCAAATCTCACAACGAAGAAAATACAATTCTTTGAGAGGTGAGTAATGAAAGATTAAATTAACTGGGCATAGAAGAATATAATTCATAGAGAATAAAGACAGGCATATGAGGTTGACTTCAGATTATAACTCTCGCTAGCTTAGTAGAAGTCTTAATTGTCGGAAGAAATAAAATATGTCATCAAAAGAATAAGTATTGATTATGGCTTTAAAAAATGTTGCATAACACTAGACAAAAGCATATTTGTTTTTGTATTTTAAAACTATGAATATTTACTTTGTTTTAAATTTGCGTCACATCACTTGTGGATCTTAAAATTTAGAGAATATGGCTTACCATGACCAAGGTGAATTAATGAAGGAGGTCAAGGGACTGGTATGATTTTAAGTGTACATATTTAAAAATTCACTCTGGAGCTTCCCACCCTACTTATAAAAGCCTTTCTTTTGTGGAATAAGACATGGATAGAATGTGAACCTGAGTCAAAAGCCCTGAATTGTTGTGCAGATCATCTCACCTCTCTGAATCTCAGTTTTCTCATCTTTAAATTAGGGGTAATCATCCATGCCTCACCATGTCATAGGAGTCTTGAAGTATCACACAAGTTAATAAATAAAACAGCACTTTGTACATTGGAAACTACCTTGTAAGTTTAAGGAATTATATATGCTTATTTTTCATCCCATCCCTTATTCCAAAGATAACTTTTAGTGAATGACATTATCAGATAGACCATTATACATATATTGAGATATGTTGAGTATTTAAGGATGTGTAAGCATAAGCATAGTACCTAGCTCATAGTGGGTGACCAGTTAACATTTATTGTATAAATAAAATAATTAATTAATATGAATAAGCAATATATATTGTTCGGAAATTACTAGGTGCTTTAATACAGCACAGTCTAAGATGAGTGCACAATGAATAGCAAATATTTTGTTGGTATTTGTACTGCTTTATAAATAAATGCTAACTACATTTATATTAAATCATATTTGTGCCTGTATATTATTTTCTCTAGAGCTACCATAAGGCATAGTTACTGGGTTTTTCATATAGTTCTGATAAAACTTCATTACAACATTTCATATCATTCTGAAACATAGATTTGATTTCTGTTGAAGTGAAGTATTAAATGAGTTTTTCTCTGCTCTTATGTTTTTATGGACACTTGCCCCAAACTTAAATTCAGGTAAAGGACAGCCTTTTCTAGTAGGAGATGAAGTTCCTTTTCAGACAGGCCATTCCATTCTTTGGCTTATTTTAAAAACAAGTAGTGAAGGTCCAATTTATAATGAAGGTAAAATTATTAAACTGTGAAATATTACCTTTGTACATTCAATACATTTAAGCCCATGTTTTTTCTTTAGATCCATTAAATACAATCTTAATCTTCCTCCCCATAAAGTCTTCAGGCATCAGAATACACTCTTGAACTCACCTGTAACACTGTCATCTGAACAATTCTTGTCACTTTTCCATCTTTAGAGATAGCCTTTTGCCACTTCATTTAGTCAGCCCATTTATAGGTACTAGTTCTTTGCGCCAAATATTTGGAGATTTGGTACTTGTGCCAAGCTTCAGTGCCAGGTCTGAAACCTCAGCCAGGCATAGAGAGTCACTTTTCTGCAGACTATAGCTGTCTTCAGTTATGTTCCTGAAAAAGCAGGCCCAAGAGAAGGAATTATATGCTGCTGATTCATTAAGAAAGTGTATCCAGGAGAAACTATTAAGGGAGTGGGAGAGGCAGGACAAGAAGGAAGTTAAGCAAGGTGCAATTTCAGACAAAATCCAAGCCTCTGCTGGATCTCATGCAGTGTAAATTACACCTGATAGTTTATCCCAACTCAAGGCAAAGAAGCTGTGCTCTCATACTTCTGCACCCCATGATCATAGGGTAAGTGATACCCAGATCTTTCAGGGCTCATGTGTGGACCAAGTGGGCTCCTGTAGCCTGAAAGCAGTCTCCAGAAGACTCATAGCTATACACGTTTAGAGACAAATGCATAGTGTATGGAAGATAATGAACAGATAACAGAAAGGGCAAGAAGCATCCAAGGGGGTTATTGATCACCTGGAGCATTGACAGTATCTACTACAATGGAGCAGGCACTAACAAGACCAAACCTGAGGCAGCAGTACAGGGATAAACTGAAATTAAAGCCAGGTTGGCAGTCTTAACAAAGCATGATTCAGAAAGAACCTAGTAGCAGAGTGAAGATCTTGATACAAAACAATTAGATGGAAATTAGAAAAACCAACTACAAGGTTCCCCAAGCCAAGAAAAGTAGCTCTGGTCACTATTTATAGAACACCCAGGCTTGGCAGTAGAATTTTAAAGGCGCTGATCTTTTATTTCCCCTCCTCTTAAGTGAACCATATCTGTATAGCAGTACCTTAACTATTCCTAACCCCTACCAATGGTACTTATTTTTTTTGTTCAAATGGTTTATTTAATTGAAATACTTTATTTAAAGTGAATTACTCTGTGCAAGTACAATAAAATTAAATATCAATAAATATAAATAAATAAATATCAATAAAGAAAAAATGAGGCCAGATACAGTGACTCATACCTGGGAGCTACTTTGGGAGGCCAAGGTGGGAGGATCACTTGAGGCCAGGAATTTGAGACCATCCTGAGCAACATAGCAAGACCCTTTTTCTACAAAACAATTTTTAAAAATTAACCAAGTGGGCATGGTGGCACATGTCTTTAGTCCCAGTTACTCAGGAGGCTGGGGTGGAAGGATCACTTGAGTCCAGGAGTTTAAGGATGGATGAGCTATAACCCTGCTGCTGCATTCCAGCCTGGGTGACAGAGCAACACCTATCTCAAGAAAATTAAAAAGTGTATTTATAAAGGGAAAGAAAAAAGGAAGGAAGGAGGGAAGGAAGGAAGGGAGGGAGGGAGAGAAAGAAAGAAAAAGAGAAAGGAAAGGAAGGAAGGAAGGAAAGGAGAAAGAGAGAGAGAGAAGGAAAGAAAGAAAGGGGAAAAAAGAATATTTCTTTTTTAACATGTTAAAAAAGAATTATCTTTTTTAAGAATAATTTTAACATGTTAAAAAAGAATTATCTCTAGATAGAAGATTACATGCATTTTCCACTTTAATTTTGTACTAACAAAAAAAGTATCAAATAAGATATATGCTTCATTTTATAATGAAAACACATTTTTAAATAATAAATTAAGTAAAAGAAAGGCATAGGTATAGAGTGAGTCATATTATTGACTACTTCCTTTTCCTTGAAACTTTATCCTCCCCAGCCTCTTTATTCTCTGTTTTCCTGAATTTCCCCCTACGTTTCCAGGCTTTTGCTAGTGACCTTATCCTTAAATATTAGTGTTCCTCTATATTAATAATTCAAACATTTTTCATTTTACATCCTTCCCCTTTTCCTTCACATATCTAAATACAAAGTCCAATGACTTCATTATATTTAATTAGTATGCCTTGAAGTTGTTTAACTCCCTCTCACTCAGGTTTCCATTATTCTCCTTTGGATTAATAACCAGCTTTCCAATTAGCAAATCTTCATCTCATTTTTCTGCTTACTCCAAGCCTGTTACTTTCCAAAAAATTCAGTGTGATGTTTTATTCTGAGATGAAATAATGTCTTCTTTGTAAAATATTTAAATGGTTCTGCATAGCTTTATAGAGGAAGCCATGGGCAACCTAAACTACTCTTGTGTTAGACTCATACTTCAACACTCTATTTAGCCCCCAAAGCACTTCTAGGACCCTGTATTTTGGGGATAAGCCGCTCCTTCTGTAGGGAATATACTTTTTCACTTTGTTTACACATCTCCAGTCTTGTGACCCTGTTTATTAATGGCATCTTCTAGGACTCAGGTAATCTTTTACCTTTTCCTAGAAGCCTGTCCTATCTTCCCACCTAGATTGGGAAAGCTTACTCTGCATAACTGACCCATGTGTTGTCACATTACATTGTACTTACATGTTTGTGCACTTATTTTCCTTAGTTTAACCCTTAAGGACAAAAACCAGTTCCTGAGTCCATGCATCCTTAATATCTAATGAAGTAACTGTCATGTGGGAGTTTTTCAAATGAATATTTATTGAAATAACTGAGCAATTATTCCTAGACAAAATAGTTGCTTGTTTATTTCCATGTGTTTTAGCTCTTTCTAGGAATGTCTCTGGTTCTTACCAACAAAGTAGGCAAAATATGCAAATGGCAAAGCATTTTTGTTTGTATTTTTTCCACTACTGTTCCCACTACTAACCATTGGGTATACCCACCATTTTAATCTCAGTATTATGATTATACCGGAATCATATGCATAATCAGAGCTGTGTTGAATAATAATTTGACATAAATAGTAAGGAATTCAAATAAATTATGGCAATTAATGTACTTTATACAACCAAATACAGTCTTTCTGGGGCCGGCATAGGGGAGGAAAAAGAGAGACTGGGCAAAGAAGGTCTTAATTAAAACAACCGAGATGCACAGGCTTTTCAATTATGATTAGGTTTGGATGTCAGTGACAGAAAACGCATTAACAGAGACTTAAACAAGATATGTATCTGGTCCAAGACTAATGGTGTCTCTGATCCAGAAATTTCTCAGAGTCATAGTCTAACTCACCACCCTACCATTCCCAATTTGTGGTCTTTATCTTAGGTTGCAACATGGTGTCTAACCCTTCTAGGAAGCAGGTTGGGGGAAGTGATAAATAAGGAAAACAAAGGACAAATGTAAGCTATCTCTTAAGAAATATTCCTTGATGTTGCTTCAAAACATTTCTATTTATATCATATTTTTGCAATAATCTAACAACATTCTCATACTTAGCTACAAGAGAGAATGGAAAATATAGTCTTTAGTAAGGACAACTTGCTACCAGCTAGGAATTCTACTATGGTAGGAGAAGGAGTACATGGATGTTTTGGAAAGATATGACAACCTCTGTTACACATATTTAGTCCAAAATTGATGAGTGAACAAAGAATATTCCCTTTTAAGTACTAGCTAGCAAGAGAAAAGATATTAGGAAAAAACTCATGATTTTATTACTGTTACTGATTTTTTTGAATTAATTATATTAAATTGTAGATGAATTGAGTGTATGTGACAGGCACTATGCTAAGCTATTTTTATGTATCTTCTCACTTAATCCTCCTATTAATTGTATGAATAGTTAATATTATTGTATAGATTGTATAGGTGCAGAAACAAGTTTGGAAAACTTATGTGGCTTATGTAAATTTGCAGGGTGAGCCAGTGGCTTTATTAAATGAAATAAGAATGATGAAGTCTGGATGCTGTTATAAAAGTGACAGTTCCATTGCTACTGTAACAAATTACTGTAAACTTAGTGGCTTAAAACAAATAATAATATTAATATAAATTAAAACATTCATTATTTTATAATTCTGTGGGTCAGCAGTTCAGCATGGGGCTCACTGCAATAAAACTAAGTTGTCAGCACACTATATTCCTTTTTGGAAAATCTGGGAAAGAATGTTTCCTGTTAATCGATCTTGTTGGCAGAATTCAGTTCCTTGTAGTTCCTTAATATCTTTATTTTTTCTTGGCTCTTAGCTGAGGTCCATTCCCAGTCTTCTTCCTCCATCTTCAAATCCAGCAAAGATGTGTCTAGTCCTTCTGATGTCATATTTGCACATTCTTCTGACTTCTTCCTCTAATGTTAAGACTTGTGTGAATAGATTTGGCCCACTCTAGAAATCCAGAATAAACTTTTCATCTCAAGATTCTTAAATTGAATCACAAGTTCAAGTCCCTTTTGACATGTCTGGTAATATAGTCACAGCTTTTTTTTGGATTAGGGAGTGGACATCTTTAATTAGGTATTCTGCCTATCCCAGGTGGCAATGAGGAGTAACAAGGAAATTGGACAGCAGAAGACACTGTGTCCTCACATGGAAAGTGAGAAAGACAAGGGAGCTTAATGCTGCCTCTTTTATGAGCATCTAAATCCCATTTACAAGGGAGGAGCCCTCAAGGCACATCACCTCTTAAAGCTACCATCTTTAATACTATCACATTAATAATATCTGAATTTTTGAGGGGAGACATTCAAATGATAGTATCTAGTGTGATCATCATTCTTCTAATCAATGTTTTTGTAAACAAAAGCACAGAGAAGTATAAAGAAACCAAACATAAAATCTCTCTTTTTGGATAGAATTGATGCTTATTCTAGAAAGCATTTATGTTTATTTTATTCTTAAACTAATATTTTAGCAACTTCTTTTATCATCACATATATTTTAGTTAATTCCATAATTGCATGTATAAAATTATGGATTGCAATTTTACTAGTTAGAGGCAGATTCATTTTAACATCTTGAATCAACATAGTTTTTTTAACATCACGAGAGTTTAATACTTACAATAATAGTCATTGACTTTGAGTATTTTATATTCTTTTGAAGATGTAATACCACTCATTGAATAATTAGGAATAAATAGTAAATATTCATTGTATGTCCTTTCTATATTTTACATTCTTGATGCTAAAATTCCTCATATACTAATACACAAATATAAAAAGTACCTAGTTGTATATAAATATAGACACTGCATAATTGTGTAATGAATCACAGATCACCACCAAAAACTTATCTGGACTTCTGTGGTCTCAATAATTTAATTTCTTATGACTCTTGAAAGGATAATATGAGATATGCAGTAAGAACAGGGCCTGGAATATATATGTTCAAAATATTAGTGTTAATAATATTACTATTGTAACTACTACTGCAACTGCTACCACCACCAACAACACTAATAAATTCCCAGAGCGAGATGGGTATAATGCCTCCACTAACGTTTGAGCTTAGTTTCCTACGGTGCAGATAACACACACTCTCATACATTTCAGATCTTGAAATATTCTTGTGGAGACTCCCTGCTGATATTAGTCACCGGAAACCATCAGCAGATGCTTCTAAGTCAGAATAGGCTGCTGCCAAGAGAGCTTGAAGAAGAAACTGGCAAGAGCTGTGAGCTTTTGCTTTCCGTCACTGAGATATTTTGCAGCAGAATGGAAGGTTATCTTAATGACAACCTTAGAGTTAGTGGGGCCATGCTCAACCTTCTGGAACATTGTCTCCTACCCCAGCTACCTAACACCTCAAGAATAGCTGCAACTGGGTTGTGAAGAGAGAGGAGGAATGTGATATTATACCTGTGTTACCCACAGCACTTGCCCTTCTTAGTATTACAGCTTTTTGGTCTCCTGGAATCTCTATTCAATGTGAAGGAGAGTCATTTGGATGATTTAATTGCCCTCACACAGCAAGAATCACATAATGTACATATCAAAGTGTAAAAATGTGTGTAATTCCTTTGCTCAGTATTACATATCTGCTTTGAATTTTAACCCCTTCTGATGTAATAGTAAAGTCACCCACATCAATGATATTAGGGGTAAGGTTTGAAGGGAGCAACATCTGCAGAGATAGGATGTAGTAGTTCCACCTTTTTTTTTCCTGCTAAGACCTCTTCAGTGTCCACCCTATACATTCTCAGTCTGTGACGATCTCTAACATCCAAGGACAAGCATAAAGCACCTCATGTGCCTTAGAGTGGCCAGATGAATACCAATATTGTAAATCTTAGCTAGACATTACCTGGGAAATCCTACAGTTTTACAGTGTAGAACCTGGGATTGCAATCGATTTTTTAGAAAGACAAATGTGCTAACATCAGGAAGCTTCTAGTTAGCACTTTAAATAGACAATAAAAGGATAAACACAGGAATAAATAATCATCATGTAAAGAAATCACCCTTAATGGAATAAAGAGGAAGCCCCTTAGAAATGTCAAAAATACTTTTCTGAGCAGATGATTTTTCAGCCAATATTATGGAATGACAAGGAACTGGAAATGCAGAGAGAAGAGTGTCTGAGACAGAGTGAGTAGTCCTCATAAAGGATTTTTATGGCCCTGATGTCTTCTAGAAACTAAAAAGATTACAGGGGCCCTTGGCATAGTGGGTAAAGAGGAGAATGGGCAACATGGAGACTGTAGAACTAAAGAAAGATTAGATCATAGAGGCCCCTTTGAGATTTATTCAAATATGGAATGAGAAACCACTGATGAATGTGATATCTAAATAGTTCCTCTTTTCATTCAGATTTCTCTCAAGTTCCTCACCCTCACCTCCTCTATCACTGAACACCTCCACCACTCTCTATCATCTTACCTTGATTTATCTTTCTTTAAAACACTTCATAACACATATGAGTGTTTGAAGACTTTATATTCTATAAGATTATTATATATTTTTTAAATTTACTATATTCTTCCCCCAGTGAAGGAAGAAAAGTTAGTCTGTATCTATATCACTATAACAGTGCTGGTAAAGAGTCATATTTTTAAATATGTGTATACAATTAAATAAGTCAATAGCTTTTAGATAGAAGTTATATTATCTGATTTGTGTTTTAACTTAACCTCCAAAACTTAAAATAGGAGCCTTCTATTTGAAGCACAGTTCACAAAATAGGAAACAGTAGTATAGCTACCTTTCCTCACTCTTTTTTTATTAAAGTTTTACTTATAATTGACACATAAAAATTGTTTCTGGGGTTCAGAATTATACAAGGTTGCAGTGAAATACAGATATTTTGATGTCCCTATACCTTATATAATGATCAAATCAGAATAATTATTATATTTATCACCTTAAACATGTATTGCTCCTTTGTATAATAACATTCAAAATCTTCTTTTCTAGCTATCTTGGAATATACACTACATTGTTATTACTATGGTCACTCAAACTTCAACTTGGTACCCATTGACAAAGTAACTTTCCCAGTTTCTCCTTCCTCCTTATTCTCTCCAGCTTCTGGTAACCACAATAATACAATGAAAACTATAAAGCACTGATTAAAGAAATTGGAGAGGACACAAATAAATGGAAAGATATCTTGAGTTCGTGAAATGGAAGAATTAATATTGTTAAAATGTCCACATTACCCGTAGCAATCTACAAAATCCCTATCAAAATACCGGTGACCTTTTTCACAAAGACAGAAATAAAAACCCTTCCCCAGTCTTTTCCTAACTACTGGCTCCAGAGAGAATTCATTCATGGGCTACAAGTCTTTCCTCCTGCATAGCTGTGGCAGGTAATTTCTCTTGTACCCTAACTTCCTGGACTCCTGCCTAAGTTGCTTGTCCAGGAAGACATAGAAGTAAACCGGGCCTTCCACAGATATAAACTGATAAAGATTCACTACTCAATAACCTTGTTTAAATAAATTACATAAACAAAAATAAGGTTAACAACAAAGACCATGCATTGAGAAGCTGGTATCTTACATCCTGTCTTTTGGTGTCTTAAGAAAAATAACAAGGATAAACTGAGGCTGGAATTAAAACTCATTGCATGGTTCATTATATATGAAAGTATATAAATATCTGTATATCACTACTATAGTTGTGTATCTAATCATTTTGAACAAAACTTTCATTTTCTCAAAGTCTGGAGTCAAAGTTTTTTTATATAAAAATAGATATAGATAAATAAATGAAAAGAGAGGTATCCTAGACCATGATGACCCCATTATTAATAAGGGACAAAAAAACAGAAAAAGAGCCCTTCTTAACAAATTTATTTGAATTAGCCTCATACATATTTTTCAAAATATTTTGGATATATACGACCTAACTTATACAAATTTGTAATGAATAGTCTCCTAAAACCAAGAATATTATCTGCAAGGATTTTCTTCAAAATCTGTAAATTCAAGTTGATCATTTATATGTATTATGGAATTTAAATTATATCCTCCAGTAGCTAAGCATGAATAAATGATGGAAAGGAACCAATGGTTTTGTACTGTGGTGCTATGGATTTAATATTTGATGAATTTTTCATTTTATGTAGCTTCTTCCCTTCAGTGAAACATTTGTAGTGCTTTATGTAATCTGTCATTGTTACATGCCAACAGTCCCCTAAAGGAGAAGACCAGTGTACAGATATTAAAGGCATAGAAAAATAAAACAAAGCTAAAAGCTTTTATCACTCCATCAGTAGCTCTCAGTGTCCCCAGACTCTCCTCCACCCCATCTCTAAAATATGAGCCCTTGCAAGATTGAAACTGTTAACCTGATGCTGGCAGCAAAGTGGATTAGCCTAGAGAATTCCCTGAGGTGGCATTTTGCACTGTTGAATGGTCTAGCCTAGAGTCTTGGGATATATATTCTGTAATAAAATATGTAAGTAAAATATTAAATATTGCAATGCATAATTCTTCTAGAATATGAGATATTTATTATTTTCTCTAAAATGATATCACTTTCAAATGAATAAATAAGGAATTCTGATGTGTCATAGTTTAAGCATTTTGTATCATACAATATTTACCTATTTCATAAATTTCATATAAGTTTACCTTTGTATATTTATTTTTAAGTAGCTAATTTAGGATGATTATTACTTAAACATCATTAACATGAATTTTCCATATAGATGTGAAATGTATGTCACTTATAATACATACCACAAAAGCAGCCAAGTTTTAGAATTATTCTGAATTATATGATTTTTTAATAAAGGTACTCCATATTTTGCTCTCTCTGCATTAGACATTTACAAGCAATAACATTTGATAAGACAGTCCTGCCAAGGCATAGATTTTTGTGTGGGCCTTTGAATAATGCTTTCATGTGTATGGAAAAAAAGGGAAAAAAAACTATTATAATTATTTTAATTTAGAGCAAAGAAACCTTGTCTGAATCCACTCTTCTCCATCCCTACTTCCACAGTCCAAGTTTAGGTCTTCAATCTCTCTAACCCTGCCCTGTTATCCTTCAAATCCAGATTGTCCCTGCTGCCAAAATGAGCATGTAAAAAATTAAATATAACCCTGTCAACATTGTTCAAAATCGTAATATGCTGCTTTTCATATAGAAGATAAAGTTCACAGTCCTTAACATGGTCTGCTTTCTGCCTTCATCGCTAGTGTTCCTTCTCATCACTTTTTGCCTCACAGTTTATGTTTCAGAAACAAAAATAATATTTTTTTCACTTTGCCGTATTTCACATTCTACCCTAGAATGTTCTTTCCCAGTTCCCAACTCCACCTTCCTTGGCAGTGTCTGGGGTTTTCCACCTCAGGGAATCCTTTCCTCTATAGTCTCCAACTGGATTGAGTGGCTGTCATCTCTGCTAATATAACCCAGTGTGTCTATATCCCAAAGCAATCAACACAGGGTATTGTATTCATCTTGCTTATGTCATGTTTCCCTCATTGGACTATGATTGCCAAGGTATAGAATGTATATGAAGAAAGAAGTGCTTTAATTAGATGTCAAGTTGATTGTGTAACGTGGTATTTGCATACCTTGAGATTAATTAAAGTTTTTATATTTTGTAATTATACATATATAATGCATTCTGATTTCCACACCGGGGAGCAAAAATAATTGTTAATATTAGAGTGACTTATTGCCATTCTGAAATAATCATAATGGAGAAAAGCTGCTCCCAAAAAAGGTAAATTTTTAGCAACATAGAGTTTGGGGGAAAAACTCTTATCTTGGAATCAAATGGGATTGCTGAAAAAAGAACTTCATCCTCAAGATCCATTGTGAACAGATACGAATACCTATTTTAAGATAATTGACATAGCTAATAATAACTGCCATTTATGAGGTCCTACTATATATCAAGCATCCTATGTGTTATTTTATAATCCTTGCTTATTGTAATACATATTTCAACCTTAAAAAATAGAAATTATAAACACTATTTCATATAAGTTAGAGAATTGCTCAAAATAATATAACTTTTTTTTAGAGAAATGGGGCTATAATCCCAGGCTTTTCCTGTGGACTTATCTATATTATCCTGTCTCACTAATGAGTATAGCTTGGTATTGGTATTGGTATTGGCATTAGTTAAAGCATCATTAATTTGTTTGGTTAAACATCATCAAAGGCTAATTTGAATGTTGTACTAATTATGTAAATAAAAAATGTCTAATATTGAGTATTTTCTTCAGCTTTCAGAATTATTTTGAATTAACAAATACAGACTTTACCATGAAATACAAAAGAACTTGTATCAATAGATGCTTTCTATATTTTTTTCCCGAAGAATTTATGTAATATTTATTAGTTGTTAGGTTTCAGAAATTGTCTCTCCCTGCCATCACTATTTAATACATGAGGCATATGCCCAACATCAAAGAACATATTTATAAATTATTATAACAACATGATATGAGGTATTTGGGATGCACGGAAAATATTTTCTAAATTTCAGAAGTTTACTTTGTTAACGTAGAATAGCATGATGTTTAAGCATGTAATTACTATCATCAAGCAAACTTGAAGTTTAGTTTCATCACCAGTAGCCAAATAAACATGGGAAAATTACTTGGGCAAAGCATTCCTTTAAACTGAGAATTTATTAAAACGATTTGTTCATTGGAATGTCTTCAGTTTACATATGGGAAACCTCAAATCGAATGACTTAAATAACAAATGCATTATTTAAAAAGCATACTGTCCAGAAGCATGCAAGCCCCACGCACACAGAAAAACACCGTTCCTAGGTTCTGGACATCTCAACATGTAGTTTTGCTTTATCTTCAAACTACGTATTGTGAGATGGTTGTAATAGCTGAATACATTCAGATAGAATTACCTCAAAGCAGACTGATTTTTTGTACTTCTTTGAAAACCAAGAAATCATTTTGCAAAAGCCTCTCAGCAAATTGCTAATCATCTTCCAGTGGCCAGAATTAGGTCAAATACGTGTAATCGAATCACTGGCAAATGGAATGGGGCATAGAGTGATTAGGACCCATCTCAGGAAACTCATAATTGGATGAGCAGTCCCTGAGTATTAGGATGTACAGAAAAGAATACAAGAGAACAAAATATATGTCCTGTTGAGAAGAAAAGGTCAAGGGTAAATACGGAAGGTGGCTGTTGGGTAAGCAATCAATAGCATCTGCCACATTTTCCCCTTTGGTTATCAAATACCTCTCCAGACCCATTTTTCTTCTCCTGCATTCACTTTGGAAAAAATACCTATGTAAAACATACTTTCTATCTACATTAATAGAGAAAACCTAAAATTTCATCCATTTACTGCATACAAAGATATGTCCAGAATCCCTAAGTGATACACTGGCTTCTCCATTATATTTACAGGTAGTTCCTCATTGTCTAAAGAACTGTGGCTAAAACATAGGCTATCCCAAATCCAATATAAAAGTATAGAAAACAAATAGGGTAACTCCATAAAAACTCCCACTCAGAAGAAGAGAGAATTGAAGCTACACAGAGTGGTTACTGGGTCACAGAACAATATCATGTCCTTCTGGATAAGACTAGTGAATACTGATTTCTCTAGAAATGGAATGAGTTCCTAGATAAGCTTGGAATGTAATAGAATCCATTTACCTTGTCATAGTGCTCCACAGCTTCTGGCTCTGATTCCTGAGAGGATTTATTTTTACCTGTTGAACAAGACTGCTGTGCTCTAGAATTTCAGTGCCACTACATATTACAACCACTGTTGCCCCTGAAACTGTGTTTCTGTTGCTTTTGACACTCTTTGCCAGAATTCAATCTTTGTTTCCTTATTTATACACATAAGATGTGTATCTGATTGATAAGGGAATCTTAGTTCTCATGCCTGTACACTGGATACAATGAATAATGGGGAATCTAGGATCTGACCATATTGGGAGGTATGCTGTACTTCCTACCAAGATTCCTAATTTCCCAGACAAAAGGAGGATATTCAGGTGCTGGGCAGCCAGAATAATGTATAGGTGTACACAACATAGACTTTTAGGGTCAAAATAAAATAATGCATTTATAATTCTGAGACCAGTGTTTTACATAATATAAATATGTTCCATTTAAAAAACTCATGTTAATGGGTATTAAGTGGGAATTCCGCATGGCTTCAGAAAATATGACAATGTAGAAGTTATGGTATTAAATTATCTGTGCAAGATTCACAGAAAGATTATGAGACATAGCTTCTGTACCACTTTTAACAAAATATCCTGTAAAAACCTATGTATTGAGCCTTATGAGAAATGGATCTACCAAGTATTTAATATTTAATGCTATCTATGGATTTTTTACTTCTGGAAAGTCAGTGTTAAAAAGCATTATGTTATTTTTAATTGACTTCATTAGTAGATTAAATGTTTTAATTCAAACCTCAATAAGCAACACTAAGCAATCCAGTTGGAATTACCATTTCACAATGGAAATCAAGAGAGTGACTTACTTGGTTTAAAAAAATCAAGACAATTATACATTATTTAAATACTTTAAGGGTATATTTTATTATTCCAGTTTTTCTTTCATTAGTCCTATGTGCTAAATGCAATTTATGTTTTTGTTTATTTACTCCACAAATGATTAGGAAGAAGTAAAACAGGCAAAATGTATGGCATTCTTTTTACACTAAATGCATAATATTTTTCCTATTTTCTTACTAAATGTTTCAGCCCTACTACCAAATAAACATGTAGAGGAAGCATTCCTATTATACTTATGACTATTTGTTGATTTTTTATATTAACTTTTCTATATTATACAAAAATAAATGGGTGGAAATGTCTATTTGGCCACTTTCATATTATTAAAGTATCAATAAAGAAGGAAAATTTTACATCAGACTCCTGATGTTACTTATTACATTATAGAATGAACAAGTTTTGTTGTCATTTTGTTTTTGTTTTCCTAAGCTTTATTTACACATGCTATTAAAGATATTTTTCTTTTAACCATATCTCAATATACTAAGTTGGAGTTTTACTGTAATACCTTACTTATATTAATGGCTTCAAATAAGGCAAAGCTAATTTTTATTTTTTTAATGCACAAGTTTTACTTCTGTGGACTATTTCAATAATAATGTTAAAAATAAGCATAAATGAATCAAACTAAAATGAATGTATTATAAAAATTCAATCAGAATATTCTAGCTTCTCAGTAATTGTATGTCACTGAAACTGTTCAAGAATTATTAAGTGTCTAAAAATTCAGTGAAAGCTCAGTGGTTAAGTGCTTATCCAAAAGTATATGGATTAGTTAGTAATTAATTCATCACTTAATTTAAAGTGAGATAGAGCTCTCATTGTTGCATACATACATGCATGAGTCTCAGTTACAATTTAGGCAAAATAAAATCTACCATTAAATGGGTGTCCAAAGTCTTTAGGATATGATCATACTATAATGGATATCAAGAGTTTGGCATAGAACTAGCAATCAATTAGGCAGTCATTTACCTAATTTGTATCCACTAGCCTATTAGACTTTTAAGTCATATGAAAGGAAACATTCTCTAATTTTAATTACAGTGCACTCATATATCTACTGTGAAATAGGTTGGGGTGATGAAGATCATGGGATTTATCCTTCTGGCAGGATGACAGATGAGGTACTTTGAGAGTTACTCTCACTGAAATATAAGAAACATGGTAGTGTTCATGTCATTATTAGTTCACAAGAAAACAAAAGAAATGTATAAAACTATGTATGAATACCATGCAAACCTACAGACACACACACACACACACACATACACACATATATATTGGAAGCATTCCCTCTTAAATGAGGTACAATTTAATGAGACTAATTGTCATCTGTTCTAGTAAACATTTTACCAGATATCCAAGAAAGTTAAGATTTTAAAATTACATAATTTGGAAAGGAAGAACCTAAAATATTATTTACAGAAGACATGCTTGCTATGTAAGAAACTAAAAATAATTTACAAATGTTTTTAAATAATATGGAAGCTTTATCCAGTGCCTAGTTAGATCAATAAACAAAAAATAAATTTCTTTTCTATATACCAAAAAAGTTCCAAATATAAAGATAAAATACCACTTTCAATAACAAAAAGCATTTTCAAGAAGTAATATACTAAAAAAATTATTAAAATATATTTAGAGATCCAAATAAATGAAGAGAGAAGTCAGGCTTGTGTGTAGGGATATTCAATACCTTAAGATGTCAGTTCTCACCAAATCAGTTACAGATTCACTGCAATTCCATTAGAAAGCCCAAAATAAATTTTTGAAGAATTTTACAAGTTGATATGTGAAAGACAAATGGTCCAAGAGTAGTCAAAATACTCCCAAAGAACAAAAGTATTAAGTGTGTGGAGTATCTGACTTATAAGGTACAGTCTTATCTTATAGCAATAATAAAAATAAGCCAATTTGTGGTAGTTCGGGTACATACAAACTTACCAAGAGAACAAGATCCAGAATCCAAAATCCAACATACTTATATACAGAATAGTGATATATGTTTAGGGTTTGCTGATCATTGGAGAAAGAAGGGCTATTTATTAAATAAAAAGTATTGAGACAACTGGATGTTCATATTGGAGGGAAAAATGAAAGGAATATTGTGCTAATTTATATTGCTGTGTAAAAAATTACCCAAAATTAGCAACATGAAACAACATAAATTTTTTATCTCACAGTTTCCACAGGAAAGGAGTCTGGGCATGGATATCTGGGTCTTCTTTTCAAGGTTGTACCGGGGTGAAATCAAAGCTTTGGTCTGGGATGTGATCTCATTTGAAACTGTAGGGCTTCTTCCAAGCTCACTTGTTGTCAGAATTCAATTATTGTGGTTGTAGGACTTAGGCCCTCAGCTCCTAAAGGCCACCCACTGCTCCATGCTAAATGTGCCTTTCCACAGCATGGCAGTTTGTATCTTCAAGGCCAACAGGAGAGCATCTCTTCTGATTTTTTGTTTGCTTGTTTTTTGATCTCTCATTTCTGGACCTTCTTTTAAAGGGAATCTCCTGAATTAGTCAGGGCCACTCAGGATAATCTCCCTTTTGATGAACTTAAAGTCAACTGATTAGAGATCTTAATTACACATCTTTAATATTCCTTCACCTTTTCCATATAATATAAACTAATCATAGGATTGATAATCCGTCATTTTCATAGGTCTTGCCCACACTGAAGAGGAGGATATTATATAGGTTATCTACACCGAGGGATTAGAATATTGGAAGACATCTTAGAATTCTGCCTCCCACACATTCCTACTTTGCAGTTTCTGTAAAAGTCAATTCACAAAAGATAAAAGATATGAAGATACATCTTTATGAGCTTGTGTCATTAATATTAATAATTTTTACCAGAGTAGGATTTGTTTATCTATTATTTTATGAGTAGATAAGTAAGTCCTACTCTGGTAAAATTAATAACTTTTCTTATAAATAATCTAACAAGGAAGCTGTGAACTTGAAGCTATTGCAACACATATAATGTAAGGGATTAGTATCCATAATATATAAAGCTGATCTCAACTAGTGAGCCAGATCCAGTGGTGTACTATGAGTGAGCCACAGGTAGAACTAAGATATTGATTTAACTCCCTCTATGGAACAGAAGGTCCTGGGCAAAAAATAAAAATAAAATTTCCATTATAAGCAGCTTCATCTGTTCACCTTTGTGTATTACAAATATTATTGTTTTCAAAGTGTGCTATAATGGAATGTTTTCAGAATCACCAATATAAAGAATTCTTGCAAATGATAACAAGTAGACAAGCAGTCTGAGGAAAAAAGATGCCAAAACACAAACAGTTGTGTCACAGAAAAGGAAATATAAATGATATATAAACATATAAAAAGATATGTAACTCAATTAGTATTAAGGAAAATGCGAAAAAAAAAAAAACACTTTTACATCTACTAGAGTGGTAGGAATAAATGCATTCAATGTACACGAATGTGAACATTTGAATTGGTAAAACAATTTTGGAAAACCATATGGTACTAGGTTATAAAATGAATTTTTGCTGTTATTACCTAGCAAGTATACTGCCTAGAGACATACCTGAAAATGTGTACCAAAAGATGTTTAATACTGCTCATGACCATGTTGCTTATAGTAGCCAAAAAAAAAAAAAAGAAAGAAAATGGGAAACAATCTAAGTCTGTATTGACAGGTAATTATTAATGGGAAGTATTTATATTTTACTATAAGTGGAACAAATACACATATTTTTTAAATTATGATCATGTAAAATGTATAGTTCAAAGTCTTTATACACATGCTGTATTTAAACTTGGCCAAAACAATTGTTTTAGTCAATGCAAATATTAAAATATTTTATAAAACAAGAAATATGTGTAGTCAAAAATTGTTGGCCAGGTCCAGTGGCTCACGCCTGTAATCCCAGCATTTTGGGAGGCCGAGGTGGGCGGATCACGAGGCCAGGAGATTGAGACCATCCTAGCTAACATGGTGAAACCCCGTCTCTATTAAAAATACAAAAAAATTAGCCAGGCATGGTGGCGGGCACCTGTAGTCCCAGGTACTCAGGAGGCTGAGGCAGGAGAATGGCATGAACCCAGGAGGCGGAGCTGGCAGTGAGCCAAGATCGCGCCAGTGCACTCTAGCCTGAGTGACAGAGCAAGACTCCATCTAAAAAAAAAAAAAAAAAAATTGTTATTATAACAAAAAAAAGCCAAGATATAAATTCCTTTATTTTTAATTATTTTTATAATAACAAAGTAGCAAATAGTTATAAATATTACTAAAGAAATATCTTCTTCATTTATTCTCTCATAATATGGTAACTTCAGGCATTCATTTTATCAGGTGATGAATAATATTTTGTTATAAATTATTTTTTGCTCAAAGCATGACTCTATGCAGGACATTATGTAATTTTATGTAATTTCTTTCTGTACTGATTCTTAATTACATTTTTTCAATATTATAGCTATTTTTAAAATTGCAATTTAATTAAATTTGAATTTTTGCATAGGTATATAAACAATATATGGATACATGAGTATATTTTAGCAAGAAATAATGCTGAATTACATAGCATGGTATAGTGTGCCTCTCAAAGTATTGTGCTCCCAGTTTTGCCGCTCATTTTAATATATTTGAGGAATTCTTTTACCAAACGATACATAAAAATAAACTTGATACCATTCTGGCAATCTAGATTCAAGTTTAGCTCTAACAAATTTTAAGCTTTACTACTTAATGGAAATAGCACACTCTGTTTCTGCATGTTAACTTTATAAAATATATATGCAAATATGTGGAAAACCACTCTCCACCTACATATACTTTTTATAAAGCCTTCTTAAAGTAGATTTGCTTTAATCATTCTTCAAGTAAGAGTATTCTATAAACAGAAACCATGCAATTTCATTGAAAATTTAATGCAGAAAATACAATACAGCAAGTAAAAGTCATGTAATGATATGATTGAACTTTAAGAATATTCTAACATGACTTGCTGCCATACTATGAAATTATATATATATTTATACATAATTGAACTGCTTGTGTGTGTGTGTGTGTGTGTGTGTGTGTGTGTGTGTGTGTGCAGAGAGACAAAGAATGCATTTCTGTCATTGCTTTTTTTGTTGTTTTTATTGCACAACGCAGTATATTTAAGGTGCATGTTTCTGTTTACTGCTAGGTTATCCAGATAAATTTTGAAGAATTTGATCTGGAGATTGGCTATGATACCTTGACAATTGGCGATGGGGGCGAAGTTGGAGATCCTAGGACAGTGCTCCAAGTGTAAGTTCCCAATGTTTCATTTTTGCCTTAGCCTATCGGGTACTAATAAAATTTTACTTTCAAATTATTGTTTTACATTGATCGCTCCCACTACTACCAGCAGAAGATGCACAGTAACTTAGTTATTATTGTTAACTTTCATAGAATCTGTTAGTGCTTCTTCAATGAGATTTAAGGCACTTTGTCTCAGTTCAGTTGGGCTTCTCTAACAACATGCAGTAAACTGGGTGACTTATAAACAATAGAAATGTATTTCTTATAGTTCTAGCGGCTAGGAAATACAAGATTAAGGTGTCAGCAGATTTGACGTCTGGTGAGGGCCTGCTCATCTAACCTGATGCTTCTCAAAATAGGGTCTTTTTGCATCACAAATGCATCACAAATACCTGGTGCACATTTGAAAATGTAGATTTTTAGGCCCTCAAGCCGAACTTAGTGAATCAACATCTCCAGGATGTGAATTTATCAATCTATATTTTAACAGAATCACTGCATGATCCTTATGCACATCAAAGTTGGAGAACAACTGATATAAATGTTAAAAAAATTAGTATCAGCATAGACAGCTACTACTGGTAATGCCCTTATTGTATGTAAATTGACTAAAGGTAAGCTATTTTTTTTTCCTTTTTTTTTCTTTTCCTTTTCATTCTCTTCTCCCTCTTCTTTTTATTTTCTTTTTAATTTTACAAGAAGGCCTCCTAGAACTATTATTCCAGAATCCTGTAATAAACCAAGGGTTAAACTCATAGTCACACATAGTATGTTGTGGGCTCCAATATTACTGCTCTTTAGTGTTACTTTTCTAGAAAACAAAACAAAAACCAAACTTACTCACCTGTCTTCATGCACTCTTGACCTCAACTTCAACCTCTTTCCCCTGTCTGCAACGTGGATATCATTGATCAACATGATTTGGTGGTCTATCTCTGGCCTACTACAGTTCTGTTTTGTGTTTCCTAAGGTGTGATGGACAAATGGGCCAGCATTTTACATGCTTTATATGTTCAATTATTAGTTCGTTTTCACACTGCTTTAAAGAACTACCTGAGACTGGATTATTTATGAAGAAAAGAGGTTTAATTTACTTTCATTTCCACAGGCTTAACAGGAAGCATGACTGGGAGACCTCGGGAAACTTACAATGGTGGCCGAAAGCAAAGGGGAAGCCAGGATGGTGGCAGGAGAGAGAGAGAGATGGTGGCAGGAGAGAAAGAGAGAGAGAGAGCAAAGGGGGAAGTCCCACACACTTTAAAACCATCAGATCTTGTGAGAACTCACTATCATGACAACAGCATGGGAGAAATCCACCCCTGTGATGCATTCACCTCCCACTAGGTCCCTCCTCCAATTTGACGTGAGATTTGGGTGGGGACACAAATCCAAACTATATCAGTTATGTTGCTCACATTTTTGTAACTTCATTCTTAACACTTCCTCTCTTGAAAATGATCAGCATTTTTGTTGCACCTGAGCAACAATTTGAGCCTGTTAGGCATATTACCATACTGAACTGACATTTTCCAGAAATAATCAATAGTTTCTACTAAATCTTATTGTAGTTTTATACCTGATAGCTTAGATTTCATTATAATATAAAATTGCATATATTTTACATGCAATATACTGTAAAATTGTATATATATAAATTGGCAGCAACAGAGCTGCTCTGATGATTAGCTGTGCTTTTTTCCTATCATTATTTGTCAAATACAGAGTTTTAAGGAACTGAAAATTACATGTAAAAATTTGAATTTATGGCTTCTTGTAAAACTGGTGACCCTAGATCTTCATAGTCATGTGGCAAAAATTGGCTAGGACTGTCTTCTGCCTCCTATGGAGAGGGCCTCTTTGTGGCCCTAATCCCTCTATCATTTTCCACTTGAGCTTCTAAGATCCTTTGCGTTGCCTGCCTGGGCCTATAGCTAATTAAGTGACACCTGATATAAGACAAAATGTGGATTGCTTTCTTTATCAATTTATTCATTGTTTTGCAAGTGAATATGTTTGTTTCTTTACCTGACACTCATAAACACTGAAGTTTCTTGGATATTAATGATACATAGTAAATTTGGTGATTAATCCTCACACATTGCAGATGTTTCTCTCTACATGTTTGTTAGATCCTATCACATGCACTTTAGAGATAAAATTGTAAAACATGTATTTGATGAGATATCTTTTCCTTTTTCTCCTTAAGACAGAAAACTGGATTTTAGGTTCAGATTCTTAAAAACATGGACAAGAAAAGGCAGGCTGGCTAGTCAATTGACTAAAAAATACTTTTTAAGAAGCTTTCATTCATGTATCTGCCACAAAAAAAACTTCCATCTCAGCATTGGATAAAATATTAGAAATCATCTTGTCCAACTGACATCCAAGAGCATAGATGCTATGTCCTCCTATTGCTGTTTTCTTAAAAAAACAAAAAAAAGCTATTTGAGCTAATTGGTATCACACAATTGTGGGTAGAAAGATTATATATATATATATATATATATATATATATATATATATATATTTATGGTAACCTAGTAAAATACAGAAGAAAGATGTCAAAATTATCTTAAATACTCAACTATTAGAACTGGTTAAATATAAAAAGAGTACATTTGTTGGGATTGAGGAGTGGTCTGTACAATCCCTAATGTTAAAAAAAATGTGTGTTTGAACCATATTTTTCACCCTATTTCAATGTTAGAAAAATTCGGAAGACAATCATGAATTCTGATGTACCAATTGATATCCTTTTTGGACAGAAAATCATTGTATAAGTAACATAGAATGACTATTAGGTATTATTTTTCAAAAGAATACCAAGTACCCAAATGGTTGTTCCTACACCATCAAATTTAAAGTTTCCAATGAGAACTGCATCTTCAGTAGGGATTAAAAATTAGGCTTTGGGGCAGGGCCAGTATGGCCAACTAGAAGCAGCAGAGATCGGAGGCTGCCATTGAAAAGAACCACAACAGTATGCAAATCCTGCACTGGCAATCGAGATATCCAGATTCTGTCATCAGAACTGACTAGGTGGCTAGCATGATCCAAGGAGAGGAAAAAGAGCAGTGTGGTGCAGCAGCCCACCTGAGAGCCACATGGGGCAGGGGAGCCCCCATTCCATAGCCAAGGGAGGTGGTGAGGGAGTGTGCTACCCAGCCTGAGAAACCATGTTTTTTACATGGAACTGTGCAACCCACAGATTGGATGATCCCAGTCACAAGCACACGCCACCAGGGCCTAGGGTCCCAACCAGAGATCCACACAGATTCTCAATAGCCACTCATCTAGAATCTGCTTAAGCCTGCCGAGCTCTCAGGGGAAGGGGTGGCCAGCATCTCAGCTGTGGCTGCCTGTTGTCTAAGTCATTTGAGCTTCTTGGGGGAGGGTTGGTAGCCAACACTGGGACTGATAGCTGCCTAACACACTAAGCTCCCAGGGCAGGGGAAGGGTGGCAGCAATCTCTATAGCTCCAGGCCACGCTTTTCTTCTGCTGGAGCCAGAGAGGCTGAATGGCTTGGTCTCAAGAGGTATCCCCCATAGCCCAACATACTGGCTGTGGCAGACTGTGGCCAGAGTGCCTCTTCAGACCTGAACCTGACCCATCCCTCCCCACTGGGTTGGGCCTCCCTGCAGGAACTCCAAGAACTCCAGCCAGGGGCTCAGGGACAGAACTCTGATCTCCCTGGGCTTGAGTCCCTAGTGGGAGGTGTGGCCACAGTCTCCAGGGACCAGCAGAATTAGTTTTTCCTCCTGATAGTTCTGGGCAATCCAGGCAGACCAGACGAGTGATTTTCCTTTCAGCAAAGCACACCCTGTCCACCAAGGGACAGTCAAAGTGCTTCATTAAACAGGAACTGTTCCCTATGCCACTCAACTTGGTAAGACCCTCCAACAGGAGTTCTCAGACACCCTATACAGGAGTGTTCCTACTGGCATCAGATAGGTGCCCCTTGAGGTCAGAGATCCCAGAGGAAGGAACAGACACCCATCCTTGCTGTTCTCCAGCCTCCTCAAGTGACATCTCCAGGTGCCGGAGTGAACCAGATGAATAGGGCCTGAAGTGAACCTCCAGGAAACTGCAGCAGCCTTACAGAAGATGGACCTGACCATTGAAAGAAAAACAAACAAACAGAAAGGAACAACAGCAGCATCAACAACAACAACAAAAAAGTCCCCATAGAAACCCCATCTGAGGGTCAGCAGCCACAACGATAGAAACTAGACAAAGTCATGAATGTGAGAAAGAATTAACAACAACAACAACAACAACAAAAAGATGAAAATCCAGAAGGCCAGAGTGTCCCTGGTCTTCCAAATGATTGCAGTGCGTCTCCAGCAAGGGCACAGAACTGGACAGAGGATGAGATGGAGGAATTGACAGAAGTAGGCTTCAGATGTTGAGTAATAACAAACTGCTGAGCTAAAGGAGCACGTTCTAACCAAATACAAAGAAGATAAGAACCTTGATAAAAGGTTACAGGAGCTGCTAACTAGAATAACCAGTATAGAGAGAAATATAAATGACCTGATGGAGGTGAAAAACACAGCAGGAGAACTTTGTGAATCATACACAGGTATCAATAGCCAAATTGACCAAGTGGAAGACAGGATATCAGATTTTGAAGACTGTCTTGCTGAAATAAGGCATGCAGACTAGATTAAATAAAAAACAATGAAAAGGAATGAACAAAACCTCTGAGAAATATGGAACTATGTCAAAAGACTGAACCTATGATTGATTGGAGTATGGGAAAGAGATGGTTAGAATGGAACCAAGTTGGAAAACACCCTTCAGGATATTATCCAGGTAAACTTCCCCAACCTAGCAAGGCAGCCCAACATTCAGATTCAGGAAATACAGAGAACACCACTAAGATACTCCATAAGAAGATCAACTCCAAGACACAAAATCATCAGATTCCCCAAGGCTGAAATAAAATAAAAAATGTTAAGGGCAGCCAGGGAGAAAAATCAGGTCACCTACAAAGGGAAGCCCATCAGACTAACAGTGGATCTCTCAGCAGAAACCCTACAAGCCAGAAGAGAATGGGGGCCAATATTCAACATTCTTAAAGAAAAGAATTTTCAATCCAGAATTTTATTTCCAGCCAAACTAAGCTTCATAAGCAAAGGAGAAATAAAACCCTTTCAAAAGAAGAAAATGCTGAGGGATTTTGTCACCATCATACCTGCCTTACAAGAGCTCCTGAAGGAAGCACTCAATATGGAAAGGAAAGACAAGTACCAGCCACTGCAAAAACACACCAAAATATGAAGACCAAATGACACTATGAAGAAACTGCAACAGTTAATGTCCAAAATAACCAGATAGCGTCATGATGACAGGATCAAATTCACATGTAACAATACTAACCTTAAATGTAAATGGACTAAATGCCCCAGTTAAAAGACAAAGACTGACAAATTGGATAAAGAGTCAAGACTCATCAGGGTGCTGTATTCAGGAGACCCATCTTATGTGCAAAGACACAAATAGGCTCAAAATACCAAGCAAATGGAAAGCAAAAAAAAAGCAGGGGTTGAAATCCTAGTTTCTGACAAAACAGACTTTAAACCAACAAAGATAAAAAAAGACAAAGAAGGGTATTACATAATAGTAAAGGGATCAATTCAACATGAGGAGCTAACTATCCTAAATATATATGCACCTGATACAGGAGCACCCAGATTCATACAACAAATTCTTAGAGACCTACAAAGAGACTTAGTCTCCCACACAATAGTAGCAGAAGACTTTAACACCCCACTGTCAATATTAGATATATCAGTGAGAGAGAAAATTAACAAGGATATTCAAAACTTGAATTGATCTATGGATCAAGTGGACCTAATAGACATCTACAGAACGCTCCACCCCAAATCAACAGAATATATATTCTTCTCAGTGCTACATGGCCTTTATTCTAAAATTGACCACATAATTAGAAGTAAAACACTCCTCAGCAAATGCAAAAGAACTGAAATCATAACAAACAGTCTCTCAGACCAAAGTGCAATCAAATTAGAAGTTGGGATTGAGAAATTCACTCATAATCACACAACTACATGGAAACTGAACAACCTGCTCCTGAATGACTCCTGGGTAAATAATGAAATTAAGGAAGAAATGAAGAAGTTCTGTAAAACCAATGAGAATAACGAAACAGCATACCAGAATCTCTGGGACACAGCTAAAGTAGTGTTAAGAGGGAAATTTATAGCACTAAATGCCCACATAAGAAAGCTACAAAGATCTCAAATTGACACCCTGACATCACAATTAAAAGAAATGGAAAAATTCCTGGACACATAACACCCTCCCAAGACTAAACCAGTAAGAAATCAAATCCCTGAATAGACCAATAACAAGTTCTGAAATTAAGGCAATAATTATTAGAGTACCAACCAGAAAAAGCCCAGGACCAGATGGATTCACAGCCAAATTCTTCCACAGGTACAAAGAGGAGCTGGTACCATTCCTTCTGAAACTATTCCAGGGAGTTGAAATGGAGGGACTCCTCCCTAACTCATTTTATAAAGCCAGCATCATCCTGATACCAAAACCTGGCAAAGACACAACAACAAAAGAAAACTTCAAGCCAATATCCCTGATGAACATCAATGCAAAAATCCTCAACAAAATAGTGACAAACTGAATCCAGCAGCTCATCAAAAAGCTTATCCCCCACAATCGAGTCAGCTTCATCCCCGGGATACAAGGCTGGTCAATCATATGCAAATTAATAAGTGTAATCCATCACAAAAGAGAACCAATGACAAAAACCACATGATTATCTTAATAGATGCAGAAAAGGCCTTCAATACAATTTGACACCTCTTCATGTTAAAAACTCAATAAACTAGGTATTAATGGAACATATCTCAAAATAATAAGAGCTATTTATGACAAACCAACAGCCTATATCACACTGAATGGGCAAAAGCTGGAATCATTCCCTGTGAAAACCGACACAAGACAAGGATGCCCTCTCTCACCGCTCCTATTCAACATAGGATGGTTGAAGAGAAAGAAATAAAGAGAGGAAATAAAGAGAAATAAATAAAGAGAGTAAGTCAAATTGTCTCTGCAGATGACATGATTCTATATTTAGAAAACCCCATTGTCTCAGCCCCAAAACTCCTCAAGCTGGTAAGCAACTTCAGCAAGCTCTCAGGATACAGAAGCAATGTGCAAAAGTCACAAAAAATCCTATACGCCAACAATAGACAAGCAGACAGCCAAATGATGAGTGAACTCCAGTTTACAATTGCTACAAAGAGAATAAAATACTTAGGAATACAACTTACAAGGGATGTGAAGGACCTCTTCAAGGAGAACTACAAACCACTGCACAAGGAAATAAGAAAGGAAATAAACAAGTGAAAAAAAAGATTCCATGCTCATGGATAGGAAGAATCAATATCGTGAAAATGGCCATACTACCCAAAGTAATTTATAGATTCAATGCTATCTCCATCAAACTACCATTGACATTATTCACGGAATTATGGAAAACTACTTTAAATGTCATATGGAACCAAAGAAGAGCCTGTATAGCCAAGACAATCCTAAGCAAAAAGAACAAAACTGGAGGCATCATGGTACCTGACCTCAAACTATACTACAAGGCTACAGTAAATAAAACAGCATGGTACTGGTACGAAAACAGTCATATAGATCAGTGGAACATAACAGAGAGCTCAGAAATAACATCACACATCTACAGCCATCTGATCTTCAACAAACCTAACAAAAACAAGCAATGGAGAAAGGGTTTCTTATTCAATGAATGGTGCTGGGAAAACTGGCTAGCCATATGCAGAAAACTGAAACTGGACCCTTTCCTTACTCCCTATACAAAAATTAACTCAAGATGGATTAAAGACTTAAATGTAAAACCCAAAACCATAAAATCTCTAGAAGAAAGCCAGGACAATGCCATTCAGGACACAGGCGTGGGCAAAGACTTCATGACAAAAACACCAAAAGCAATTGCAACAAAAGCCAAAATTGACAAATGGGATCTAAATTAACTAAAGAGCTTCTGCACAGCAAAGTAAACTATCATCAGAGTGAACAGGCAACCTAAAGAATGGGAAAAAAGTTTACAATCTTTCAATCCGACAAAGATCTAATATTCAGAATCTACAAGGAACTTAAAAAAGTTTACAAGAAAACAACAAACAACCCCATCAAAAAGTGGGTCAAGGACATGAACAGATACTTCTCAAAAGAAGACATTTATGCAGCCAACAAACATGAAAAAAAAAATCAACATCATTGATCATTATAGAGATACAAATCAAAACCACAGTGAGATATTATCTCACACCAGTCAGAAAGGTGATTATTAAAAAGTCAAGAAACAATAGATACTGGGAAGCTTGGAGAAATAGGAATGATTTTACATTGCTGGTAAGAATGTAAATTAGTTCAACTATTGTGGAAGACAGTGTGGTGATTTCTTAAGGGTCTAGAACCAGAAATACCATTTGACCCGGCAATCTCATTACTGGGTATATGCCCAAAGGAATATAAATCATTCTATATAAAGGTACATGCACACATAGGTTTATTGAAGCACTATTTGCAATAGCAAAGACACAGAACCAACCCAAATGCCCATCAACGATAGACTGGATAAAGAAAATATGGTACATATACATCATGGAATACTATGCAGCCATAAAAAGGAATGAGATCATATCCTTTGTGGGTACATGGATGAAGCTGGAAGCCATCATCTTCAACAAACTAAGAAAGAAACAGAAAACCAAACACTGCATGTTCTCACTCATAAGTGGGAGTTGAACATGTACACAGGCAGGAGAACAACACACACCAGAACTGGTTGGCGGTGGTGGTGAGTGGAGGAAGAGAGAAGAGCATTAGGACAAATAGCTAAATGCATATGGGACTTAAAACCTAGATGACGGCTTGATAGGTGCATCAAACCACCATGGCACGTGTATACCTACGTAGCAAACCTACAAGTTCTGCACTTGTATCCCGAACTTCAAGTTAAAAAAAAAAAAAAAAATTAAGGCCTCATTCCACAACCAATACCTTTTAGGCTGTTCATTCAATGGATGTAAATTTGCCCTTTAGTGAGAGTGTGAGCAATCTAGGAAGTTTTTTTTTAATCAGTTCTATTTAAACAATCATAAAACTATGAGACTATCAGGCACACAGAGAAATTCAGATTTAGCCGTTTTTGTAATTATGTATATTATGTTTTTGTGAAACTCAAAAAGAGGGCACTGGTCCTTACTATACAATTTTTAGGTAGTGAAAGGAAAACCTCTATGTATTTTAAATATAGCAATTGATTAACAATTGACCTCTTTCTTAATCAAATGACACTTCTGGGTAAGCATACCAAGCCTTTCACTTTGTTCATACCTACTTCTCATAGGGTTTAATCCATTCTCATTTGATGTCAAGTGCCTCAAATAATCTACTATATTTTTTATTATTGGTTTTGTCAGACTTCTAAATGTTCTCATTATTAAGTACATATGATACCCTTCTTTCCTTCTATATTGGAGGGCAGGAATGGAAATGTTTTAAAATGAATTTAATTATGTAATAAATAATTGAGATCAAGTAGCAGATGAGGCTAGAGGGATTGGATAATTAAGTAAATGAAATAAGACCGCAACTAATTTTTTGAAGAAGGTGATGCCAAAATTAGCTAGACAGCATAAAACCAGAAAAAGAACAAATATGTTGATGGGACATTCCCTTACATCCCAAGTGAATAGTCAAGTGGAAATAGCTGAGTTTTCTTCTGCTACTCTTAGGAAAATGAAAGAAAATAGTGTTACTTTTTTTTATATTTCCACATGACTGTTGTCATGTTGTCATTAGTTTGTGTAGTCTATCAAAGTATAAATACTTCATCATGTACAATGTCGTCACTCTGAGAAGTTATATTAATTTTGAAAAATCTGTGATTTCTAGTTTTGTTCTGTATTCTTCCATTCAAAATCAGAGAATGTGTTTCTAAAACTTTCTGTTCTCCCTCAGAAACAAAATTATACTTCTCTGAAAATGTAACTCTCTTTTCCTCAAGTAGGAATAAATATGACAGAACTTGGCTTGGGCCCACCTCCTAGAGGTGTTTTAATAGGACTGGCTGACTGGCTAAAAGATTTTACAGACTTAGAGTTGAATCAAAAGTTCCTTCGAACTCTAGGACTCTGTGATAGCAGAATTACCTGGATTTATAATCACCAAAGAAGCTGACATAAATTTGAGTGAACCTGAATTTTAAGACTTATATGATTTCTCTGCTGGAATGTGGAGGAATTGGAAAGTCCCTCTGCCAGACCCAGAGACCAATTGGCCACCCTCTCCTCTCAACTTCAACTCCATTCATCATAACCCATGTCAACCCAGCCTGCATGTTCAAAGTGTCCACTCACCCTGCAAACAGCCTTTCATTTCCTCTCAACTTCAGCTGCATTCATCATAACCCATGTCAGCCCAGCCTGCATGTTCAAACGGTCCACCCGCCCTGCAAACAGCCTTTCATTGCACCTAGGGATGCACAGGTGAGGTGTGTGTTCTACTTGTGGGATATGGACCTGGAAAAAAGGCCTATGCTGGTCCTGGTAACAGGGAATTCCGGGTACCACATACCTGTGTGTTCTAGAACAGTGCTTTGCAAACAAACAGTAAAATAGATTTGATTTTGATTTCTGATCCCTCTTGAACTGATAATTTTATAACAAGTTTCTAGAAAAAAAAGAAATAAAACACAATAAATACAAGCTCATTAATTTTCATTATGAAATTCACCAGACATAAAATTACTTTTTCAAATGGCTCTAGAAATGTTGAAAGGTAACACACAGTTTCTGTATTTATCATGTTGTTGTCTGGAAGCTACTGCAGGGTCTCAAAGGGGAGGTGGAGAAGGGACACAGATTTCAGCCAGGCAGGCACATTCCTGAGCAAGAGTTAAACTAGAGAAAGGTCAGAGGAGGGCCTTCTACAGGGGAAGAATCAGAGAAGGGGCCCATCTTGCCCACATTTCAAAACAGTACTAAACACAGGGCATGGTAAATTTTCAAAAATGTATTTTAAAACCTAAGCTGAAGGAAATGTATTTTAAATAATGCTTTTCTAACAGTTAACACTAGTTTTCATTTAGACATTTTATTCAGCAATCTCTTTACTTGTCTGTGAATTCCTTTTTGCTTTTTAAGTTTAATTCATGTGCTAGAGAGTTAATTTTGGCACCAAAATTATTTTACAAGTAAATTGATTTAAAAAGATTGAATAGCTGAAGGTAAGAACACATAGCCAAAAGAAGAAGCCATCTCATATCAAAATATTTAAGTCTTTTATTAGAAGATGACTTCAGCCTATATTCAATTTTTATGTTCTAATTATTTTAATAAACACATAATATATCACTTTGATACATATTTAACATGTTATGGAACATTCTAACATTTTCTAATTCCGTCAAAGTATTGAATTAAGTATTGTAAATATAAGGCTTTTTGTGTTTCATTTTGTTTCAGTATTTAGGTTCTAAAAGGTAAAATCAATTACTTATTCTATTCCATAAAAAAATAGTTCATAAAGTCATAACATATTCAGTAGCTAAAATACTCCTGCAAAAAAAAAATCAGTTACAAAGCATAAAAAAATATTAATTATAAAATTTCTTTTTTTATGAAGTATAAAGAAATTTTTTTGTAATTTGCTAACTTAAAAATAATTGAAATGTGCCATATCTTTTCACCTTGAGGCTTTAGCTCCAAGGAAATATTCATTACAAAGTTATGACCAATAAAATTATTTAGCAATAGAGAAAGCATTGTAATTGGACATCATACGCCATGCTAAATTTGCCATATAGATAAAAATTTCTAAAATGATGAAAATTTAAACTGCAAATTTAAACTCACAATTCAGAGATTTATTGCATCTGTCATTTGTTGTGCCATATCTATGGCCCATTTTATCTTTTCTCTCTCTCTCTCTATCTCTATTATCTCTTTCTGTATCTCTGTGTTCATTTTCACACCATTAGAGTTACTTGGAGGATGTTTTTTCCCAAAGTTTGAAATAGCATTTATTCCTGGCAACTTCAGAGTCGTCTAGTGACAAAAGTCAATAGAGATCAGAATATGAACTTGACATTTGATAATAATTCAGATAAAGGATTTGAACAATAATATTTTAATCTTTTAAAGGATATCAAAAGAACTTTGTTTCACAGATTCTTTCCCATGTGCTATTTTTACACTTACGTATAAATTCATCTGATAGTGGAAATGTATATAATTTATTGGAGAGAACTAATAGTGATGGTAATGCAATTACTGGCCTTGAGATTACTTCCAGCTCTCCAGGAGATGTTGATTATTAGTCTACCCTTTTCATCTGCATACAGCAGACCAAGAGGGTGAGACATTAATTCTACCAGATATGTGATACTCCTTCATTTTTCTGCATTTTCTTTTGCATGTGTCACTATTAGACTCATTAGATTCATGGTAACACTGTAAGAACTAAATGAAAACAAGCAACATAAAAGTTTAAAATATCTTCTATTAAGACACCTCTGAAAATTTTGTGAGTATGCACTAACGTTGGATGACATCGAATTGAGCAAACATCTTAAAGAAGGTAAAAAATGCTTGTATGGATATCTAAACCTTCTTCATTCTATCACTTTGGAATTCTGAATTCTCCAGGATAAGTTAGTACAATGTCAAATCTCATTCTCAGAAATATGTTAGTTTAGGCTAACAACACTTTTTCCTGATTATTCTCCTTTTAATTTTAAACACACACACACTTCTGGGTTAATATAATAATTTATAAATAAATTTTTTATTTATTGAATTTAATAGTATTTTAATAAATAATATTCTTACTAGCTTTATGGAAAAGATAGTTCTGTTTTCTGTTAGGCTTGTAAATAGATGACTATCATTGCTCTTAGTTTGTTGAGCCCTATATTTTGTCAGATATATACTATTGTTTTTACTATTCAGCAACATTCTTTTTTAAAATCTAGGCCCTACTCCTTTTGGCAACATACTAGTAAACATGATATTTGCCTTGAACAAATTCTTCTGCATCCAAGGAGTTATACTTTCCTAACTTTGCTTTTGACTTCAACAAATACCGACAAAGACCATGGGCTAATGAAAGAAGAGCATATACTAAATATGGCGAAAGGTGATATTTTTTAGAGATTAATTGCCACGGTATGAAAAGGGCTTGGAGAATTGACCAGTCAGACAAATTCTTAGCCCCTTGTGTTATAATTATTAAGACAAGAAAAATAAATGTTTTCTTACTGCCGTTTTCTCTATCTTGCACCCTCGCTTTCCTCTTTCACTATGCATACTTACAAACATACACACTCATCCCTTGAGGGCAGCAATCATCTTCTATTCATCTCAGATTTTCCTGAATTCCTTACAGAAAGCCTTGTGTTACTATTGTTAGGTGTTAACAGCAATTATAAAGGAAGAGGGAAAAATATTCTACTCCAAGACACATCTGCTGAGACATGTCAACAGAAAGGGTATCTTTGTAAATATTAGTCATGAGCTGTAGATATGCCATGAGCTGTAGAGCTCTGTAGTCCCACCTAGGGATTTTAGCACTCATTGATACCACTTCCAGGAAAATCAACCAAACTGATGGGAGCAGTTTTCTCATCATGTGGATGAGATTTCACATGTAGTTATCCATATGATCTGCTATAGGGCAATAATAAATATATGCTCTTGGAACGCAGAATTACTTTAGACCACAATACAAAAATAATCTTTGTCATTTTGTTTATTGGCAACAAATGACTAAATATATGGAATAATTTATTCTGTGTGGTTCATCATTATTTTTTCATTGTGATTTTTGCTACATATGTCTAATGTTAAAAAACTGATGATTTCCCTGAAAAAAGGGTTTACTTCTGTTTTGCTTGCATTTGTTTTATATATGTATTTGTTTTTGAATACATTGAATTGTTTAAAATGAACTAAAGTAATTTTTAGTTGTTTTTCCTTTTGTTCTCAGGAATATTTGCACTGTAGCAGGCATTTCAAAGGTGGCTGTAGAAGAAGAAATTAGGGGAAAATATAGAAAGAATATATAAACAAGCTGGATTTCTTCCCACAAATAATGAGTGTTATAAGCAAGACCTGATTGGAGTCTTAAATATATACAATGAAGTATCCATATTCCAACTTTGAATACAAAGATGTGTATGCTAAAGATTTGGCCTTCAAATTCAGTTTTCTAAAAATAAAACTCAATATAGAAATCTATTTGTAAAAGTAATAAGACCCATGACAAACATTATCCTACCTTATTATGCTTTTGAATTAGCCAATAAATTAAAACTTCTGAATCCTATGTCCCTAAATAAAGTTAAAACAACAATTATTGACAACTCAGCTAAGTGAACTAACATTTATATTGTCCCATTATTCCATAATGCTTTATACATTTTGATTTTAAAAACCATACATTATTCTTCCACTGCATTGGCCCACATTCTGAACTGTCACTCTACTGTGATGTGTTAGGGTTTTTTCTTTTTTTTTTTAACTTAACTTTTCTAATCATCGTCATTTTAGTGAATTTCGTGTACTTCAAATAAACATATACATTACTTTTTATAACATTGTACTAGAAGGAAAAATATTAAATGCATTTTTCATAAAAAGCGAAAGTTGCATATTTGTATAATACAAAAAATATGTTAGAACATAGGACTACAATTCTCATGTCTAATGGATGCATCCAAAGGCCTTGAGTGATTATAGAAAGTCAGGCAATAGGTCTTAAGGAATGCAGGAAATTTCACCCCAAAATAGGGCTCCCTTGGTATAATGAAAAAAAAATTTTTTTTTTTTTTTGAGATGGAGTCTTGCTCTGTTGCCCAGGCTGGAATGCAGTGGTATGATCTCAGCACACTGCAACCTCCACCTTCCAGGTTCAAGCAATCCTCCTGCCTCAGCCCCCCAGTAGCTGGGATTACAAGCACACACCACCATGCTGGACTAATTTTTCTGTTTTTAGTAGAGATGGGGTTTTGCCATGTTGGCCAGGCTGGTCTCGAACTGCTGTCTTCAGGTGATCCACTCACCTCGGTCTCCCAAAGTGCTGGGATTACAGGCATGAGCCACTGCACCCAGCCATAATGAGCATTTTGAATTAAATGGCCTTAGAGATCAAGTGCTGGAAGAGACTTTTCCCTATATCTACATAAAGATAAGACTGACCCACTAAGGAGAACAATTGTTCTTGTTTCCCTCCCTGTTATTTTATTAAACATTATAAGAGAGAAGACCAGGAATGTAAGCACACCTGAACACACCCTTTTTCAATACAATGACTGTCTCCAAAGATCATTTAAATTCCAAAAAGAACTATTTACAAGTTATTTTAACTTCTGTTCCTCTATTCAATCATTCTCCCTAGTGATTACTTATTGCCCCTGAATCAATTTCCTCTTCTCTCTGTCCCCTAACCTGTTTTGCCAGGATCCAAGTCCCCATTCTTTCTGTAACCTCAAGATGATATATAAACTTCTGGAACTCACTTCGACATCAGGCAATCACTCTGTGATTCTCCTTGTGCTCACAGTTAAATAAATGTGTATGCCTATTTGATAAGTGCAAGAGGCAGATAAGGGGGAAGTTCCCCAAAGCATTTCCAACTGGCTTGTGCACTGGGAGGACGGGGCGAAGCCTTGGGACATTTGCACCATTTGCAGGGGGTGGAGCCTGGCCTTTCCTGTCCCAGGATGGCAACGTGGGATTCAGTTGGTCAGGTGAAGAACCACAGGACTCCATATCATTTTGCTGACTTGTTTTTCCTTTTTGCCCAATAAATTCCTCTACTCACCCTTATAAGAGGAGGTGCCAGCTGGGCTTTCTGGGTCGAGTAGGGGCTCAGAAACTGTGAAACTCACTCATTTCCTGCATCAGGACTTACTTTGGTCCTGAATGAACACTATTGAAGATAAATGCTTAAAATATTCCTAACACCAGGATTTGTGCATGTATTTTCTTCCCCAAGAAAGCTATAAACAGCGAAAATTTTGCTGTAAGTTTCCCTGTATCCTTCTCTCCCTCTCTCCCTTCCCCCTCCCGCAAAACTAAAGTTAAAAGTAATGTTAACTGCCCGTTTTCCTGTGACCAGTGGGCCTTATCTATCCTCCCAATTTGAATTCCTTGTGAACATACTTTGTAAAGTCCTGTACAATCCTATCTCTTTTGCCATGCTGTTGCCATAAAGTAGATAAAACCTAAGTTGCAATTCCGGTTTTCCTCAAGATCTAAGACATATCACAAATGGTTAATTGCCTTTGTTTTTCACTCTGGTAACATATTGCCCCACGTATTTCCTGCCTTAAAGAGTTTAAAAGGCAATCACATAATCTAACTCTGGCTACCCATTCGTTTGGGACCCCTTCCATGCTGTGGGAGCTTTGTACTTTCACTCTGCTCAATAAAGCCTACAGCTTTTTCTCTCTCTTGGTCCATGTCTCTATCACTCACTGTGGTCAGCCGCCACACCAATTCTTTGGCGTGGCTAGGCAAGAACCTTAGGCGTTAACACTTAGATGTCTCTATGAGCCCAATCTTTCCTGGTCGTGTGACAAGAACTCGTTTTTTTCTACAACATTTTCTCTTATTAATCTGCCTTATTGTGAGTTGATTTTTCAATGAACTTTTGAAGTGGGCTAAGGCCTTTCATCTGCACAAGGCTAATAAAAGTGTAATAGATTATGTTCTTTATTTTATATACTATTTCAATTCTTGAAAAATATTTTTGAGCGCACCTATTTAGGACTTTATCTCATTTTAGCAGGAAGTGACTGACTAGGAAGACTAGAATGAACTATGAACACTGAAGTTACTCAGCCTGTAAATAAACATGTATTAAAGAAGCATTTTTTAAATTAACAAATAATACATTCAAAAAGATGTATTAAATATTGATACAACTGTCTGTGGCAGCAAATCTGTTCGGGACTGCAGCAGCTCAATTCTTGCCTCCTCAGAAGAAATAATTCAACAGAGAGGCATAAAGCAGAGTGAGAGACCGAGGCAAATTTTAGAGCAGAAGTGAGTTTATTAAAAACTTTAAGGGCAGGAATGAAAGGAAGTGAAGTACATTTGGAAAAGGGCCAAGCAGGCTACTTGAAAGATTTAAGTGTGTGTTTTGACCTTTGACTTTGGGTTTTATATGTTGGCATGCTTCCAGGGGGTTTGCATCTCTTCTCCCCAGGTTTTCCTTGGGGTGGGCTGTCTGCATGCACAGTGGCCTGCCAGCACTTGGGATGGGCCACATGCCCAGTGTGTTTACTGAAGTTCTATGCTTGTGTACTTGAGGCATTTTTCCTCTTACCAGTCAAGTGTTACAGTTAAACTCCAATGTTTTACCTCTTAGCATACATGTTTAAGCCCACTCACCCAACTCCTGAGATCTTATCAGGAAGCTGTTGATCACCAGTTTCAGGTGTTTCTATCTATTGGGAGACTGCCTTTCCCTCCTGCTGGCTGCATCAATTAGATAGACAGTTTAATAACTGCCTGGCCATCACCTGATGATCACCTAATATTCCTGGTGTGGGGAGGCCCTTTCCTGCCCTGCTCATGTCTGACTACTTACTGTAACACAGCTATTTAAAGACTCATTTGAGAGTCTTACAAGAATATGACTCTTTCCTCTGTAGCCCACAGCATCCTTTACTGTCAGGGTTGAAGGTTTCTACCATTTGAATCTAAACCAAGGTGTTTGAGAGGGAGCTGAGAAGAACTGGCCATTGAGGTTTTATACAAAGAGCAGGGTTTTCAGTGAGACATCAAGTATTGAGAAAATATAATTAAAATAAAATCACCTACCAACCCAATGAATCCGCTTCACAAAATGTAAAAAGAAATGAAACAGCTTTTCTGTTAAATAAAAATTAAGCCAGATTGTGATCTGCATCAGAGGCAATCTGTAGAGGAGATTTCAAAAAAGAGAAACCTCACCCTTTTTATATAGCTTGACAGATATAATCCATTACACACATGTTAATTGTCTTTATCAAAAGAAAAATATACACTTCTATCTTTATAATAATCAAGAAGTTACATAATGGAGCCAAGTGCCTAGGCTTTAACACTCAGTGAAACAGGAAGACAGGATACAATCTTCCTTGATGTTCTTATTTCAAAAAGATAGCTCCAAGGCCTCTAAGAAGGACATTCTTAGAATGTAAAACTTGTAAGTGTTTTCTTTAGCTTTTAAAACATTTACACATATCTGAAAGAAAAAGAAAGCATCTACAACTTTAGGTTTTCTATAGGAAATTCTAAAGAGAAGGGGGGTTGGGGGAGTTCTCTTACCTTTATAATTTCAAGAAAATTTTTACATTTTTTTAAAGATTTGCATTTATACTTAGAAGTTTTCTTTTTTGTTACTATTTTATAACACGATAATTATTAAATTATGTGTATTGCTGTTTCTACTCTTCTCTGGGCAGTTTGCAGTTATCAAAATATATAGCAAATCCAATGTAAAATACAAAGCAAGGTAATTATCAGAAATATAATTGAATTAATTTATAAATTTATTGTATTATTAGCCTTGAAGGAATAACCTTTAAATATTTAAGTGAACCAATAGTGAATAGTTCAAGCAGATTCTTGATTAGCCATGAACAAAAATTCTCCATCATCCATTAATTTTATAAACTGTTGTGGTATCTACATTGCTTATACTTTCAAATAATTATCTATTTGAATATTATTTTTGTAGATCCTCATGACATCTTACTAAACCAAGCCTAAGGTGTAACTTAACCCTAGAACTCAAATATCTAAATTTTTAAATAAAATATTTTTTGGAGGGCCAAAATACTTATTCAGAGTTTTCATCAATCACGTAAGTAATATTACATTTATAAGATAATCTAGGACTTTTAGCATTTATTTCATTTTTCCAATTTTTTTGGAGATGGAAAACACAACCATTTTCTAGTATCCTTATGAGGCACCTCTTAAGGGTACAGATTGAACTTCCAGTATTTAATATACATGACTTTAATTGTTACAATTCTTGTGGAAAAAGCCTATAGGTTTCACATAAGCCCAAATCAATAATTTAATTATAATAACAGTCAATTAAATCTCTGCAAATAATAGACATTTACTTTTGTTTCTATATTGATATTTGGACTGGAGAGACTTGTGTCCCAAAGCTAATTAACTTATATTAGACTTATCATTTGCAGTCTTACCTATAAACGTCAGATTTGTCTGTTAATTAGATGTTTTTCATTCTAAATTATCCTTCCATTTAAATCAGTTAAAAAATTGTGTGTGCCTGTATGTGTGAAATTTATGGATTAATATTTAGACACATATTAGTTACTTTTACTTTGGGATTATTAAAAAATTAGTAAGAAGATGGTCTCACTTTTACTCTGCCAATAATTGGACTGTTGAACTTATAAGCAGATCATACCTATTCTTGTGTAAAAGAAAAATTGCACCAGACAAGTCAAACAAACAAGACTTTTCCTAAAACTATTGCAGTAGGGGAGAGAGACTGAACTCAACTCTGCTGAAACAAAAAGTGGGAGGGTTTTTAAGCAGTGGAGTGAGTTAGTGGAAAATCACTGGAAAGCTTTAGATGAGAGATTAGTCAATGTATACAGACCATCTGCGTTTCAATTGTTTCTTGTTGAAGTTAAGCTCCTATCCTCCCATAGAGACTGGGAGACAGGTGCTACCTCCTTCAATGATTACATTTCAAAGGAATGGCTTGGAGGTTCTTGAGAAAGATATTCTTTGTTGAATATTTACATCCAAAGGGGTAGAGAATGGATTTATAATTGCAAGTTTTTTTTTAACTTAAATGCTTTAAGAAACAGTAGGTCAGGAACCTGTAGTCAGAAAGAAACCCACCTAAAATTTTCTAAAGTTTAGTTAGGGTGACTGGAACATTAAGCCCATCTTAATCACTGGGAGTCCAATTCCTAGCTGTTTGGAAATAAGTGATTGTGGGAACTATTATTACCAGGAGTACACAAAGAAAAAGTAGTGTAACAAATAACATTTTTTTAATAAAATGTGGTTCTTAAAGTAATTGAAATAATGTTACTGTGAATAGGACAACAAAGCAGTCTATGAGCATAAGCTCACTAGAATTTCTTCTTTCAGTTGAGTTCAGAGCCAAAATTACTTATCTAGAAAATTTTTTTGAGTCCTTTGTAGGAACTATTGTCAAATTCTTCTGAGGTGCTGGCTCCACATGAATCTGCGTGAGATTTTCTTTCACTTTGCTAGCCATGTGGATCATCAAGAGCACTTGATCCTTCTAGCACAGGATCAGCTAATCTTACCTCTGGAATACTTTCAGATAAATCGAATCTCCTGGTCAATAGGGTGGCAAATTTCTTTCAACAGGTCCTTCCAGGTCCTTATGGTTTTGTGTCTTAGGGATTCTAGGAAAGAAAGAAGCACCTTGAAGTATGAACATGATTAAGAGAGAATTCAGTTAAATTGGGCACAGGACATGGTTTCTGACTGAATTTCATAGGTCTGGCAACCATTAGTTCAAAGGGGAAAAATATCACGCTTGTTTGCAGATGTCATTCTAATTTTTGACAATGCTAACAGTAAAATGCTAGGCCATTTTTATCCAGTATATTGCCTAATCTCAGCAAATGAGTTCCATTCATCTTATAGAAATCTATAAATAATTGCATAATTACTAGGTGACAGTGATAATAATGTTGTAACCGAGCGAGTTGTAGAGAAACGCCACACTCTGAGACTAATTCAGGAGTCCTTTTATTGCTGGCGACCGAGAGACGGCTAGCGCTCAAAATTCTCTTGGCCTCGAAGAAGGGGCTAGATTTTCTGTTATACTTTGGTTTAGAAAGGGGAGGGGGAGCCTAGCTGAAGCAATCTTACAGAAGTAAAACAGGCAAAAGAAGGTTAAAAAGATAAATGGTTACAGGAAAACAAACAGTTCCAGGTGCAGGGGCTTTAAATCCATCGCAAGGTGATAGACGCGGGGCTTTGGGTGCTATCAACCGGACACAAATGCGGGGGCTTAGGGTACTATCGACTGGGCAAATTCCTGGAAACTGTGGATATAGCTTGCCACAGTATCTTATCAGTAATTACATTCTTTGATGGGCTGGGAGTCAGCTTGCACAAGTTAAGTCCTTGAAGAAAAGTGGGGGTGGGTAAGGGGCTGCAAGTGAAGGAACCAAAATGGAGTCTGTCCGGCTCTCTCAGCTAAGGGAGAGGCAATTCCAGTTAAAACAAGGTAGGATATCACAATAAGATGACTTCCTTTCTCTGATTCATTATGCTTCTGTAGCCCCAAAGTGGAAATCATGGGTATTAAAAGATACTTTACCGGGCTTGCACATTCACATTTAAAGACGGAAAGACTTCAGACCATCCAAACATCATATATACTATAACTAGACAAAATATCTTACTTTTTGTAGACATTAATTCTATGAAATCCAACTGCCACTTAATTTCTGGGAAAGCTGGTTGGGGAAAACTGCCACATGTACCTTAGGAATAGACTGTAAATAATTCTTCTGACAAACAGCTCATCTCTTTAATATTTTTGGAATAATTTTATTTTTATGTAAGTACAGTAATAGTCTGGGGTCTTTAAAGTCCCCATTTTACTTAGATGAGTATGTCAATGACACACTATTAATCAAATGAATAATAAGTATGGTATAGGGGTTACTTTATTAGGTAATTTTCATAGTTCAGTCAAATGTTTTATCCTCCTTTATAATTCATTCATCAGTTTCCTTTTGTGAAGCATATTTTTGAAAATTAACAAAAGTTTCTTGTATTAAAAGTGAGGCTTCCAAGTTTACAATCTGTTACATTTTAACAGTTGCTTTTGCAGCTCTGTCAGCAAAATAGTTGCATTAAAAATTGTGTCATTCTGCTCTATGTGAGCTCTACAAATGGTTACTGATCTGACAGGACAGTTGTACAGCTTCTAAAAAATCAGCTATCAGTTTTCCATGAGATATTTTACTTCCCCTCAAAGTTGAGAAGCTTCTATTTCTCCAAATTTGCTCTCCTATTTGATGGACACCAAACATGTATTTCCTACCTACCTACCTACCTACCTACCTACCTACCTACCTACCTACCTACCTATCAAGAATTGCAACTCCAGTAACTTCTATTAACTGTGCTGCTTGTGTCAGCTTAATTCTAGGCAAAGCATAAGCTTTCAAAATGTCGTATAAGAGGTCATCATAGCATACAAAACCTTAAATAGGGCCATTTTTATCCCAAGTACATGTCCACCAGTAAATATTATTAAATTGTCATTGCTAAAAACCACAGGCTCTTTGGCTCCCTATGTAATGGAAATTAACATGAGGCCCAGCAGATTTCCCAGACAAGGTATTTATTTCAGGGCTTGTGCTTAAGCACTAGGGAGACGGCAGAGTCACAAGGGTCCTCCAGCTGGCTCTCCAAAAAAAGCCAGTAGGGATTTTCTTTACTAGGTAACTCATGGGAATTGACATCAGGGGTAAGGTACACAGACTGTTCTGTGCACAGCACATAAGTGGTAGAGTACATGGGTCAGCATATCTTATTGTGATGGTTATCTTGAGCAGTGGGCCACCTGGTGGTCTGGCCAGAGGCAACAGGGCTGTAAATCAATTGTGCAGCATTCCTTCCCAAGGTGGGAAACTGCAAACTTGGTTTGATTTCGAATCTCCTAAGGCCAGTTTCTGGAATTATTTAAACAAACGGCATGGTTACACATTATGAGAGCACAGAAGAAGAACATAGAATGGCTTTTTTCCTTGTATGACTACTAACAGGTATGTTATCAGTGAAGTAGTGGTATAGGTTTGTGATCGGGGGAATGCAAGAAAGGATGTTCTAGTGGAGGTGAGCTGAAGCGAGGCCCCATCCTTTCTCTGCCTCATTACAGACAAGAATATCAGATAAATTCATCAGAGCTTAGTGTCTTCTCTTACCCCTGTAATACAATCATGATCATCTATTTGATCAGGATCTGGTAAAAGAGTAACATGATTTAGGATATTGCATCTCCTAAGCACAATACTGGGATCAATGCTTGTTCTTAACTAGTCTGTTGGCATACCCACACATTCTGGATTTTTTGCACTTGTAAGATAGCTGTCACAGCATGTGGGACGCGCATATAAGTGACTGCAGGTAAGGGCTTGAGCCTTTTAAAAAGTTTATATGCTACTTCCACAGAATCTTGTCATCAACAGTGCCACTACCTCCAAGGAAACTGAGAAATTTGTTATTAATGTGTCATCTATTCCCAACTTTTGAGTTAAAATTCCAAAAGTAGCCGCTTTATTTTCATAGCAAAGCAAGTGGAAAGTCTTTGCAAAATTTGGAACTCCCAAAGCTTATACTATAGCCAATTTTAATTGGAACACTTCTTCAGATTCTACTGACCAAATAAAAGGATCCGAGGAATTATTACACAGTTATTTCATTAGAGTTTTGGCCACTTTACAAAACTGAAATTCACTGTCCACAATATTCTACTAGTCCTCAAAATAGTTTTTTTTTTTAAGGCCTACATAATGCCTTCAGCATCAACAGATGCTCTAAATATTTTATCTCAGTTTGGCAATTTTGCAATTTGTCTATTGAAGGCTTATGCCCTTGTGAAGGGGGAGTTGTAACAAAGCTGAAGTGTCAGTTTTTTATTGCTCTTTAGTTTCTGAGCCTACCAGCAAACCATCAACATGCTGATGACTTACAGATCCCCCACTGGGACAAATTTCTTTAAGTTTTTTCTGTAAATGATTAGAGAAATGGAAGGAGAGTCAGGAAATCCTTGAATACTTTTTCATAAATACTGAACTCCTTTCTAAGTAAAACAGCAAACAGCAACAGAAATGTAAACTTGTTTACTAGAGCAATGAGAAAAAACAGATCATAGATAAATCGGAGAAAAAACTTTGCAGAGGATGGTAGCAAAGTACTAAAGTTTCTGATGTTAGAAACTAAAGGCGTGAATGGAGCAATAAATTTATTTTCTTCTTTAAGATCTTGTACACAGGTCAATCATCTTTATCACATTTACCTTCTTTCCTTTCTGGAAGTATGGCAGTATTAATATTACAGGGTGAGTGTCTTTATAAAATTACCACTTGTCTTTGAATTTTTTTAACTGTGTTTATTTCTTCTAGTAGAGCCTTTGACAAAGGGTATTGTTTGACCATGGCCATTGCTTATGTTTTTTGTAAAGAATTTCTATTGATTCTACACCTCAAACTAAACCACTTGCTAGGGCCCAAAGTGATGAATTGACTTGTTTCAGTTCAGGGCACTTATCCAGCACAGTGTGAGAAAGCTGCTTTTCGGAATACCCCTTTTCTTTCAGAAGGTACACAGTAATCAGATTCCTTTTATTCCAGGGAGTTCCACAGACACTCCCTATGGAATATAGAATATGGTAGTCTTTAATTTTCCCAGCAGGTCTCCCTGCAATAGGTTTACAGGAGGATCAGGAGAAAACTAAGAAAACCTATTCCCAATATGAGGCCCTATTTGTGTGGGAACTGCAGAAGAAAAAGAGCAAGTAGAAGGCTAACTCAAAATACCAACAACGTGTGTTCATTAACACCAGATGGAAAGTAAGACTTTTCTGGGGAAATCACAGAATAAGTAGCACCAGCAACTACTAGAAAATGCACACCTGGAATCCCAGCACTTTGGGAGGCTGAGGCGGGCAGATCACGAGGTCAAGAGACTCAGACCATCCTGGTCAACGTGGTGAAACCCCGTCTCTACTAAAAATACAAAAATTAGCTGGGTGTGGTGGTGCACACCTGTAGTCCCAGCTGCTTAGGAGGCTGAGGCAGGATAATTGCTTGAACCCGGGAGTTGGAGGTTGCAGTGAGCCGAGATCGCGCCAATGCACTCCAGCCTAGTGACAGAGCGAGACTTCATCTCAAAAAAAATAAAATAAAATAAAATAAAATAAATGCAATGAGTTAGCATGAGAGAAAGTTATTGAAATGTACGTATCATCAGTTCCCACATCTGAGATCCCCTCAATCTGTCAGTTTTAGGTCATTCCCAAATTATTTCCCAGCCTTCTGGGCTTTCCTGATTCCCTTATTTCTGCAGTTGCTGTATCCTCTGGATTCTCTTTTCTCCAGTCCCGCCTCCAACATCTGGCTTCTCGCAGTATGGCATATGGTTTTGTTTTCTTTCTTTGCTCACTCTACAGGCTGGCCAGAATAGGGGTTATGCCTTTTACTAAATAGTTCTTACTGGATAATTAACATATCAGTTTTTTTTTTAATTTATTTTCTTCTTCACATTTCTCTAGATTGTCCCAAAACTAAGTAACTGCTGCTAACATTTGAATCTGTCCTTGCCATCCTAATACCCTTCCTCTAATTTGAATTTGGATAGTCATCAAAGGACCTGAGACAAAAATTTTGAACTACCCTTGGATCCATACCGGTAGATTCTGAGAAAGCCTCAACAAACTGCTAATGGAAATCAATGGCAGACTCCCTTGTCTTTCGGATACACCATTGCAGTTTCACGCAGCTCACTTTTAGAGGAAAGATTTCGAGTACAGCTACAAGGAGTTACTTTCAGTGAGTCTCCAAATCTCTTAGTTATCCCTTATTTGTGGAGGGTGATGAACAGTTATCTACCTCTTGGTTCAATGGGTGATCTTCTGGTCCCCAGTGTGCTTGTTCCATCACATGAGTGGAGTCTGCTGATTGCAGAACTCCACACTGTATCCTGTGCAAATCTCCATGCCCGGGACTGTAAACTGAAAACATGCTGCAGAGGATGCCTGCAAACTTCTGGGAAGCAGGGAAAAGAAGCTTTTATTTGAGATATATCAGCTGGCAAGGAGGTCTGTATAACTTCTCAATGGCATCAGCTTCACTGGTGATCAAATAAGAGCTGGTCTTTCTCACATTGTGACAAGATAAATGTAGAATTATATGACTTTTTGGCTTATTTTCCATGTTACTGTTTATTAGACTAAGACTATTTTTTTTCCAAATAGCAAGTGAGACCACTCTACATCTTTTTGTCTTCATGTGGGGACAGTCTTTTATACAAGTTCCCAATTATTCCCCAAGCACGTTCCTTCATAATTTCTGCTTTCCTAAATACATGAAATATAAATGATAAGTGACTTTTGGGGGCACAGTATGTGCTAAAACATTGAGTAGGCTCAGGGTTAGGGCATGAGGCACACAAATCTGTTTCCTCAAACAAGGCAGATAATTCATTATCAGCGAAAGAAGTTGTGGCCTTGTCCTTTGTAGGGAAATACACTAACTAGGAGAACTGGAGGTCTAAAACACCATTGCTTTGATCTTCTCAGGAGTCTACTAAGGCAGAGAAGGATAAAGAGACACAAGGGATGCAGAAAGAGCAGAGATAGCAGAAAAAGGAAGAAGAATCAATGAAAGTGCCTTTAATTTATCCATTTCCTCTTCCATTCTTCTCAATCTTTCCTTCTAGTTATGCAGATCTTTTTAAGTTTCCACCAAGAATAATATGTATCCAATAAATGCCAGCAGTTCATTTGCTGGGGATGAGGTCAAAGAATCATAACAAATTCTGAAAGGTTTGGTACTTGTATGTATTCCAAATATGACAGAGATATTAGCTGTTTAGGAGAAAGAATTGCAGGCAATATCCTTGGCTTCCCCTATTTTTCCACCATCAAAGTTAATTGTAATCCTGATGGGATTTGAGTCCAGATTACCCATGCATACTCATTAATAAAATTTAAAATTTTAAATTTAAATTAATAAATTTTAAATTAATAAAATTTGAGTTTGGAGAGAGTGGTCTATCCAGATACTATTTCAAAAAAGCAAAGATCAAGAAGGGAGAACTTTTATAATTATAATTATAATATGGCTGCTGTGGGGTCTACTCAATTCAAAACTACCGTTCATATCCCAATCCTCTTTACCAAGTAGTTGGGGAAATGTGATTAAAAATAAAATCTTTTGCCAGCTCAGTAAAAGCTCTCCATAAAATGGAGGGAAAAATGAAACAGTTTTTCTGTTGAATAGGATTAAACCAAACTGTGATGTGCATCATAGGAAATCTGCTAAGGAGATTGCAAAAAAGAGAAATAATATATAGCTAGGAATATACAATCCATTGCATACATGTTAATTGCCTTCATCAAAACAAAAAATAAAACATTTCCTATCATTATGACAAGCAGGAAGTTAAATCAAAGAGCTAAGTACTAAGTACCTAGGCTTTAACTCCCCAGAAAAGTAGAGACAGGGCATCATCCTCTTTGATGTTCACAGTTTAAAGAGGTGGCTCCAAGGCCACCAAGAGAGAAATTCCAGGAATGAAAAACTGGCAAAAGTCTCATTTAACTATTAAAATATTTTGATACATCTAAAATAAATGGAACTTATAATTTCAAGTTTTCTAAAAGAAATGCTAAAGAGAAGTTGAGGGGAGTTTTAATTTTTGACATCAGAAAATTTAAAAATATATATATTTTATTATTATTTTTAGATGACATATACCCTTACACCAGCAATGAGTTGGGAACTAGGTGAAATCAGGGCAATAGGATAAGTTAGTAAGGGAACAATTTAGCTTGCAAGTGTTAGTTGTTCTTCATGAACTGACAAAATACCATTCTAGAAGTTTCAGGATAATAGAACAGTTCAGGATTATGAATGTTATAGGAGGATGTAAAAAAGAGCAATACTTCAATTTTCCCAGAAAAACAACTCTTAGTATTCTCTTTGAGGTAGTTTGCTGGTATGTTTGATATGGTATAGCTGATGTACATGCTATGTAAATATAAGCTCTCATTCCCGTTTAATAATGGGTTTACTTTACTTTCTATTCTGCCTCCAAGCTGGAGTGTTTACCCTTTCCCATAAACCTGCACCTGCCTCTCTACAGTAGCTCAAAAAACTGCTACCTAAGAATCACCAATTTGAAAGTTCACATGCCCCAAAATTTAATTAAAAGATGTTTCAAATGATTATGTGTATATATAGACAATATATATGTGTGAGTTTGTTTTATATTATGGTAATTTAAAATGGTTTTTGGCAGGAAGAAGGAAATGAAGATAATCTGAAGTTCCATGATGCATTATGGTATCTTGGTATCTTATGGTGTTCTTCAGTGTAATATATAATCCCATAATTAAATAATAGTAGTTTACCAAGTTTCTTTGTGACAAATTCCCATAAATCCTGTAACACTGGCCACTGGTTAGATACTTGTACTGCAAATGAGGTTTGTTTTAATAGTTGACTACGCACAGGGCATTTTGCTGCCATAGTCACTTCCAGGATATGGTCAACTACACTGCCCTCTGCTGGTGTATTCATAGTAGAGCCACTATTTAAGAGACTAAACACTCTCGTAGGTTTTTACAATGAAAGGAAACTTTATACTTTCCTGATGTAATTTTCCAGCAATCCTTATGGTTTTAGCAATAAAGTAGGCAAACATTCAGTATTTTCTTCCTTTGGAAACCTGTCTTTCTGTATATAATTTAGAATCTCTTATCAATGTGGACATTTACTCTGCAGTGAATCCATTTTTTCCTCTTTCCTATTCTTGATGGACTTCCCCGCAACCTAAGGTCTTATTTACTAATTTGCTTTCATCCTTCTAATGACCTTTGGCTTCAGTTCTAATATGCAATTACAATATCATTGATGATAGACAAAACGTGAAGTAATTTCCCTTCTTATGGTTACAAAACTGTGCATTACTGAATGAGGGATTAGTAATGAATGGATACAGTTATGCTGCATCAGATTTGCAGCATATTTCTTTAAATAAAACTATTTACAGAAAAACATATGTGACATGGGCAGCCTATAATGTAGGTACTATATTTTAAGGCTTGTGTATTCGACATCAGTATTGCAAAGGGTTCGGTTATACTCTTGGCCACTTTATTGTTTTGCACAGAAATATTTTAACAATATTTCTCTAGAACAAAGTTCTGTGAAACTGGGAATGTTAAGATATATTTGTGGTGTTAAAAATACTTGAATATTTGTATAGATCCTCCTTTTCTTTTCAGTTCAAAAGACAAGTACTGTGTAGGAGTTTTTGATGGTCTAAAATATCATGACCTTGCCTCAGGAACATGAAAGATCTTTCCTAGTTAAACACAGAATAATATTTTTATAATAACCTTGATCACTAAATTGTGTAGTTTTTTCTTCTGTCACATCAACACATACTCCTCTATGTTTATCTGACTTTTTTTTCTAGCAAAGAAAGTATTGAGAAACACATCTGTCTTATAATTTGTATGCAGAGGATGTTTTAATAACCCATCTCTCCCTTCTTTGTCCATCTCTTTTTAGGCTGACTGGAAGCTTTGTACCAGACTTGATAGTGAGCATGAGTAGCCAAATGTGGCTGCACCTTCAAACGGACGAAAGTGTTGGATCTGTTGGTTTCAAGGTTAACTACAAAGGTAATGATTAATTTCTACATAGGAAATGTTATCTTAATACCACCAGAGAATATTTTTAAATTCACGTTTAATTGCATCTACAAAATTAAAAGTTTTGCAGAACACATGCTACATTTCAACAAAGATCATTTCCTCCTTAATTTAACTACAAATGTTAATTACACTTATCTTTAAATAAAATGAGTTTTTCCTTTAAAATGTGTCTATTTTGCATACCTCATCTTTCTCCCAGTATATTATACTATCCTTGTGTTTCAATCACTGTAGACTCCTAGCCTTCCCCAAAATAGACATGTGATTTTATGTACTTTAAGTAATTTTCCTGGCAAAGATTCTACTAATTATTAAATACTTAAATATAACAGTAAAGGTCTGAAATCCCTAAATATTCCAATGTACAAATCTTTTTTTGTAATCTATCAAACATATAAATATAGCTCACAAATTTGTGAAATTGCTTTTGCCCATCCCAGTGTCAGTAAAGATACAGATCAATGATTAACTATGTGTGTTTAACAAAATATTTTATTCTAGTTTCATTTATCAGAAATAGATGCAAGCATGTGAGGTCATAGATATCTTCCACACATGTTGGACCTTGATTAAAACCAATACATACACACAATGTGCATATTAGAAATGCAAATTTGCAATTCTGACTGAAAAAATTACTAATAAGCTCAATTAAAAATCTATTTTTTAAAAACAAAAATATACAAGAGATCATCAGAATGTTATGTTGCTTGAATTATCATTACTATTGTGGTAAAAATTATTATTTTCTATCTTACCAATTAAATAATTACTGTGAAAAATTCTTTTACTTGCATAATAATTTTCAATTAGAATTTTCTCTTACAAACACTGTCATGCTTTTGATTCTGGACACATGAAAATGAATGCATGATGTTGTCAGAGAGACAGAACACATTCATTCTGTGTTTTTTTTTGTGTGACTAAATTTGGTACTGTATTAATTTGAATAGTTCAAGAAATCTATGTAAATGCCAGTTTATTAAAAAGGTTAGCTTGATTATAGTTTTAATATATTCCTCCTCAATTTAAAATCCACCTCTATCCCCAGTAAATAAAACAAGGTTACAAAATTTAAAGAACAATTGGCTTATGTTACATGTATTTATCTGTCTTTTTTTTCCGGCAACTTGTATTTTACATGCAGGGGGTCTGTGTGCACATTTGTTACTTGGAAATATTGTGTAATGCTGATTTGGAGTACAGATCCTCTCACCTCGTCATACTTCTTGAAATGTATCTTTTTCTGTTTCTTCCCCTTCTCCCTCTAAATGGCTAAGGAAACCTGGCATTCTTATATTCCTGTGTTTCTGTTATTTTCTCCATCTTACGAAGGTTACCTGTCAGAAAATCTATAGTGATTTAAACATTAGAAACTGTATGAATTATTAATGATAATGCTTGAACAAGAAACATTTATTAAAACTCATGAATAGGTTGGAGCAACAGGGAGTTCTATCGATATTTACACAGTTCTCCCCTCTGCTGCGGTTCAAGAGCTGGAAGTACATTGTAGAGCAGCACAATTAAACATTATATTGTTCTCCGTCTGCTCAGTTTTCAACAATAGTAATTAAACAATTCACAGAGATGATATATTTGAAACCAACCCAGGACATTCTAAATGAATAATGCCCTACTTTTTCTCCCTCCTTTTCCTTAGACTGGAAGTGTCTCTCCCAGTCCAACCTGCTGCACATTACTAATGATAATCTTCCAGCATCAGAATGATGATCATATTACTCTCATGCTCAAAATTCTGTTTTTTTATCCCTAGAGATAAAATAAAAAATCTCCATACATCATTTCCTCCAGCTTTCTCCATCTAATTTTCTTTTTCCATAAACTCTAATTTTACCAAATTATCCATAACTCTCTGAACCCTGCAAGTTGTTTCACAACTCTGCTTCTTTGGACATTCAGTAAATCTACCTGAATCACTGTTTTTAATTTTAACTTAGCACCTTCTCGCTCATCCTTCAAGGCAAAGTTCAAATATTTACTCTTCTATGAAGACTTCGTTAGCTCTACCCATCACAGAAGACCACTTCCTCTATTTTATAAACCGTGAATCATATGTATTATATAACTAAATAGAAAATATATCTTACTTGTCTTTGTATTTCTGCTAGCAATATCCATGCCATCATTATAGGTAGCTAATAATTATTTGTTCAATTAAACTGAATAAATGAACCTATATAAATTAGGTATTTATATTAGGCCTATATAAATTAGGTAATACTAAGCAAAATATGTCCTCAAAAGTTTAGTTTACCAGGATTTTTTTTGTACTGTGAAAATCATGTTTTTGCATTCTACATAATTTAAAACCTGAGCTCATAGTTGAAGTAGGGTTCACGTTGAGAAGTTACAAATTTTGATGTGCACATAGTTTTAGCAAGTTCACCTACTAAAAATAATTTTCATAATTACCATGCTCTTTGTTGAGTAGTGTGTTGGTTCTAAATGGAACACCTGCTAAAAACCTTTCCAGATTTGTCTAAAGATATCTTCTGGTTTTGTAATCTGTAGATTTTGCATGAGACAGTATTAAATGTACATGTCCTCTAAATTAAATATATCTATTTATTGAGTAGTTTGTCTCAAATTTTTAACATTTTAAACATAGTGACTAAAATGTGTAATTTAGTCCTTGTTTTTTGTGATATAGTTTTATTCCTAAATTGTGTTTTACTAATTAAGAGAGTGTTTTTGAAACTTTATTTTAAAGGAAATATAATTTCAAATGACGTTTTCTGTTAGAAACTCAAAATAGAAAAAAGATTAAAAGCTGGGCTTCTCTGGTAGAACAAGGATGGGAAGAAGACTTGGTACCTTCAGTTGATCTGATTGCTTCTCATTCCCTCCAAATGTAGGAAGAACCTTAGGACTCCAAAACATATAGTTTGAAAATGACTGTTCTAAGACTGTACTATTGAGAGAGGAACAAAAATTTATGTATGAATGTAAAATAGTACATAATTACCTGATTAAGTTGTCATTAACTTTAGAACTTCTGCTTTAAATCTGTGGAACTATGAATGCTTTTTTCTATGGAGTTTGGAAAATGTCTATTTTAAAACATAAAAAGCAACAAATGTTGCAAATCAAGAAAACAGTCCTTAATTCTAAATTTAGTTAATTTTTATTCAACTAGGATTCATTTCGTGTTTCTGTTCATGACAGTGTGCTGATTACTGTATACCATAGCATAAATGAATAAAATGCCACCAACCTCTTGGGTAGTTAATGATATTCCTAACTTTTAAAAATCAGTAACATCCTTGTAGATGTAACAAAGTCGTGGCCATTCTGATTCACAGGAGATTTTTTTTGTTTGCCAAAACTATTATTTAAGATGTGAACTAAATGTCTTGCTGAAAAGGAAGTATAACCTAGCTGTCCACCTTGCCCCATTTCCCTTAGAAACATTAGTTTTGTTTTGTTGTTTTTATAGGGTCATTATTCCAAATGCGTATTAATCAGAATGCAAGAAAAAAAGAGAGTTCTTTTCAATGGACACATTAACATCCATTAACATTGAGCTACTTTTTGGATATATTTTCAACTTTGTCTTAGCTTAAGGAACATTAGAGCAATAATTAACAGTTATGAAGAGCCTTGCATATTCCAATTATTTTGCCTACATTAACTCATTAAATCTGATTAGAACGATAAGAGGTAAGAATTATTACTCATTTTTACAGATGAGAAAACTGACTAGGATTTAAGCACCATGATGATAGGAAGTTTGGTCTGCTTTGTTTATTGCTGTATTCCCAGAATCTAGCCTGATGCCTAACATACAGAAAGCAAACAACAAATATTTGTGGGATGCCTGAATAAATGAATGAACATGAATGGTTAATCATAATCATATTGCAGAATATAGTTGCAACTCTGAGTTTACTGACTTCATTCTTTTTTCCATTATGCAATATTATATCCTAAGTGATTTTGAGAGATTTTTAGGAAAAGCTGGAAACCCTAATCAGTGTGAAGAGCAGGAGAACACCAAAAGACTGAGTTAAATTACTGAGCTCCCCTTAGCTCATCAGGTACACATCAAAATAAAACATAGGCATGCACGTGCACATGCACAACCACACACACAGACAAAAACCATCTGATTTCACATAGGAGATGTGTGCATTTTTTTTTATTTTCATATAGTTACTTGGTATTTCTTAAGACTTGAATTATTTAGGAATGCTAACTGATTATTACTTTTATAAAGAAAAATTTTTGATTTTTGTATACTTGTGTGGTATTTGGCCACAGTATTTAATGCTTTTGTTAATTTTAATTATTTCATGATTAGGCATTGTAATAATTAGGAAGACATGTATTGGCATATTACAGAAAACCCAACTAATTGTGGCTTAAACAAACATGTGTTTACTGTTGCCACATGACATGTCTAGAGGGTATACACCAATGTTATTTTTATCTGAGACTCAGGTGCGTTCTTGAATTCCCTCTACCATCCTCAGCATATTTGTCTTCATCCTCAATCTTATAATTTTTGCCAGAGGTCTATTGTAGGAGAAGATTGGACCCCTCAAAATTCCATTAAATTATAGTGATGAGAGCTAGCATTTCTGTCTTATTCTTCTTTGGATGGCAGTGAATTTATATTTGAACATTTAATATATTTGACAAGGGTATGTGGAAAAGAATCTTTACCAACTGCAGAGAGTTCAAATACATTTCATCTAACTTCTAGTCAAACATTTTTCTGTATCCATTGACACAATCATGTATTTAATTATGTCTCTCCTTTAACTGTATTCATAGTTTTTTTTTCCAGTACTGGGACAAACTTTCATTTCTGTAATAAAACCTTGAACATGATGACCAATCCCTTAGTACACCCTGGGATCAATTTGCTAACAGTTTGACTAAAATAATTATATTTGTGAATTTGAATTAGAGTTTCTTTTTGTGTTGGTTTTATAAAATTTGAGTTTTAGAATATGGTAGTATTAAAGAATGAGTCAGGAAATTTGTCAGTGACTTGGAATAGTATGAATAACAAACATAAAAGTTACATGTTTTTTAGAGTAAGAAAGACCCTAGCCATAAAACTATCTGGACGTTTTTACTTAAAAGTAAATATTTAACAAATTTAATTTTTGTTCCTTTGACTATAAATCTCTTCAGATCTCTTCTTCAATTAATGCTGGTCACTTATATTTTGTTAGAAAAATTTCCAGGTCATACACAATAATTTTCAAATATATGGACATTTCATGTACATTTTCTTTTTTAACAAAAGTTTCTTTGAAAAAAATAATAAAGATATAGCATACCGATATTTTACTTATGGGTACGTTAATTTCAAGGGGGTAATTTTTTTCTCTTTCTCTCTTTGACTGCATCTGCTTTTATCCCTGACTGGCAGTTCTTTCTTTTTGTACTAGTGACTGAACTATTCTAGACTCTGATAAACCTTATTTCTCCTAATTCTGTACAGCTCTACAGGTTTGGGCCAAACTAATCAGAATTCCCTTTGAAAGGTTATCAGTCCAGGCTGGACGCAGTGGCTCATACCTATAATCCCAGCACTTTGGGAGGCCGAGGTGGGTGGATCATCTGAAGTCAGGAGTTCGAGACCAGCCTGGCCAACATGGTGAAACCCTATCTCTACTAAAAATACAAAAATTAGCAGGGCGTGGTGGTGCGTGCCTGTGATCCCAACTACTCCAGAGGCTGAGGCAGAAGAATTGCTTGAACCTGGGAAGGTGGAGGATGCAGTGAGACGAGACCGCGCCGCTGCCCTCTAACCTGGGCTACACAGTGAGACTCCATCTCAAAAAAAAAAAAAAAAAAAAAAAAAAGTTTATCAGTCCAGCATCTGGGGCAATTGATATAGTTTCTGGGTAAAAGAAAATATTTTTTCTAAGGTGGTAAATTCTAAGGGTGATTTCACTTGGTGATACTGGTATAACTTTTTTTTAATATTAATAACTTGCTGATAGAGGCATGGCAGAACCAATGAATAGAAAGAAAGACATAGCATTGTGGACATAATTGGAACTCCTAAATTTAGCAGTTCCTGAAAGGAACTTGGTCTTTCAATTGTGTGAGGCTATAAACTTCTTTTTTAAGACATGGTGAGTTCAGTTTCTGTCACTAAATTAGCCTCTCAACTAAATGAACCCTGATAAACACATTTGTTATGTCTTTGTTTAATTATTTCAACACAGTGTTAAATTAAGTTTAGTCTAAATCTTCCTCTTTATACATATTTTAAGTTCAGCTTAAAGGTTTCTCCATACACAGTGAACCATAACTTACCTGAATGAGTAAACAGGATGTGACTTCTTCTTTTACCAATCACTGAGTTCTGGCCAATCAAAGGCAGCCAACTATTCAAACCACGTTCAAATAAGGTTTTATTACAGTCATGCTGTAACCAATCCAGCTATTTCCGTACCTCACTTCCATTTTCTGTGCATCACTTTCCTTTTTCTGTCCATAAATCTTTGACTATGCAGGAGTGCTGAAGTCTCTGCAAACCTTTTTTTGTTTGTTTGTTTTGGGAGCTTCCAGATTTGCGAATCATTCTTTGCTCAGTTAAACTTTGTTAATTTTAATTTGCTGCAAGTTTTTATTTTAACAACAGTAAGAAGAAATAGTCTATACTATAGTTCAATGCTTTCAGATACATGTCTTTCTTTATTTTAAAAATATGTTAACATGGAAATACAGTGCAGATGGGCCCAAGAAAAAATGTGTACCCACAGGAAGGAACAGTTATATGTGAGTTAATTAATGTTCACTATGCTCTTTTTTTTTCAGCAAAGGAAACATAGAAATATGAGGATTACCTTCTGCTACCAGTATATATTCATCATGAGCAAATTTCTTTATCTTAGCACCTGTGTCTTAATGCCATTTTGTATATTATATATTTATATATAATATTTATATAGTATATAAATTAATATATTTAATTAATATATTAATTTAATATGTAATATATTAAATTAATATATTAGCAATATAAATATGTTTACATATTTATATACACACAGTAAGTTGTATTCCCATTCAGTTTTGTTCTCAAATCATGAGAAAAATTAACGTGTTTCAGAAGTAGCATCAATTCCTTTGTCCTTATATGATTGATAATGGCAGAAAGAAACAATTGTTTCTCATCACTCAAACCATATTGTGTAGTAAATGTTTTCTGTAAACTTTCTATAAATGTTTTAAATGATTTTTTCACCCTTAAGATTTTTGTTATGAATAGTTCAGAAATAGACCCACATATTATGGCCAATTGATTTTCAACAAAGAAGCTAGAGATTTGAATCAGAAAAGATACATATTTTTTAAATGGTGCAGAAACAGATGTATAGCCACATTCAAAAAAAATTAACTGTTAACTCATGCAATATACAATAATCAACTTGCAATGTATTATAGACCTAAGTTTAAGAGCTAAAGCTATACAACTTTTGGAATAAAACATAGAAGAAAAGCCTAGTTACCTTAGCTTAGGAAAAATTATCTTAGGGGACCAAAAGCATGCTATCTGTTATGAGCTGAATATTTATATTCCTCCCAAATTTATATGTTGAACCTCTAACCCCCATATATGATGGTGTCTAGAGATGAGGCCTTTGGGAAAGAATTAGGTTTAGATGAGATCATAAGAATGAGTCCTTCTTGATGAGATTAGTGCCCTTATATGAACCAGAGACCACTCTGTCTCTCTTCACCATGTGTGGATACAGCTAGAAACGAACCATCTGCAAGCCAGAAAAAGAGCCCTCACCAGAACCCAACTATTCTGGCACCCTGATCTTGGAATTCACAGCCTCCAGATTGTGAGAAATAAATTTTTGTCACATAAGCTGCTCAGGCTATGGAATTTTATAATAGTAAAGGAGAAAACTAAGATATTAAAAAAATTGATAAATTGGACTTCATCAAAATTAAAAGTATTTGATCATCAAAAGTCACTGTTAAGCAAATGAATTTCAAATCACAGGCTGGATAAGAATATTTGCAGAAACATATTTAATAAAGGACCTGTATTCAGAATAAAGCAAACAAACCAATTTAAAATCAGTAAAAGAGTTGATGAAACACTTCACAAAGAAGAGATACAGATGGCTAGAAAGTGTATGAAAAAATGTTCAACATCATTGTTATTAAGGTAATGTAAATTACAACTACAAAGAGATACTACTACATACCCACTAGAGTGGTGAAGATTAAAAAATGTTGGCTTGGCAAGGAAGCGGAATAACTGGAACTCTCATACACTGTTAGAAGGAAGATAAAAATGGTATAACCATTTTGGAAAACAGCTTGGCAATTTCTTAAACATATGTCTACCTCACAACCCAGCCTTTTTACTCTTAGACATTTTCCCAAGAGAAATGAAATCAATTGTCCATATAAAGACTTGTATGAGAATATACATAGTAGATTTTTTAAAATTTCTACAAACTGGAAACAATCCAAATGTCCATTTATAGGTGAGTATATAACAAAAATTGGGGATGTCTACACAATAGAATACTACTCATCAATAAAAAAGAAAATACTCTTAACACATGCAACATGAATGAAAATCAATATCAATATGCTGAGTAAAATAAGCCAGATGAAAAAGAGAAGGATGTTATTTATTTAAAATTCTAGAAAATGCTAACAAAATCTATAGTGACTGAAAGCAGATTATGTTTTCTGGGCACTTGGATGAAGGAAGGGATAGATTAGCAACAGGCTGGAGAAACTTTTACTGGGTGATAGACACATTAGTTCCTTTTTTTTTTTTTTTTTTTTTCACAGGATATGCCTCTGTCACCCAGGTTGGAGTGCAGTGGCACAATCTCAGCTCACTGCACTCTCTCAAGTGATCCTCAAGTAATCCTCCTACCTCAGCCTCCCGAGTAGCTGGGACAACAGGCACGTGCCACCATGCATGGCTAATTTTTGTATTTTTTATAGAGATGGAGTTTCACCACATTGCCCAGGCTGGTCTCGAACTCTTGGGCTCAAGTGATCCTCCAGCCTCAGCTTCCCAAAGACCTGAGGTTACAGGCGTGAGCCACCGTGCCTGGCCTTAATGTTCATTATCTTGTCAGTGGTGATGGTTTCACCAATGCATATATGTGTGAAAATTTATCAAACTGTATACTTTAAATATGAGTGGTTTATTGTTCATCATATCTCAATGAATCTGTAAACAAATGTGTTAATATTACCAATTATCATTTCAAACTGAACGCTAGTGTAAGCTGTATTATTTCAATGGTATTTCTATTTTGAGAGAATAAGAAAAAGATTATAAGCAGAATATTTTCAACAATTAAAAAGGCAAGAACAATGTTTCATTCAAAATGAGTAAGTAGAAGAGAAGAAAATATTCTCACAATTCATTTTTTAAATGTTGAAGTGGTTATACTCTGCAGAGTTGAAGGTTTGTTCTTTTTTTTCTCAGTAGGTTATATCGGTTACAAACAAGAATGTCAAAGATATAATAGAGATTACGATAGGGGAAATTTATATCCAAGCACCAAACAAAGGGCTGAAAATTGCATTCATTTTTCCATTTTCCTTTAAAATACTCAGGCTTATGCAAAGTTGTACAAAGTGAAAATTCATTATAATCAACCACTTAATCCTGATGGTACATGCCTAAGAAATATCTGACTTGCTCTTTTGTGAGGAACTGATTTTTTTTTTTTGAAACTGGAAACATCTTTCTTTTTCTCCATATATATGATTTTTTTTCACTTTTGTTCCATTTATTTGCTATTTTCCAAAACTTAATTAGAGTATTTCTCAAAAAATCCTACCATTTGTAGAATCCCAAGATTTACCTTTGCTATATTCCTGATTAGAGTCAGGTTTAAAAAATGTTTTCACCATATATTTGTATAGTGGAGAAATGAAATGATATCTGGCAAGAGTCGTTTTTATGTATATTTATTTGTCTAGTTAGCACATATAAACAGAGATCCTATACTATACATCATTGCAACCCCACAGTACTTACCACAATAAATAAATATATCAATCTGTAATCTGTAAAAGAGATTGGTTAATGTAAAACCCAAATGGCTTTTAATATTAAATAATTACTGTACTATTAAAAGTTGATTCTTAACTTTTAATAATAAAAATGTGTATTAAAGCAGAAAACTAATAATGAATGAATAATAAATATCTGTCAGGACTGTTTAAAGTTTGTAATTCCCCAATATTCCCATGCATTCATTAGTTTTCTAGTGGTACAAATCAATTTAGTAAAATAAAATTATGTAAGGCATAGTTATATCTTTTTTATTTTACAAATATTTCCCCATATTCTATCCTTTAACTCAAGTGAAATCCAATTTAGTGGGATCAAAGTCATCTATAGAAAATCCTAAAATTATGATTTGACGTTTCTTTAAAACAGCATTATGTCAATAATAAAAACTTTGTTTAATTAAGTGAAAAGTAAAACTGAAATTTCTAGTTTCTTAGGAACTGAATTATCTGTCATATACTAACATAATATAAGCATGTTACACAGATACATTTCAGTGACTGAATTATCTGTCATATACTAACATAATATAAGCATGTTACACAGATACATTTCAGTGTTCATACAATTAGATTGGAGTCAAAACTCATTTATTTAAATAATTGTTTTTCTCTGTAGTGTTCCATATGCATTGCTGATTTAGTGTTTGCTGTAAGGACAGTTTCCATATCCTAAAACTAGAAGCTTAGATTAAGTAGTCTCTGCATTTCTTTTGAGTTCTAGCATACTTTTATTAAATTTGATATTGATATATTTATTGTGCTATCCAAAAATATTGCACTCAATATTGATTCATTGTAGTAAACTGAGATATCTTAAATGGGACAAATGTTCTTTGTATGAATCCTGAGACACTCTCTCTCAGAACTTGCTGCACAAATTTGATACCTTATTGTCTGATGATGGTCTCTTAGCACTGAGCCAAGAAAGACTTGGGTTTTCACATTTTTGTATCTTTTGAGATGTCTCTTTATATAATTTTTATTAAAAAACAAATCCTGGAGTCTGTAAGACACAATTTCTTTTGCCTAGGAAAAATTACCAAGTCACATGTGATATTTTGTGTGGGAATTTTTTGATAACATTTCCATCTGCCTCTCAGAATAAAGAGGGCTTTTAAGCATGACTCATGAAAATGTTTATATTTGAGTAAGGTTGATTCTGTTTGTTCTTGCTCTTTATTAACTTAGAGGTTTATTTTATTTTACATTCAATATACCAAGTTCTTTCAGAAAACAACTGCTTCTAAAATGTCTAACTTAATTTTGTTTGTCCCAACCTGCTGTGAGAACTAAGCCTTTTGTTTCTACATGCCAAGAATTAGAATGAGTGGTAGTAGAATATTAAAAGTTATGTCAATTTAAAAATATTTTATAGAGTTTCCTCTATGTGCCAGGCATTGTGAAGGGGATAGGGTACATTGTAAAATATAAAAGACTTAGTCATTATTTTCAGTTTAGTGGGACAAAGACTGATACTTAAAAATAATTTTAAGTGCGATTAATACTAAAAATGAAAAACAGAATGTGTTTTTTGGAGACTATAATAAGACACCTAATGCAGCCTTCAAGGAAAGATTTCCAGAGGCGGTGAACTTTGAATGAGACCTGTGGCTAAGTAGGAGGTGGGAACTGGGGCAGCATAACCAATGTGTGCAAGTGGTTCCATTGGAGCTGAGAGAATTCTAGGATGCGTGGTGGGAATGGAGAGAGAGGTGTTTTAGGAGTAGTACTAGATAAAGCTGAAAGACAGGAAAGAACATGCCATGATTTGGTGTAAAAGGCATGTATATAGCTATGATGACAAAAGATGTCCATTTCTCCAATGCAGGCAAAAGAACACTCCTCCCTTTTCATGTATGCAGGTTTCCCAATTTTCCCCTGAAGACAAGGGTCAGTATTTATTAAAGTAGGGGAATCATAGAACATTGGAGCTGAAAGAGACTTTTTTAAAACAAAAATTTAATTTTTCATTTTTATGGGTACATGGTAGGGATATAAATTTATGGATAAATGAGATATTTTGATACAGGCCTACAGTGTATAATAAGTGCATCAGGGTAAGTGGGGTATCCATCACTTCAAACATTTGTCATTTCTTTGTGTTAACAAACATTCCAATAAAACTCTTTTAATTATTTTAAAATGTACATTAAATTATTTTTCACTGTAGTCACCCTGTTCTGCTATTAAATACAAGATCTTATTCATTCAATCTAACTGTATTTTTGTATCCAGTCACCACCACATACCTCCTCTCCCGACCACCCCACTTTCATTCCCAGCCTCTGGTTACCATCATTCTACTCTCTATCTCCATGAGTTCAACTGTTCAATTTTTAGCTTCCACAAATGAGTGAGAATGTGTGAAGTTTGTCTTTCTGTGCCTGGCTTATTTCACTTTACATGTTGTCCTCCAGTTCCATCTATGTTGTTCCAAATGACAGGAGCTCACCTTTTATCTGGCTGAATAATACTCCATTGTGTATATGCAGCACAGTTTTTTTATCCCTTCATCTGTTGATGAACACTTAGGTTGATTCCAAATGTTGGCTATTGTGAATAGTGCTGCGACAAATATGGGAGTGCAGATATATCTTAAATAACCTGATTTTCTTTCTTTTGGGTACATACCTAGCAGTATTTTGAGGTACCTCCATACTGTTCTCCATAGTAATAATTTACATTCTCACCAACAGTGTATGAGAGTTCTCTTTTCTCCACATCCTTGCCAGAATTCACCATTCACTATTGCCTGTTTTTTGGATAAAATTTGGAAGAAATTCATTTTTATATCATTTGACCCAGCAATCCCATTACTGGGTAGATGCTAAAAGGAATATAAATCATTCTACTATAAAGACACATGCACACATATGTTTCTTGCAACACTATTCACAATAGCAAAGACTTGGAACCAACCCAAATGCCCATCAATGATAGACTGGATTAAGAAAATGTGGCACATATTCACCATGGAATACTATGCAGCCACAAAAAAGGATGAGTTCATGTCCTTTGCAGGGACCTGGATGAAGCTGGAAACCATTATTCTCAGCCAACTAACACAGGAACAGAAAACCAAACACTGCATGTTCTCACTCATAAGTGGGAGTTGAACAACGAGAGCACATGGACATAGGGAGGACATCACACACCAGGGCCTGTCGGGAGGTGAGGGGCTAGGGAGGGATAACATTAGGAGAAATACCTAATGTAGATTTTGGGTTTATGCATGCAGCAAACCACCATGACACGTGTATGCCTATGTAACAAACCTGAACATTCTGCACATGTATCCCAGAACTTAGAGTATAATAATAAAAAAAGTCTTTTTTATCAGAGTGACATGATATCTCACTGTAGCTTTGATTTGCATTTCTCTAATAATCAATGATGTTGAGCACCTTATCATATACATGTTTTCCATTTGCATGTCTTCTTTTGAGAAATATCTATTCAGATTAGATCTTTGCCCATTTTTTATTCAGATTATTGGTTTTTTTTTTCCTATTGAGTTGTATATATATTCTAGTTGTTAAGCCTTTGTCAAATAGATAGTTTGCAAATATTTTCTCCCATTTTGTGTGTTTTCTCTTCACCCTGCCTCCTTTGCCACAGCAAAAGCTTTTAAACTTGACATAATTTCATTTGTCCCTTTTTGCTTTGGCTGCCTGTGCTTTTGGGGTAATAAATAAGAAATGTTTGCCCAGACCAATGTCCTGAGAGTTTCCCCAGTGTTTCCTTTTAGTAGTTTCAGGTCTTAAATTTAAGCCTTTAATTCATTTTGATCTGGTTTTATGCCTATGGCAAGAGATAAGGGTCTAGCTTCCTTCTTCTGCATATGAACATCAGGTTTTCTCAGCACCATTTATCCAAGAGACTGTCCTTTCCCCAGTGTATGTTCTTGGCATCTTTGTTGAAAATGAGTTCATTGCAAATGTATGGATTTATTTCTGGGTTCTTGATTCTGTTTTCTTGGTCTGTGTGTCTGTTTTTATTGCCACTACCATGCTGTTTTGGTTACTATAGCTCTGTAGTATAATTTGAAGTCAAGTAATGTGATTCCTCTAGATTTGTTCTTTTTGCTCAGGATGGCTTTGGCAATTCTGGGTCTTTTGTGGTTCCATATACATTTTAGGATTATTTTTTCTTTTTCTGTGAAGAATGTCATTGGTATTTTGATAGGGATTGCATTAAATCTGCAGATTGCTTTATAGACATGTTAATAATACTGATTATTCTAATCCATAAATGTAATATATCTTTCCTTTTTTTCCTGTTCTTTTAAATGTCTTGCGTAAATGTTTTATAATTTTCATTGTAGAGATCTTTCACTTCTTTGATTAAATTTATTCCTAGGTATTTTATTTTATTTGTAGCTATCATAAATGGGATTACTGTCTTAATTGCTTTTTCAGATTGTTCACTTGTCTTGATTGCTTTTTCAGATTGTTGGCAGATAGAAATGCTACTGATTTTTGCCTGTTGATTTTATTATCCTGAAACTTTGCTGAATTTTAAAATCAGTTCTAACAGGTTTTTGGTAGACTCTTTAGATTTTTCCAAATATAAATTTATATTGCATGTAAATGAAGATAATGTGACTTCTTTCTTTCCAACTTGGATGCCCTTTATTTCTTTCCCTTGTCTTATTGTTCCAGCTACAATTTCTGGTACTATGTTGAATAATAGTGGTGAAAGTGGGTATCCTTGACTTGCTCCAGATCTTAGAAGAAATGCTTTCATTTTTTTCCTATTTAGTATTATACTACCTGTGTGTCTGTTGTATATGGCTTTTATTCTGTTGATGTATGTTCCTTCTATACTCATTTTTGTGGGTTTTTATCATGAAAGGATGTTGAATTTTATCAAATGATTGTTCATTGTTAATTGAAATAACTATATAGATTTGTTCTTCATTCTATTAATATGCTATATCACATTAATTGGTATGCAGATGTTGAACCATCTTTGCATCCCTGAGATGAATGCCACTTGGTCATAATGAATGATCTCTTTAATGCATTGTTGAATTAGGTTTGGGAGTATTTTGTTGAGGATTTTTACATCAATGTTCATCAAACATATTGGCCTATAGCTTTCTTTTTCTGATGTGTCTTTGTCTCGTTTTGATATCAGGATACTATTGTCCTTGTAGAATGAGTTTGGACATATACCCTCATCCTCTATTTTTTGGACTACTTTGAGTAAGATTAGTATTTGCTCTTCTTTAAATATTTGGTAAAATCAACTGAATCCATTGGGTCCCAAGTTTTTCTTTGCTGGAAGACATTTTATTATGGCCACAATCTCATTACTTGTTATTGGTGTATTAAGGTTTTGGATTTCTTTATGTTTCAATGTTGGTAGGTTGTATGTGTCTAGTAATTGATTCATTTCTTTTAGGTTTTCCAGTTTCTTGGCATATAGTTGCTCACAGTAGCATCTAATGATCCTTTGAATTTCTGTGGTATCAGTTGTAATATCTCCTTTTCCATCTCTGATTTTATTCGTTTGAGTCATCTCTTTTTGTATCTTAGTATGACATAAGGTTTGTTTATTTTGCTTCTTTTTGAAACACAAATTTTCATTTTGTTGAACTTTTGTATTTTTTTTGTTTCAATTTTCTTTATTTCTGCTCTGATCTCTATTGTTTCTACGAATTTTAGGTTTGGTTTGCTCTTGCTTTTCTAGTTATTAAGATTTATCATTAGATTGTTTATTTGAAGTTTTTTTACTCTTTTGATGTAGGAGCTTATTGCTATAAACTTTCCTTTTAGTACTGCTATTGCTGTATCTAATAGGTTTTGGTATGTTATGTTTCCATTATCATTTGTTTCAAGACATTTTAAAATTTCCTTCTTAATTTCATTATTGATCCACTGGTCATTCAGGAGCATATTGCTTAATTATCATGTATTTATCCTCTTGTTATCTATTTCTAGTTTTATTCTATCTGCAAATATCTATTAGGACCATTTGGCTTATCCTGCTAATTAAGTCCAGTGTTTCTTTGTTGATTTTCTATCTGGATAACTTGTCTGATGCTGAAACTTGAATGCTAAATCTCCAGCTATAATTGTATTAGAATCTATCTCTTTCTTTAGCACTAATATTTGCTTTATATATTTGAGTGCTCTGGTGTTGAGTACATATATATGTATAGTTTTATATCCTCTTGCTGGATTGACCCCTTTATCAACATGTATTGACCTTCTTTGTCTCTTTTTATGTTTTTTTTTTGTCTTGAAATCTATTTTATCTGATATAAGTATAGCCACTCCTGCTTTTTTCTTGTTTCCTTTTGCATGGAATATCTTTTTCCATCCATGTATTTTCAGTCCATGTGTATCTTTGTAAGTGAAGTGTGTTTCTTCTAGGCAGCAGATATTTAGGACTTTTTAAAAATCCATTTAGTCACTCTATGTCTCTTGATTGGAGAGTTTAGCCCATTTACACACAATGTTATTATTGATAAGTAAGAATTCACTACCTTCATTTTGTTATTTTTCTAGTTGTTTTATAATCTTCCCTCCGTCCTTCCCTCCCTCCCTCCCTTCCTCCCTCCCTCCCTCCCTTCTCTCCCTTCCTTCCTTCCTTCCTTCCTTCCTTCCTTCCTTCCTTCCTTCCTTCCTTCCTTCCCTCCCTCCCTCCTTCCTTCCTTCCTTCCTTCCTTCGTTTATGTGCTGGTGATTTTCTCTGATGGTATGTTTTAATTCTTGGCTTTCTATTTTTTTGTGTATCTGTTGTAGTTTTTGTTACCATGAGATGTGGAAATAATATCTTATAGCCCATGATTTTAAACTATTAACAGCACTTATTGCAAAACAAATTAACAAGCAGAAAGAAAACTGATAAAAACTCTACTCTTTATCCCCCACATTTTAAAAATTTTTATTATGTCTGTTTATGTCATTATACTACTTCTTGGAATTTGTTGTAGTTATTAGTTTTGAAAGGTTCATATTTTAGCCTTCCCACTAAAAACATGAGTAGTTTACACGCCACAATTACCGTGTTTTTCTTTTTTATCTGTGTACTTACTATTACCAGTGAATGTCTTACCTTTATATAAATGCTTATCACTTATTAACATTTTTTTCTTTCAGATTGAAGAACTTCCTTAAGCGTTTCTTATAGGACAGGTCTGATGTTGACAAAATCCCTCAGTTTTTGTTTGTCTGGGAAAGTATTTGTTTCTCCTTCATGTTTGAAGGTTATTTTCACTGGGTATACTACTATAGATTTTTTTTTTCTTTCAGCACTTTAAATATGTTATGTCACTCTTTCCCGGCCTGTAAGGTTTCCACTGAAAAATCTGATTCCAGGCATAGTGGAGTTCCATTGTATGCTATTTGTTTCTTTTCTCTTTCTGCTGTTAAAATCCTTTCTTTATCCTTGACCTTTAGGAGTTTGATTATTAGATGCCTTGTGGTATTCTTAATTGGATTAAATATGCTTGATGTTTTATAACCTTCTAGCACTTGAATATTGACATATTTCTCTAGGTTTGGAAAATTCTTTGTTTTTATCCCTTTGAATACATTTTCTACCCTGATCTTTCTCTCTACCTCCTCTTTAAAGGCAATAACTCTTAGATTTTCCCATTTGAGGCTATTTTGTAGATCTTTTAGGCATCCTTTATTATTTTTATTCTTTTTTCTTTTGTCTGCTCTGACTCTGTGTTTTCAAATGGCCTGTCTTCCAGGTCACTAATTGTTTCTTCTGTTTGATCAATTTTGCTGTTGGGAGACTGATGCATTCTTCAGTATGTCAATTGCCTTTTTCAGCTCCATAATTTCTACTTTATTACTAAAGATATTTTAATCTATGTGTTAATTTTTTTTTATTTGGTAGGATTCTAATTCCTTCTCTGTGTTATCTTGAATTTCATTGAGCTTCCTAAAACAGCTATTTTGAATTCTTTGTTTGAATATCTTTCACTACAGGATTGGTCACTGGTCCTTTCTTTAGTTCATTTGGTAAGATGATGTTTTCCTGAATGGTCTTGATGTTTGTGGATGTTCGTAGATGCCTGGGCATTGAAGAGTTAGGTATTTATTGCAATCTTCACAGTCTGGGCTTGTTTGTATTTGTCCTTCTTGAGAAGACTTTCCAAGTAATCAAAAAGCATTGAGTATTGTGATTAAGTATTTTGTGACTACTGCCATATCCGCATTAAGGGGCACCCCAAGCCCAGTAACGCTATAAATCTTGCAGTCTTATGGAGATACTGCCTTAGTGGTCTTAGGTAAGATTCAGGAGACTTCCCTGGATTACCAGGCAGAGTCACTTGTTCTCTTCACTTACTTTCCTCCCAACAGAGTCTCTCTGTCTTTATGCTGAGCTGCCTGCAGTTGGTGGAGGGATGACACAAGTACTCCTGTGGTCAGCACCACTGGGGCTATGTTGGGTCACAGCTGAAGCCATCACAGTACTGGCTGTCTCCGAAGGCCTGTGGCAACTATTGCCTGTCTACTGCTGGTGTTTATTCAAGGTCCAAGTGCTCTTTAGTTAGCAGATGATGAATCCTACCAGACTAGTGCCATTCTCTTCCAGGTGGTTGGTTTCTTTCTGGTCCAAGGTGAATCTAGAAATGTTGTCTGTGAGCTAGCATCTGGAGTTATGAATTTTAGTTATTTATTGGGTGCCTTATTTTACTGTAGCTGAGTTGGTACCCAAGTTGCAAGACAAAGTTCTTTTTACTTTTTCCTCTTTTTTCCTCAAGTAGAAGGAGTCTCACCTCATGGCCATCCCTGTTCTACAACCATGGTAAGTACTGCCGGGCTACCACTAATGTTTATTTAAGGCCCAAAGACTCTTTAGTCAGATTATGCAGAATCCTTCCAGGCCTGGGTCTTTTCCTTCAGAGAAGTGCTTTCCTTCTGGCCAGGGCAGGTCTATAAATACCTGGAATCAGGGACTTTAGGAGTCTGCTTGTTGATTTATTTTACTATGGCTGAGCTGGATGCAAGACAAATCCTCTACTCTATCCTCTCCTTTCCTCAAGCAGCAACAGACTCTCCTGGAGCTGCATTGCCTGGAGTTAGGGGTGGGTGACAGAAGCTCTCCTTTAACTGCCCCAGCTGGTGTCTCACTAGGTTGTATGAACCTCATATTCACTGGCTCTGAGCCCAGCACAGCACCAGGATTTGTCAAGGAATTCCAGTCCTCATGGCTTAGACTGCTTTTTAAATTTATTTAGAGCCCAGACCACTTTCGCCTATGGTAGTAGGGCTAGTCCAAACTCAGATTCCCACTGCTGTGATAGACAATTCCCTTCTGGCCAGGATTGGTCTAAATGTTTCCTCCATGGACACCAGCTGAATTCTGCCCTATGTTGCTTTCCACTCTGACAGGGCAACACTGAGTTCCTATGCAAAGTCACGCAATTGTTGTGTTCTCCCTACTCCAAGCACACAGATTCTGTGTGCCCCACTGCTGCTGGACGATGTGGGAGGTGTGGTGTAGGCAGTGCAAGGCTGTCTTTACTTCCCCCTTCAGTGTCTCTTTCCTTGACATGATATTAAAAGCAGGTACTGTGGTTGCTCACCTGATTTTTGGTTCTTACAGAAGTGCTTTCTTGTGTGGATAGATGTTCAATTTGATGATTTTGTGTGTCAGATGTTGACGGTCACTGGAGGATTCTATTCAGCTGCCTTACTTTGCCCTTTCAATCTGGTAGAGATGATTAGATAATTTTATTGAATATATTCATTTCCTTTAAGATAAGGAAATTGAGACTCAAAAAGATTGTTTGACTTCTCTTATAGTTCCTATAAGTAGTGCCTGAGCCAATGGGGAACTATACACTATTGTATCTGAGAATGCCACTTTATATTGTACTATATTGCTTCACACTTTGCGTTTCTACATGGCGCCAGGGTATATGTAATTGTCACATTGACAAATACATTTGCGTTACTGTATAAGAACTTTGTCAAATAATCTATAATCACCACAATTCCTATGAAAAGAATGTGTTTTCCCCTCAATGTCAATAATCATTTAATTTTAAATATGATATAGTGGTGATTATTTATTATATCTAATTGGGGAAGAAATTCTAAATCAAAGAAAAATATTAATTCAAGTGGAAGAAACATTAGTGAAATATTAGTAAAATGGTATTCCTTATTTACTGTAAGTAGAAGATAAAATAGGATATATGTGTGACATTTAGGTTTACAGAATTTGATTTTTTAACAGCAGAGGAGATCAGAGTTCTTCATTTGATTAAATAAAATCCCAATGTGATTTTTGCTTTTTGCTTATCTCACATGAGAAAGAAATCTTGATAATTTTCATTCAGAATTTTAGAATAAAATTTAGAATTTAGAATTTTAGAATAGGGCTGATCTGACTACATGCAAAGAGGTACTTATTTATATGAATAAGTCATTTTCTAAATATGGCATTGCATCATTTGATGGACACTTTGATGGTGCTGACCATCCCAAATTCAATAGCTTAACACAACTATTTTTTTCACAACTCTGTGATGGGCTGAAGATGGCTGAATTTTGAATTTAAAGGCTGAATTTTGACCCATGAATTATTCATTCTCCTTGGTCCAGTAGGCAAAGCCATGCATGGTCTTTTTCTGACAAGGGAAAAAAGTTCATAGGCTAAAATTTTAATTGTACAACTATTTTTAAAGCTCTACTTGCATTTTTTTCCTAAAATCTATTGGTTAAATCAAACACATTGTCAAGCTCAGATTTAAGGGACAGGAAAGTAGATTCTGTCCTCAAATATGAGGGAAGAGGGTGAATCTTTTAAAATAATAATATAGTTTGCCACAAAGATTAACCCACATATTAATGAAAAACTTTGAGCTACTGCTGAGGTCAATGTTAAATACATATACACACACACACACACGCAAACACACACACACACACATCTTTGCAAAATACAGTGTCAAGATAATGAGAAGACAAGTTACAGACTAATAGAAAATCTTTGCAAAGACACATCTTATAAAAAACTGCTATCCAAAATACAAAATGAGTGCCTAAAATTCAACAATAAGAAAATGACCAACCTTATTTAAAAAAATGGGCAAATTATATGAACAGACTGGAAAAAGATACACAGATGGCAATTAAACATATGAAAATATGTTCAACATCATATGTCATTAGGGAATTGCAAATTAAAACAATGAGATAGTACTAGCTACCTATTAAAATGGCCCAGATCCAGGACACTGATGGCAACAAATCTTGGTGATGATGTGGAGCAATAGAAATTCTGTTTCATTGCTGGTGGAAATGCAAAATGGTATAGCCATTTTGAGAGATAGTTTGGTAGTTTCTTACAAAACTAAACATACTCTTACCATAAAATCCAGCAGTCATGCTCCTTGAAATTTACGCAAATGAACTCAAAACTTATGTCCACACAAATACCTGCAAATGGAGGTTTACAGCAGCTTTATCCATATTTGTCAATTTGGAAGCAACCAGAATGTCTTTCAGTAGGTGAATGGATAAATAAACTATGGCGCTAAAAAGAAATGATCTATCAAGCCATGAAAAGACATGGAGGATACTTAGAAGCATTTTACTAAGTGAAAGAAATCAATCTGAGAAGTCTACATACTATATGATTTCAACTATATGATGTTCTGGAAAAGGCAATTGAGACAATAAAATTATCAGTGGTTTCCAGGGATTAGGTGGGAGCGAGAGAGATTAAGCAGAGCAAAGAGGATTTTTAGGTCAGTAAAGCTATGATACATAATATGACAATAGTAGATACATGCCATCATACTTTTCAAAACCCACAGAATATACAACACCAAGCCTGAATTCTAATGTGAACTACGGACTTTGGGTGATAATGATGTGTCAGTGTAGTTTCATTAATTTTAACGAATGTACCATAGTAGTGTGGGATGTTGGTAGTTGGGGAGGTTGTACGTGAAGGAGGGCAGGGAGTATATGAAAACTCTGTACTTCCTGTTTAATTTTGCTGCGAACACAAAACTGCTCTAAAAACAAAGATTATTGATTTTTTAAAAAAGTAGTCATTACTACTTCCAAAGTTGTCCACAAATATTTATAAAATGTTTTATTTTGTGTTAGTAGAAGCATTGGAAAGCTTAAGGTGGCTGTTCTCACTGATATATTTAATATGATTTTCTGATTTAGTCTACTACTCAATTTCCATGGCAATGTTTTAGGTTAAAAAAAAGTATCAGGGCATCAGTAAGCAACATATTCTGGCCAGTGCTCTCAAGTGTCATTCATGTTTATTTCAGCTTTCACAACATTGCAGACTACATTAAATATATGTTGGAGGCAAACTTTGACTCAAACTGACTTGAAAAACTCATTCAAAATAATAATGTCTTCATTTTCTGCTTGATATATCCCTAGTAGCGATAAGGAAATGGAATATTGTCTCTGTCTTTTAATTCAGTCGTGGTCACCAAGTCATGGCATTTTCAAAGCAATTCCTCAAATAGAAGAAAATGCATTTTTTGTTTCTTTGAGGAACAATAGAAACTCAAATTGAATTATCTTTGTATAAATATCTTGGCTTACACCTTTTAAAATAATCGTGTTTGAACATACTGGCAATTGTTATGGTTCATAAATAATATCATCAACAACTAATACTTATTAAGAAGTATCTGCATTTAAAGCTGTTAGATACATTAAATAGGCATCCTAAACAGGATGAAAATGCCTTATACAAATAGAAAAATTCAAACAACACAAGCTATAAAATAGAGTATAAAATACAACCAATATTTATTTACATTAAACATACTACTTTTCTTTCCGTGGTTTGTGTTCTGTGAAATTATGTGGGAGAAAAATTTCATATTGCTTTTACTTAAATGAAAGAACCAGACAAAGCCTGGAAAGTTTGCTGAATTTTATCAATAACACGTATTTGTAAATATATTGTGTGCTTATTATTTTTGCTTGTCTTTCATTTTTGGGCACAGCATCTCCAAATTTTGGTCACAAATGATGCATAACCCTCCAGAAATACAGCTTAAAAGAAGAAAATGAAGATGGAAAAATAACATACTAAAAAATGTACAAAAGCTTTTCCCATGCTTAATCATTCTATCCAGAGCCACATTTATGTTTCGGATCCTTTTACAGCAGAGGTTGGGAGGTCAATAAAAATATATGATGAGATTTAAAATAAATTAAATTGTATATTTATTGTTAATCTTTACACACGAGTGAATCAACTAAAATTCCTTACCCAAGGATGTGTTTCTCAAACAGCCTTGATATAGAATTAACATATAGAAACTTCTGAGGGAAATGTAAGGAAACAATATAATGGTCATTGCTTTAGAACTAAAAGACAATTTTAAAAATTAATTCAAATATTCATTAGCATCCAGGAATATGTAATAGGATTTTTGGTCAAGCTCACACTACCTCAAACTTGCTGCTCACAATATGTCTTAAGGCAATTTTTCCAACCCTTTTAGATCTGAAAATAGAAGATTAATGTTCAAGAAAATGGAGAATTGCAAGACACCATAGAAAATATGAGATTTGAAAATCTGACCTTAGTCTAGAAGACAGGATTTAGACAGCAGCATACCAAAAGTAAATGAAAGAAAGTAAATTATATCTTTTTGACACTTCAAATTCTTGTTGCCTAAATCTTAGTCAAGTTGAAGCTTATAAGATGATGATGTATTTTCGTAAGAAAAATAATTTGGTGGATTATTTAGTAGGAAAATTTATGAAGATAATAAAAAAACTGAGAAATATGATTCAATAATGGGGTAAAATACAATAATAATTTTAAAAAGCAACATTGGGTAAGAACCTTATTTTGTTGTATCCACTGAATTTCCTTTCACAATGTAAATTATTATGGTTATTGTGCATATACAGGTGATACGGCTGTTATGTTTCCCATGGTTTAAATAAGGAGTCAATAGGAAAATGTAAATGAGGCTCTATCATTTTCTAAAAGATAAGCTGTCCTCTGAAAAATCTATTTTCTCCTTATGTGGCTTACTTGCAATTGTCAGGAATGAGACAGATCCTAACATTTTTTTGGGCACCTTTTATATATCAAGTATCATGCTAGAAGTTGTAAATGTGCTGTCTTAGTTGTAATCCTACAAAATACTGACCTAATTATTGTAAAACTACAGCAAATAAAGGTAACTTTCTATATATAGATAAAAGGTATTAGTTTTTATGATTCAGATTTAGAATACTATTGTGAAAATTAGCACATTTTCTAAATATGTATATTTTATGCAAAGATGGAAGATAGTTAAAACACACAATGGGTGCTTAGGAAATACAAATATATTGCTTTGTGAATTAACTAGATTGGCAAAGTGGGTTAAGTAGATCCATGACAGTGAGACTCACTTTTATTTTTAGTTTGTCACATCTTACATTTAAATAATCATATGACTTTGAGGCCCACTCAGTTGTGAATAATAATTGATTTATTTTGCCTGCTTGTAACTAGAAAGTCTGTGTAAATTTTCAAGTATGTTAATTTATTCACCAAAATATTTTTTGCTACGATTTAAAATAAAAGAAGAATGATTACAACTTGACTTACTAAAAAACGAAACTTAATTTATAAATTATTGTATATAATATAAGTAACAAGGAATTCAAAATGATAAAAGCTTGATTCAGTGATATTTAAATCACAATTTATGTGATTCATTCAACTAACATTTATTAAATACTTCTAGTTTTTGGATTTATGCTATGACAGATGCTATATGCTTGAGTTCTTCTTTTAAGGCAGTTTCTGCCTTGTTAGACAAGAGGTAGACATGGATATGAACAAATAAAAATGTATACCCATTAACATAATAATAGAAGTTTTAGTACAAGTTTCTATTATGATAATATATCATATAATAATATTATATTATGATGGTAGTGCATTGGAGAAAGCCCTGTAATTAATTTGACAAAGGGACAAGGTATCAGGGCAGTCTTCAGATGAGAGGTGATATCAGGTCAGCAAAGTGGGGGCATATAAGTGGTGGGCATCTTACACTGCATAAAAAGCAGTGTATAATCCTGAAAGCCTGGCTCCAAAGGCCTATCTATAAGTACTTATTATTTCTGAAGCATAATGGTAACAAGGAGGGAGCACCAGCAGATGAGATTAAAAATGTGGCTTTAGACCTTAGGAAGTCATCAGAGGAATTTAAGCAATCAGTTGTATTATATGATTTATATTTGGATATGATTATTCTGTAAATTGTATAGACAGTGAATCAAAGGTGAAATGTGAATTAAGAGGCTACTGCAATTATACAGAAAAGATAGAAGCCCTTACCCAAGATATTGACAGTTGGGGTTTTAAAGCCAATAGAATCTGAAGACCTTTAAAAGACAAAATGAATTGTCTCTAATGCCCAAACAGGTGTGAAAGTAGCATTGAAGTATAGGGGATAATCAAAGATAACATACAGCTTTCTTCTTTAGTGACTGGGTGAACAGCTGCTATGACATTACAAAAATATAATGTAAAGAGGGAAGATAAGGTGTGAAGTAGAAAAATAAAGTAGATTTCGACTCAGTGCATATAATTTCACCGTGAGGCATAAAATTGGAGCTGTTAATTTGCAGCTGGAACTCAAGAAAGAGATTTGGGCTCTTTATATGGAAAACCTGGGAATAAAGTACGGAAAATTCTCACAGGAAGATTTGAGAAACAAGTAGGTACTATCAGCTAAAAGGTGGATGTCCGTATGTTGTGTAGATAAGTTCCACAATTCAGAGGTGTGTTACATATCTGAAATATAAATTTTGATAGATTTGGTGGCAATTAGGTAACTGAAAACTCAACAGTGCACCCAGGTGTCAGTGAGAAAATTATAAGGCATCATTTCAAGGTTGTAGATGGAGAGAATAATCATGAGCAGGGATAGGCATGTCGTCATGTACCAGAAGTTAATGTGTCAGGATGAATTTGATGCAGATAAATTTATAGAGAAAGAACCAAAAAAAGTATGAGTTTCCATAGCTGATATGTTCTCTTTTATTTGAATTAAGAAACAAGGTGTGCTTAAAACATTTAAAACAAGAGGACAAGTAGGTGAAGACAGTACCAAGATGGAGGTAGTTGCTCTAGCCTCACAATGCCTCAGGTCCAAATGTAGATTGGAAAACTATATCTTGCTTTCCTAAAAGCTCACGCAGAGTTCCCCTATGTTACTATTTTTTTGTTACATTCTTTCTACTTTGGCAGGAAATATAATATTTATATACTTTTCGTCTATTTATAACCCCACCTATTATTTCATCTTCATTCTAAAATTAAAATATAAATTTCTCACTATCGGTTAATTTGCCAAAACTTTCCCAGTCCTCTCTTGGTTGAATAAAGCTCTAAAAAATCTGGTAGATTCCTTAGAAGAGCACATGTGTACAATTCCTTTAGTTCTTCAGGTTCAAAGCTTTTTTCTGTAGTCTATTCACTCAAAGGAAAGCTTAGGGCACTCTTACTTCCTTAAGTTTCTTAAAAATACTCCTTCACTGTTGTCTTGCTGTACATGTTGCTTTGGAAAGTTGAGATACCTTTCTAATTCTCATGCTTTTTGTGTGTTATTTCAACTTATTACCTGGAGGCTCTTAATATTTTTTCTTTTAATTTTCTGTAACAAAAAGATTTATTAGAATTTGTCTCAGAGTGATTGTACCAGGTCAATGTTCTTCAGTACCCAGTAATCCCTTTCAAGTCTAGACTGGAGACTTCTTTATTGTTGAAAACTTTTATAGATTATACTTGTAAATAATAGTTCTGTTTCATCATTTTTACTTGCTTTTTCAAGGATACTAAATCAACTTATTTATTTCTCTTCCATGTCAGCTACTTTCTCTCTGATCCATTTTGTTTATTCTTTATTTCATTTTTATTCTGTTAGCATTTTTTCCTGTTTTTGAACGGGTGGGTTGCCCCTCCACACCTGTAAGCGTTTCTCGTCAGGTGGAATGAGAGACTTGGAAAAGAAAGAGACACAGAGACAAAGTATAGAGATAGAAAAATGGGCCCAGGGGACTGGGACTCAGCATGTGGAGGACCTGTGCTGGGACCGGCCTCTGAGTTCCCTTAGTATTTATTGATCATTATCGGGCGTTTCCAGGAGAGGGGGATGTGGCAGGACAATAGGATAATAGTGAAGAGAAGGTCAGCAGGTAAACATGTGAACAAATGTCTCTGCATCATAAACAAGGTAAAGAAAAAAGTGCTGTGCTTTTGATGTGCATATACATAAACATCTCAATGCATTAAAGAGCAGTATTGCTGCCAGCATGTCCCACCTCCAGCCCTAAGGCGGTTTTCCCCTATCTCAGTAGATGGAATATACAATCGGGCTTTACAGGGAGACATTCCATTGCCCAAGGACTAGCAGGAGACAGATGCCTTCCTCTTATCTCCACTACAAAGAGGCGTTCCTTCCTCTTTTACTAATCCTCCTCAGCACAGACCCTTTACAGGTGTAGGGCTGGGGGAACTTCAGGTCTTTCCCTTCCCACGAGGCCATATTTCAGACTATCACATGGGGAGAAACCTTGGACAATACCTGGCTTTCCTAGGCAGAGGTCCCTGCGGCCTTCCGCAGTGTTTTGTGTCTCTGCGTACTTGAGATTAGGGAGTGGTGATGACTGTTAACAAGCATGCTGCCTTCAAGCATTTGTTTAACAAAGCACACCCTGCACAGCCCTTAATCGATTTAACCCTGAGTTGACACAGCACATGTCTTAGGGATCACAGGGTTCGGGGTAGGGTTACAGATTAATAGCATCTCAAGGCAGAAGAATTTTTCTTAGTACAGAACAAAATGGAGTCTCTTATGTCTACTTCTTTCTACACAGACACAGTAACAATCTGATCTCTCTTTCTTTTCCCCACAGTTTTTAGTCAATGCCCTTTATTAAATTTTCATTTGAAACCTTCTACCTTGAGCCCCTTATAATTTATCTTTATTTCTGATATGACTTTGTCATTTTTTCTGTATCTTTCCTGAGTTAATTCATTTTTTGTTTCATTAAAATCTGTTTTATGTCCATTTATAATTCTAGTATTTATATTTCTGATTCAAGGAAGTTTTTATATCTTCAATTGTGTGTTTGAGTATATTTGATTTACTGTATTCGGTTGCTTTCAGGGGGAAAATTGTTTTCCTCAGAAATGCGTCGTTTCCATTTCTGATTTACCACAATATTGTTGTGTAGATGTGATTGACTTTTTTCTATTCCTATTCATTTCATGAACAATGTTTATGGTTTAAGAATGCCCTCTTCTGTACTCTTCTCTACAATTTATTTTATAGATTGTGTTGGTATGGATAAGACACATTGTTGTTTCCTTCTTGTTTCTTTGGGATTCTTCATTTATTTTTTTGTTGTGGTTCTTATTTTTATTGTGAGGGAGATACATACGTATAGAGAAAGAGTAGCACTCATTAGAAATTAATTATTGCTCTCTGAGACTGCTACTTTCAATCCCAAACACTTTACTTTTTTTTCTTTTTCTTTTTCTTTTTTTGAGACAGAGTCTCACTCTGTCACCCAGGCTGGAGTGCGTTGGCACGATCTTGGCTCACTGCAACCTCCACCTCCTGGTTTCAAGTGATTTATGTGCCTCAGCCTCCCAAGTAGCTGGAATTACAGGTATTTGCCACCATGTCTGGCTAATTTTTGTAATTTTAGTAGAGATAGAGTTTTGCCACATTGGCCAGGCTTATTTCGAACTCCTGGCCTCAAGTGAATGCCCACCTTGACCTCCCAAATTTCTGGGATTATAGGCGTAAACCACCACACTCTGCCCCCACACACTTTAAAACTCCTCATTTAATCAGTGCTGTGAACTACCAAGTGTGTTTGGTACTTTAACATTGAATGTTTGACTTTCTCCTTGCAGGTGGACTCTGTGGGAATTTTTCTTTTTCTCTATTTCCAGACAAGTAAGAGTATAGCATTCTCTTTTTCCAATTAATGTTGAAGGTATATGTCATGCATGTATGGTTTTATTTTCATCCTTGATTTTATTTATAGATTTTTAGAGGGAGTGTGGAGGAAATTTGGAAACAGGCAACCACCATTTTTTTCCAGACATTATTATACAATCTTGACATTAGAATTGACATACAGCTTAGAACTCATCAGTTTGAAAATCCTAGTTTACAGATGAAGAAGTGGGAGGCCAGGAAAATTAAGTGAATAGATCAGAGTCAAATAGCTGTTATAGGTAAAATCTGACTAAATGGTTTTCTTATTACAAGTCTCATTCTTTTCTCAAAAATTGATGTCAGTATGTAGAAATATAATGTATGTTATTATATTATATAGATAAGCAATGCTTTTGTATATTAAATTTAAATCAATATTTTTAGTTTTCATTATGATCCTTAAAATAATGAATGATCAAGATCGTAATTGAGTAACAATCATAATAGAGATATTGGAACTGATGAGATTAATATTTTCAGTACATTTTACAATGAGGCAACACCCAATGAACTTGAAATGTGGTTGTCTTAGTCCGTTCTGTACTGTTGTAACAGAATACCTGAGAATGGGTATTTTATTTAAAAAAAAGAAATGTATTTCTCACAGTTCTGAGGCTGAGAAGTCTAACCAAGGCATTGGTAGGTTTGGTGTCTAGTGGGAATAAAGTATCTGTTTCCAAGATGGTGCCTTGAACGCTTCATCCTCTGAAGGGGAGGAATGCTGTTCCTCATATGGCAGAAGGTGGAAGGGTCAAGAAAAAGAGCCCACTTCATGAGCTTTTTTACACAGGCATTAAACCCACCTTTACCCTTTAAAGGTCCTACCTCCTCATACCATTACATTGGCAATTAAATTTTAACATGAATTCTGGAGGTGGACAAACATTCAAAACATAGCAACAGTTTACTTGATGGAGCCAACGAGTTGTATGAGCTTTTTTTAATTTTTCATGTACTTGAAATAAAAGAAGATTAATAAGACAGACCACTTTGTATTTCAAGATATTTGCAATAATTTGAAAGCTAAAATTGTGCTTTTGTGTTGATTTATTATTAATAAAACTGTCTATCTTTAACATACAACTTGCTTTTAGTAGAAATCTAATTTAATTTTGGTTCATTGTAGTGTTCAGTTACACATGAGAGTAATATATTTACACTATTGTACATTAATTTTAGGTTGTCACTGCCATAGATTCCCTTTATTTTAGTAATATGTATGTGTGTGAAAAAATATTTTATAATTTTTTCAACTTAAATAAATGTTCAATGGATTGTGGGAAAATATGGGATTTTTAATTATAACTCTGATGGTAGCCAAAAGAAAAAATCTTTTATGTACTCTCAATAAATCAAATGATGATTCATTACAAGACAACCAAAATATCTAATTAAATAAAATATTTCTAAAAGTGTAATTATTGAGGTGCAACTTATTAAAAATATTATTAGCCAATTATGTCCAGTGAAGGTTACAGGCCTACAATGTCCACAAATATGATATTCAAATCTTTTCTAATATTTTCATGGTATTCATAAGATTTAAAATTCAGCACTTTGTTTTTAATTGATGGTGCAAATGTGAAATTTAAAATGTAATTACCTTTTACATATCCCTGAAATGTGGCTAATATCAAAATGTTTCCATAGACCAGCAAAGTGGATCTCATGGCCTTAACAGTGTCTGGAAGGGACGGTGGTAGACAAGCTCACAGAGTTAGTAGCAAAGATAGGAGCATCCCTGTATAGATCATGCAGGTCTTAGAAGTGTTTGGATTTTACCCTGAATTCAGAAGTCATTGGAGGGTTTTGAGCAGAAAAGTGATTATGTGTTTTATATTTTCCAGAGATCACTCTGGCTGATATATTGAGAATATATCATAAGAAGGCAAGCACAAAAACAGAGAGAGTAGTTAGGTGATGTTCCAAGAATCTAGGTGAGAGATCATTCCATATTAGAGCAAGGTGGTAAGAGTCAGAAGAGCTAAGAATGTGAGAAGAGTAGGTTCAGGGAAAAACAATTCAAAAATTATGTTTTACATGTATAAACTTTGAAATGCCCATTTATATCCAAATAAGCAAGCATATGGAGTAGGTAATTGGATATGTGAATAAATAGCTGAACATTGAGGTTGCCACAGATGATCTATTGTGCCAAATGCTACTGAGAAATCAAGAAAGATGAAGACTGAAAACTGACTACTGATTTAACAGAATAGGTGACCTTGACAAAGCCTGATGGGAATGGCTTTATGAATGGTTGGTGAAAGAGGAGTTACCCATAATAAACACAGACAACCCTGTAAAAGAATTGGAGGGAAACATGGGGCAAAGGAATTTTGTTTTGTTTTGTTTTGTTTTGTCTTTTGTATGAAAGATATTCAGCAAGTTCTCATGTTGATGTGGAAAGTCTAGTCCACTACTACTCAAAGTACTGTTCTACAAGCTGTACGTGAGCAGTCCACCAGGAGACAATGAGTTTGTGCCAGAATGTAACTCAGTGCACTATTTCTTTCATTTACAAAGCTTCACTCTAAAAATGTGTCAGGACAATAAAACACTGTGTTTAAGGACATCATTGATTTACATTCTGGAAGAAGTCCTTATTTTGTAGGAGATTATAACAGACATATGGTGAGCTTTACTTTTAGTCTCATCAAAGAAGTTGAAGGAATAAAATTGTTTAAGCAATAGGGAAAAAGGACAGGTATAAAAAGTGAAAGCAACATAGCCCTCATTAGTAAATCTTCACTGTTTTTTAGTTTTTACGAACTCTCACCACACCCAGGTTTTCTGTGCCATTCGTTGCCTGCCAGGATCCTGACTGACATATTTATTAAATCTTTATTAATGCCTCTGGATATCAAACTCTCCTGCTATTATGCATATACTGTTTATTTATATTTATATATATTTATATTATGCATATTTATGTGGCTTTGTAAATCATCTGAGTTTTGATTAAAAGAAAGAAGAACATAAACTATATGTCAAATTCATTGCAAAACACTAGATAGTCATAGCTGTCCTTTAAATTCACCTGAAGTACTTTAAAAATATATCCTACCCAGCAGATAATTTGATTGTATTCATCTAAATTGGGCCCAGAGATTAATATTCTTGTTTCCCTAGGGTATTCTAATGTACAGCCAGACTTGGAAACTACTTTGCTAAGAATTCAGAGATATAAAAGGCTTGCTCAATGAACTCAAGGAATTAACATTCTAGCAGAGGGAAAGGGGCTTGTAAATAAATAGCTTCATTCAATGGGTGTTAAACAGCAAGGTCATTTATGAGGGTATTTAAAATTGATATTAATGATAAAATTAGGAGTAGATACATAAGTGGATAATCATATACAGAAGAGTTGGACATCTTCAAGGAAACTATACCCTTGGACATTATTAAAAATAATAATAATAGCTATACTTACAATTCAGTTAGTAGGTATGAAATATGAGTCTAGTGCTTTGCTTATATTAATTTATTTAAACTCCAAACAATCCTACTGGGGTAGGTATTATTACTCACTAGTTTTACATGTGAGGAAACTGAGGCATAGAGAGGTTAAGTAACTTGTACTTGGATGTATAACTAGTAAGCCAAGGTTTGGTTCCAGGCCATATGGTTTCAGTGTCCATGTTCAAAACTTGAGTCTATTTCTTGCTAATAAATTGTCGGTAATTTTCCAACCTGCCTAGGTATCATCCTATATCTTGGTTCTGTTAAACTTGATTTATTGTCCTAGTTTATGTTGCTCCACACTACCTTCATGCTTCTCTGCTCAAATTAACCACTGTCTCTCTCCAAGTAGCCCAATGTCAAATTATTGTAATATTGTTTCTGAGGCATTTTTCTGTAAATCTTTGTAAACTCAATTTGCTTCTCTACTTTCCTTTTCTATTGTCTTCATGTACAGCTTCATAATCTCTACTTTTCATCATTGTTTTCCTATATTATTACTCCTTACTTCATTTTTACTTCAGGAATCCCAAAATTTACTATAGAAAACAATTATCAGTGATTACTCTACCATTTATAGTACATTTCTACAAGCTAAACCCTGATGCATAGTCAGTTATTGTTGAGTTCCCTTTGTCTTTCTAAAAGTCTTACAAGCTAAGTCACTATTTATATTTTGTAGTTGTTTCAGAGGTTTGCTATCCTGCTCAAGATTGCAAATCTAGTAAGTGGTTGAGCAGGGATTTAAACCCCCCATTTCTAATTCCAGAGTTCTTAATGATCACAGTTTGCTGTGCCAATAGAAAGACTGATCTCCAAAGTTGGAACATAAGTTCTGTTTCTCTGCTGCTGCTTCTCCTTTTTCATTAACTTGCCCCCTGGTCATAGCAAAGTGGCCAACTATCAAAGGAAATCAGCCTTTCTACCCCTGGGCTATGAAGTGCAGCAGAAATGCTTTCTCAGGGTTTTGCTTTTACCGTTTATTGTCCACTGAATTATAGTTACATTGCTAGTAAAGATGCTGATTGTTAAAAATTGACAGCATAGCCCTCATTAGTAAATCTTCTCAGGTATGAGTTGCTGAGACATCTTTATCTATAGCAGTAACTTTTTGCTACTTTATAAATATATGTATTTTTTCATTATCAAATATATAACTTAACAAATTCAAGTGCTTAGAAAATATAAAAATAAAGAAAGACACAGCAAATTATGAGAGAGAGATTAATTTCTGTTCCTGGATTTAGAGAGAGGTCTCTGTTCACTCTAAGTGCTACATCTGACATTCCAACTTCTGACCAAAAAAAAAAATATATTCCAAGAATATCTCTTCTTCTTCTGGACAATTTAATTACCATTAATTTTTTCAGTATGGAGAAACATGGATTAGATTTAAATCAGGTAGGTTAAATTTTTTGAAGTTACTTTGTTTAATGTATGTGATTATATTTTTTCCCTCAAAAAGTAAATCTGTATCCAACTCCTCTCCACCTGTGGAGAGTAGAGAGAAGTGAGACCTTTTCTTCAATACAATCATTGATCCTGTAGAAATTTTTTCCTTCATTGGAAACTCAGTGAGGGAAAGGCTAAAGGAAGTGAGAGCAGTATGGGGAAGGTTAGCTCTGAGGCATAAAAGAAACTAAACACTTTAGGGAAAAGTTAGTGGTCCAAATCATCAGGTCTTACAGGCAATGGAAAACTCTAGTCTCTCCACTAATTACCATCCAAAATTATTATATATTAGAGTCAGGTGAAGCATGCAATATTCCTTGATGTTCAACGAGCATCTGAAAAATATACCTAGGAGATCTTTCCGAGTAGAAATACAGGACCGCAGAGTTGCAATCCAGATGCAAAGAAAGGAGCTGGCTTGAACTAACAAATGTTTTCCAATGAAAAATTGAAAAACAATTGAGACTGAGGACATGGGAAAAAATTCTAGCAAATAAGAACTTAGCCATGGTAAGGCTTTTGAAAATGTTTATTAAGTGAAGAATGAATAGTCAAGAAACATATTGAACATGAGTGGTAGAAATTAGGTTAGGAAGCTGCAGCCTGACACTCATATAGAAAACGATGTAATCACCTCCTGCACGCTGGATTATACTGTCTTATTATTTCACTGTTCATGAAACAGTGTCCCGAATCAGGTACTTAATAAAAGAATTCAGTCGCACACATTCAACCACCTAATGATGATATTCATCTTGGCATCATCCTATATCCCTCCCTTGTTTTAGTTCCTGCATTGACTCTCACTAATTCCTTCTTCCACCAGCCCTTCCGTATTTCTCAAATCCAAATTCAGCCTCTTATTGGTAGTTTTTTTCAGCCAAATCCTCAAGACCTCATCATTTTTTGCCTGACAATTAAAAATCATCCCTCTGATTTCCCTGTTTTTCTCAAAACCATACTTTCCATTGCTCACAATAAAATCTGAAATATAATTCTGACCTGTTCCTTCTCCTTTTTACTTTTAGTGACTCCCCGTCATCTGTTGTGTAAAATCTAATATCTTTATAAAGGTATTAAAAGCTCTTCATGATCAGATCTTATGACGCTGTCCACCTTTTTTCCTTGTTTTTCCTCTTACCTCTCATTCACTATGTGCACCAGAAATATTTTGTTTCTTGAATGAGCCATGCTACTTTATATCTCCCTTCCTTGCTTGCTTTATATACTAATCTTTTCTCTACATATAATTTGTAATCTTCTTCTGATATCCCCTCAACTCAACCATAGCCACTACACTTCCCAGAGTCTAAATGATTACTCTAAACAAAATTATTTACTAATCTCATTTGTAAAGACACCTTAACTTTCAAACTTATTAATGCTAACAGCAAAGGTTTTGAAATTTTTTTGAACATACAACATATTAAAAAACAAGTTCAGGAATACTTAAAAAATGAGTATGTATTTACTTACTATGTATATAGTAAGTTATATTGACTAATTTTTAACAATATAATAAAAACTCTTCATAAACCATTTCATTGTAACTGCTTAGCCATTACTTTTAAGAGAAATAACAAATGAAAAGTTTTTGAACTGTGTACACTTAGCCCTCAAGTTTACCATTGAGCCTAAACATGATAAATTGAATTTTAAAGGCATATTTGAAAGACACCTTTTATTTTAAAGGTGTGGTAAAATTAGACTCAATTACTTTTAGTTAAAATGTAAATTCACCGATGTTTGGAAATAAGTACTTTTTTTTTTAAATCCTGAAACTCACTGTTTATTTTTCTTTACTTTGTTCTAATTTTGGTATTTTTATTAAAACTCCAAAGAATCATATGTTGATTTTAATAAGATCAGAAACAAGAAGTTTTTAAATTTTTGCTTAAAATGAAAATGCTGTTCCCTCCACTCATTGAATAAAACCTTTACATCTCTCCCCAGTATGTAAATATAGCAATGGAAGCCATGGATGTATTTCTAAAAGACATTTTTTCCCACTAAAATTTCCATTTCTTAGTTCATTTCAACAGTATAGAAATTGCTGAAATGTCACTTGTATTAATCCTGTTGGAAGTGGTTCGTTTTAAAAACCATGTAGAAAAAGTAAGATATTATGTTGGACCACTAATAAATTCATTTTGAAGATATAAAAGTTTAAAACTTTAGGGAAATTCAGTATTTTCAGCTACTTATAAGTTAGGAAGAAAAGGCTTAATTGGAATTTTTTAGATATGGAGCTGCCAGCAAGAAAAAAAAAGCTAAAGAATTTCATGTGTTGCTAGGAAAATTTGAGAAGCATCTATGCTTCATACTCTTGTCCAGAGCCCAATGTGTATTCTTGTTACATTTTGAAAGTAATTTAGTGCCCACATGAAACAGAGGGTTATCCTCTATACCAAAAATTTTGTTTCTGTTCATTTAGAAGCAAAGCTCAATAAATAAAATAAAAAAAAATTATAATAGCAAACTCCATTTTCTTTTAACACGAAGTAACTAACATATAATAATATAGTTTCATAGGAATAAAAATAGAAGTAGAAGCTCTTATTTTTTATCTAGGATGCATTATTTTAGCATCTGGATCTGAATAGTTGTTTAAAATGAAAATGTTCAAATATTCAAATATTATTCAATGTTCAAATGTTCAAATATTATTTGAATAAAATGGTGATGCTATTAAATTTAAAATAATCTTTGTGGTACTAGTAAATATATTAGGATAATTTAAAAAGTAGAAGCATTTACTATCCATTTATCTAACAATATTCTATAGGAGTTTTACTCTGTAATCTATTTCCTTTGCCTCTTTCTTGAGCTCTGTACCAAATTGTTAATATTTTCATCAGGTTCACCACAAATTTTTAAGCTTAACTTGTCCAAGTCAAATTTGTTACATGCACAACAAGATTTTTTCATTTTATCATTTTAATAAGTAATTTTTTGAGCAGATGCCAAAGATTTTTATTTTTTTAACTTGACAAAATATTAGTATTTATCATCTACGACATGATATTTGAAATATATGTACATTGTGGAATGAATGAATGTAGGTAATTAATATATATGTTACCTCACAATGTTATCATTTTTGTGGTGAGAACACTTTAAATCTACTCTCGTAGCATTTTTCTAGAAATATTGTTAATACCTATAGTCATCAGGTACAATACATCGCTTGAACTAATTAGTTCTATCTGACTAAAACTTTGCATCCTTTGACCAATATCTTCCCAACACACCATCGCTAAGATTTCAGCATCTGGTTACCACTATGCTACTCTCTGTTTTTATGAGATCAACTTTTTTAGACTCCACATATGAGTGATATCATGCTGTATTGTCTTTCTGTTATTTCTGGCACTATAGCCCTCTCACTGGTCTCTCTATCCCTATTATATGCTTTCTTCCTTTCAAATTTATCTTTATGAAACACAACTTTGATTATGTAATTTCCTATGTCATTAACAGAAACCAGCCAAAATTCAAACAAACAATAACAACTTGATAACTTTAAGTGGTTTATTTCATGTAATCTATTCTATAATAAAGTACAAACTTCTTCGTATGCCATATTGTATTTTTTACAATCTGCCCACCTCTTATTTTCAGTGTGTTTACCAAGAAAATATAAAACAACAGAGAATCTGGCAATTTAATTAAATAGAAGTCAGGTAAAGAGGTCTACTAAATATCTGTTGCCTAGCTTAAACTATTTAAAAGCATTGACAATTCACTGCCATATCCTCCATCACATTTAACACAGTGCTATGGACAGAACAGCTGCTTGATAATACATGCTTGAATTGAATCATCTAATCCGATATCCTTTATTTATGACAATACATGTACAATGAAAAGTAAAAGAATTTTCCCAATATGGGTAAAGAATCCAAAACTAGAACTTAAGTCTCTGTAAGCAAAGTAACATATCTGCTGCCTCGTTCTCATAATTAAAAAGATGATGCAGATAAATTTTAGTTAAAGACTTCACATAATAAAGTAGTTCTTAGTTCAGAAATAAGTGTGTATGATCAAAGACACAAGAATGCCATCTGGTGGTGACTTACGCAAAGCATCTGTATTAAATGACCTCTACTGCTGGCAGAAGGTAAACCAGAAGGTTGAGGTTCATAATAACAACTTTTCAAGCATGATAGATTATATTAAAGGTGAAAATCTTATAAATATACTATTGTCCACGTAGCTGTCTTTGTGAACTAAAACATTCACCTTCAAGATTTTCGGTTGCAGTAAAGTCAGGATCCACTGGCAATACCACAAGGCCAATTGCATTGATTCCTCATGCACTTACATACACATGCACATACACATACACATATATACTCACATGGATACATATGTATATGGAACATGGTGTATTAATACACTAGCACAACTTGCACAAATGATAAGTAAATAAATATGGGTGCATGCACAACGTTTCACTGATGGAGATGCAAAATAAAAAATGTTTGTATAGTATAGTTTTAAAGACATGAATTAAGCACAGACTTAAAAAAAAACTTTTTGTAAATATGGTTCACAACTTTTTAAACTGCTTTCATACAAATTACAAGAGCCAGAATTTTGGCAAATATTAACATCTTGATTTATGCTTGACTAGGAAAATAGAAGAGGGGTAACACTTATCATGAAAAATATTTACAGGATATTTTATCTCTGGTATAGATAGATCCTAGTAGCTTACTTTGAAAATATTGTGGATCAGACAGTAAAATGAAAAGGAGCTAAAAGAATAAATTAGCTAAGTAATGTAAAAATACATTCTACATACTTTTCTAAAAACATATTCATAATATTGAAGTTAAGAATTTAGCAGTGTATTTCAAACCAAACTAGAATCAACTTTTGAAATAATTCCATTGGTGGTTTCCCTTTTTTTAAATGATAGAGATATTACTGTTCAGTGGCATGTTTAATGAGAAATAAAAGAAACTATGGCATGAAACTACCAGTAACTACATCTCGAGTTGGCTCTATGTTAGTAAATAAATTAGAAAAATTGAAAAGGTAATTTGAAGGTGTCCCATGGAAAATTGGAACAGAGATTGTGTCTGCTTCTGTTGAAAAGGGATATAAGTGAACTCTTAATCAGTCTTCAGCTTTTTTGTCATGGACATTCTTGTACTGACAAAGACCATGTTCGGAGGGCACGATTCTTGAAGCTCATTTGAATAATCACATCTTCTCCAAGGGAATCTTGTCCTTTACTATGACTTTAAAAAGAAGAGTTTCATCCAGAAACAATGCCTCAAAAGACTTTTAACTCAAAGCAGAATGCATTTGAACTAGAAAACCCTTGCAGATCTGCTGGGCTATCCCTCCCCTAAAAGAGCAGCACTGGCCTGGCTGTTCTGCCTCAAGATGAAGATTGGTGCTGGAGATTATGGTGGGAATAAGTCTACCAAAATGTAAAAACACCTTTAATTACAAATTGCTTTTAAAACTCATTGAAGTTCAAGGGGAAATGTGATGATAAGAATATTTTTATTTGTACAATAACTGATTGCATCCAAGCAATGCAATATGCACTGTTAATTTAATGGGCTTCAATTTCCATTAGCAAATATTATAAATCTTTTATTAATGGACGTTTTACATTTATATGTAATAACTTTTCATAGAAGTTATGTAGAAAACCTTTTGGTTATTGATAATTTAACAGTCAGGTTTAGCATGAAGTATAAATGAAGAAAATAATGTGACAACTGACACATTTCATTTTTCATTGAAATATTTTACGTTGTCCCAACAAATAACTGAAATAAAGTGCCTGCTTGAAGTCATCTGGGTCTATCTTTACAAAAGGAAGTGAGAAATCCTTCTTCTCCCCATTCTCCTAGTCCCTGTCAGTGACTGCTCTTGAAGAATAAAAAGTACATATTAATTCATCTCACTTTGCTAAATAAAAAGGTTTCATTCCTAAAAGTTTGATCTAATGTCTGCTTGCTATATTGATTGTTATTTGTCACAATATCTGATTCTGAAAATTTTTAGCAAAATTGATTATAGAATAGTGTTTTGGGAGTGTGGTGGCAATGAATGCAATGGTTAAGAATTTAGTACTGGAGTCACATGGCCTGGTTTATTATTTGGATTCCAATACTTATTAGCATTGTGACCTTGAAGAGTTACTTACCTTGCCTCAGTTTCCAAACCTGGAATATATGATTCATAACAGTATCTCATAGTGTTGTTGAAAGAAGCACATTTAAAGTACTTAGAAAAGTGCCTGACACCCACAACACTAAATAAATAATAGCTATTATTCTGAGAATGGTAATTATGAGACACAATCTTGCTTAAAAATAGGATTTCTTTCAGTCAAGATTATATTCTGACAAAGAAAATTACAGTGAATAGCAAAAAGATCACTAAAAGGCTGCGAAAATAACACATTTTACAATAATAGTTTGAAAATAAAATCAATTTATAGTTTCCAAATTGAATAGCATATGGTACTTGATACATTAATCAAATACAGAATGGGTATTCTATCACAATATTATGTTCTATCACCATATGCAATTGCTGTTTAGTAGCTAATCTTTAAATATTGCCAGCAAAGATCAAATCATGTAGTAAGAACCAAATAGAATTTCAAAAATTGTTTCTGTACATTTCAATGTAATATAAATGTTATGAATCACCATAGACGATTTCTTTATCAGTCTCAAGACTCAAATCTACATTCTGGTTTCTCTTCAGGTTGTATAAACCTTTAACTATTTACGAACCCTGAGTTCTGACACTAATAGAGAATTTTTGAAGCATATTATAATTATTTATGATGATAATATCACTAACTCTTCTATAGTACAGAGAGCTTTTCCTAGGATGGGTCATCAAAGGCATGATATGTGTATCACTTAATATAATTGGAAAAGCCTCCTTTATCTCACAGATGTTTATTTTATTGATCCTGTCTTCCTCCTGAAAGTCAGAACCAAGGAGGACTTTTATTAATTTCTTCAGCTGTAAATTTAGGCCTTTTATCACTAACTTGCCTTAATTAAACCAAAGCTTGTGTAATAGAGTAATGCAAAACTATAAATCTAAGAACAGTATTACTCTGATAGAAATCTATATATCTTCGAAAACATGCTATTTCCAGAGTTATAAAATTAAACCCTGTCTTTGAATTATTATTTTGTGTAATAATTTCACAAACCAATTATATAATCCTGCCTCAACACAAATACAAATAGGAAACACAAATTCTGTTTTGCATTTATTTCTGTATCTTATAAATGCAAATCATTGCTTAAGTTTGTTAATAAAATAAATACCATCCCCATTAAAAACTAGTATTCATCAAACACTTTTCATGTGTGAGATACCATGTTAAAATCTTCATGTGCATTATCTCCTTTAAATGTTATCATGAGGTAGAAATTATTATTTTCTGTTTAGCATATAAAGAAATGAGGCTTGAATAGCTTAAATAACTTGGAAAATACCTTATTATTATGAAGTTGAACAGTAAAGTTTGAATTCAAATGGTGTAACCACAAAGCTTATATTTTACAATATAGTTCTCACCTGGTCAGTTTCTCTATTTGAGTAGTTACTTAAAATATATGATAAGAAATTGATCCTGCAGAAACTGGACTCGTGTCAAGATTAGACCAAAGATTTAATGTTAGCTATATTTTGTGACTTAATTTATATTAGAAATATAATGAAGTAAAATTAGATATATGCTAAGAATATTTTAAATTTTGGGAGTTGCACTTTAAAAATCATATTTTTTTCCTTTTTTAAATTTTTTTTTTTTGAAATGGAGTCTCGCTTTGTCACCCAGGCTGGAGTACAGTGGCGCGATCCCTGCTCACTGCAGCCTCCACCTCCCAGTTCAAGCAGTTCTCTGCCTTAACATCCCAAGTAGCTGGGATTATAGGTGCCTGCCACCATGCCTGGCTAATTTTTTGTATTTTCAGTAGAGATGGGGTTTCACTATCTTGGCCAGGCTGGTCTTGAACTCCTGACATTGTGATCCACCCGCCTCGGGCTCCCAAAGTGCTGGGATTACAGGCGTGAGCAACCGCACCCGGCCCCTTTTTTTAAATCTTTGAGATGGAGTTTCATGCCATTGCCTAAGCTGGAGTGCAATTGCCTGATCACGGCTCACTGCAGCCTGGAACTCCTGGGCTTAAAGGATCTTCTTGCCTCAGCCCCCTGAGTAGCTGGGACCACAAATGTGTGCCATCATGCCCAGATAATTTTTTAAACTTTTTTATAGAGATGGGGTCTCGTCATGTTGCCCAGACTGGTCTCAAACTCTTGGGATCAAGCAATCCTCCTGCCTCAGCCTCCCAAAGTGTTGGGATTACAGGTGTGAGCCACCATGCCTGGCCTAAAAATTATATAATTCCTTAGATGCAAAGGATCAATCTTGAAAATCTCTTATTTAGAGACTTCTGGTCTCGTCTGGTATGTAGGGATCACCTCTCCTGTGCATAAGAGAAAAATACTGAACAAACTAAAAATCAACTGCTCTTCTTAGATCCATCAAAGAACTGAGGTCACAGAGCAAACTATTTTCCCCCAAATTAAGAGACAGCCAGATACAAAAAATATTTTAAATGAAATAATTACCCTATATTGATGATGGGAGCTTCTGTTACTATATTTGTTTGCTAAAAAAGAATGAAAGAAGATAATACAAGACCTCTTATATGTAAGCATACAGAAATAAAATTATTTCTTAGTTTTTCAATATTACATATATGTATATATATACATCTAAATATATATGCACATATAACATCGTCACAATAATTATTTGCACTTGAAGTAACAAGTTATTTTCCTTCTATGATAACTTCCTTAAACCAAGCATTATTTTGCAAACTTCTATGAAAAATATAAGCAAAAACAATCATTTAAACATTAATAAAAAAAGCTTTCCATAGATCAATGTGTTGCATTATTATCCACCGTGTTAATATACTAAAATGTTGCCAAATTCTTTAGGATAAAATAAAGTATTAAAAGTTTTTTATGGTGAAGGTCAAAATAAAATATATTTCCAAAAAGTAACTCAAAATAAGAAGGGAGGGCCAGGCACAGTAGCTCATGCCAGTAATCCCAGCACTTTGGGAGGCCGAGGCAGGTGAATCATTTGGGGTTGGGAGTTTGAGACCAGCATGGCCAACATGGTGAAACCTCGTCTCTACTAAAAATACAAAAATTAGCTGGGCATGGTGACGTGTGCCTGTAGTTCCAGCTACTCGGGAGGTTGAGGCAGTAGAATCGCTTGAACCCAGGAGGTGGAGGTTGCAGTGAGCAGAGATTGCGCCATTGCACTCCAGCCTGAGAGACACAGTGAGACTTCCGTCTCAAAAAAAAAAAAAAAATTAATACATAATTTTTTTTAAAGGAGGGAGAAAAAACGATTTCAAGGAACTCTTTCCTCAATCCATAACAAACCGCATTTTTCATTCTAACGTAGTACATGTACAACTCAGAACATGGTGCCAAGGCAATTATGTTATTAACTGATTTTATTAACTGATTGTTTTCTAAGAAAAGCAGATGGTAAAATAAATTATATTCTTGGGAATTTTTCTTACAATTCCTATTTCTGGAAAGTGTTCTTCCATGATGGAAAATTAAAGCAGATTTAGTGAAAGGGCTCATATATCAAGTAACTTGAGAGAGAATGCCTCCCTGTTTCCATAATATTGCCAGTGAAATTATGCTGTTTGAGATTTATTCCTTTAGGTAAGGAGCTACTCTTTAAAATACTCCTATTAGGAACACCTGAAGATAGTTTTAAGTTGTCATTATTGTTGTTTGGTTACCAGAGAAAGAGAAAGCCCTGCAGTTGGTCCAAGCACCTGGTAGGAATCAACCCTTTGCAAGTTTAATGAGATGTTCTAAAACATGCATTAAATATATACTTGGAACAAGTGACCAGTACATGGTACCTGATTTTTCACATACCCAGAACGGAGTCCTGGATACCAAGTGTTAAAATGGAAGTGGCAGCCCTCACGATTATACCTAATAGCCCACTCAGACGATATTTGTTTCTAATCCCCACGTCTTTAGGCTCTGGTAGTTTGCAGTTCTTAATTCCTCAAGAAGCAAAGATTCCACCAGGATATGTAGCACCAATTCCATTTCCCTTGTGGCTAAGATTGTTCTTCAAATAATCTCAATCTTGTGACCAGTTGCAGAAATATAAAATAAAATAAAATAAAATAAAATAAAACTAAATAAAATAAATACAGCATTTATTCTTATAAGTATTTTCTTCCTTGCTTTGTTATGGACATATTAACAAAGTATATATTAATTTATTATATATTTATTATATATAATATATGCAAAGTATATATTAATTTATTTGTGTTCTTTCCTCTCCTCTTCCTCCATCATTTAAATATAAAGCATATTGGTTGTGGTTATCCTTGTCATACAGACAAGGATAGGTTGTAGGATATCAGAGGAATTGTGATGGAATTAGGTGTTAGGATCTCTATTAGTCCGTTCTCACCCTGTTTATAAAGACATACCTGAGACTGGGTAATTTATAAAGGAAAGAGGTTTAATTGAGTCACAGTTCATCAGAGCTGGGGAGGTCTCAGGAAACTTACCATCATGGCCGAAGGGGAAGCAAACTTGTCCTTCTTCAAATGGCGGCAGCAAGGAGAAGTGCAGAACGAAGTGGGGGAAAAGACTCTTATAAAACCATCAGGTCTTTTGAGAAGTCACTATCATGAGAACGGCATGGAGGTAATCGCCCTCATTATTATTATTATTATTATTATTATTATTATTATTATTATTTGAGACGGAGTCTCCCTCCGTCGCCCAGGCTAGAGTTCTGTGGCGCAATCTCGGCTCACTGCAAGCTCCGCTTCCCGGGTTCACGCCATTCTCCTGCCTCAGCCTCCCGAGTAGCTGGGACTGCAGGTGCCCGCCACCACGCCCGGCTAATTTTTTGTATTTTTAGTAGAGACAGGGTTTCACCGTGTTAGCCAAGATGGTCTCGATCTGCTGACCTCGTGATCCGCCTGCCTCAGCCTCCCAAAGTGCTGGGATTACAGGCGTGAGCCACCTCGCCTGGCCCGCCCTCATTATTTAATTACCTCCCACCAGGTCCCTCCCACGACATGTGGGGATTATGGGAAGTACCATTCAAGATAAGATTTGAGTGAGGACATAGCCAAATCATATTGGAACTAACAGTAATTGCTAAGAATATGTATTTCTCCTTTTGTGGAGGGGGTAAACATGTCTTCATCTATAGAGTTCAGTATCAATTTCTCCAATATGAAGTGCTCATATGAGACTTTGAAGTCAAAAGGGTAACAGAAGGTGCTGTTATTCCTCAACGGGACAGACAGGTTTAGGGGCTTCATCAAATGACAGATATTTCAGAGGTTTGCCAGAGGTTTCAGGCACTTTGCCCTGGAGATTTCCTATTTTGAAGTAAATCAGCAGCAAATTCCCTGTTATTCTTGGACCTTCTGATTTGCTGAATGCTTAAAGTCACTTCCCATCCTGACCATCACGTTTCCTGCTCTTTTCTGGTTTTAACGTCTAATTTCCTGTATTAATCCTTGTTGCCTAAATGACAAAAGTTTCTGTTTTCCTGTTAGAACCCTTTTTGAAAAAGAGATAATTGCTATTTTTTTTTTCCTAAAAAACACTTGAAATTACTGCTGGGAGAATAATAAAAGCCTCCATGATTTTCTCCAAATCAGGGCTTGGGTTCTCTTCTTAACATATTTCATATTCCTAAAACTTCAGCCTCTCCTCATCTTTTAGGCAAAATTTGAGATTTGTATATTTCGAAAGGAGACCTTAAGTGACTCTTATCTCCACCAATATAATAGGTTTCACCATGAGAGAGGGAGACCAGAGTTGATTACATCCGGCCTTACAGCTCTGTTCAGCAGTTTTTTCTTTTTAAAATCAGGTTTCTCAACTACTTTGTACTGTGTACCATCCTAAGTGAACAAAGGATCCTCAGTTGTTACATAATCTGCAGAATACCAGGATGTATACTTCCTATTGCTCAGGTCTGGCCACTTTCTAACAGCTTTCTGTCAAGCTTGCTGTGCTTTCTGCATGTGCACCTTGCATTATTCATCAGACTTTTCTCTTATTCAGCCTTTCTCTAGCCACACAGCTCCATTCTTCTTTCTCAAACTTCTTTAATATTTCAAGATAAATTTTGGCAATTTGTATTAACTTCTTTTTTCATGAAGACCACAAAAACAAAATGATTCAGTCAATTAAAAACTAGATGACTTATTAGCACAAACAAAGTTGGGATAGGAAGTTAGAACTCTGAAGCTGATTGTCCTTAAAACTCCTCATACATTGGGTGAGCAAACTCTTTGCTGTTACTACATAAAGTTGACAATGTGTGGAACTTGTACAGGCATTTCCTATGGTAACTCCTAACAGGAATTTAACAGTTCTGCTCACACTCTATATAGATTTCCTCTAATGCTCCCTTGATGTTCTTTCCATGAAAAGATCTTTTATAAAATCATTTAAAACCAGTTAGACAGTCAGGAAGAACTCCTGGCATATAGAGGCTCCTGAAACATTTCTGCACACTACTTTTTCCGTGTTTACAATGAGGCCTTCTCTTCCCAATTTAATTCAATTTAATTTAATGGCATTGCCTATCAACCCTGACCCTGCTGCCGAATTATGTTCATTCTTTCCAGAAATAGGAAGGGAAATATATTCCTCCTATAAAATGTATTATTTTAATTTTATTTAGTCCTCCTTTATAAAAAATGAATTATTTTAGTTGTAAAAGCAATAGATGCATTATACAAAATAAAAATTGAACAAGAAAATATGTGTCCTCTTTTCATCTCCAACCCTTTGCCCAAAAGTAATAGGTTTTGTCATTTTCCATTTTTATTTTTTTATAACACCACCATAACTCATATACTATTTCTGCTTATCATTGATTTATCAAAGTTAGGTAATATCTTTTGATGTCAGCAAATTATGGAATTAATATATGTTAATTAAATAAATATACATAGTAGATAAAAAAATAGCTGGATGTGGTGGCATGTGCCTGCAGTCCCAGCTACTAAGGGGGCTGAGGCAGGAGGATCATTTGAGCCCAGAAGTTCAAGGTTACAGTGAGCCATGACTGCACCACTGCACTCCAGCATGGGTGACAGAGGGAGACCCTATCTCTGTACACACACACACACACACACACACACACACACACACACACGCGGTAACAAATACTGAAGGGCTTAGAAAAAATAAAAATTCTCCTTCTTACACTATAGGAAACATTTATAAACTATTTTCATTTTCAGTCCTTTTGGAGGTTGTTACCTCAACAACTCTAGATAATAAAGATACATCTCTATTTTGTATTTATTTTTAGAGAATATATATTGACTAAAAAAATAGAATCTTACTCATATTGTCTTTCTTTTTCTTGACTCCTTTTTATGTTTTTATTCTTTAGTTATCCTATTGTTAGCTTTATAACTTCAGAATGAATATTTAAGACATCAGTCTAAGGTTTCAATAAATTTGGATAGTATCTAATGACTCCTCACTTTGCAATATGATGATATTGTATCCTCTACCCTTTTCTCCTCCCTTAGTCCCTGATTCACATCCAGATTTTCTATTAGCTAAACTTTAGCTTTTTCTTTGTGAAGCCATTAACTGATCAGTTGGATACATGAGTCTGAAGGTAGGAGAGACATTTAGAATAAAAACAAAAATTTGGGGGTTGTTCAGCAGATGGATGGTACTTAAAGCATAAGATTATGAGATTGCCTAGGAAGTGAGTACAAGTAGGAAATAAAAAGAGGACCAAGGGCTGAAATTGGGCACTGTGATACCGAAGTTAGTAAAGAGGCTTAGGAATAGAGACCAGTGAGGGAGGAGAAAAACCAACAGAGTATAGTGTCCTGGAAGCCTTATGAAGAAAGGAAATCAAGGCGGAGAGGATAGTCAACAAGGTTAAATAGTGTGTTAGGGCCACAAGATAAGGACAAACAACTTATTTAGTTTTGCCAGATGAAAGACATTGGTATTCCTTACAACAGCAGTTTCCATGGACTTGAAGGGAGAGAGGTTAACAAGGGTGGTTTTAAGGGCGAATGGAAGAGGAAAAATTGGAAACATGATGTGGGAGAGAGAATAGTTGGAATGATGTACTGGATTAGGGGACATCATAGAGAATTTAGTGCTCAAGTAGAAATGATGGCTTTACAAACCACCACAGCACACGTTTACCTATGTAACAAACCTGCATATCCTGCATATGTATCCCGAAACTTAAAAAATAAAATAATAATAATAAAAAGAAATAATGGCTTTAAATAGAAGTTGGTAGGTAGAGAAAGGGAATGATGTGAGTCTGTGGAAATTTCTTTCTGATTGATTCAGAGTTCTCTGTGAAGTAGGATAGAAGGTTACCAACTTGTGACTTTGTGAAACAGGTGAGAGGAGAATAGGTAAAATATATAAAAAAAAAAAAAAACCTAAACTTCTTATTTTGAAAAAAGTATAGTGATTGGAATAGGTATTTTACTACCTGAAAATCAGATCCATAAGAATATTTGCAAAAAGAAAAGGAAATCAAAATATATGTGAGCAATCGTAAACCTTGTAATACAGATTCTGAGGTTTAATTGATGGACCTATATTTCAATCATATAGTATTTATTCTTATAAGTATTTTCTTCCTTGCTTTCTTATGGACATATTTGCAATTTATATATCAATTAATTTGTGTTCTTTCCTCTCCTCTTTCTCCACCATTTAATATAAGGTATATTGGGTGTGGTTATCCTTTTCATACATTCTTTAGGTTGTAGGATGTCAGAGGAATTGTGACTGAGCTAGATGTTGGGAACTGTATTAGTCTGTTCTCACCCTGATTATGAAGACATGCCTCAGACTGGGTAATTTATAAAGGAAAGAGGTTTAATGGACTCAGTTCTGCAGGGCTGGGGAGGATTATATGCATGCATATTCTCTCAGAAAGAAAGAATATTTTTAGTAAACATCAAAATAATTCTATTTTTTTTTTTTAATACAAAGCTACTATACTGTCATCCCTTGGTATACTAGGGGATTGTTTCAAGGACTTCTGGCATATAACCAAATCCATGCATACTTAAGTCCTGCAGTCAGCCCTGCAGAACAGATGTCTTGGAAAAATAAGCTCTTCATAGACACAGATTTTGCATACCTCCAATACTGTATTTTCAATCTGCATTTGGTTGAAAAAAAGGCCACATATAAGTGGACTCAAACAGTTCAAATCTGTGCTGTTCAAGGGTCAACTGTACTTTAATTGGCCTTCTACCATTAGAACTTTTTTTTAATAAACTTGTATTTGTAATAGCAGGAATTGAATTGTTTTAACACTGTATGATCTGAACTCTGTCATCTTTCTGATCATGTCTCCTACTATTCCACCCTTGGATCATTCTGGTCCAGCCAAACTGGCCTTTTTACTGTTCTATGAACATGCCAGGACCTGCCTGCTGTAAGAGTTTATACTTTCTCTTCTCTAAACTTGCATATATACTTATCTTTTATGCAGTCATACTGTTAAAAATTTTACTATCATATACAAAGCATCTATGGTCCCTTCTTTTCTGCATTATTTTACTCCATAGAATTTATTATCATCAAGTTGTTATGTTTCTTATTTATTTCTATGTAGTCTTTCTCCTGGCATATGAAAGCAGGGATTTTAGCCTGATTCATTACTGTAACTCCAGCACCAAGGGGACTTACCCATAGTTGATATTTAATAAAATTATTAAATTATAATTATGGAATTATACTTATAAAATTAGTTATAAAATTATACATTTTATACAATAATATAATTTTAAAAATTATGTTCTCAATCAATAGTTATCTTTCTTTTTATTATGATTCCCAGAAAGTTTACTGAACAATTACTAATTCCTTTCTTAACGTCACACAAAGCTCTTCTTATGCCATACTAGTCTAAGATTGGATTTTGTTTTATTTTTGTAATAGGGACCACACTCTACATCGACTTATGTGCTTGCAGAAGGCTCGTTTTTAGTATCTTCTTTATAAATTTTATTGTCAGGGGGTTTCCTCCATTCAACATACTCGCAGATTGCTTATGAATAATTACTACTGGGTATTCTCTTTTCTTTCTATTTTTGATGCATTGTTGCTTATTGCCTGACCCCTCTGCCCTGAGTGTACTCTAATCTTTGTGCAGCAGTCTTCAATCCTTCTCTGTGACTGACAGAGAAATATTTTAGTCTTCTTTTGGTAGGAAGAAAACTTCTAGTTATAATTTGAATTTTTAATAGTCAAAACTGCAAATAGACATGTTCGTCCTCATATTTGGATCAAACCAAGGGAGCATAAAACTTCATAAATAAAACCACTGAATATTTTCCTAGCTTCAGCAACTGAGGCATATCACAGTTCATCCATCACTTAGGCCACAGTGCTGCACAATAATATTCATTTATTGGATAAAATTAGTACTAGAGTGCTCCTCATGTCTGAAGAGCTAATTCTAATTTTAAAATATTTTTTTGGGTTTTACGTTTAAGTCTTTACTCCATCTTGAATTGAGTTTTGTGTATGGTGTAAACAAGGGGTCCAGCTTCAATCTTCTGCATATGGCTATTCTGTTATCCTAGCACCATTTATTAAATAGAAAGGCTATACCATCCTGGACATAGGAACGGGAAAACGTTTTATGACAAAGACACCAAAAGCAAATGCAACAAAAGCAAAACCTGTCAAATGGGATCTAATTAAACTTAAGAGCCTGCGCACAACAAAAGAATCTATCAACAGAGTAAACAGATAACCTGCAGAATGGGAGAAAGTACTTGCAAGCTATGCATCTTAAAAGGTGTAATATCCAGGATCTATAAGCAACTTAAACAAATTCACAAGAGGAAAACATACAATCCCATCAAAAAGTGGGCAAAGGACTTGAACAGACACTTCTTAAAAGAAGACATACATACGGCCGATACACATATGAAAAAAAGCTCAATATCACTGATCAATAGAGAAATGTGAATCAAAACTGCAATGAGATAGTATCTCACACCAGTCAGAATGGCTACTATTAAAAAGTCAAAAAGTAAAAGATGATGGTGAGGTTGTGGAGAAAAGGAAAACCTTATACACCGTTGATGGGAGTGTAAATAAGTTCAACAATTTTGAAAAGCAGTATGATGATTCCTTAAAGAGCTAAAAGCAGAACTACCATTCAACTCAGAAATCCCATTACTGGGTATATATCCAGAGGAATATAAAGCATTCTAATATAAATACACATGGACAGAAATGTTCATTGCAGCACTGTTCACGATAGTAAAGACATGGAATCAACTTACATGGCCATCAATGACAGACTGGATAAAGAAAATATGGTACATATATACCTTGCAATATTATACCACCAAAAAAAAGCAGCATCATATATTTTGTGTGAACATGGATGGAGCTGGAAGCTATTATCCTTAGTAAACTAATTGCGGGAACAGAAAATCAAATACCTCATGTTCCCACTTATAAGTGGGAGCTAAATAATAAGAACTAAAGAGCACAAAGAAAACAACAGATTCTGGGATCTACTTGATGCGGGAGGGTGGGAGGAGGGAGAGGCGCAGAAAAGATAACTATTGGGTACTGAGCTTAATACCTGGGTTATATAATAATATGTACAACAAACCCCTGTGACACCTGTTTATCTATGTAACAAACTTTCACATGTACCCCCAAAACTAAAATAAAGTTAAAATTTAAAATAAGTTTTGTTATATTATGATTGTTTTCACTATTCTTCCAAAAATCTTCAGGACTCCTATTCAAAGAGCACTGCTGAGCCATCATATATTTTCCTATTCAATTTCTCATCAGCCTTACTGATTTTTTCCTACTTAGCTTCTCTCTCCTCAGATTTTCTATCTCTTCTCCTCTTTCTCACTCTTAGATAATGATCTTTCTCTTTTCACTGAGCAAAAAGCAATAACCAGAAGGCAATAATACTCCTACCAAAGCTAGGGCTGTGGGAAACAGTCTTTTCCTGTTGTCAGCAGTTGCTTAAAACAAGAGCTAGAAAACTTTGACCCATGCATCTAATATGGCCTGATGCCTGTTTTTTTTTTTTTTTTTTTTTTTTGAGACGGAGTCTTGTTCTGTCGCCCAGGCGGGAGTGCTGTGGCGCAATCTCCGCTCACTGCAAGCTCCGCCTTCCGGGTTCACGCCATTCTCCTGCCTCAGCCTCCCGAGTAGCTGGGACTATAGGCGCCCGCCACTGCGCCCGGCTAATTTTTTGTATTTTTAGTAGAGACGGGGTTTCACCGTGGTCTCGATCTCCTGACCTCGTGATCCGCCTGCCTCGGCCTCCCAAAGTGCTGGGATTACAGGCGTGAGCCACCGCGCCCGGCCGCCTGTTTTTATAAATAAAGTTTTATAGAGACACAGCCATGTTTATTCGTGGTCTATGCTTGCAAAGCCTAAATTACTCTGACAATTTACAGAAAATATTTGTGAACTTCTGTTCAGAACTAAGATAAAAAAACTTACTATGTTTTTTAAAGTTTTTGCAGACAATGCCTATACCACCATCACTCCCATTACTTTGCCCTTGGTAGGTACCACAGCTAAAAAGTAACTTTCGTATTTGCCTATCTCCAAATCTATCAACTTTCATCTGTCCATATTTATTCTCACTTCTTTCCTTTTACAGTGGTTGGATTGGCCCTGTTCTTATTGATTATACACTTAACTGTGAGGCAGTTAGCACTATTGAAGTTTTTCTCCAACCACATTTAACTTAGTAGGTCTACTCTTGAAGTATATTGAAATTTGAACTTCACCAGGGCTACGACTTTTACAGGAAAAAACAATGAAGCAACACCAAAAAAAAAAAAAAAAAAAAAAAAAAAAAAAAAAAAAGGGAAGTGTGCAGACAAATAATCATAATGATGGATGTGAAATAAAAGAAATGAGAGAACATTATGGGAATAATGAACTAGAGGAAAGAGTAGAATTATGATATGGAAATTTTAAGGGTAGTACCTTTCTTGGAAATGACACAGTCTTGTATTTGAGCATGTAAATGAATGCCTGCGATGGAGTAAAATAAAATTTCCTTGGAAATGAGGAGGTCAAGTAAAAAGTTCTTGGGTAGAATGTCTACATGAATTTTGAAATCAACAGAAAGAAAAATAGTGAATAGAGACTTGTTAATGACAACATGAAGAGGTAGCTAGTGGTAGAAGCAAAGGAATTTCTATCCTTCCAAGTCTTTTTCTCTCTCCTTCCACTCCTAGGACAGCATGTTGAATTATATTGTCAGATACAAATGCTGGAGGTGGTTGCTACAGGGGTTGCCTTTAGGCAACTTTTCTTTATAGTCATGCTCACAAAAGACCCTAAGGCAGTAGAATGCAAAATATACAAATGTAATAATAGAGATAATTCAAAAATAAATAATATATATAACTATTCTATTATTAATAAAACAGCCATAAAGAAAGAGGTACTAATTACATCAGACAAGTTCAGTGTAAGAAAGAACAACACTATATATTTTAAGGAGAGAGGATTTTAATAAAGCATATTAGGTGCTTTCAAATTTGTAGACAGGCTGGAAGAGCAAGCTGGAAGATGGTCCTCCAGGGATGAGTCACAGAATACCACATGGGGAGCTACTGACTCTATCACAATCAAGAAGGTAGACAATTAAGTGCTGTCTGAAATCACTAAGAGCAAAGACACACCACTCACTATAGCTAAGATCTAGGGACCAAGAAACCAAGACCAGGAAGCTACTTCCATTTAAAGTGCTTTTCTAACACCAGTGGAGCAGAACAGTTATTGCAGTAATAATGCTGGCAAAGAGAGGGGTGAACTCCTATCTCTACAGTCTTACTTGTCAACAGAAAAAAATAGCCAAAAGCGTCAGGAGATTGTTCTCTTATTTATTCCAAATATCTGGAGGCTACATCTAATTGGAATAATCTGATTAGCATATAAAACTATAGTTGCAAGGGAATCTGATAAATACAGTTTTAAGCTTTATGAGTTTCCCATACTGAAAAGGTGAGTTCAAAGTTTGTGGGAATAACTGTCAACTGCCGTTTGATCATAACACTGCCCATCGATTTATTTTCCCTGCAAAAAAACAAAATAATTACCTGTATTAAGAAAAAAAATTAGCAAAATGTTTCTTTAGTTCTTATTTCCTCCCTGTTTTTCTTCTGTGATTTTGGAAATAAACATGTTCTTAGAAGTTATGTTAGACATTTAAAGTATCTATTATAAAATAAATACCCTACATTATCTAGGGGCATTTTGTATTAGTAAGCATTATAGTCATATTTCCTAAGGACTCTAAACTTTTTCAGTAGTATATAAAAATATTTGAAAATTATAAAAAATAAAAACAACTCCAAAAACAAAAAAAAGAAACTTAGAATTGACATTAGTAAATTTTTGCATGAATATCCACACAAACTCATTTTATAACTTCATTAATTGCTGAATTTAATATTCAGTAAAAGTTTATTACTATGAAATTAATATGCTGGGTAACTTTATCAACCAAGCATTTCTGAGTATGCATAATAATTTTACAGAAAGCATAGCCAATTATAAGTAAATTGTACAGTAGTAAAAGACCAAAACAATATACAAACCCATTTACTTATTTTTTTACATTTGAAAAAATACTTAAAATATATTATTTTGCATTATTTTTATAATTTGGAACATATGATATATAGTAGAAACTATTTTTTCTCTTGTTTGATATGATATGGGGTGCATTCTTCAAAAGGAAGAAAACCTAGGAACTACACAAGTTTTCAGTGAGCCCTCCCAACATGATATATTTTTCTCTCAATTACAACTTACTATAACTACCTGGACTCTTGAGAAAACACTCAACAGTGTTAAGTACACACTGTCACAGTTATTCCCACTCTCACTTCCTAAGGGTACTATCAAATTGTACCAATTTACAATTCACCAGTTTGTTTCAGGTCTGTTTTGCAGCAGCTGACCACGCTTACCTGTATCATAACTGTGCTTCATTTTGCACTAACTACGTGCACACCCCCGTTTGTCCCCTCAAACACATCATCTTCAGAGTTATATTTGTAAATCAGATATGTGACCAAGTCATTTCCCTGCTTAAGAACCTTAAATAGGTTTACAGTGTGCTCAAGATAAAGCTGGAGCTTCTTAATTTGACCGCCGAATCATCTTCTCTAGCCAGACCAGTCTGCACAGGTTACCTGCAACACATCTTGCCCATTGCTGTCTCTTATCTTTGTTTGTAATGCTATTTGCACTTGGAAAGCTGTCTCATTTCTTGTTTAGCTGACTTTTCTTCATTCTCTAAATCACCCAGATCTGTGAGGTTTTATTTTGTCACCTACGCCCAAAGTCGTCTCTTCATTTTATTTAATAATTAAAAATAAATAACTGCCTAAATAAGAAAGAAAAATAGAAAAAAAAATCTCTATATTAAGGACAGAGTTGTTTTCTCCCTTTCAGTACTCCATTTGAAACCATGACTTACTGTCATACAATTTATAAATAATTACAATCATTTAATCTATAAAATAGGTATTTTATATTAGTAAATGTGATTACTGAAAGATAAATACTGTATTTTAAACACAAAAAAAGTCTTCCTATGTTTTTCCCAAGGAAATAAAAGTTAAAAATGAGAAATAATTTCAATTACTTATTTCAAATCAGTACTGTTCTAATATCTATGCATTAAACTGTTACATCCAGAAATGGCATGGGAATTATGTTTTGAGAGTAAGGCATCATTCTTTAAGATCTGATGATCTCTGTAAACTTCTTTCTGATGTAGAAGTTCTTAGATTTAGTTTAGGCTCTCAATGACATTCTTTCAACAGTAATCCTTCAATATAACAGAGACAGAGCTTGCTGTGGTATGGACAAATTGTTGCAGTACATTTAATACTCTGAAATTTCCAGAAGTACATCTGAGACAATTTTTTTAAATGTTCATTCCTTTTTAGTTCTGTCTTTTTTTATATGACAACCTTTTCATAAAAATTATATTTAGTATGCTGCATATAATAACATTGCCTAACAGACCATTTCATAGATTTAAGGTTCTCTTCAGGAAATAATTTTACCTGGCGGTTATATCAGATTTGCTTGCTTGTACATCTGTTTATCTTATCTTGTTTAATCATATGTTTTTAATGAAATATCCTGGCACCAGTGAGAGGCAATTGTCTTACTTGGCATATTCCATGAGGTATGCAAAATTGAACCAGGTGTTTATCAGAACGATTTTATTTATATGATGCAAGTATTTAAAAGAAAAAGCACATGGTAAAAACTATTTTCCCTTTTAAAGAAACACATTTTAAAAATCCAGTTTATATCTTAAATGTTAAATGAAATTTCACATTACTAGAGAGGCAATTCTGTCTTCTCTAAAAATCAGAAAAAGAGAAAGCTTTGCTATATATTAAAAATTATAATAATATCTATTTTGGTATTTCCCAAAGGATTTTTTTAAGTTTTTGTATACATATACATAATCACAAGAATCACAAGGAAATATCCATCCCGATGGCTGAGATGTTATTAGGCTTTTTTCCTTGTTGAAGACTGCCTTAATCCATAGCGTTATTTAGAAATTAAAAGGAATGATTCATCATTAAGACTGATATGCTCTTGCTATTAATTAAAACATATGAGAGGTTGGAAAATACTCATCTTCTGATCTCCCACTTTGAAAATCATTGCTCATATGTCTTCTTTTTATTTATTTATTTTTTTTTTTTGGTGAGAATGTAAGCCTTAATTACTGCCATATCATTTATAATATGAGGAAATTATTTTAAACTATTTTCCACTGCAAGCTTAATTGCTTTTGTCTCTTAAGATTTAGTTTGCTATTTTTAATATCATTTTTATTTTTTCTTTCAACTACATGTACAAATAAGCACACATTCAGTCACACACAAATACACTCACATGTGTGTACACACAGAGTCACTTAAGAATATGTGCTAAGTATGTCTTCATGCTCCCAGACACCAGCTGCATGATTTGTAGAGCCCACTGCAAAATAAAAATACTGGACCCTTTATTTAAAATTACTAAGAATTTCAGGGTCACAGCAGAAAAGCACTAAACCAAAAATGAGGCCTTTCTGAGAGTGGACCCTGTGTGACTATACAGGCCACACATCCATTAAGCAGGCCCTGCCCTGCTGTTCCCATTCTCTATAGGAAAATTGTGTCAATCATACTCAGTAGTCAGTCTTCTTCATTTCCTTGCAGTAGAATCAGTTCTCAAAAAAGAGGATATATGGTAATAAAATACCAGTGACTGCTATTAATGTTCCTTTATGATCAGGTACAGCTATGGGATATTTTTTTTCAATCATCGAGACAGGCAGATGGGTCATGTTTCTATTTCATGAATTTGGGCAGAGCAAAATCACACAACTGTCTTTATATGTGATTCTTAAATAACTTCTCTGACCTATTAAATCTCTGGAGTATAACACAATCAAGTGATAGGCAAAAATAATGTATTTTTTTAAAATACAGTATTCAAACTGTACTTTTAACACATTGTACAGATCGCACTCTCATGAGAAAAAAAGAGCCTTACAGCTTTCCACAGTGTGTAAGGAATGAACTCTAATGGCTTAAAAACAGATTTTCTAACTAGATAGTTTGTGTATTTCTATTTGCATCCAGAATAGCCTATCAAAGATTTTTTCTTTCTCTGCTGATAATGGAAAAGGAGGCATTAAGGAGAAATGTTATATCTTAAGACTGTGATAGGATAGGCTTATGACATTATAATCTTCTGCAGAAGTCATTTCAATATGAGAAATTACTAACATGGTGTTTTATAATTAATAAAAATTACTAGCAGTCCAGATTCTCCTCAAACCACTTCTACCTTAGCGTTTGTGTGTGTTTGTTGTGAGAGATGAGTGCGGAGGGGGTGGAGGTGGAAAAGTAAGTAGTAACACACTCTTGTCTTACACCCTGAGCATCTCAGTGGCAGAAATGTACATAAGCTGGAAGACTTTTTTCTTCCTATCTCTTAAGAAGAGTTATTCCTGTTTATTTCTGTCAAGCCTATTAATTCTATTGCTCTTTCTTTGCTTGAAGACCACTCTTCAACAGTTTTCTTCTATTTCACAATATACTTAACATTTTCCACTGGTTTCTCTAATTTTAATTCTTATTCAATCCTTAACCCACTACAATTTAGGATCAACTTTTTGTGTTATCTATCTATCTATCTATCTATCTATCTATCTTCTCTCTATCTATCTATCTATCATCTATCTATCATTTATCTATATTGCCTAAATTGCTCAAATAACCTTTTGATGGGGGGGGCTTTTAAATTATTATTGTGGTAAGAACAGATAACATGAGATGTATCTTGTCAACATAATTTTTAACTGCATGCTAAGGTCTGAATGTTTGTGTCTATCCCCTCAAATTTATATGTTAAAATCCTAACCTCTGAGGTGATAGTATTAGGAGGTGGGCCCTTTGGGCGGTTTTCCATGGTGGCTTCACTATTCACATTTCTATCAAAATGTACAAGGGTTCCAGTTTCTTCATGTCCTGCCAGCTCTTGTTATCTTTTACTTTCTTTGTTTGTTTTCTTTTGTTTTTATAATTACTATAATTGTCAGATTACCTCACTGTGATTTTGGTTTGCATTTCCCTGATGATTAGTGATGCTGAGTATCTTTTCATATACCCATTGGCCACTAATATGTCTTCTTTGGAGAAATGTCTAGTTAAGTCTCTTACCATTTGCTCTTTACAAAATTGCTATTGAGTTGTAGGAGTTTCTTATATATTTGGATATTAACGCTTTATCAGATATACAGTTTGTAAATGTTTTCTACTATCTGGTAGGTTGTCTTTTCCTTCTTGATGACACATCATATTTCTGCCTTTCTAGACACTCTCTTCATCTCTTTTGCTGACTCCTTGCCTTCTTTCTGTCCTGTTAGAGAAGTTCACTACAGTTCTGTCCTTTTATCCTCTGACCTCTTGCTGGGAAAAGTTATACATTGTAATGGCTTTAACTACTGCCTCATAAATCCATGTCAGAAAAGAATAAGGAGAAAAACATTTCTCCTTTGACTATTCTAAATCTACTTATCTAGCTTTATAGTCTGTGATTTTCCCCTCCATACTTCTTATGGCCAAACATGCAGAAATACTCAACATTCCTAAACCTGTTGCTCTTACTTTTGCTGAGTTAAATTTATCAACTATGTTGGAAGGACCTCTGTGTGTGAAGAACTTATACTACTCCCCACTCTGCAAAGACATTCAGTCTAGACCTCCTGTTACGTGTGGCGTGCTGTTCACCATGTCTGTCAAGCACTTCACCAAACTTTTCTTTCTTGGGTAACCCCTACCTTCCTATCCAGTTTAAACATGGCCTGCTCTACTGATCTCAACCAGACTTCCTTTGCGGAAGTATGAAAACTCTTCTTTTTTGTAATTTAACAGAGTGCATACCTTCAATAAAGTCACTTTTAAAATGTTACTAAGTGTTTTTGTTTAGGTGTGTATCATCCTCACTACACATCTCGTGGAAATTATATTTTACTCACCTTAGAATCTTCAGTGTTTCAGCTATAAAAAAGAGTGAGGAAGGTCAATATAAATGATAAGGAGTAATTTCTGACATGTATTATTTAAGTGAAAAAAACACAAAAAAGATCAAAGCTTTATATTATGAATAAGAAATTATTTTTTATTATTTTTAGGTCTTCATCAAAACATGGCCAAGAGGTTGTAAGGAAAACTACTTATTAGAAATGGAAATAAAATATGTAGAAATAGACTTGGCAGTATATATTGACGGAAATAAATATTTTAAAATTTTTTTTATATTTTTGTGTCATAATGATGTGCCATGAACAAGTTATGCCAAAAAGCTCTGAGACTAGAATTTTTTAAAATTCAAAATATTTGTATACAGATATTTTGGAAATGCCCAACCTGTAATCTCTGTTACCAATAAAAATTCCTTCCAAGGAATTCTCTGTGCCCATTGATATCAGCATTAGCAAGAATACTGAATGAGATTTGGATTGCATTTCCTCTAATTATGCTCCTGTGGTATCACATTTCCTTATAATATGTAATTATGTGAGAGTTTAGTGTTAATATGCATAATATCCAGATTACAGGAGAGTTTATAAATGTAGTACATAATACAAAACTTATTTTAAAATTGGATTATTAACATTTAATATTCAAACACTTAAATGTATATTTATATTATGTAAGAAAAAACACCATGCGATATTATCTATACAATGCTATACAATACATATAATATTGTTCATGGACTAGGGTTTCCTCAATTTTTTCTCTGATAATTATGAGTGTGCTCTAACTGTAATGGTGTACATTGAATCTTAGAGCTAGAACACAATAATTCATCCTTCCTGTCTTATATGTGAGAAATTTCTACTCAAAGAAGTTAAAAGACTCTTCCTGGAGGTCTGATAGGTTTTAGTATAGTTAGTCTGGAAATGCCAAATTGAATTTGTTCTCATTGTTTCTTCCTGCACAAACAACGAATTTTACAGGATGCATGAATTAAAGAAGTACCAGTAAAAACTATTTGTGGAAATAATGGCAAACTGAAGAGTGCAGGGTGCTCTAGGTTTATGGCCTTAATAAGGAGGTCAGCCACTATTCATCCATGACTGTAATGGGATGAAGGAAAAGCAGATTTGAAGTCAAATGCATTTCTTATGGAAGAATAGGAAACTGCAGAAAATTATATATGAAAGCTCAAGAAAACACAAGATATTAAGGAGAGAATTAGAACTGTTGATTTATTTAAATAAATATAGAATTTCAAAGAGTGGGTTTTCTATTTCAAATTCTATTATTTTTTAACATTCATGGTTACAAAATACTTTCTTAATTATGTTAACCTTTCGCCCTTACACTCAGTGTTTTTATCATATAATCATTTTTATTTTACTTGGATATATCTAGCTAATTTTTATAACCTTTATTTCCTGAACCTTTGCAAGCTTGCAGTATAGAACTATTTCCAGAAGGATATTCAATTACTATATATTCAGTAAGTGAATAATGAAATGATAGAAAGTCTTAATACTTCAAGATAAAGGGCACTGGAAAAAATTCCATTTAAATTCAATCCACTTAAAACTGTCCAGAATTCTGCAATAAGTGGTGAATGAAAATAACTACACAAGACTTTTATCTTAAAAATAAATAAAATTCATTAAAATAAAGTTATTGCTTTTTATTTTAGACAGAATTTAAGTTTTAATTGCAATGGTAAAATTGTTCTTAAAATACGCAAAGAATGAGTTAAGTGCTGATTTGTCCTTTTGGGCATTTTTTTGACAAAATTTTATTAGGTGCATTACAACATCTTTCCTCTCATGTTTGACTTGCATAGCATGATTATATTGAGAACCATTTTTTTCTGAGAAATATTTAAGGATTTCCCCTTTTCCCAAGGGTCTCTCAAATCTTTGAAATTAAAATATTTCTCTTCTGAAGTACCTAGCATGACATAATTCTTTTGAAAGATTTATAAAATTGCATTTGCAAAATATCGTGCACTAAATTGGCTCACATGTATTGGTCTACTTGCATAATAATTATTATATAAATAGTTCATTAGTGAATAATTTCATATCTGATTTTGTTTTGTTATGTGAATGTTATTATTGAACACTTACATACCAAGGACCTTCCTGAATAATTCGGTAAAACAGCTGCGTCTTTGACATTCCACCACTTCGAAAGGATTATTTAATCAATCTTTGAGATGCAGACTTCAACTTTATAAAATGAATGGTTAGGCATTTAAAAATTTCTTTGATTTTCTAATTCAAAAAAGCCCTCAGAATGCCATATAAGCATACTTATGGATCCCTGAAATATTTCTTCCCCCCACCTCTCTGCTTATATCTGCATCAATGACACCATAATCTATAAACCAACGTCAGGTCTTATCACTGTGTGCTTACATGTTCTTTACTGATCAAGACTATTTTTCACCTAGCTGTCAATCAAACTATCATCAGAATGTAATCACAGTTCTAAAAATAAATGAGTTTAGGTAATGATTTACATTAATAAATAATCTACTTGGGACACTAAGTGTTTTCATTTGCAATCGTAGAAATGTAAGCTGGAGTAATGGATTCATAAACTCACTATTTGGAAAGATCAAAAGGGGTTTTTCTTCATTGTTACATTTCGGAATTGTATAAATTCTGAATTGCAGGTAAAGCTTCCTTTAGAATTGTAGGCATCAGTCCTAAGAAATCAGGGTCAGCTGTTATGTTGTCCAGATTTGTTTTTAGCACATTCAGCCACTTACGATCTCATCACAACCACTGTTCTTTTTTATCATTGTTAAGGTGACAATATGATTTATTGTTCAAACCAGGACACTTCTGAGAATGATATGGGATGCTATTAATGACTCCAATCACACAATGGGCATAAACTGGAACTGTCCAGGGCAAACCAGGACTTATGGTCTCTAGTCACAGTACTTTTTCTTTAAAACTTCCATACCAACAACCTCTATCCTTCACCTTCCAGGAAAATCTGCCTTTAGGTACTAATCACTTTAAAATGTCAAACACCTGTAAGTAATCAAAATATCACCTCTGTGAAAGTCTTAGTGATTTTAACAAAAACTTAAAGCCTTAAAGAGATGAAGCTCTAGTTTGGATTGTTCCAAACATCATCCAGAGATGGTGCTGAAATGGTGCTAATTAAATGCTTGCTACTCCAGCTGTTAGTAAATTTAGTATCCTGACAAGGTCTCAAAAGTGTAAGTTTCTGGAGAAAATATATTGTGTTATATATGTTGTATTCTTTTATCTATAATTGCCCACTCTTTACCTTCAAGTAAATTGTGCTAAGTACAGAAAGCCATCTGATGGCTTATCCAATTAGTTATTTGTACCTTATCTCAAATTTTATGTCTCTCTCAGATTTCTTTCTCTCTGAAGGTTGCCTCAACTTTTCTAAAGTGAGCACGGAGATAAATATTAACAATATTAAAGTACTTTACAAGCATTTTAAAGATAAAACCAACAATTAAAATAGCAAAGCAGTACAATTTTACAAAGCTGGCTCAGCTATTTCTGTGAACCTATTAGATGAAAATGTTCTAATTTCTGTCAGGGCAGTATACGCTGATATAGATCCAGAGATTTTCTCCCATTGTTCCCTAAGAAAAATATATTAATCGATTGAGTGATTCATTCATTCGTTCATTCATTTATTCATCAGGATTTATTACAGTCTAGCACTACACCAGAAATACAAAATGAAAGGAGACATGGTTTCTATCTCACAGCCCAGCAGGAAAGATAAATACACAAACATGGAATTACAATATTATAGATTTAACTAAAACTCTATAGAACAGCAAAGATAACACCAAAGAACATTAAAAAGGACTTCTTCATCTGGGAAAGCTTCAAAGAGTTCATAGATTAGGGGAATCCTGAAGCATGAGTGAGCATTTGCCAAGCAGTGAAATGGAGAAATGTTACTGCAGACTATGAGAGTTCACATTAAAGCATGGAAGCACAGAAGAGAATGTGGTATCCTAAAGATTGTGAGCAGCTGCATGCAACCAGAACAGGAACCCATTGTGTTCTGAGAAAGCCTGTCAAGGCAGGAGGTCAGAGCATGATTAAACCTAGATAACATGGGAAGGGGATTTTAGCTGAGTTACCAGGAACCAACAAAGGTATTTTTGAAGAACAGTCATAATCAAATTTTAACCCAGAAAACTAACTCTACTGGCAGTGTGGAAAGCATTTGCAGAAATACACGGGGGAAACTTGAGGGCCTAATGAAAGTCCATCAATGACAAGGAAGTTGGCATTTAACTAATCAAAAAGCAACAGTGAAAGTATTTATTCATTCAGTCTACATATATTTTATACTTACGTGCCAAATATTGTGTTAGCTAGTGAGCATCCAAACATGAACTAGGCTCCTAAAGTATAATTTAAACAGAAGAGGACTTGGACACAGCTCTCTCTATATAAAACTGAAAATTGAAATATGATTTCTGTTTTCTACCTAACATGATTCTTGAGATGTATAATTAAAAATTTTAGATTTTGATGATGATGCATGAATGAGAATTTACATTGAACTTGTCTATCTTGGGCCACAAATAATTCCCATCTAAAGAATCAAAGATGGATTGATAAGTCAATAAAAACAGTAAAAAAAAAGTGTTATATTGTTCTGGGGAGATCTTTTCATAAAGTGAGATTCTCACAGTGATCAATATGAGAATGACGTTGCCTGAAACATGTATTTTTCTGACATGATATTGACCTGAAAGACCAAGGCCTCCCTTTGAAAGGGATAGCTGATCTCAAGTTTCAAGCACTTTTTAGCAAGCTGCAGGGATCAGCAAGTATTATTTGTCCTCTCTTTCACCTGGACTGTAAGTGTCTTGTGAGGAAGAATTGTGTCTTTATCTTTGTGTATTTCCAGTCTAGAACACAATACTGGAACATAAAATTATAAGTTTGTCAAATAAAACTAAGATAACTGGGTATCTGAGAGATGAATACAGAATACTTTCAATTAACACTTATGTGGTAACCTCTGATCTAAAATATTTTTTATCATTAGTAAGATCAGGAACTCCCACTGGGATCTGATACACTCAAGTTGTTTATTTACAGGGTGGTTTTGAGGTATGAAGTAACAAACTTATACCTAATTTTCTGCTCTGCTCACATTGTGCTCTACTGACTTCAGAGTTTTCAATGTTTGTATGTTTTGATTCTCAATAGTCATTAAATAACCAACTTCAGCTCATACTTCGCTATATACAGAACAAGCCAGATTGGTAGAGTAATTGAGATCTTTCAATATACATTATTTTTATTATTTCATTTAAGAATTTGTCTCAGAGTTGGACACTTTTGTCCCAATATCCAAACAATCTTTTGGATATTGTTTTTAAAATTAATCTTTAAATTCATGTTCTCTGCTACAATCAAAGGGACTTTCAAAACAAGAGACAAATAGAGATAGTCCAATGAGCTCTTCCTACTACGTCTTTCTATTGTTACAAATGGGGGCACCTTTCCCTGTGCAGCCTTTTGCTTGGGAAGCTGTAAAAAGTACAGAAAAATGAGTATGATAGAAGGAAGTACTTTCTTAAGGATGTTTTTTCTCTTATGAATTGCCATTGCAAATATATCTTCAGAAATTTCATATCACTTGACACCTATTCTTATATAGCATTTATCAAATGTAACTTATTCACATTTACAGTTAATAATTTAAACATAAAATATTTAAAGATAAAAAGCAAAAAATCAGTGGAATTTCAGTTCATGCATTATTAGAATTTGAATAATAATAATTCCTAAAAATGTATTGAGTACTTCTTACCTGTTAAGCACCCTTCTTATTTTCAATATTTCCTGACAAAAATCTTTACAAATTCAGCCCCGATTAGAAGAACTAATGTTATATCATTTCTCTGAGACAAAAGTCTCACAAAAAATTGATGTGTAAATATTAATCTTAATTCTGCAGCAGAAATTTTTCTTTTTGATTTTTAGGAAATATGACAGCTCTCCCAACACTTAAAATTTTTTTGTAACCTTCTGAATTGACTTTTTGCCAATTTACTAGTGTTTAACAATGACCTTAACTCATAACCACTCCATTGTTCTTCTTTCCTTCATCTGTTAAAGAGAAATTTAACATCCTCCTCTCTCCCTCTTTTCTCTCTCTCTCCCTTCCTCTCTCCCTTTCTTCTTCCTTTTTTCCTTCCTCCTCTTCTTTCTCTTTCAAAACTGTTGGCACCGATGTATATATATATTTTTAACTTTAAATTATAATGTTAATTCATTTAATCCTCCCTGCCATTCTCAAATGGCCAACTTCTTTTGTTTAATGTTTCTTTTTAAGGTCTAGCTTTTATTGCATTTGTCTTACTCTTCAATATAATGTGTTTCTAACTCCTTCCAGGGATTTGGTAATTTGGCAGTCTTCCATCTAGCTTCCCTAAGCAATATCAAAAGAAAACCCTTGGAGGATAATAATGATTAAATGTCCAGACTGCATACATTTTCTCATGTCCATAGCACTCTGGAGAAATTAATTAAGTCTCACAGCACCTGTCTGAGGTATTATTATTATTATGTATGTTTTACATATGCAAACTTCAACACAGACATTATGTGTTGCCCAAAGTCAAAGAAAAGTGTTATTTTTATACTGAGATTAGCATTTAATTATTATGGTTTAAAGTCAGTCCTCTTCCTTTGCTATATCTCTCTCACTGGTCTTTTTCTTACTAGAACTAACATAATTGCATTATCATATTGACTAAAAGGTCCTTTCAAAATACAATGTTTAATAAAAGTTGTAAATGCATGTATTCTTATGGTTTTTATTACATCAATATCAGTTACTATCTAACTTACAAATTACTTACCTTTATATTTATGTCTGTAGTTTTTCTTATCAAAGTTGCTTAACCCATTTTTGCATAATTAAGCTTTATACTTATTTTCAATTATGCAATCTATGTTTATAAATACTGAGTTTCCTAATTAGCAGTTTTATTGACATTACATAGATGCACTTTTTTCATTAAAGACTTTACTTAATGTTAATTTAAAAAAAAAAACTAACAAGCACTTATGTGAAAAAGTGGTACATTCAAATTCTAATTTATTTAGCCAAAACAAAAATCTAAACACACTTTTAAGTAGTAAAATAAAGTATGTGTCAATATGATGCTTAATTCGTCTAGCGTGGTGATTATGCCTGTTTTTTCATTTTACAATTTTGTTGAATAAGGGGGAAGCCAGTCATGATTCTTAGAGGAAGAGCTATTATTATTTTATTAGGCATAATATTGTTTGCTATGGCTACTCTCCAAATATTTCATAATAGGGAGGTGGAATCATTCTTATTGAGGACTGGTTGGTGAAAACAAAAGGTCTAACATATTATTAAATGAAAGAGGTCAACATAAAAATTATTGTGTGTTTTAAAAATACATTTTAAAAGACATTCTGCTCTTAGATCAAGTTAAGTTGAAATAAATTGTGTTTACTTTTCATATTGCATTTAGTCTGTTGTAACATATAAGTTTGGTAGTTGTGATTAACCACATATTAGGTTACACTGGTAATTTTTAATATTTCTTTTGATTGCCAGATTTTATGCAATTAAGTTTTACTGTCAAGTGAAGACTGAATTAAAATAATTTGTGGGAATAATTACTGTTTGACATCAGGAATTCTAAAATAAGTCTATTCGGACAATATCTATTCTTTTCTTTTTTCTTTTTTTTTTTTTTTTTGAGATGGAGTCTTGCTCTGTCACCCAGGCTGGAGTGGAGTGGCATGATCTTGGCTCACTGCAACCTCTGCCTCCCAAGTAGCTGGGATCACAGGCATGCACCACCATGCCCAGCTAATATTTTGTATTTTTAGTAGAGACGAGGTTTCGCCACGTTGGCCAGGTTGGTGTCAAACTCCTGACCTCAAGTGATCCTTGCACCTCGGCCTCCCAAAGTTCTGGGATTATAGGCATGAGCCACCACACCCAGCCACGATATCTATTTTTAATTCATGTCTTCTCAAATTAATATAATTAAACAATTACAGAATGAAAAGGAAACAAAACCACTATCAGTTAGTGAACACTAACCCATTTTAACAAATAAGCATTCTCACTCCCTTCCCATCTTAGTTAAGAGAGACAACTTAACTGTTTGTGGGCTATCTCTGTGTTAAGTTAGTTTATGCTGATAGTTTACTTCCTTAGCATCTTGAAGGCAAGAGAATAATCATGAATCCTCTCTTGTTTCTCTTGCAGTGGTGTGGTCTCTAGAGTATAGCTGAGTATCAATGCAACCTGAAAATACAAATGCATGAGCAATATTTACATTGTTTCTGCTATTGTCATCACTCCACACACACACACATACATACACACACACACACTCACACAATGCCTTTTAAATTAATCAACACGACTAGACCTTTCATGCGCTGGCCCTGAATCAGAATTATGATGTTGCTGGCATAGACAAGGAAACATTCCAAATACATTTTTGCCTGTCTGGAAAATCCTATTAATCACTTTATAGAACTGACTCCTACTGTTGATATAATATATCTTTCAAAATTGACAGTTTTCTTTCAATAATATACCTTGTAGATTTACTTTATATTATATAGCTGCCTTTAATCCTGATAATTGAATTCAGTGAACAAATACTCATTGAGCATATTACTGCAAATTGTTCACCAAAGAAGTAAAAAGGGTATATTTTTCTGAAACAAAAATCTCCTGGGAAAATCACATATCAAGCTCTGAAATACACTGTGGCAAATGCAATAAGGATTGGCATTTGATATTACCCTACAGTACTATAAACAAAAAGCAGGTTGGGGATGCATATTTAGAAGAGTTACAAAAGAAGATTGTAATCAGTAAGAAAATACAAAAATGTAAGTCAAGAAGAACATTTAAAAGTTAATTTATCTAAAATCCATGTTCATAAATGGCATTACTCAACTTGTAAGTCTTTGATGGTTTACTGCTAGCATGAAAATCCATACTGATGGAAGATAAAGCATCAGTTGTAGGAAACCAAGATTTTAATTCACATAATACAGATGCAGAATTCAATATAGTTGCACAGATTCTCTATGCTATTTGATGTCATTACTATGGTATGACCTTTCTCATTTTTTAAAAAATGACTATCACTTGTGGACGTAGTCATGACAGAAATTCAGTATATAAGGAGAATTTGTTGCACTTACTTTCCTTTTAGTGTAGATCTATCCTCTTAAAATGAAATTATCAGCAACATTGATGTGGTAGTCTTAGAGAAAACTATTAGATATCTGAAATGTGTACTTCATATGTCACAAAAACAATAATAATAACAATGCTACTCCAACTAGATTAATTCAAACAAAGGACTTTTTAAAATTCTCTGAACAGCTAAATAATTAAAGGGTCAGAGAAACCTTAATTTGGTGTTTAAATTACAGACTGGGAGTTGTTTGTTTGCTTTCATTCTTTGCATACATTTCCTTAGCATCATGACACTCTTAGGTACGTTCTCCCGTGTGGTTTCAAGAGCACTGTGAACAGTTTCCTGGGATACAGTTGTCTGGATTTATTTCCAGCTGGAAATAGTACACCCACTTCGTTTATAGCTCAAGAGCAAGCCCTAAATTGATCTAATTTGCTTGACTTGTGTTTCGTGCCCATCACAGAATCATTGCATGACAAGGAAAACAAAAAAAACAATTGATCTGGCCTCTTAAGCAGGTACACAGTCAGGTTGAAGGGGTGTTGGTGGTGCAGTCAGCTTTGGTTGAATACCGTGAGCAAGTTGAGAAAACGGGGTTTTCCCATATCAACATCAGGGTATGGTTGCATGAAAAAGAGGGAATTAATGCTAGGAAGATTTTTTAAGCCCAAACAAATGAAGTAAATATTCAAAACTTAATATTGTCAAACTACTGCAAGCTATATAGCTAAATACATGTTACAAACATAGATGAAGACAGTGCATATGAAAACTCTAACATCTATGTCCTTCACCTACTCACTTCCAACTATTTTCCATCATGCTAGCTTGACCATGTATGAAATAATGACAATCTTTATCATCATCAGTAATTCTATTTCTTGTGACATTTCCACTAGCGACTTCTCAGTCAGTGACCTTAATTCTTTCCTTACAGTTTTCTTATGGTAGTATTTCACAAGATGTGTGCTCAATTTCTTTGAGAAATGCAATCTATATATCCTTTTTAAAAATAATATTTATCACCCTTCCCTTCTCTTTTAAGTCTAGATCCTTGTTTAGTCTTTCATTATAATTAATCTCTTCACAAACAAAAACAAAATGGAAAATGGCTTTCTTTACTGTTTCACTATATCTACAAATATTCCAACCACAATTGAAAGCAAGTATCCTCTTTTCCACTAAATAATTGTACTTCAGATTTATAACTACAAAGCTCAAATGCTAATTTAATACTTCAATAGTATATTTGTTTCTAAGTACACTAGTTTCTTAGTATTTACCACAAACTTGTTGGCTGAAAACAAAAGAAATTTATTCTCTCAGAGTTCTGGAGGCAAAAAGTTTGAAATCTGACAGGGCTGCTCTCCCTCTAGGGGCTTTGTAAAGGGAATAATCAGTTCCTTGCCTCTTCCAGTTTATAGTGGTTGCCCCAGCATTTCTGTCCTAGTGGCCACATCACTCCACTCTCTATTTTGATTGTCTTCTCTTCTGTGTGTCCATATAAGAGAGAGGAAAAAATAATCCCTTTTAAGCAGGTACACTGTCAGGTTGTGATTATTTTTTCCTCTCTCTTTTGTGGACACATGATGTCATTTAGGGCTCACACAGATAATTCAGGATTATCTTCACATACCAAAATCGTTAATTACATCTGCAAAGATCATTTTTCCGAAAAGTTAACATTTGCAAATTCTAGAGATTGACATAGACATCTTTTGAGGGGCCACAGCAAAAATCTTTGTTTCACTTTTTAACGCTATTATTTTATACTTTCTTTTACAATTTCAAATTGCTTATACTCCATCATCATTGACCACTCAAAATCAGCTGATAATCGTGTTTCACACTGTATTAGGAAAATAACAACAATCAGTCAAGAATATTTCAGCTTTTTTCAAAACTGGTACTATCACTACTCTTCTATTGTTCATCCTTCCTGTTAAATGAAAGATTGGCCCCTCCTCCCTCACCCCTGCTCTAAGAACACTCTTGTTCTTTTGCTCTGGATCTCATGCCTTTTCACCTTCTCATTCCTGCACTCTCATTCACTTTTGGTGAGAGTGTACTTTGACAAAATCATCTGGAGATACAGTTTTGCAATATATTAAAACAAACAGAAAAAGTACATAACTTTTGATTCAAAATTTTACTTTCAAAAACTTGTTCCACAGAAATATTCAGCTTAACAAAAATAAAAATGTCAGTTTTTGAAGCATTATTTGTACTATGTAAAATATATATATGTGTGTTTGTATATGTATGTGTATATATGTATATGTAACTCTTAAATTCCCTCAGTTTGCTGATGTCTATTATGTAATGCAATTTTAAAAGTTATTTTAATTTTTAAAAATGAATAATAATTTGTACATATAGATATTGTATGGTGTCCATAATTGCCGAAATAATCAAACAAATATCAGAAGCAGAACTTTACTTATTTGTTTTAAATAGGAGAAATGGCATGCAAATTTATTAATGTGCACGTGGTGAGAACCACAGAGTGATTACTCCCCATTCCTCAATGGAGTTCAGAAACTCATATTCCTTCTTGAAGTTACAGAAAGAATGGGGGCTTGTATCATGGCAAAATACATTATGGGAGGAGGAGAAGAAGGGGCTTGGCTAGCAAAGGTGGTCTTGTTATGTAGAACTTTACTTGTGACACATTTTTGTTCAAAACAACAATAACAGAATATAGGTATGAATAAGGCTGAAAGAGTAAAACTGTTAACAGTCTTCGTTCTCAAAAAGTAGAAATATAGGAGGAAGTTTTGGTTTTGTATATGTCCATTTTGTTTCTAACAATTAACCTCTATTGATATTTACATACATACGTGTATAGATATATAACTTATTTTAATTCTTTATTGTTTTTAGTAAAATTATAAGCATATAAATTACATCTAACTCATATTTTTTTTGTTCAGTGTTTTGGAACTTTATGTTACCTCTGTTTTTATTGTTCAATTTCCTAAGCTATTCATCTAAATAAATTTACTTGAAAAATTTGGTTGTCATAATCAGTTTACTGTCTTGAGAGCACTTTATCTAATCTTAATGAAGGGGAGTTAGAAATCTAGCTGACAAAGCTTTAATTCTTCCCAACAATCTGCATTTTCTATCACATGACTACCCCTAATTAACTATAGTGTTAATGCCTTTTGTCTTTTATGATAAACAACAAGAAAATGCCTGTTGGAAAAGGAAATTAGCATTACACCAGATAATTTCAAATTGTTGCCAATGTAACACAAGAGTTTACAGTCTGGAAAATATGATAAGTCAAATTTTAGACACTAAGATTTAATTATTTGACTTTTTCAAAATTACGCTATGTTTTTTGGTTAATGAAATTACTTCACATAGAATGAATTCACATTTTAAACAGTTTAAAAATGCCATTTAGAATCCGACAGTATTTTACTGTTCCACTTCATTTTGAATAAGATATGGGTAAAATATACTTATTGTAAAAAGTAACATAAAATAGATCAATAATCAATCCTAGATCACAGTAATTGTACTTGTAAAATCACAGATAGTATACAATGACTTTCATATAAAAATGGAAATATTAAGTTTTGATTTTATTCTTTTTAATTAGATATATATATAGGCTGATGGTCAGTATTTTTTAAAAGCCAATTTGCAAACTGAGAAAGAAAATTATGCCATTTAAACTGAAGTCATTAAGAATCTTGAAGCAGTGTGTAACACCCTCCAAGAATAGTCCTTGGGGTTTAAATGCTCACTCACCCTCTTTGTTAGTTTAATTCAACAGAAAATATCTTGTTCACACACTAGACAGAGTTGGAAAGGAGCCATAGAAGATTATGTCCACTCAATAAAATAGACCCTTTATGTTTATGTTGCTTTGCTCATAATCTCATATCTATAGCACTACAACCAATTAATTGCAGTATATTCAGTTTGTGGAAAATCAGACGCAGTTCATGACTTATCTTTTTGATACATTTTTGTTGAGAACTTTATAACTCATCAAAACTTCCCTTAACACAATATATGAAATGTTTACTGTATATGATACAAATCAGGAAAATTCTATAATTATTCAAAATAATTATACATTTGTATAGTTCCAGAAAAATAATAGATTTTAACAGCATATGAGATTTTTTAATATAGTCTGTATTTTTTGTTGTTCAGAAATAAATACCTGAAGAATGAGGCTAAATAAATTTAAGAAGCATAGTCATTTTTGTCTTTATTTTTTAGAATTCTTTGCTTGGTCATGAACTATATTGAGAAATAAAATGAGCTTTAATCAGTCATTTTCTCTTGAATCATATTCCCATTGGTTCTTATATTTACTAATTTGATGTAATATCATTTTGTTGCTTAGTGTTATTGATCAAGCATTAAATCTAATACATTACATCAATAATCAAATTTTCCTTTTTTCCGTATCTTTTTAAAAATTTAATGACGCATCTATAGTATTTGGATTATCTTTCATTACGTTGTTGTTATAACTTTGCAAATAAAGTTATGAGAAAAGGAAGAATTTCAAAATAGGAAAGGCTAAAATCCTGTTGGTTGGATGAGTAATGTCTCTTCTTCCAAAAGACAGCCTAAATCCAAGCTCCATATGTAATTTAACAAACACTGGTCTGAGTATACTATGCACCTAACACTCTGCTTAATACTAGGTTTAGAAAAATATATGATCTTCTCTTTTATATATATACCTTCTCTAACCACCTTCAACTACTTTCTTTGCTAATCCATTTCCTGCTCTTCATAAAATTATCTTTACTACTTGCCAAGTACATAATAATTGGCTAAGTACTTAGAATGCATTCTAAGCTTAGGAGGAAGCAGAGGTGATATGCTAATGTATATCACTGGCCTAGCCTACCTAAACAACAAGCAAGTATATAGTTATTTTTCAGCAGAAAGTAGCAGTCTGCATGCTCAGAGAAATTGATATGGTTATGCTTTGTTTTTCCACCTAAATCTCATCTTCAATTATAATCTCCATAATCCCTATAATCCCCAAGTATCAAGTGAGAGACCAGGTGGAGGTAATTGAATCATAGGATTGGTTTCCCACATACTGTTCTCCTAATATTGAGTGAGCTCTCAAGAGATCTGATGGTTTATAATTTTTTGGTAGTTCCTCCTGCGTTCATTCTCCTTTCTGCCACCTTGTAAAGAAGGTGCCTTGCTTCCCTTTTGCCTTCCGCCATAATTGTAAGTTTTCTGAGGACTCCACAGCCATGCTGAACTGTGAATCAATTAAACCTCTTTCCTTTATAAATTACCCAGTCTCAGGCAGTTCTTTATAGCAGTATGAAAATGGACTAATACAGCATTCATACACAGGTTGCAATCTCATGTTTTCTCCTCTCATGTCTATGTTTCATTTCACCAATAAACAGTTAATAAGAAATAAATACTTTATGGATTGAAATTCAAATTAATTCAAACTTCATAACTTCCGTTTGAGTCACAGTTAATTGGAAAAAAATCCTTCGGATTTTTTCTCTTTGTTCCAAATTAGGTAACAAGTTTTGAGGTACTGTGCATTGATATTATAAGAGCAAATAAAAGCAGTTTCTAGCCAATTCTCCCTTTCATATATACAAAAGTAAAAAAGCCAAGTATATTTCAGTTTGTCTTAGAAAGTCATTTGTAGATGTTATACCACCATGATTTAGAGTTTATTAATTTGGATTGAATCAACTTCCATTTGAACTACTATGGGACAATTTAAAGGAACTAATTAACATTCACATTTCCCTTTAATATGGATTTTATTTTAGATGACATTAACTATATGCCATATCTACTACCAGATCTACACAGGTAGTCAAAATCTTTGCCTGTTTTTGGTGACTTTCTTCCTGTTAATATAACTGAAGTCGCAATGCTTCTATCTAAAGCTACTCCTTTCCACTAGCACACTAAACCCCACTATTTCTAACCTACTCTAAGATTTTAGTTTAGCCAGCCTCCCTTCTTTTTTCTGTTTAGTCATGTTTTCTATCTTTACGGGACTATGATTATAAAAGCATGGATTTATTTCTCCCTTTGTTAAAAAAAGTTGTTTTGACCCCACTTTCCCTGCCAGTTATTGCCATATATTTTTTGCTTCTCTTTGCTGCAAACTTGCTCAAAAGAGTTATTCATCTTTGCTAACTTTGATTTTCCTCTTTCCAGACCCTCCCAAACCCATTGTTCCAAACAGACTTTCACTACTATGGTAACAAAACTTCTTTGGCAAAGTCAAAAATGTTCTCTACATTGCTAAGTCTAATAGTGGATTCTTTGTATACTTTTTACTTGACAGATCAGCAGTATTTATCTTAGCACTAAATGCTCAGTTTTCCTCATTACTTTTATTCGAGGGTTTCAGTTCCTGGTTTTTCTCCTGTCACATTGTTTTCTCCTCTTCTGTCTGATCACTTAATGTTAATGCAACTTCATCATCTTTTTGTCTCTCACATTCACTCCTTCAGCAATAACCTCTGGGTTGCATGATTTTAAATGCCACATATGTATGCAGTCTCACATTTTACACTGCCAGCCCAAATATGCTGCTGGACCTCTAGACAATCCACTGCTTTCTTGAAATCTCTACTTGGACACCTAATTCCCCAAGTTATGTATGCGAATACTTAACTTAATTGATTTTTTACCAAACTGCTTTCCCTAGTCTTCTCCATCTAAGTTAATAGAAATTTCATCATTCCCCTTGCTCAGACAGACATTATTGGGGACATAATTGATTTACCCCTTTCTCTCATCATTTCATGATTTATTAGCAAATTATTTTGGCTTCACTTTGAAAACATGTCTGGAATTCAATCCTTTATCACCACCTCTACTGCTAATATCTTGGTCAACCCACTATCATCAGGCACCAGGATTAAGGCAATAACTATACCTGATTTCTCGTTTCCACCATTTTTCTTTCATTCTCACTCTTCTTCACTTAGACATATTCCTTCCTTAGGGCCTTTCCTCTTATATGTCCATGGCTAACCCCTTCAACTTTTTCATGACTTATCTCAAATGCCATTTTCCAAGGCTGCCTACTTACTCACTATAATAAAAATTGGAACCTATTCACCTCTCCACAGTTACCCTATTCTGCTTCATTTTTTTCATCCATAGCACTTATTACCTTCTAATATTATATAATTTTATTATGTCTGTTTAATATTTTCTGTCTCTCTACACTGAAATATGAATTCCAAAAGGACAGGTATTTTTTTTTTCCAAGGTGGGGAGTGAACGGATGATCTCTCATTTACTGCTATGCCCCGAGTGCCTAGAACAATACATGGCTTAGAGTGGGTACTCAATACATATTTATTAAATAACTGCATTGGTGTGCCTAGTATGTACCATGCTGTGTGCTGTGTTGATTACCTTGCTTAATCTTTTCATGAATTCAATGAAGTAGCTATTTTGTTTCCTCTTGTAGGGATGATAAAACTAGGTCTCCGTGATTTCTAATGTGCCCAAAGTTATGCTGTCAGCATTTAAAGATGGGATTTAAACCTAGGTAGCTTGACTCCAAAGCTTCTGCTTTGAATCCTCATTGTTTCCCATCTTAACATGAGCTAATTATTGCTTCTGAAACACATGTAATGCAGTGTATTGAACTCTGAAAACAAAATTTCTGCTGATAATCATGAAAAATAATAGCCCCACTTCTTGGCAACATAGAAAAGTTACTGTTGTTGACATTTGATTTTGAGAATTTATCTTACGCTTTAATGAAATATATCAACTAAGCCATTTGCTGCCTTCAAGAGTGTGAGATGTGACATGTTAAATCTAATATACTCACCACAAGAACTGGTTTCAAATATAGATGGAAATGCTTGTGAGAAATGTTCTGAACTATTTTGACCCATTGGAGGCACAGTGACAGGATAGTTTCTTCCTTAGGAAATAGGAATAGCATGTGTTCTGTCATTATTGGCAAGAAAATTCATAAGAAAATGAGTAGTCATAATTTTAAGTTAGGAAATCTATAATATCAACATTGGCTTTTCTTTCTGTCTGTGTTAATATCTACTCCAAGCTATGCAAATGATTTTGCATACTTAGGTTAATGATTATTACATTTTAAGATTTTCAGATTTTTGAACTGACAATTTAACACTACGTTTTATCAATACCTTAATGAACAGGTTTTTTTTTTTTTGCTACTTGTCAACAAATGACTAATGTGACCTGCTTGTTACTCACAAAAATATGTCATCTAAAGATTTCTAAAGTGTTAATTTCTGTTTCTTTTTGGGCCTATTATAAATTTAGGAAAATATAATTTCAAAAACCCAACATATTTTGTGATTTTTGATCTTCAGTTACAAGTGAGTCATCTTAATACTCCCACTTAAATTGTGACACATCATATGTTTCATAATTACCATTATTATTTATACACATATTATTTTCTGTAGCTCGTGAATTAATTCCTCATTTTACTGAGTCTTTTATTCCTTGTGTCTATTTTGAAAAGTTTAAAACCTTCAGAAACACTGAAAGAATAAGAAAAAGTATACTTGCATATTCTTCGCTTAGATTCATCAGTTTTTACGATTTTGCCACATTGGCATTCTGTGTTTCACTCTTTCTCCCTCCTACACTACACACACACACACACGCTAACGCACACACAGGCTCGTGTGCATGCACACAGAAACACATCTTTATTTGCTTATTCGTTTATTTTTGCATAACAATTTGAAAGTAGGGTGCAAATACCACGTGCTTTCACCCGTAAATACATAAGCATCTTCTAATCGTAACAACCTTCCCCTAAGTAGCCACAATATCAATATCATGTTTAGAAAATTAACATTCAATCACCAATGTTATCTACTGTACAATCCATTTTCAATATACCCAGTTTGCCCAAAAAGGTCTGGTATAGCCTTTTTTTTTAAAAAACCTAAGATCTAATTAATTTGCACTCATTGCATTTGTTTGTTATGTCTCTTTGGTATCTTTTCCTCTGGAACAGTTCCCTTGCTTTTTTTTTTTTTCTCTTTTCACTGAATTTTTAGCAGAGTTAACACCAGCTGCCTTCTAGATTATCCCAATAATGATTTGTACTGATGATGTATTATTGTGTGAGCTATTTAATATAATTCCCTACACAGCCTTATGTATGGATTTTTTTTTCATATAATGGGCTTAAAAAAAGTGAAGTTACGTCCCCAAATTGTATACATTTTGAAAGCTGCAGAGTAATATTTCAAACACAAGAAGGTCAGATTTCAAAATATGAACTCTAACCAATGCAAGATCCCTGCATCTTGACCAAATCATATTCTTGCATTTGTAGTGTTATTTATTGTTTAATACTGAGAAATGTACATGTGTGTTTTACCTCACACATCAAATATATTAATATCATCCCTTCAAAACTTCTGATGATATTTGGGAGGCTAATCGCTGGTTGTCAAAATGTAGGAAACATTAAAACAAAAATAGTTCTAAGGCCTCACTCGATGTTTCTTTTCTCTACTATCAAATAGTGCCAAAAGCTGACAAAACAGGAATGCATCAAGGAACAATGCATTAGTAAAAGTCTAGACGAGGTATCTTTAGTAGATCAAAAATACAGCTTGTGAAATTGTTATCATTGACAAATACTTGTTTTTCCTTCTCTTTCGTTCTGTCACCCAGGCTGGAGTGCAGCGGCAGGATCTCGGCTCACTGCAAACTCCGCCTTCCGGGTTCAGGTGATTCTCATGCCTCAGCCTCCTGAGTAGCTGGGATTACAGGCCTCCCACCACCATGCCGAGCTAATTTTTGTATTTTTAGTAGAGACAGGGTTTCGCTATGTTGGCCAGGCTGATTTGAAACTCCTGACCTCAGGTGATCCACCTGCCTCGGCCTCCCAAAGTGCTGGGATTGCAGGAATGAGCCACCATGCCCGGCCAATATTTTAACATTTCTAATGTGATTGTTACTGAGGTCAAATAAGTCACATAGATTCAGTTTTTCATGGTGATTTTTCCAATTGTTCACATATCAAAGCTGTCAGCATATATATGATGATTAACAAGTCAAGGAAACATTCTGTAATTGATACTTGTGAGATCTACTACAGGTAAGGCATTGAGCTATTGATCTGAGCAACTCTAATCTAGAGTTGGCATTTAACCATATATATGGACACTAACTTCTTGATAGACCCTGTTCTACTGTTAAAGCACTGTAGGGTCAGAAATGAATTCAGACTTGAACTAGATTTTGTAGAAAGTGAAACAATATATACAGTGAAATTGGGAGATGAGGATACATTCCAAACTGATAATTTCAGAATACTAAAGTCATACAAATTTCTCTTGAAGATTACTCTCTCCCTCTGCTTTCAAATTATTTAATCAAATATGTATAAACAGAAAATATATAAATTTATCTTAGAATATTATCTGTATTCCAAGTATCATTTATCTGAAATCTAGACTGTGAACTCTTTAAGAAGCAACAACATCGTTTATTTATATTGCCAGAATCCGGCACTGTGCTTGGCACGTTGGAAGTTTTAGTGAATGATTGTTGAGCCAATCAGTCACATCCTGGATAGGTACTATGCTGCGGTTCAGAGTGTCACCATCTCAGTTCAGAGTTTACTCCTAGATCTACATGCAAATGAATGTGATTCCTCGCATGTATGTAGGGTCCGTATAGGCCTAGGACAGTTTAAAATATTAAGTTTTGGAAAACGAGCATTTTGTAGGTGAACTATGTGATACTTGGTTTTCACTGTAGAGGATTTTAATATCTTTTGAGGCATAATTTGGGTAGAATGCCTACATATTTGAATTTGTCACATTTGAATGTGACATTCCCCTAACCTGTTGTGTCAGTCAAGGATCAGTTGAAAGCAGGGGAAAAAAAAAGAAAAGAAAAGAAAAGAAAAAAATTTCTAGCATTTTAAGCAGAAAGGGATTTAAACCAAATGAGTTGGTTAACAAATTGTTGCAATGGTTAGAAGAGCAGATGCTAGATCAGGTTTCTAGGAGAGACTATAAGAATAGCAAGAAATAAACTACCAAATGAATGTACCTTTGCCACAGTTAGGTCAGTGGAAATCAAGAAGTTGAGCTTAGCATCAATAAAGACTTCCATTCAAAAATCAGTGCTCTTGAAGTCATGACTGGACAAAGGGATTTGCCTTCAGAGAAACCCGATGACCACGCTTGTCTTCATGACCAAAAGCACAGGAAAGGTGAGAAAGATAGGTTCTTCGTCTCTCTCACTTTTTAAATCTTACCTAATTGACTACATCTAATCCACAGTTAGGAGTCTAGTTGCAAGGGTGTTTAAGAAAAGGATTGCTGTTTCTATGCTTATTTGTTCCTTTAATTTTTTAGTGCTGAAAGATATTTCAAATAAAGTTTGGAATAACTGTTGAATATTAATTCTTCCTAACTACTTCAAATTTACATATAAGACTCTTTGCCAATAGCTTTTTCTGTATTATTATTAATTCCTTTTACTCTTTCAGTCTTCCACCTACTGCTATGGACTGAATTGTGTCCCCCCTAAAATTCATATGTTAAAGCCCTAACCCCCAATATGATAGTATTTGGAGACGGGGCCTTTGAAAAGTCAAGCTCTCATGATGGGATCAGTGCCCTTCTAAGAAGAGACGTGAAATCTCCGTCTGTCTCTCTCTTTTTCCCATGTGAGGATATATCAAGAAGGCAGCCAACTGTGAGCTAGAAAAAGAGCTTTCATCAAAACCAAAGCTGCCAGCACCCCGATCTTAGACTTCTCAGCCTCCAGAATTGTGAGAAATAAATGCCTGTTGTCTAAGCCAAGTCTTAAGTTTAAGCCACTGGGTATTTTGGTGTAGCAGCATAAGCTGAGCAGTGTACCTACTCTTTCTTTCCTTGCCTTTTTGGGGGGCATATTATGTTGCTGACCTTTATACCTTAAATTCTAATTTATCTTCTGGAAAATAGTCATAACTTTTACTTAGTCTTCTAATCTGACCGAAAATAGTCATAACTTTTACTTAGTCTTCTAATCTGACCTCTAATTCTCTTGCTGTTACCCATGGCAGCAAAATACAGTATTTATATATTTCTAGATCATTTACTTATGTTTTGTCTAATGAAATTTTTTTACATGAAGTTTGATATAACAAATGTGGTTTTTGATTTGATAGTTGATTTGTTCTTATATCAGAATAATGTCTTCAATAAATTCAGAGTGAATTTATACAGAAAAATGCTTTCTCTTCATTTGACAGGTGTACAGTTTTAAATCTTTTACACAGAGCTCAATACTAATCTCCACCTAATAAATAGATTTAATTTAAGCTTAAGAAGTTTTTATTTTAAATTACCTACTATGTCCCAGGCACTGTGTTAGGTAATGGGGCTGAGAAGACAAAATAGACAAGGTTCATACATCTATACACCTTCAGATAAGTGGGGACAGGTACATATAAATAGGTTATTTTAATACGTGCTCAGAGCAAACAGAAATGATTTTCTAAAAATAAGGGGTACTGTAAAAGCAGTCCAAGGATAGACACCTTACATAAGTCCTAAAAGATAAATAGGAATATTCAAGGTGAAGTAGTTAAAAGTCTAAATTACAAATATTTAAAATTAAATTGTTTTGTTTTGTGATACTTTTCTCTTGCATTATTATGCATATTACTATCATCCTTTATGCATATATATATATATATATATACATATATATACACACACATAGGCATTAGAACAGGAATTGTTCATATAAAACACTGAAGAGAGAATGAAATAGTTCAAGCTTTGCCTATCAAAGTGTGATTTTGAGTTGAGTTGAGTTGAGTTGAGAAGACAGGCTTGAAAGCCAGCCTTTGTCAGAGAAAAATGAATTTCATGAATTCTTCATTTATTATGAAACCTCTCAAGAATAAAGTACTCATATTATAGAGTATCCTTCATAGTATATAGAAGAGACAGCCTTTATACGTGTGCAATTTAGATCTTCAGGCTCACTACAAAACAGGAGGAGAAAAATACAAAACTAGAGGAAATGAAAAACCTATAGCCAGAACCACCATGAGCCTGAGGATTATGCAAAGAAATAATATGGTGGTACTTACTTCTTTTCTCTCACTAGAGTCTATTTTTTATTATTTTTTATTTTACTTTAAGTTCTGAGATACATGTGCAGAACATGCAGGTTTATTACTTAAGTATACGTGACCCATGGTGGCTTCCTGCACCTATCAACCCATCATCTAGGTTTTAAGCCCTACATGCATAAGGTATTTGTCCTGATGCTCTCCCATTCCTTGCCCTCCACCCCCTGACAGGCCCTGGTGTGTGTTATTCCCCTCCCTGTGTCCATGTGTTCTCATTGTTCAACTCCTACTTTTCAGTGAGAACATGAGGTGTTTGGTTTTCTGTTCCTTTGTTAGTTTGCTGAGGATGATGGTTTCCAGCTTCATCCATGTGCCTGCAAAGGACATGATCTCATTCCTTTTTATAGCTGCATAGTATTCCATGGTGTATATGTACTACATTTTCTTTATTCAGTCTATCATCAATGGGCATTTGGGTTGGTTCCACGTCTTTGCTATTGTAAATAATGCTGCAATAAACATAGGTGTTCATGTGTCTTTATAGTAGAATGATTTATATTCCTTTGGGTATATACCCAGTAATGGGATTGCTGGGTCAAATGGTATTTCTGGTTCTAGATCCTTGAGGAATTGCCACACTGTCTTCCACAATGATTGAATTAATTTACATTCCCAACAACAGTGTAAAAGCATTCCTATTTCTCCACAGCCTCGCCAGCATTGTTGTTTCTTTTTAATAATCGCCATTCTGACTGGCAAGAGATAGTATCTCATTGTGATTTTGATTTGCATTTCTCTAATGAGCAGTGATGTTGAGCTTTTTGTCGTGTGTTTGTTGGCCACAAAAATGTCTTCTTTTGAGAAGCATCTGTTCATGTCCTTCACCCGCCTTTTATGGGGTTGTTTTTTTTTTCTGATAAATTTGTTTAAGTTTCTTGTAGATTCTGGATATTAGACCTTTGTCAGATGAATAGATTGCAAAAAATTTCTCCCATTTTTTAGGTTGCCTGTTCACTCTGATGATAGTTTCTTTTGCTGTGCAGAAGCTCTTTAGCTTAATTAGATCCCATTTGTCAATTTTAGCTTCTGTTGCAATTGCTTTTGGTATTTTCATCATGAAATCTTTACCCATGCCCATATCCTGAATGGTATTGCCTAGGTTTTCTTCTAGGGTTTTTATGGTTTTACATTTAAGTCTTTAATCCATCTTAAGTTAATTTTTGTATGAGGTGTAAGGAAGGGGTCCAGCTTCAGTTTTCTGCATATGGCTAGCCAGTTTTCCCAGCACCATTTATTAAATAGGGAATTCTTTACCCATTGCTTGCTTTTGTCGTGTTTGTAGAAGATCAGATGGTTGTAGATGTGTGGTGTTATTTCTGAAGTCTCTGTTCTGTTCCATTGGTCTATATTTCTGTTTTGGTACCTGTACTATGCTGTTTTGGTAATCGTAGCCTTGTAGTATAGTTTGAAGCCAGGTAGCATGATACCTCCTGCTTTGTTCTTATTGCTTAGGATTGTCATGGCTATACGGGCTCTTCATTGGTTCCACATGAAATTTAAAGTGGTTCTTTTTGTCATTATGTGAAAAATGTCAATGGTAGTTTGATGGGAATAACATTGAATTTATAAATTACTTTGGGCAGCATGGCTATTTTCACACTATTGATTCTTCCTATATATGAACATGGAATGTTTTTCCATTTGTTTGTGTTTTCTCTTATTTCCTTGAGCAGTGGTTTGTAGTTCTCCTTGAAGAAGTCCTTCACGTTTCTGTTAGCTGTATTCCTAGGTATTTTATTCTCTTCGTAGCAATTGTGAATGGGAGTTTATTCATGTTGTGGCTCTCTGCTTATCTATAGTTGGCATATAGAAATGCTTGTGATTTTTGCACGTTGATTTTGTATCCTGAGACTTTGCTGAAGTGCTTATCAGCTTAAGGAGTTTTTGGGCTGAGACAATGGAGTTTTGTAAATATAAAATCATGTAGTCTGAAAACAGAAACAATTTGACTTCCTCTCTTCCTATTTGAATACCCTTTATTTCTTTCTCTTGCCTGATTGCCCTGGACAAATCTTCCAATACTATGCTGAATAAGAGTGGGAAGACAGTGCATCTTTGTTTTGTGCCAGTTTTCAAAGGGAATGATTCCAGCTTTTGCCCACTCAGTGTGATATTGGCTGTGGGTTTTTCATAAACAGCTCTTATTATTTTGAGATATTTTGCATGAATATCTAGTTTATCAAAAACGTTTAACAATTGGGGATGTTGAATTTTAGCAAAGGCCTTTTCTGCATCTATTGAAATAATCATGTGGTTTTCGTCATTGGTTATGTTTATGTGATGGATTACATCTGCCGGTTTGTGTATGTTGAACCAGCGTTGCATTCCAGGGATGAAGCCGACTTCATCATGGTGGATACGCTTTTTGATGTGCAGCTGGATTCAGTTTGTCAGTATTTTATTGAGGTGTTTCACTTCGATGTTCATCAGGGATATTGGACTGAAGTTTTCTTTTTTTGTTGTGTCTCTGCCAGGTTTTGGTATCAGGATGATGCTGGCCTCAAAAAATGCATTAGGGAGGAGACTCTCCTTTTCAATTCTTTGGAATAGTCTCAGAAGGAATGGTACCAGCTCCTCTTTGTACCTCTGGCAGCATTTTGCTGTGAATTTGTCTTGTCCTGAGATTTTTTTTGGTTGGTATGATGTTAATTACTGCCTAGATTTCAGAACTTGATGTTGGTTTCTCAGGGATTTGACTTCTTTCTGGTTTAGTTTTTGGAGGGTGCATGAGTCCAGGAATTTATCAATATCTTTTAGATTTTCTAGTTTATTTGCACAGAGGTGTTTATAGTATTCTCTGATGGTAGTTTGTATTTATGTGGGGTCAGTGTGTCATTTTTATTGTGACATTTTTTATTGTGTCTATTTGATTCTTATCTCTTTTCTCCTTCATTAGTGTAGCTAGTGGTCTATCTATTTTGTTAATTTTTTCAAAAACCAGCTCATTGATTCATTGCTTTTTTTGAAGGGTTTTTTGTGCCTCTATCTCCTTCAATTCTGCCCTGAATAATTATTTTTTGTCTTCTGCTGGCTTTTGGATTTATTTGCTCTTGTTTCTCTAGTTCTTTTAATTGTGATATTAGGGTGTTGATTTAAGATCTTTCTAGCTTTCTGATGTGGGCATTTAGTGTTATAAATTTCCATCTAAACACTGCTTTAGCTGTGTCCCAGAGATTCTGGTATGTTGTCTCTTTATTCTCATTGGTTTCAAAGAACTTCTTGATTTCTGCCTTAATTTCATTATTTTTAACCAGGAGTCTTTCAGGAGCAGGTTATTCAATTTCCATGTAGTTGTGTGGTTTTGAGTGTTTCATAATCCTGAGTTCTAATTTGATTGCACTGTGGTCTGAGAGACTGTTTTTTATTATTTCAGCTTTTTTTGCATTTGCGGAGGAGCTTTACTTCTAATTATGTGGTTGATTTTAGAATAAGTGAGATGTGGCACTGAGAAGAATGTATATTCCATTGATTTGGGGTGGAGAGTTCTGTAGATGTTGATTAGGTCCACCTGATCCAGAGCTGCTTTCAAGTCCTGAATATCCTTGTTAATTTTCTGTGTTGTTGAACTGTCTAATATTGACAGTGGGGTGTTAAATCTCTGACTATTATTGTGTGGGAGTCTAAGTCTCTTTGTAGGTCTCTAAGAACTTGTTTTATGAATCTGGGAGCTCCTGTATTGGGTACATATATATCTAGAATAGTTAGCTCTTCATATTGAATTGATCCCTTTACCATTATGTAATGCCTTTCTTTGTCTTTTTTGATCTTTGATGGTTAAAAGTCTGTTTTGTCAGAGAGTAACATTGCAACCCCTGCTTTTTTTTTTTTCTGTTCATTTGCTTGGTAAATTTTTCTCCATCCTTTTATTTTGAGCCTGTGTGTGCCTGTGCACATAAGATGGGTCTCCTGAATACAGCACACTGATGGGTCTTGACTCTTCATCCAATCTGCCAGTCTGTGCCTTTTAATTGAGGCATTTAGCTCATTTACATTTAAGGTTAATATTATTATGTGGGAATTTGATCCTGTCATCATGATGCTGTCTGGTTATTTTGCCCACTAGTTGATGCAGTTTCTTCATAGTGTCTTTGTATTTATATTTTGGCATGTTTTTCCAGTGTCTGGTACTGGTTTTTCTTCCACTATTTAGTGCTTCCTTCAGGAGCTCTTGCAAGGCAGGCCTGGTGGTGACAAAATCTCTCAGCCTTTGCTTGTCTGAGATGGAGGTTATTTCTCCTTCCCTTATGAAGCTTAGTTTGGCTGGATATGAAATTCTGGGTTGAAAATTCCTTTCTTTTAAGAATGTTGAATATTGGTCCCCACTCTCTTCTGGCTTGCAGGGTTTCTGCTGAGAGATCTCTTGATAGTTTGGTGGGCTTCCACTTGTAGGTGACCTGGCCTTTTTGTCTGGCTGTCCTTAACATTTTTTCCTTTATTTCAACCTTGGAGAATCTGATTGTGTATCTTGGGGTTGATCTTCTCATGTAGTACCTTAGTGGTGTTTTTTGTATTTCCTGAATTTGAATGTTAGCCTCTCTTGCTAGGATGGGGAAGTTCTCCTGGATAATATCCTGAAGTGTGTTTCCAACTTGGTTCCATTCTCCCCATCTCTTTCAGACTCTCTGATCAATAGTAGGTTCGGTCTTTTTACATAGTCCCATATTTCTCGGAGGTTTTGTTTGTTCCTATTTATTTATTTATTTATTTATTTATTTATTTTCTAATCTTGTCTGCCTGCCTTATTTCAGCAAGATGGTCTTCACGCTCTAATATTCTTTCTTCCACTTAATCAATTCGGCTATTGATATTTGGGCTCACGAGTGGGATCTTCTGATCTGTGGGTTTCACAGTTCCATGGAAAAAGCACAGTTTCCCAGACTAGGTAGCACACTCACTGCCTCCCTTGGCTAAGGGGTGGGATCTCCCCTGCCCCATGTGGCTCTCAGGTGGGCTGCTGCACCACACTGCTCTTCCTTTCTCTCTGTTGGTCATGCCAGCCACCTAGTCAGTCCTGTTGACAACCTAGATACCTGGATATTGGTTGCTGGTGCTGGATTTGCATACTGTTTTGGTTCTTTTTGATGGGTGCCTCCAATCGCTGCTTCTTCTAGTAAGCCATCTTGGCCCTGCCCCTTAGAATCTATTTTTAAGGACAGACTAATAACCAGCTTCCCCAAATGTTGAGTTGGGTGTCCTGAAGGAAGTCTGCAGCACCTAAGTAAGTTCAGTTTTCCATTCAATATGTCATGAGAGAAACTTCAGGCTCTTTTTTTTTTTTTTTATTTTTGATTCTACACAGTCTTGGCATGTCAAGGGATTGTGGTAATTCTTACCTGTCTTAATAATTAGATGCAGAATTCCTTGTAAGACTTATGGACTAGCAAATATTCAAGATTAAAAGACTACAAGGCACAAATGTCTTAATGCCTCGATCCTTAAGATTCCGAATATACCCCAAAAGTCAAAACCAGAATAATTACATTTGACAACTCATCAGTCCAAGGAAAATATTAATCCAGTTACTCTACATCAGCAGTGACAGTAAAATCAGAGAACTTCCATCCTACAGTTGCGGGGCCTCCTGTCCTGACAATCTCCTCACTGTCCCATAAATCCAACCCTGTGTATAACCATTTTAAAAAGGAACAGGAGTAGGTGAGTAATTAACATGAATCAACCACTTACACGGTAAAAAGATCTGTTTAATAGAAACTAAATTACCTCAAGATTACTTAAATTTTTGAATCAGACTACATTTACCAAATTGAAGTAAAATTTTAATTACCCCTTCTCCCAACTTACAAGGTGTTTTTTATTGTTGTTTGTTGGTTTGATGTCAAGTTAACATTTCCTTGAGGATCCTGCTCTTCATAGTGGGTCTTCTTAAGCTCACAGTTTCAGCTCTGAGAACATTTGTGGTGGTAGATGAGAGTGGCACAACACTGGAGGAGAGGTCAATAGTATCTGAGGTCTGTAGTATCACTGACTTGCACACAGAGTGTCACAGATTTTACAGTGTTTCTCAGTTACTCTTGCATCTCCTATCAGGCCATAAGCATATTGGCTCCAAGCCAACAAAAGTCCACATACCGCCAGTAGCTTAATAGTTAGGCATAATGTCCTAAGTAGGACTCTTCTGGAACATCTTGATATATAATTGGTGTCGTGCTCCTGTAGTACCAGATACTCAGGAGGCTGAGGCAGGATTATATTTGAGCTCAAGAATTGGAGGCCTCAGTGAGCTGCAGTGAGCCATTATCTGGCCACTGCACTCCAGCCTGAGTGACAAAGCAAGACTGTGACTCTAAAAAAATACATAAACACATAATAAATACATAAATAACAATGATATTGATATACAAATTGTATTTTTGTTTAGAAAGGTTCTCAGAAAATCAATTGTAGTGACAATTCACAAATCCAGAATACTATTTTTGGAATTAGTCCTGTTATAACTAATCAGTGTAGACTGTGGTTTTTAATGAAGCCTAGCTTTGAGTTCCAGTAGTTCCACCTCTGATTTCCCTTATGATTCATGAAAATAAAAAAAGATAAAATAGCATATTAGATGCCAGTTATTTTGCTGGGTGCTAGGCACACGAAAATAAGTTAGAAATTTTTACTTCTTAAGGACTCAACAACCCATTGAACTAGTTCAACTCTTCCTACCTTTTCCTGTCATATTATTTTTTCTCCTCCTACTTCTTTACAGCCTTGATTTTGTGTAAATCGCAATGCGCTTGTTTAATGGTGCCTCTGTCTTCATTTTGGGCCTTCTGGCACATTATTATTTTTTTCAAGGAAAATCTCTTCATGAGGTCTGAAATTACCCTGGTAAAATTTTTTTCTTCTTGTGAAAATAGAGATTATAAGTTTCTTAAAACCTTTCACCTTTTACTTAATTAAGATGATCTATTGTTAGGCTATCTTCATTTGTAAGCACTTATATCAGTTACTATCATTGCAATAATGCTGCTAAAATATCCACTCTACTATAAAATAAGAAATATTTATTTATTTATTGCTCTTTCTTTCTGTGAATCAACAGCAATTAGTTCAATGTAGTGAACTGGCCTGTGGGGCTCTGCTTTACCCTGTTGGCTGGCTGGGCTTTGGCTCCAGAAAGTGGATCTAATTCAGGTCTGCCCCAGGGTCTCTTATCCTTGGAGCAGCAAATGGCAGGAGTACCAGAAAGGGAAGCAGAAATATGCAATATCTCTTACGAAGTACAAAGCTTTTGTCAAAATCTCTCAACAAAAGTCTTATGGGAACTTATGCTTATCTAGTATACATCATAGCATAAAGACTTCTGCTTTACCCACCCTAAACAAGAAATTATAATTTTTTAAAATGTGTATAAAGTATAAATACTCATGAAGTAAGAGATTTTTTAGACTTTGCCTCCCTTCACACTTGGGCCACTACATCTTTCTCAGACTTTCCTTGTCTTTCTCCCACACCCAATTCTTTTTACTCCAAACCTTAATACAAAAACAAAACCAAATGTTAATAAATACAAGCTTTTTCCACTAAGAAAAAAAAGTTGTAATTTCTATATGTGACTGGCGTTGGGTTAATGTGATTAAAAACATAATCGGCCAGTACAGAAAGCCTCTCCACAAAAGCAGTATAGAAAGAAAATTATTTTTATTATTGGATAAGCATGAAATGAGAACAAGATGTGCATCTTAGGCAATCTGCTAAAGAGATTGAAAAGCCAGAAAGACGTGTTACCCTTTTAAATAGCCAAGCAGATACAACCTCATTAGACACATGTTCTCACAAGAAACAGTAGTTTGTTCTCAAGTAAAAGAACTTGACACCACTGTTTGTCACTCATAGTTTATCTTAAATTCACCTATAATTGGGGTGACCATCTGTGTTGGCTTTATTCAAAGAAAAAATAAATTGGCTTTATCTGAAGAAAAAATAAACCCCATATCTTTATGGCAGGAGGTAGTTCTGCAACTTGGCATATGTTGGACTCCTACCTTTTCACAGAAACTGGGAGATTGCAGTGCTGTCTTCCTAGATGGTTATATTTTAAAGAAATGGCTTACACGTCCTTAAGGAAGAATTTTTAAATTTTGAGACTATTAAAGGGCTTATTTAGCATTTTAAAAATTACATATACTTGCAAAAGAAAAATCTGACAATTACAGTTTTTCTAAAGTGAGTTATCTGAGATAAAGGGAGGTGAAAAGGAGTCTCTTCTCTTATTTTCAACAGGAGTCTTCTCTCATTAAAACCCTAACACTAACCCTAACCCTAAAAAATTAAGCCTCTTTTCGTTTTGTGCTTGCCCTTACACTTTCCCTTCACTTTCTAATAGACAGGAGTTTATTCTTTGTTTATATTTACTTTGCCTAAAACAGCAGTCCCATTTTAATAATAGATACTAGAACAGGAAAACAAAATTGTTGATTGAGAGGAAAGTTAAACTAAATGACCTTTAAATAAGCTTCAGAAAGGACTAGAATTTTATAAAACTCTTTTCTTTCTCAATTTTAGTATTTTTTTCTGTTTCTCTGAATTGTAATTTCTTAATCAATATAATTTAAATTGAACTAAATACCTTTCATTAAAAACCAAGTGTTTATTCTGATTGTTTGTTAATCACATCTCTATTCTTCCAGTAATCTCTATTCAAAATGTAGTTAACCTTCCCCAAGCGTGTCCTAAGGAAACAAGTCTTAAGAGATACTCAGTGAACAGATGGCCGCGGGGTCAAATAAGCTTTAGAAAATATGTGTACACCTATTTTTCAATATAAAAGTCGTACTGGTTAATGGGCCATTAAATAATTTTGGTTTGGGGCCAACATTTACTTTTTATGTAATGGAATAGAAAATTTCAGAAGGCATTACTTATAATACATTTATGGGGATATGTATTTTACTATGAAACGTATTTTGCAGTTATTTATTTTTGTGTGTGTTTGTTGGCATGTGTATATGAGCTCGGATTGTTGGAAATAAATGAAGACCATGCAAATGGGAATAAATCAAGGCTACTTATTCAGAGCTTTCTGTAGCAAGGGAGGCAGCCACCATCACTTGTCTTTGGCAGAGACTTAAACGCAGTCAAGAGAATGGGAAAACTTTATTAGTTAATAAAGAAGGAAGGATTCAGTTATGCTTTAGCTGGAGGTTTTTGGTATGGGGAAGCTGAAGATAAGCTAGCTACCACGTTAGTGTGAGCAGCACATTTGGCTTTCTTGATTGATCCTAAGTTGGAAGTGGAAAGAAACATGAAAAAAGTTTTCTGTCATTGACCAAGTCCGACCTTTTTTGCTCTCGATTGTTGCAGAGGTTGTGGTTTAGTTCCCTGGATTTTTTTTTGTAGGTTTTTTTTGCTCTATCGTCCTGTTTGGTGTGGTGGTTTTCCAATATATATTCAGTCCTTCAGATTAAAAAAAAAAAAAAAAAAGAAGCATTACCCTAACAACCCATAAAACTTGTTACTTTGCCATATATTTTTATATTATTTTTAACCTTTAATCTTCCTTCTGCACTTCCCACTTCAAACAAGTTGCAAGTTTTATCCTGTCTGTTACCATGTTTTGGTCTCCACTCTAATATCCTTTATTTTGTGCTCCTTTAATTATTCCAAAATGAATCCCAATTCCTTTCTTGCGTCTGCTCTTCTCATAGATTTAAGATTAGTTTTAGTTTTGTTTCTTATTTATTCTAAAATTGCTAATATCTTTTCCAATCTTACACAATTAACTCCATTATAACCAGATGTAAGACATTCTCTACCATCTGGGTATAATTTACTTTTCCACTTATATCTTGAAAGCTTTTTCCTTTCAAACTTTGATATGCCTCCTTCTTCTTCTGTACTATAATTACTAAATTCCATATACAAAAGTCCTTTTCATTCATTAGGGACCATATGAAATTTAACTTCCTTGAATCAGTCTCCTATAATCATCCCTACACTCACCTAGTTTCAACATGAAAATAACTTTTTCTCCCTCTGAATTTCTAAAACACCTTGAATAAATAACAATCATTTGTGTCACATTGCCTTACATTTAAATTAATTGTATATCATGTAACTAATAATTTTCTTTATATACAGAATCTTTATTTTGGTCAACTTTTTAAATTTTACAGCCTATGTGCAGACTATGTCTGGCATGTACTATTGTTAAATAAATAAGGCCAAACATCTGACTTTTGAAATTTATTTTTCAGTCTCCAAACAGTATATCCCAAATACAACTTAATATTCTTTTAAAATTATAGAGTTCTTTCTAGAATTTATAAGAGTTAAAATGCGGATAATAGTAAGAAGTTACCTGTTATTTCAAATTCAAACTAAAGATTATTGATTCAGGATTCTCTTTTGAGAATAAATTTTTCCTGGACACACAGCCCCAGGAGCGTGAAAGATAGACAAACACAATAGAGAAGTAGTTTTCAAAACAACCCTCAAAGGTTGAGGAAAGAAATCAGCTCCAAAGACCTAGTATTATATTGTTGTTTTTATACCCATCACCAATTTTCCAAATTGCCTGTTTAACTGTTGTATTTATTTCCTTGAGAAAATACCTAGTCCCATTCATCTAGGAACCACCCCCCTCCCGCCGCACCACCACCACTACCACCCCCAATAATTAGCTCAGCACAGATGCAGTCTCAATAATGGTTTATTAGGTTGCAAGAGGTTGTGCTGATAGCCCTTTAATTTTATAAAGGACTAACACAGTATCAACATGATTACTTTTAAAGCAAAAGGCATCTGCTGCTCACTTGTTTCACTGTCACTTTTCTTAATGTAGTCTTTCATAATAAGTAAGAGTGGTTTATCCTTCTTACTTGCTTTATAGATATACAAAATTATATTTCCAGATAATTATAAGTTCATTTACCATCTAGTAGATACAGTAAGAGCAATAATGTTTCAAAGTTTTTGATGGTGACTATTGGGCTGTATGCAGTTAAGGTTCTTTCAAAAGAAAAATCCATTTACTTTGATTGCTATTATAGTTCAAAAAATATTGATCTATCCTTGCTTGCAAACTCTTTTAAACAGGTAGCTACAGGATTTAGACAAAAATCTATATTCCACTTTGTTCTTTCATTCAAGGTACTTCAGAGAAAATGTTTAAAAAATAGACAGGTTAAGTAAGGTTGCAAGTGAACAATGCCATGTTGAATCTTTTTATAAAAAGAAATGTTTCCTGATACTTCCATTTTACTGCTCTATTATTAGATTATAAACTCCTAAGAAAGTAGTGTCATGTCTCTTTAATTGACTGTATATCAAGTTTAGTTCATTTCACATGATAATAGTGTGACAGTTGCTATGTATGGAGTATTTGGTGTGCACAGCCAGAATGGTTTTCTCTCCTTATAATAAAATCAAAGGCCCTTAACATTGGACACAAGGGTAGCCCCACATCTCTCTAGTCTCGTGTCTTACCTAACCCTCCCTGCATCTGAACTCCAGTTCTACTGAGCTGTTGAATTTTTCCAAATGTGCTCTTTTGTTCACACTATCATTCCCTTGGTCAAACTACTCTCCATACCTAAAAAGTCACGAGCTACCTCTACATCACCCCCAATACACACACATCCATGCAAATCTTTCAAATCTTAGTTCATCTTTCTGTTATAATCTTTTTTGTCTTTCTACTTCTTGGCAGAATTGTTTATTTTTTTTCTCCATATTCCCAATACATTTTATGATAAAATTACATTATTTATTAGACTTTTTATGTACTTGTATGCTTGTCTTCTTAGTAGGCAATAATAAATTGTCTTATTCACTTCTGTTGTCCCAACATTTAGGACATAGTACAATTTCAAGATTTTTTTTTTGAATAGTGATAGATATTTGAATGAATAGATGAATGAATGAATGTGTGAACAAGAAAGGTCAGAGTATCTGAAAAATTGATAATGAAGCTATAATTAGCTGACTCACTGGATGATGGAATCTACTGATTTGAGATTTTTACAATGAAAGTGCCCTTGAGCATATATCTGAGTTTCCTATCCTCAAGTAGACTGTTACATTGTGCATTTGTCACAGACACAGTACCTAGTCCCAAACTGAGGACAAATGTCAAGGAGTTCCTTTGAAGAACTTTAAGTATATAAACAATGGGCTAAGTTTTTTTAAAATGCTACCTCAAGGCAAGTCAAGGAGGATTCCCTTATCACTTCATGTTTCATCTTTAATAGTCTAAACTATAATATACCCAGTAAGTCAGAATATATAAGAAATGCACTAAACTTTTGAAATCATCTCAGAGTTTTAAAACATTTACATTTTTTAGCAAAGGTGTTGACCAGAGTATAGTCCATTTTTTATCTTGAAAAATGTGTGCCAGAGAATTTTAAAATATATTCTGAATACACCTATTTGGCAGCTCTTATAGACTGTATCCTTTTTAAGGGCAGAGATTATGGCTTGCATCTTTTTTGTGATGCAGGGGAGGAAAAATTTCTCCTCTACCCTTTTTAGGGTATCTGACTAGGCCTAAGAAACTTACATGATATCTCATGTCAGATTAACGGGAGAAAAAGCATGTAAATTTTATAAAAATTTTAAATGTACATGAGAGTCCTCAAGAAATGAAGATCCAAAGAAGTGACCAGAGCAGAAAGCTTATATACTTTTTAGACAAAGAAATCCTAAATTCGTGAAGAAATGAGAAGACAAGGGGTTTGGGCTGGGGCATTAACTTGTGGGGAAGTGAGTAAGATATACTGGAGAACACTAGTCAAAGGTAGAGATTATTTTAGCAAGTTTGTTGTGCAGATTCATTTCAGTGTTGATTTCCACTCTCTAGTGATAAAGATGTTCTTTTCTTCCTAGGATATCTTTCTCATGGGAAATTTCATGGCTTGTTTTTAGGTAAAAGAGAAGAGGTCAGAAAGTTCGTATCTGCTGTTCTCAAGTGCCTTCATCTCAAAATAAACAATATTTTGGGGTAGCATGTCCCGAACTACTTCAGCAGCCATAGTTCCTACCCCAGTTCTTTGTACACAGTATATGCTCTGTAAATATTGAACTGAAGTGAATTGATCATACATTAAAGTTGATGAGACTAGCCTTAACATTTCCTTAACTAAACCACTTATAATCATCAAGAAGTGTGGATTTTTTAAATTCATTCCCACTATATCCCATTTAATTGTTTTGGACATGAAATAAATTTATAAGCTGGGGAACTATTATGTTAGAGCATTAGCTCTTGATTTTGAAATAGTCACATTGTGGAGCGTTTCAAAGTGTTATGAGGTTTCAGGAAATATATTACTACTAATAAATAATGTTTGAAGTACGTACATTTGTAAATTATATATTTCATTTTAATTAAGCTAGAGAACAATTAGTCTTATCCATAAAAATAAGCTTAATCCCACACTTGTGTATTTCAATGTATTCTCTTGAGAGAGAGAGAGAGGATGGAGCTACAATTATTAAGCAGAGTCTTGCATAAAACTCTCGGAAACTCACAACCAGAAAAAATTTTGATAATCATCGGGTTGCAGCAAAATGCTACATAATCCAAATTCATAGGTCCCATACCTATGAAGACTGGCAAACTCCTTGTCTGTCCACAGACATTTCGTGCAGGTCTTCTAGCCATCCTGTAAATTTGCGATCTAAGAGCTGAGTTGACGATATAAATGGCTTGTGATAAATACTCAGTGCAATCATAAAAACAACTTCACGTTAATGATATTTCAAGTAACATATTTAGAGTCAAAGAAAAGCATAGTTTTTTATCACAGTTAAAGAGTTCTGAATTCTGTTAAACATATTAAAATATTCTTGTTGGGCTTGGTGGTTCATGCCTGTAATCCCAGCTACTCAGCAGTTGAGGTGGGGGGATCATTGAGGTCAGGAGTTCGAAACCAAGTCTGAGCAACATAGTGAGAGCCTGTTTCTAAAAAAGAGAGAGAGAGAGAATTAAATATGTATTTTTTAGAGTGTCTCTATTTGCTGTATCTCAAAAGAGTGCATGATTTAACTACTAGCTGCAGATGTTCTATATTAGCTCTGTGTAAAATGGAAACCCGTGTCCCAGGGCATACTTGCTGCCATTCTAAATTTTGCATATTTTTATTAAATTGTTGTACTCAATCTGAGGCATTTTAAATGTCAGTGTTTACATCATGATTGTAAAACACTTCACACATTTATTTATTATTGTAAATATGCCTTTCATTACTTTCTGTGGGCAGTTATAGATTTCCTCCTCAAAACCTCTCTAAATATTGACTATAGTCTCGTTTGTCTGAGATGCTTGAAGGTGAGACATGGTTTAACTCACAAGGTCTTTTCTAGCTGCATGATTCTATATTTCACAACCTTTGTAAACCCGTTGCTGAGGTAATGAGATTCCCAAAAGGCTTCTTAACATTAAGAATCAGCAAAACTGCAAGTTTTACAGATCACTCTCTTTTAACCTACACAGTTTCTCTGTGAAGTATTTGAATTATAGTGTCAACTGTTGTCAAGTCAGAGATTGATCAATGAGTAGTTCTATGTCACTTTAAGGCCAGATGTTATTATTTGGCTGGAAATCTGATTGAATTTAAAATTAGGGTTTATTACTTTAGCCATCAAGGATCAAAGTTACTTGGTCACTTTAAAAAGTGTTGAAAAAGCCTTGTTTCTACAAATTTTAGCCACTGCCATTTAAACCTATATTTCCAATATTGCTCTGAACTCACTGCATGAGAGCATTCTGACTGCTCTGCTTTTATTTCCTCTGACCTCCCAGTCTAATTCATTTCAGCACCTCTTCCCCTGCTTCTGATTTCTTTGCCTGCACAGCAGGGAAGAAAAAAAGAGCAGAATCATGTGCTACTCTCTATGGGTGCTAACCTCTGACCCTGGGGATGGATCCTCACTTTGTTTCTTCCAAATTTAGTTGTGGATGATGCACAGATATTTAGCTGACAGTGGAGGCAACATGTATTAAAGAAATCCCAACCTCATTTTATATTCTGAAAGACAAAATTATTATAACAAAATCAAGTACCAGTAGGATGCTAGCTAAATTTTTTGTGTGTTTAATTGATATTTCAATGATAAATTATATTGTATCATTAAGAAACCCTGCAGGAAACAAATGACACATTCATACTGGGTGTGTGGGGGTAGAGCTTAAGGAAACTAACAAAGGATTGTACCATATCTCTAGCTATTGACAGCAGGGAGCCACTAGTAGCTTCAGGAATGATAACCACAGCTTGGAGGACAGCGGTATGGAGTGGGCTGCCTTACATAAGTGTGGCTTTCACTAACAGGACACAGCCATCACATAGCGATCAGGCAAAGAAGGAACTGAGGGGAAATACCCTACTTCACGCCCCTCCTGACCTCCTCACCCTACTCTCCTACCAAAATGCTGCTCACTGCCTGATAACTCTCTGTTCTCTTACCCACAGAAAGCCTGAGAGCATAGGGTCCTGGCTATCATGGGACCATGGGGATCAGTCTTTACCCCCCACCCCGGAAGTAGGAAAGAAGTGCAAAAAGCGAGCAGAGAAGGGGCAGAATGGCTTTAGTGGGTAAACAGAAGATATCCAGCACTCATATCTTTCAATTACAAGACAACTATACAATTTAAATCATTCAAAAGACGTAGCTGAAATATGGATTATCCTATGATTTTCTCTAACTATGAGATTTTGTGATTGCTTATATTATGTATTAAGCGGACCATATACTTTTGTATGTTCTTGATTGCCTTCCTTCCTTCTTTATACATTCCACAACTGTTTCTTGAATATTAGGCTCTGAGAGAGGGTATAGTGCTTAAGAACTCATATCCTGGAATGACACTGACTGTATTCAAAAGCCAGCTCTGCCACTTAAAATTTGTGTGTCGTTGGACAAATCCTTTAACTTTTGGGGTCCTCATAGGGCTGTGTCAGGATTAAATGTAAGAGCCTAGAACCGTGTGATACATAAATCATATGTAAGTGTTTAGACACTTGGGATACAAAGTAAAAAATAAATAAAAATAAATATAAACTCATGGGAAAAAGACAGATGAGTAAATCAATAATTATAGTAAAATACTTGGACCAATATAGGTATGTCCAAGGCCTATAGAAGCCCAAAGAAAATAGCAATTAACAGTGCTTGCAAGCTCAGGGCACTCATTATGGAGGATGTATAGTTTGACCTTAAGAAATAAATAGCAATTTCTTCATGTTTTATACACTCAGAGAATGCCTTCTTTTCAGGCAGAGAAGATGTCATGCCTCAGGGCACAGAGGTTGAAAGGGAACAACAAGTGCTTCAACATGTCTAACACTTAGGTTGCTTATGGGAAAATGATGGGAGACAGGACTGGAGAGGTAGGAAAGGCTGAGATCATGAAGGGCCCTCTATGGTAAGGAAGTCGAAGAGATCTAAATAGTTCCCAAGTTACCTTCAGAGTGTGCAGGGGTGGAACTTTGGTGGGCCAAAGGAGTAGAGACAAAAAAATTTCTTAAAATTAATATGACCATCCTTTCCCTTTCAACAGTGGACTCAAGGTATCCTTTCCTTTCCCTCATTTTTCCCAGTACCTGGCTTACAGTGTCTCATTCCATTCTTTCTCTCGATTATCATGGGACAATAGAAAAGAGTGTGGGCATGAGTAGAATCTCAGTTGAGCTATTTCTACATATATAACTGTGGTCAGCTTCTCAGAACTTCAGTTTTTTCATCCTTTAATGGGAAATAATGGTGACTGGCTAATAGCACTGCAATAAAAATTACATGAGTTAAAATGATTATAGTATTCAGCAATCCCCTTTTCAAAAAAATCACTAATGTCAGCTAATATTCTTATCTTCCTGGAAATTACATCCATGTTTCCACCTTAAGATACTCTAATCCCCTACCTTGTCTACCAATTTGTTTGCCAGTCGTCACTCACTTGTATTAGCTTTAATTCTCTAGAAAACATAGTTGAAGCAAAGATTATAGACTAATACTTTATTGAGGAGCTTGGGAGGTGTATTTCTAAGACAGCAAGAAAGAGGGGGAAAAGTTATATAAACAGAGAAATTGGAGAATCAAATATAAGGTGGTATGTTACTGAGCTGGCCACAGCCTCACAAGAAACACAGCTGAATGTTTAATTATGTGAGCCATGTGGACCAGTTGTGCTTTAGAACCATCTGTTTTGGGAGAGGAAGGGTTAGAAATTTATCTACTGGTCTCCTTCCCATCTCTTCTCTTGCTCCTTGATGGTAAAATTTCATCTCTCAGGCTTTAAATTCTCCACAATTTGATGCTGCTATCCAGCCCCTGTAGGAAGATTCCTGTGTTCCTGTGGAGTCAAATCTGGGTACTGGAGCTGCTATAGTAGTTTATGTTGCAATTGACAAGAAAACGGCAACTGTTACCATGGTTGTTCTGTCCGTAAGCCTGCATGAGCCTGAGACAACTGGTAACATTAGAAGAGGAGCCAACAGAAATGGTCATGAGTGTCACTTCTGTCATATTCTCTTCATTAAAATCTAGGCAACAATACTGGCCAATAATAAAAAAGAGGGGAATTTGACTCTACCTTTTGTTTTTTTGCTTTTGTTTGTTTGTTTTTGAGATGGAGTTCTGCTTTTGTTGCCCAGGCTGGAGTGCAGTGGCACAATCTCTCCTCATTACAACCTCTGCCTCCTGGGTTCAAGCGATTTTCCAGCCTCAACCTCCCGAGTAGCTGGGATTACAGGCACCTGCCACCATGCCCAGCTAATTTTTGTATTTTTAGAAGAGACGGGGTTTCTCCATGTTGGCCAGGCTGCTCTCAACCTTCTGACCTCAGGTGATCCGCCTTCCTTGGCCTCCCAAAGTGCTGGGATTACAGCCATGAGCCACCATGCCCAGCTGACTCTACCTTTTGATAGAAGCATCAAATAATTTGCAGACATGTTTTAAAACTACTACGGAATGATTTGAGAACAAGTTGCAAACATAATAGCTCATCATTCCCAAATATTCAGTTTGAATTGCACCAAAACAAAAAACTCCTTTATGTAACCACAAAACAACCATACAAATCAGAAAATCAACATAAATAAAACACTTCCAAACAAATTAAAACCCTTCCAAATTTCACTAACTACACACACGCACGCACACACACACACGTGTATGTTTTTTTCTTGTCCAGGATTCAACCCAAGAACCTGCATTGCATTGTTGTCATGTCTCTTTCATTTCCTTCAATCTGGATGAGTTCCTCAATGTTTCCCTATCTGTCATGACCTTGATAGCTCTAAAGAGTATAAGCCTTTTATTTTGTGATATATCCCTCAATTTGGGTACATACAATATTTTCCCATATCCAGGCATAGGCCACACATTCTTGACAGATGTATCACAAAAATGATGCTCGCCTCTCAGGACATCACACCAGGAGGCAAACAACGTCAATATACCTGAATATACGTCCTATGCGATCATTAGTCACCTAGTAAAATTGATGTCTTCCAGGATTTTTCATGAGAACATCACCAATTTCACCTTTGTGATTTATATGTGTTTCACAGAGAGGTAATATCTTATTTTTTATCAAACATCCAGCCAAAAATCCACAACCACTGTGATGGTTGCCAGATGTTAGTTTTCTCTTTTTTTCCCCACTTATTCTGTATTTATTAACTGTCCCTCTGTGTTCGGAATTGGTTCCTTCCGGTGGGTTCTAGGTCTTGCCGACTTCAAGCATGAAGCCGTGGACCCTAGCGGTGAATGTTACAGATCTTAAAGATGGTGTGTTTGGAGTTTGTTCCTTCAGATGTTCAGACGTGTCCGGAGTTTCTTCCTTCTGGTGGGTTCGTGGTCTTGCTGACTTCAGGAGTGAAGCTGCAGACTTTTGCAGTGAGTGTTACAGCTCTTAAAGGTACTGCGGACCCGAAGAGTGAGCAGCAGCAAGATTTATTATCAAGGGGGAAAGAACAAAGCTTCCACAGCATGGAAGGGGACGCGAGCGGGTTGCTGCTGCTGGCTTGGGTGGCCAGCATTTATTCCCTTATTTGGCCCCACCCACATCCTGCTGATTGGTCCATTTTACAGAGTGCTGATGGGTCCATTTTATAGAGTGCTGATTGGTCCGTTTTTACAGAGTGCTGATTGGTGCATTTACAAACCTTTAGCTAGACAAGGAGCGCTGATTGGTGCGTTTTTACAGAGTGCTGATTGGTGCATTTACAAACCTTTAGCGAGACACACAGCACCGATTGGTGCATTTACAATCCTTTAGCTAGATAGAAAAGTTCTCCAAGTCCCCACCTGACCCAGAAGCCCAGCCGGCTTCACCTTTCACCTCTTTATGGAGAAAATGTTTTCCCTTCTGTCCCATTTATTTATTTATGTCAGTATGGATGAATGCATTTAAATTTTATTCAATGTGTTGTACTCTGCCATTATCTTTGTTTGATGGTTAAATTGCACCAGAATAGCCAATGGAGCTTCTTCAAGCTGGCCTCTATGTCCTTTTGATATGTCCCCACCATCATTCTTTAAGTACACCCTACTTTTATTGGCACAACAAGGTATTCCAGTTTCATCTTATCTTTTTCCTTGTCCATCCCCTAAAATCAGCTCCCCTGGTTCCCTTTAGTGAAGAATGGTATGTAGAAACCAAATCTGGGTACTCAATATACTTGTTTCTATAGAGCTTTATTGCTTTTAGGACTCTCAGTGGATGCAGCTAGAAAATATGTGCACATATATGTGTACATATGTGTGTATGCATGACATATGTATGTATATCCACCCATTTATATCTAGTTATATTCATATTTTAAACTTGAGTTCACACGATTTTTTAACATTTCAGTTTAACCCCTTAGGGTTCTTTGTAGTCTTTTCTGTTTCTACATTTGTAAATGCTCTTTTTTGTTAGTGAGAAGTCTGTCTGCCCTTATCTTCAATATTTCTGATTCTCAACCTTCTTCACATATACTTAACCTCCCAACCTTACCGGCTGCCTTTTTAGCCTCACTTCTACTTCTCTGGCCCTCATCCATAATACCACGTACTTGACCCTAATATCTCCTCAACCTCTGGTGCCACTGCCACTGCCACCTAACTCTACCCATTCCACTTTGAAAGAAAAGGGAAGAAAAAGGCTTTATACCTTTTCTGATACTGCCCTCTCTATTCAGGATACTTTTTCTTTCTTTTGTCCTTCTTAGTCTACTCGGTGAGATAACTCTGAAAATAGCTTTAGGGTTACCTCTTCTGTGCAGTCTTTACCTCTTTTCCAACCTCCAAATCCAAGGAGACTTAGCTAATACCTCCTTTGTGCCTTCAGTTAAGGACAGGGGCTACATTTTATTTGTCTTTATATCCTTAGTACCTTATTTTTTTTTATTATACTTTAAGTTCTAGGGTACATGTGCACAACGTTTGTTACATATGTATACATGCGTCATGTTGGTGTGCTGCACCCATTAACTTGTCATTTGCATTAGGTGTATCACCTAATGCTAACCCTCCCCCCTGCCCCCACCCCACAACAGGCCCCGGTGTGTGATGTTCCCCTTCCTGTGTCCAAGTGTTCTCATTATTCAATTCCCACCTATGAGTGAGAACATGTGGTGTTTGGTTTTTTGTCCTTGTGATACTTTGCTGAGAATGATGCAAACATCCACGTCCCTACAAAGATCCATGTCCCTACAAAGGACATGAACTCATCCTTTTTTATGGCTGCATAGTATTCCATGGTGTATATGTGCCACATTTTCTTAACCCAGTCTATCATTGATGGACATTTGGGTTGGTTCCAAGTCTTTGCTATTGTGAATAGTGCTGCAATAAACATATGGATGCATGTGTCTTTATAGCAGCATGATTTATAATCCTTTGGGTATATACCCAGTAATGGGATGGCTGGGTCAAATGGTATTTCTAGTTCCAGAGCCTTGAGGAATTGCCACACTGTCTTCCACAATGGTTGAACTAGTTTACAGTCCCACCAACAGTGTAAAAGTGTTCCTATTTCTCCACATCCTCTCCAGCACCTGTTGTTTCCTGACTTTTTAATGATCACCATTCTAACTGGTGTGAGATGGTATCTCATTGTGGTTTTGATTTGCATTTCTCTGATGGCCAGTGATGATGAGCATTTTTTTCATGTGTTTGTTGGCTGCATAAATGTCTTCTTTTGAGAAGTGTCTGTTCATATCCTTTGCCCACTTTGTGATGGGGTTGTTTGTTTTTTTCTTGTAAATTTGTTTGAGTTCTTTGTAGATTCTGGATATTAGCCCTTTGTCAGATGAGTAGATTGCAAAAATTTTCTCCCATTCTGTAGGTTGCCTGTTCACTCTGATGGTAGTTTCTTTTGCTGTGCAGAAGCTCTTTAGTTTAATTAGATCCCATTTGTCAATTTTGGCTTTTGTTGCCATTGCTTTTGGTGTTTTGGACATGAAGTCCTTGCCCATGCCTATGTCCTGAATGGTATTGCCTAGGTTTTCTTCTTGGGTTTTTATGTTTTTAGGTCTAACATTTAAGTCTTCAATCCATCTTGAATTACTTTTTGTATAAGGTGTAAGGAAGGGATCCAGTTTCAGCTTTCTATGTATGGCTAGCCAGTTTTCCCAGCACCATTTATTAAATAGGGAATCCTTTCCCCATTGCTTGTTTTTCTCAGGTTTGTCAAAGATCAGATGGTTGTAGATGTGTGGTATTATTCCTGAGGGCTCTGTTCTGTTCCATTGGTCTATGTGTCTGTTTTGGTACCAGTACCATGCTGTTTTGGTTACTGTAGCCTTGTAGTATAGTTTGAAGTCAGGTAGCATGATGCCTCCAGCTTTGTTCTTTTGGCTTAGGATTGTATTGGCAATGCAGACCCTTTTTTGGTTCCATATGAACTTTAAAGTAGTTTTTTCAAATTCTGTGAAAAAGGTCATTGGTAGCTTGATGAGGATGGCATTGAATCTATAAATTACCTTGGGCAGTATAGCCATTTTCACGATACTGATTCTTCATATCCATGAGCATGGAATGTTCTTCCATTTGTGTCCTCTTTTATTTCGCTGAGCAGTGGTTTGTAGTTCTCCTTGAAGAGGTCCTTCACATCCCTTGTAGGTTGGATTCTTAGGTATTTTATTCTCTTTGAAGCAATTGTGAATGGGAGTTCACTCATAATTTGGCTCTCTGTCTGTTATTGGTGTATAAGAATGCTTGTGATTTTTGCACATTGGTTTTGTGTCCTGAGACTTTGCTGAATTTGCTTATCAGCCTAAGGAGATTTTGGGCTGAGACGATGGGGTTTTCTAAATATGCAATCATGTCATCTGCAAACAGGGACAATTTGACTTCCACTTTTCCTAACTGAATACCCTTTATTTCTTTCTCCTGCCTGATTGCCCTGGCCAGAACTTCCAACACTATGTTGAATAGGAATGGTGAGAGAGGGCATCCCTGTCTTGTGCCTGTTTTCAAAGGGAATACTTCCAGTTTTTGCCCATTCAGCATGACATTGGCTGTGGGTTTTTCATAGATAGCTCTTATTATTTTTAGATACGTCCCATCAATACATAATTTATTGAGAGTTTTTAGCATGAAGGGCTGTTGAATTTTGTCAAAGGCCTTTTCTGCATCTATTGAGATAATCATGTGATTTTTGTCTTTGGTTCTCTTTATATGCTGGATTGCATTTATTGATTTGCATATGTTGAACCAGCCTTGCAAGGATGTTCAAAAGTATCTCTAAAACATATTGTTTGGTTAAAAAGGAGAAAGAAAATAATATTGACAGTATAATAAAAGTTAAAGTATGATATACATAACACAATACTGCATAGTTTTTGTGAAGATAATTTTTAGGTTTCTATAACGTTACATATTAGATATGTCTGTGTGGAATTATACATCTTGAAAAAAGAACTGGAAAGATACACATTAAATTGGTGCTAGTGGATAACAGAGGAGCTAGGAATGTGTCAGTATTTGAGTGTCAGGAGAGACTTAGCATTTGCTAAGACCATTGGAAAAGCTCAGTATTAGAGTGGAAGTGACCCGATTTTCCAGGTTCCGTCTGTCACAGCTTCCCTTGGCTAGGAAAGGAAAATCCCTGACCCCTTGTGCTTCCTGAGTGAGGTGATGCCTTCCCCTGCTTCGGCTCACACTCGGTGGGCTGCACACACTGTCCGACAAGCCTCAGTGAGATGAACCTGGTACCTCAGTTGGAAATGCAGAAATCACCCGTCTTCTGCTTCGCTCACACTGGGAGCTGTAGACTGGAGCTGTTCCTATTTGGCCATCCTTATTTTATTTTTTATAAATATTAGAAACTAAGTAAAGGTTTTATAAATGAATAACTAGTGAATGAAAAGTTCTCCACAATAGCATGGTGATTAAGACTTTATAAAAATCTCAATTTATGAGATTTAGGTGGAGAGACAAAGCCTAACCATATCACTACTGCATAGGAAAAAAACCCAAAAGCAGTGTTACATACTAGGTGCATGTTTACTTTACTTACTGTGTATTGTTTCCAGTCTATGTTAGAGAGTATTTACAGCTTCATTAAATTTAAAATATGTTCTTAATTTTAAAGAGTGTTGTATTAATGGAGCAAAGAAAAAAATAGAGTTTCAAATAGATTAACACTCACTCTCAACACTAAACCCAAGATAATAGAAAGCGTATTTAAAAATATAATAATGACTAAGAATGAAAAGAGAACATTTACAATTGTTTTGAGGCTGTAGGGTATTCCTAAGATAAATAAGTGTAAATAAACATATAAATAAATGTTTGTTATCATTGTTTTTTCTTGCTCAAACACAAGTTTTGTTCTCCCCTAAACTACTTCCTCCTGTGCCTTTTCATCATAGGCATAACAGCCATTATGATTCACTGTATAAATTTTCAAATATGCTGCATTAGAATAAAGTTCACTCTGCTACTCTCTAAATACACTTCTCATTAAATCCAAGGAAACAGAGTTAAAAGAGCAATAAGAAAATATTTTAAAATAATTAGAGTAGATACCTTCACAAAATTAAGGGGGGAAATTGTATTTATGGAAAAAAAGAAGACTATGAAACAATAAGAAATAACAATCATTAAAGTCATTAAATATTTAGGAAATGACAACATAATTTTTCAGTATTTAAGGTAATTTGTAATTAAATAAAACTAAACAGTGAATTAGTAAACTGAAATTTATAATATATAAATATATAAATGTGTGTGTATATGTGTATTATATACATATGGAATTATTGAATTCTTCTAGAATGCAAAATAGAGAATCCCTAAAAATGAGAAGTTGAAAGTTTGCGCAACATGAGGGCTAAATTCCTAATTTTCAACATTCAATATGAACAAGTTTCAGAAACATGAGGACATATAATAAACAACATTTTAAAGGAAATAATGGTAACAATTTCCTAGAACTGAAAAAAAAGTTACAAGGTATTTGACAGAAGTAGTCTATTGAGCACCTAGTAGAAAAAATAGATTTAAAAATGAGTATATTTAAAAACAGCAAGTCTGAAAAGGAATCCTAGCTCTTAAAAGAATGGAGGAGAAGGGGCAGATTAATTATGAAAGAATTAAAATCAATTTGATATCATATTTCTTATCAGGAATAGTGGATGGATAATAGACTAGAGGAAAACATCTTTAAATGCTGAGGGCAAATAATTTTGAATTAAAATTTTATACCTTACCCCCTATTATTCAACAGTGAAGGCAAAATAAAGACATTTTCAGATGAAGAAGGACCTATTCTTTCAATAACAGAAACAATTTTTCGAAGAAGGTATAAGAGTAATAAACTGAACCTAGCAATAGTGTCACCCCCAATCACCTAGCACTTTAACACAACTACTTCCTGTTTAATCTTTTCCTTTTCTGTACTATATATCACATTCTAAAATAAGACATTATTTGTTTATTATTTATAGTTTGCAAACATCCAATGGAATACATGCATTCATGGAGCAGAAATCCTTGTCTGTTTATTTATTGGTGTATCTTAGATCCCTGGAACAGCATCTGACACATGTAAATACAGTAGTCCCCCCTTGTTCATAAGGATATGATTCAATAGCCCCAATGGGTGCTTTAAACCACAGATAGTCCTGAACTTTATACAGGCTATGTTATTTTCTCTCGATAGATAGATAGATAGATAGATAGATAGATAGATAGATAGATAGATAGATAGATAGATATAAAGATTAATTTGTAAATTAGACACAGAAAGAGATTGATAACAATAACTAAAAATAAAATAGAAGAATTATAATAATATACTGTCATAAAAGTTATGTGAATGTGCTCTCTGTCTCTCTCAAAATAATTTACTGTACTATACTTACCTATTTTTGGACCACATTATCTCAGGTAACTGAAACCACAGAAAGCAAAATGCAGATAAAGAGGAATTAGTGTATAAGACAATCAACTGTTTGTTGTATAAACTAACTAACTGAATGATGCTTTAAAGTATGTGAAATGAATTTGATTCAACTATTAAAAAATGTTGTCAAATCCACATTTGGAACTTTAACAGGCTTCTTCAAGAAGTTGTTGGAGCCAGTAGACATTGAAGGCATAAATAATTTCAACTTGATTAATATAACAAATTGAACTGAATATATTTCACTTATTTATCCACTGCAAGACCTCGATATACATATACTGAATACCAAAGAAACAACATTAGAAAGCAGCAACAAAATGATAGATCAACCCATAAATTTTAAAACACTCAGACATTATTTATGAGTTACAAAGTAAACCAAAACATAAGCTACAAACTTTTCACAAGTGAACAATAAAATCTCTCCATATCAATTTAGAGCTAAATTTATTTTATTTTTTAATAAATAAGAAAGGCTGAAAATATACTAAAAAAGTTCTAAGATTTCAACTCAAGAAAACAGAAAAAAGAATAGCAATATAATCCAAAAGAAAACTGAAGATGGAATCCAAAAATATAAAAAGAAAAGATGTTTAAATTAAAATAAAAACAATAGAATTTGCCGGGCGCAGTGGCTCACACCTGTAATTCCAGCACTTTGGGAGACCAAGGAGGGCGAATGATTTGAGGTCAGGAGTTAGAGACCAGCCTGGACAACACAGTGAAACCCCATCTCTACTAAAAATACAAAAACTACTTGGGCATGGTGGCACGAGCACCTATAGTCCGAGCTACCCAGGAGGCTGAGGCAGGAGAATCTCTTGAACCTGGGAGGCATAGGTTACAATGAGCCGAGATCACGCCACTGCACTTCAGCCTGGGTGACAGAGTAAGAGACTCTGTCTCAAAACACAAACAAAAAAACAAACAAACAAAAAAACAATTTATCAACAGCAAACACTGGTTCTTTAAGCCACCTAATAAATCTGACAACCTTTTGTAAATATGAAGAAAGAAAACCAGAAAGTAAACACTAATAGCATTAGAAGTCAGAAATAATTATGGCATATTTATAAAGGAGATATTAAAAAATCTTGTAACAATTCTGTTACAACTAAACTACCAGCAAACCTTGAAAAATGTCACTTCTCTAATGTTTATAAGTTGCCAATATTGGCCCAAAACCCTCTCCAAGAAACAAGCAAAAGAAAAAACAAACAACAACATGAAACACTTAAATAGGAAAATAACCTTTGAAGAAAAAAAATGGTACTCAGATGGCTACCAAACTCATCCATGCAAGAATCCAATTTTTTTCTGGTACAAATTAACCTAAAGACTAGTAAAATGTGGAAAATTACTAACATCTTCCCTTGATATTAAAACTAGATATGAAGAGCAGAAGAAAAAAGTTATAGACCAATGTCCCTGATAGATAAAAAAAGTCTAAGAAAATATAAAATCAAATCCAGTTTTTTAAAGAAACGTTTAAATGCATGTATGATTTCTGCTAAGGATACAAGGATGTTCAATAGTATCTCTAAAACATAGTGTTTGGTTAAAAAGGAGAAAGAAAATAATATTGACAGTATAATAAAAGTTAAAGTATGATGTACATGAAACAATACTGCATAGTTTTTGTGAAGATAATTTTTAGGTTTCTATAATGTTACATATTAGATATGTCTGTGTGGAATTATACATCTTGAAAAAAGAACTGGAAAGATACACATTAAATCGATGCTAGTGGATAACGGAGGAACTAGCAATGTGTCGATATTTGAGTGTCAGGAGAGACTATAACTTTATCTTAAAGTTACATTTTTTTAATTTGTATTTTTTTTTACTATTGTTTGTTTGAAGACAACTGTATTACTAAGATTTTATGTGACTTTTAAGGCAAATCAACCACCACAATAATTTACTGCTAACATTCATAGTTAAACAGTGATGATCCCAGATATTTGAAGTTTCTTTGGATACATCTCAAAGGTTGTTTTAATGGTGTTAAAATATTTTTTTCAATCTCTTTCCACTCATCCAAGAAACATTTATTAAGGAACATAGCTGAGTAATTTGGAATTCAAAACTGATTGCTTCCTTTGAGAAGATTTTTTTTTTGTTGGGGGGGGGGGTCTAGTTGGGAAAATAATTCAACCAACTAGTACCAGAGTGTGGAAGAGATCTTAGGTGAGAGGTATTCATTGATTTCTGTAGGAGTATAGACACAGAGAATGTTCCCTCGTGTCCTGGTCATGATTCAGGGATTTACCGTATCCTGTAGAAATGACAAGAATAAGAAAAGTCTTTGGGATTTGAGGGAAATATACATTTATGTCTATGTGTGTGTACATTTATGTATATATGTAGTACAGAGAGAAAATATGAGATCTTATCATAATTTTTCTGTTAAGTACATGGCCTCTGGCACCTCATTAGCTCTGATAACCTCAGATTCTTCATATATAAAAAGAAAGAAATATACTAATTATTATCTAAAGATCATTTTATCATGCCTGTAAGAATGGCCAAAAAAAAAAAGATTGGAGAATATATTTATTTTTTGTTCTGAAATATCTCCACAACAAAGAGCATATATCTACCTAACTTGTATTATGGGTATCATATGCCTGCAACCCTTGGAAGGTGACTTTTATCTTCTATTTTTCCAGAAATTGAGAAAGAAAGTTGTGGTGATCCTGGTACACCCTTATATGGAATTAGAGAAGGCGATGGATTTTCTAATCGTGATGTTTTAAGGTTTGAATGCCAGTTTGGGTTTGAATTAATTGGAGAGAAATCCATTGTTTGTCAAGAGAATAACCAATGGTCTGCAAACATACCCATCTGTATCTGTGAGTACCAAATGCTTTGCTTCCAGATAGCATATGTTACCCTGTCCTTGCATATAATTGCTTTTGTAATTAATTGCAAAGAGCTGCAACCGTGTAATTATTTTTGAGTGAGTAGCACTTTGTGATGCTATCTTTAACAAGTGTGCTTATGCCAAATTATAAATTTTATTACAGATTTAAATAAAGTTAACATAGTTCACTTGGTAATGGCAAAATATATATTACGTGTGTTCTTACAACATTTTATTTCATGACATTTTATACTTTCTAGAGAGCATACTTCTTATGGAAATTATACATCTGAATGAATTCTAATAGACTCATTTATTTTAATAAGATAGTATATGTTTATTTGCAATCAAAAACATTAAAATATTTAAAGCTTATATTGTATGTATAATGCACTAACTTATTTTTGCTTGTAGATGTTAACACTAATGCATGAGGTGCCATTTTTTTATATTGCATACAATACAATTCATTAACATTAATGATATACAATATGCTTGGATTAAAATAATGTATTCAAATACATTAAGATATTGCAGTTTAACTACAGCAAAAGTATAATTTGTATTGCCTATTCACGCACTTGGTGTGCTCAATTAAATGCTGTCTTCAATACATTAAAATGAAGTGGATATTTTTAGAATCTGGCAGAAATTTCCCTAATAACAATATATTGTGTTTGCTCTTCAGGAAGTCTAGAAGAGGAAAAGTGCATACGTCCCCTTCACAGTCCCCTTTTGTTTTAGTTCTTATCTTTAACCAAGATTACTTGGTGAAGTTCTTGTAAGAGAAGAAAATATATTAGGAGGATCTGATTCGATTTACCAAAGCTTAGTAATACTTCAAAATACTTTTGTTGACAATTTTTAATTCTAGGTGTTCTTCTAGGAGGACAACGTTGGCTTAATACTGGAGAATCCATTAGTGTAATATATCACATCAAAAATAAAAATATTTTAAGAGCATTTTAACAGATTCCAAAAGGCATTTAGTGAAAATACTGAAAATTTTGCTGACTAAAACCAATTTTTAAAACATTCTTGAATACTAGAAAACATTTTTTACTATTTTAAAATTAGGTCTGATATCCTGATATATGATAAAAATGTAGCGATTAATAATGTTTTATATACCAGTAATAACTAACTTGGAAATACATTTAAAAGAGAATACATTCAGAAAATACAATTATAAAATACAAATAAATAATCCTCACATATTTCAAATAACTCATACAAAAAATTATAAAACTTACAAGAAAATAAAATTTTATGAGAACGAAATACAGATAGAAGCCATGTTCCTGAATGATAAATCACTATTTCAAATACATGAGTTATACAGAAATTGCTTTGCAATTTTAGTCAAAATTCTAACATAGTTTTTCTGGGAACTTGACGTATTGTATTGACATATAGCTAAGTAATAAAACAGGCAGGAGTAGATACAAGAATTTTGTAAAAGCAAAGTGCTTCTGTGGATGCTTAAGTATCATCTTAAGTTATGAGTGTGGTACTAACAAATTGTGAAGGGAAGTTACATAAAAACTGCATCTTATATAATTAAGAATTTAAAGTATGATATAAGCATCTATCTATCTGATAAGGGCCATTAAAGTGTGTCTTTGGTTAGCTCTTGCTCCAAGTGGGGATCATTTAGATCAGGAGATGGCAAACAGATTGTGGGCCAAATCCATCCTCCTTTCCATGTATTTTTAAGCAAAGTTTTATTGGAACATAACCAAACACTTTCATTTACTGATTGTGCATGGCTGCCTTCCAGCTACAATTGCAGAATTAAATAGTTGCAAAGGAGATCGTATGGTTTGCAAAGCCAAAGCATTTATTACCTACTCCTTTTCAGAAAAAGATTTCCGACCCTTAATTTAGATCAGGAGTTATAGGATCAAATTATTCCAGGATGCAGGCAGGAAACAGTGTGAAGAGGGATTAGGAGTAAGTATGTGTGCACCCATTTTGGAAGTGGTAGGAAACTGGGGTGCCTTAACTTTTCAAGATAAGCTAGAATAAAAGATGTTTTCCCCTTAAATATGAAATATGATGATTTTTCAATGTGATTTCAAATTTTTATGGGGGCAGAAGAAAAAAAAATCAAGCCAAACACATCTGCAATCTGAATTCAATCCAATGACTGTCAGTTTGCAAGCTTCAGTTCAACTCATAAAATTATGCAGAAAATAAATAGATTCAAAGTACAAAATATTTTTGAATGATAAAATGATAAAAGTTATAAAGAGAGATATATCTGTTGGTAGATGCAGCTATACCTATGGTTTTATATTTGTGTAGATAAATAGATATTGGTATAATGTCTGAATGTTAATAAAACATATGATGCTAAAAGATTGTAAGAAATGCGAACAATTATTTTAATATTCAAATTAAAACAAATAATTTATGCCAAAATACTAAAATTACAAAATAATGAGAAAGTTTTATGCATATTATAAACTAAGAGATCATAAACTTAAATGATCAGTTTATGAGCAGATAATTTTTTAAAAGAAAATGAAAATGTCTAACAAAAGTAAGAAATCTTCAACTTCTCTAGTAGTCAAAGAAATGCGAGTTAAGACAATGAGTTATCATTTTTCTTATCAATGGAGGAGAAGGAAAATAATCACAATATTTTATACTGTTACGGGTGTTGTATTCTCTGATATTTCTGTTATTTTTCAATAACGTCAAAATAACTTTAAATCAGAAATTTAGCAAAATGTTTTGAGGCTTAAATTCATATCCTTTGTCATACTAAGTGCTTTTTTTGAAAATGTATACCAAGGAAATAATGAACAAAAAAGCTTTCTTCAAGAATAGAGTCAGTGTTATTTATATTGCAAAAATTTTAAAATACAATTTTAAATGTCAAACACTAGAAGAACAGTTCAATTAATGTTTATATGTCCATATAAATTAATGGAGGAGAGTTTTAACTAATAAGTATAAATTTTGCTTAAAAACTCGACTTGAAAAACTCACATATTAAATATAAGGAAAACATAATTTAGTACAAAATGTAGGGAATTCAATTTTTTAAAAAATATGTAATAAAAGGCCGGGCACGGTAGCTCACGCCTGTAATCCCATTACTTACGGAGGCCGAGGCAGGTGGATCACTTGAGGTCAGGCGTTCGAGATCAGCTTGACCAATATGGCGAAACCCCATCTCTACTAAAAATACAAAAATTAGCTGGGCGTGGTGGGCGTGCCTGTATTCCCAGCTACTCCGGAAGCTGAGGTGGGAGAATCTCTTGAACCCGGAAGGTGGAGGTTGCAGTGAGCCTAGATGGTGCCACTGCACTCCAGCCTGGGCAACAAAATGAGACTCCGTCTCAGAAAAAAAAAAAAAAAATGTAATGAAAACTTTGGAAGATAATATATCAATACTTAAACTTTGATTTCCTTTGAGTAGTATGTCATTTTCTTTTCTGTTTCTTTATTTTTCCTCTGCTTTCTAAATGTTCTATGTGAACTTTCAAATCACATGTTTTTAAAAGTTAAAAAAACTGGAGGAGAAAGACTTCATTTTAGTGTGATGGCAAGAGCTCTCATTTAGCTGTTCTTCAGGTTTTAGCCACTAATGGCTGTTAAAGAAGTTAGTTTATCTCCTTATTTGTGTAGTAAACTATCAGAGCATCCATTGCCACCATAGAAATGGAACTCACACATTGATAACCATCCCCTTGAGTGTTTTCTGAGCTACCGGATTCTTGTTCTGTTAATATCCACATAATATTTTTTGTCTTCAATCATTTCAAGAACCTTATTGCTTTCTATGGGAACTTCTGTATATTTTTTCACTTTTTAAACACTGAAATGAACACTTTATACAGTCTAACATAAACAAGATATATGTCAAAAAATTGCTATTATTCCAATTATATTTTTGTGCATTATTTAAGGGTAGAGCCTTAAGTTTATCCAAAGTACTAGTTGCCTTTTTCAATATGTAAAAATGGTAACCGTTTTGTTCTGTTTTATAATTTACATAATTTAATATTATCTTATACTGCTAATTGATTATCATAATTGTAGAATATGACAAAATAAGATGAAATATTATTTTTGAATATTTATTGTATTTCATAATCTTCCTGTTTCACCAGTTCCCTGCCTGTCTAACTTTACTGCACCAATGGGAACAGTTCTTTCTCCTGATTACCCAGAAGGGTATGGAAATAATTTAAATTGCATCTGGACGATAATCTCTGATCCAGGGAGCCGGATACATCTTTCTTTCAATGACTTTGACCTGGAATCCCAGTTTGATTTCCTTGCTGTTAAAGATGGTGACTCTCCAGAATCCCCAATTCTTGGAACCTTTACTGGGGCTGAGGTGCCTTCCCATCTTACTAGTAATAGTCACATACTGCGATTGGAATTTCAGGCTGACCACTCAATGTCAGGACGTGGCTTTAACATCACTTACAACAGTAAGTTTCTGTTTCTGTTTTTTTCCCATATAATATATTTCTATAAATTTGAGTTGAAAAGTGATCATGTATATTGGTTCCCTTGTTTCCTAGTTAAGAAAATTTGTAAAAGCTGTAAATCTCATTGTGCCAAGGATGGTCATTTCTTCCTTCATTTCCAATCACATTTTACTCTCTATTATATTAATACATTTCCTTTTTTGTGAGAGGCCCAATATCAAGGAAATATGTTTCAAATATTGTTATTATGTAAGCCAATATATTTATAATTGTTATATCAGCCAACATATTTATATCTTAGCATAAACCCAAACCTATTATTGATCACATACTTTGTTATTTGTATGCAACATAAAAGAGAAATAGAGTTTCCCTTAAAGATATTCATGCACCAATAGATATTAAACAACTAATCATGGCATAGAATTAAAATTCCAAAGAAAAAATCACATGGCTACAGTAGCATCATAGAAAAGGAAATAATTAACTTTGGATCTTAGCCTTGTTTTAGGTTTTATAACTGAGCCACAGTACTCACATTAGTGAAACCACAATGGATTGCTATAAAGAATAAATTAGGTGATGCATGTGAATAATTTAGCACAGAGTACATATTACTTAGTAAAAGCTTAATAAACATTAGCCATTATTGTTTAGTTGGTTTTTGAACAATTATCTTGACATCTTATGTTGTTGTGTGAGATGTTAAATATTATTTATCTGCAAAAATGTTTATAATCATAGAAAAAAGATGAATCACATAAAAAAGAAAAAAACCTTAGTGGATTAATAACACTTAGATACTAATGCTTCTGTTTGCAAATATACCTGAAGCCATAGAATACTAGTAATTTTTATTGCTTTTCCTTGAAGCTTTTACACTGTGTCAGATATTGACCAATTGGATGAGTTAATATTTAAGTGTCACATAATAAAAGGATTTAGTTTCCAGCTCTTCCTGTTGCTTTATAAAAAGAATTTCACACTTCACTCCCACCCTCACCTATTCAATGTTAAGCTTTGGCAGACAAAGTGTAGTTGTTGTATTTTCAAAGTGATACTAGTGGTGAATAGTGTCGCTGTAAATTGTAAACATGTAATTGCATATTATTAAAGTTAAATTAGCGGTGACATGTGTCATAGAAACTTATATAAAATGACTGCTTTGAGAATTTTTAAAAAATACTTCATGTACATGTCTAAAGATAGACATGTATATGCATCTATCTATCTATAATTTTTATTTTGTCTTAAATGCATAATATTTTTAACTTTAATGTTGATAGTTTTTCAGGGTATTATGGAAATAGGTCTCCCTTTTCCTGGTTCTGTTCTATAGTAAATAATTTAATTGATAATGTGCAAATTATTTTATTTAATGCTTACTAATGAGATTCATTTTTTCTGAAAAAATATCTACCAGGTACTCTATATTAGAGTTACACTGCTTAATCAAAATTGAGTTTTTAAAATTACAAAATAAAATAATAATTAGAAATATGTATACATATAAAACATATTTTATGTATTCTAAAACGTACCTTAATATTCTTTTGCACTGTTTCATTTAAAATAAGGAGAACAGATAGTAAAATTATACAATTTATAACCAGCATCAAAGTGATGATTAGTGAGAAAATTTAAAATCACTGCATGTACTAATGCAGTATGAATATAATAATAAGTTATAAGCATCTCATAAAATATATTTTACACATGTAGACCTTGCCTCTTTAAATATTCTTCCATTTATATTGTAATACATTAAAATTTTATAATACACAATTGGTCACTCAGATGAATACAGAGAAAAATTTGGATTGTTCATGTAATCTATAATCTATGAAAAATTCAAATAAACCCATTTTTATTATACTCCTGCTATTTGCTGTAACTTGGCTAAATATAAACTGTGAGACAAACAAGGTAGAATAAGATAGTGGCCCTGAGCTCAAGAACTCCTGTTCTCCTGAGATACATGAGACAAATAAGCCAAGATACAATAGGTTGTTGAGAAGAAATTAAAATCCGGTCCAGGGGATACATTTCAATCCTATGAAGCCCTATTTCTATGACATTAGGCAAGTTACTTAACTTTTCCTGAGTCTAACATTACTCTTTTGAATAGATGGCAATACTTTCCTCATCAGCTATTCTAAATATTAAATGAGATAATAACATATCACAGTGCTTGGAACATGGTAATTGCGAAAGAATTAACTCTCTTCCTTTTTCCCAGATGGCAGAAAATAAATGTCATGGAAAATTATTTAAAAAGTTGTAACAGTTTCATACTAGATTGAGACATTTCACTTTAATTCTCAAGATGAGACTCACTCTCTCTATTTCCAGTTGGAAATAGAGAAAAATAAATAAAAGTTTCCAAAGGAATACATACTAATGCTTCTGTCAATTGCTTTGCATTTTAATTAATTGAAATTCTGACCAGCTTATACTGGAAATATTTTCATAATCTTAGCTAGTCTCATGGTCTCCAGAAATAAGCAGAAATAATTCTGTTTTGAAATTTTATAATTTTAGAGTGTAATTCACATTTTAAAACATTCACATTTATTGCACATCACAGGCAAACAGGTAAGGTCAGAGGAGAACCTCCAAATTTAAAGTAAATAAATAAAAACTTGTGTAGAAATAAACACAACCTTTTAAAATATCTCTTTCTCTCTCTCTCTTTTCCAAAATATAGAAGGATCTCTCTCTGGCTAATGTTGTTTGTTTGTGTATTTTTCTTTGCATATTATTCTAAAGCATTTGGACATAATGAATGCCCTGATCCTGGAATACCAATCAATGCACGGCGGTTTGGGGACAACTTTCAATTAGGAAGTTCAATTTCAGTTATTTGTGAAGAAGGATTTATTAAAACCCAGGGAACAGAAACAATTACATGTATTCTTATGGATGGAAAAGTAATGTGGAGTGGACTGATTCCAAAATGTGGAGGTAAGTGTAGTAGTGAGTGAGAAATAGAACCTCATCATCATTATGTACAAGAAACCACAACAAGAAACACATTATCCTACCAGGACTGTCATAATCATTATCTTAAAACATTTCTTGATATTCTATATTAAACATATCTTGTTAAGGAAATTACACTTTTAATTTTTCATGTTAAAACAAATTTTTAGAAACCTTTTAGAAGCTTCCTTTTAAAAAAAGCTCTTATTAAAAGATAAAGATTAATGAATGGTAAATATTGGTCACATGTGTAAACTCTCTATAGTATACTTCCTAGTTATAGTTTAATACACTTTATAGTTTCCATTCATTTTTTCTCGGTATGTTATCTATTCATGGTACACACTAATTTTCAAAAATGTGTTAATAATGATCAATTATAATAAATACATTTAAGCTAAAACACCCATTTATTTAAAATATATGATTTCTGAAGGCATCATTTGCTAATTTTTTTCAGTTTTTATTTTTCCAATTAAATATAGTCAACAAGGTTCAAGGCATATATATGTGTGTGTGTGATATATATGTATGATCTTTGGAATTATTATTATTTTTAAACCGATTCTCACTCTGTTGCCCAGACTGGAATGCAATGGTGCAATCTCAACTCACTGCAACCTCTGCCTCCCAGGTTCCAGCAATTCTCCTGCCTCAGCCTCCCTAGTAGCTGGGATTACAGGTGCATGCCTCCGTGCCCAGCTAATTTTTTGTATTTTTAGTAGAGACACGGTTTTTCCATGTTGGCCAGGCTGGTCTCAAACTCTTGATATCAAGTGATCTGTCTGCCTCGGCCTCCCAAAGTGCTGGGATTACAGGCATGAGCCACTGCTCTTGGCCTATTTTTGTATATATACACTCATATGAAATCTCAGATTATGTTGGTAAGAAGGAAGGATGATCATAATTAAAAGTAAAACATCAATTACATAGTATATCAATTTAGAATCTACTGAAATGAGGGACCTTTATTTAGATTTGCCACAGAAGGAATTAACATTCTAAATTTTAATTTCTCCTTCCACTATAGTATCTAATAATACATATCTATTTTATTATAAAGATATAAATGGGCTGGGCACGGTGGCTCACGCCTGTAACCCCAGCACTTTAGGAGGCCAAGGCGGGCGGATCACGAGATCAGGAGATTGAGACCATTCTGGCCAACATGATGAAACCCCGTCTCTACTAAAATAAATAATAATATTAATAAGAAAAAAAACTAGCCGGGTGTGGTGGCACATGCCTGTAGTCCCAGCTACTCAGGAGGCTGAGGCAGGGGAATCGCTTGAACCTGGGAGGCAGAGGTTGCAGTGAGCTGAGATCGCGCCACTGCACTCCAGCCTGGTGATAGAGCAAGACTCTGTCTTAAAAAAAAAAAAAAGAAAAAGGAAAAAAGTATACAAATGAACTTTTACTAAGAAATAGATGAACTATAACTGTCTAACACCTTTAGTAGATTGTCATATAATAATTGATTATTTTAAAAGCAGTTTCTTTTTCTTATTTTCCAAGTTTTTCCTCTTACCTGTCTCCAAACTGACTAGCTGATAAATTGAGAAGATTTAATATGTAATTTTCCAAAGTACAACAAATTTAATTGAAGCATTACCTATATATTGATGACTTTCATTGGATTGAACATTTTCATAATGTCTCATGATGAAGTAATCCCAGACCGTGTAATTATGTTTTCCTAGTGGCCCCTTCAATTAATGCTTTCCTTCTTTTTACTACTAACTGCTTTCTCATTAGTAATATCAGGTGGGCAGAACTAGATGACTTTAGTGTTCTTTTTCAAACTTCAAATAGTATGGGTTCAGCAGGGGCTACTCTGTCAATAATTATGACTATGATGGTATTTTAAAAACATAGTGGAGTTACACAATAATGGACTAAAGTAAAAAGGGAAAATGGATAATATGGATAGTAATACTTAGTTTTTCCACCATTCTTTTTGCCGGAGCCCATTCATTCTTTTAACATAGTTTTTGATCCGGCTTTGGGGAACCAGTAAGAAAAATCTACATTAGCATTTTTGTTTGTTTGTTTGTTTGTTTGTTTTGAGATGGAGTTTTGCTTTTGTCACCCAGGCTGGAGAGCAGTGGCACCATTTCTGCTGACTGCAACCTCCGCCGCCCGGGTTCAAGAGATTCTTGTGCCTCAGCCTCCTGAGTAGCTGGGACTATAGGTGCACATCACCACACCCATCTAATTTTTTTTGTATTCTTAGTAGAAACTGGGTTTCACCATGTTGGCCAGGCTGGTCTTGAACTCCTGACCTCAGGTCATCCGCCTGCCTCGGCCTCCCAAAGTGCTGGGATTACAGGCACGAGCCACCACGCCCTACGGCCACACATTAGTATTTGAAGCAACAGTAGGAAATGAGAGAAAAGTGTGTTTCAGGCAAAAGGAATAGAGCCAGTTCAGTGTGACTGCAGGGGAGGACACAGTGAGTTGGATCTGATGAATGACTAGAGAAGTCCAGAGCATTAGACCCTTTTTAAATAATGCTAAGTAGCTCCAAAGTTACCCTGTGGCTAAACAGGAGCCATTGCAGCTGGGAAATGACATTATCTGAGCCTCACCCTCCCCTGCACTGAAATTTGTTTTAAATCTCAGTCGACACATACAGAGACCACTTCTAGGTAAGTTTGAATTTTGTTGGATCCTCGTTTGCCTAACTTGGGCATTGGTTTTGGGGTTGCTTGGTGCCTAGCTTCATGGTGGAGGTAAAAGTAATTAGTAATGTCAATCAGTAATTTAATGAATCACTACTTATGTAGAGCAATTTCAGGGAGATTTTCTACTATCTGTGAAAAACAAATGGTATTTAACTTTTAAAATTAAGTAAGATAAAATATTCAGAACTCTAACTTGACAAAGGCCAATAAGCCCTCCACACATCCCTAAGAGAACCCTTATGAAGTTTCTGATGGACAAGAATTGTTTTTCTCTATGTGTGAGTGAAATGACACACAGTTGGCACACCTGCCTGTTTGTGGACCCAATAGCAAGGTGGAAACATCACTAAGGATGAGGTTGGAGCCAAGGAAGGCAGAACTGGAGTGGGCCAGAAGCAATCTTAGGGTGGCCCTTGCCAGGTTACTACTCTATCCCAAACCACCTCTGAGCCAGTTTCCACCCAACAAAGCAGACTGCTGTCAACTCTATAACTAACTCAGGTAGGTTTGATTTCTTAGCCTCTAATTAAGGTTTATATTGATTTCCTTTCATTTTGCCTGAATTCTACTTAGGTACTAACAATTAAAGCCTGAGACTAACTGATGCCTCAGCTTATTTTTATTTTTCCTAATTTAAAAAAAAAAAAAAAAAAACCTGCCCCATCCCCCCACCATTCCTGAAACTTCCAGAGCCACTCCCACTTACATAGAGAACTATGGTTGGGAGGCTACTCCTCCTGTCTCCTTTTTTCTGTAGACAGTCTATATTTTTACAGATAAAATTTTTCTTATTATTTATTATTGTTCATCTTTGGGGCACTATCGCAGCCTCCAACATTTACAAATGTTAACAAACGTTAACATCCTTAAGATTTTCACTGAAACTTTTAAATTATCTTCATATTAAACATTTCAAATAGAATAACTTTTTAAAGGTACATGTTGGTATTTTCTGGTTAATACAACTAAATTTCTACTTCTATTTTATTTTCTTCAAAATCAAATTCATTGTTAAAAGTTATATATATATATGGATTGTTGTGTATTAAAATTAGAAGGTAGAACATTTTGTTTTAATCAGAACTTACAGAACAATGGAAATCAGTATAAAATGTTTTTGTTTGAAAACTCAGAACCTCAATCCACTTAAAGATTACCTTAAATGATCTTAGCATCATTACTTGGCTTTCTTTCTTAATTATAGCCATAATTAACTTATTTTTCTCAGCTCTGATTTGCTTTACCAGATTCTTGAGATCAGTTTGTAAAGGAGAGTGTCTGTGATTATTTGGTAAATTAGCTATAGGTAATTCTGCCATCATCTTGTTGCAGGTACTTTTGATTATCCAATCTTTTAATACTTCTTCCTAGTGGATGTCTTGCTTTTAACTTGTTCTGTGAGTTTAACACACAGGCAGAAAATGTCTTTCCAAAATTTTTACTCAACTCAACTTCATCTAGATATTTATGTCCTCTAGGTTGGTGAAGCCAACTGCCACTAGACTGGATGGTAGTTTTGGTGAATCTGAGTCTACAGATAGCACCTAATGCCCAATGCCACAGATCAGGAATCATAATCTCAAATGCTTAACAGGAGCAAGGAAGTAACAGAAATGAATTAGATGGGCTAAAGGAAGCAGGCTACCCTCCCAATGGACAGGTGTATTTTCCCACTTTTTATACAGACATAATTATAGATAAATATGTGCTTAAAAACAGTATAAATAATACAAAAAATTATATTATTGACAACTGAGAGCAATGTTTCCATTAGCTTATACAATACCTTCATGGACATTAGAAAAGAGCCACAATCAATCCATTGTGCTAGGCCAGTGAAGCAGTTCAGAAATCATATATTGGACAGCAACCTCTATTCCTTCTAAGAAAGCACACCAATGTCTCAAGAAATTGGGTATCCTTTAGGGCCTTAAGAATCATTTTGCAAAGTAGTTATTTCAGGAGAAAGTTTCTTGAGTTACTATTTTTTGTTGTGAAGTTGTGTAACACTGTTTAAGTCCAATCCTCTAGCACCTAGAGTCTAGCTGGAACATCATATCTTGAATTGTGCATTCTCCCCCAAATGATCATTTCAAATTCAAAGTACTCTCTGCAATATCCTTTTGGCTTTGCATTGATATTCTGCTCATGTCTTATCCTATTTTTACCATGAGACAGTACAATTTTGCTAATAATTTAGCTCCTAATGTGGCTCAGTTATCTAGTATGATTTCATTTCAGTCAGACTCAGGAACTAGACCAAAGTTATTTAAGAAGCATTGATAAATAACAGAGATTTTTACTTTGATTTTTTTTTTTGAGTTAGGATGCAAGTGTTTTATACAATGAAGTAAACAGAAGGCTTCTCAAATACCTTTCTAGGCCATCTTTTCCCCCTTCTCACCCACCATTCAAGATAGCTTGTAAAAATCATCACCACCATCATCATTATCATTTATTTCCCTGTCTTCCCCCATGCTTACACACACACAGTCCTCCCATCACTAAGCTCTTCTTCTCTCCCTTTCTATTTTCCTTTCCAGGGCCCATGTCTTTGTTCACATGAATTCAGTCCCTCTGTCACACACATAATCCTCAAGTTACCAGAAAATCCACTCCACTGTACTCTGCACCCAGGAAAGATTCATTAATTCCATTCTGATGGTTTTCGATTGACATTCTGTCTCCTTGGAAGCTTGGTGAATAAATTCTTCACCTTGTTATAATAAATTATGTACTGATTTTGAAAACAACGAGAAGAGAGACAGCAAGTTTTTGACATATATTCTCAGCTACTCTCTGAGTTACATTTCTACTTTATAATGCCCGCTTCTGAATTTGCCAGTAATAAGCCAGCCAATGAATCCCAAAAGAACTTGAAAGGGATACCAGGCCATGAGATGTAGTATAAAACAAGAAAGTTATCTTTCTAAGTGTCAAGCAGTGAGGACTAAGTCATCTAGAGTTTTCTGTTTTAAAAAGCAAGACAGTTGGACATAAATTAATTCTCCTCTGTTGCAGCCACAGAAGGAAACAGTTCCTGAATATAAAGATTTATTATTCATTGGTGAATGCCTTTAAAATAAAATGCTACTGAACTATACTCATGTAGATTGAAAGTTGAAAAGGATTTTATTGCAGACCAAAAATGAAAGATGCATTAATGTATTCATTATTTTGTTATAGAATCTGAAATTCATACCATTTTTGTTTTAAAATCAAATTTTCCTCAATAATTTAAAGTTATACAATTATTTAACTGTTAATGGAAAAATAAGTTAGACAAGTCTAAAAATTATATATGTTATTAAATTTTATTTTATTAAATATGCTACTCAGGCTCATTTTAGTCTCCTTTCCTGGTTTCTCCTCCTCTCTGTGATCTGTTTAAGTGCATGTCCCAGAGCTACATTTTGGATATGTTCTGCTCTCTATTGCATTCATTTCATTGGTGATTTTTCAATCAGTCTCTAACTGTAAACAATATCTACATGCCGCTGTCTCTCAAATTTACATCTCTAGCCTGGTTCTCTGCCCTGAAATGTAGACTTATATGTTCAACTTCCTACTCCACATCTGCACTTAAGTGTTTAATAGGCATCTCAAACTTACCCTGTCTGAAACTGATATGTCTCCCCACGTCACTCTAAACCTGCTGTTGTCACTCACTTTCTCCATTATTAATAGCAACTCTATTATTTCAGTCATTCAGGCCAAAATTCTTCGGTCTTTATCAAATCTTTCCTGACTCCTTTCTTTCTGTCATAACCATAGATAATGCATCAGAAAAACTGGCTAGCTCTTCCTTTGAAATCATTCAAAACCCAAATATTTCTTACTACCTCCACTGCTGACATCTTGGTCCCAGCAACCTTTGTCTCTGGCTTTAATTAATCCGTAGCCCCCTAACTGCTCTCACTGCTTCTGTCTCTGCTTTTATTCAGTTCTATTCTCAACACAGCTGCCAAAGTGATATACCATTCTTCTCTAAAGAGACTTGGTCCCTGTGATTTTTTTCCCCTAAGCAGTACCTTGTCATTTCCTTCCAGATCCCATGCAGATACTGAAATTTGTAGTTCAAATTAGAAATAGCTTGTTGTTCAGTCCACCTGTGCCCAACCATTAGTTTCCTCATAATTATTTCTCCTCTGAGTCTCAGAAGGCTCTGATGTATATATGCTTTCTGCTTCTCTTGTCCTTTTTACCTCACTCTGACTCACATGTCCCCTACACTGTAGTCAGCAGTGCCCCCTTTGATCTAAAGCAATCTCCGTGACAAAAATGGAAATGAATATTGGCCTTCTGGATTACATGATCATGTTCTTGAATATGATTAGATGTAATACATTCATGGGTCTGCTTTATAGATAAAGGAGATTACATTTAGTGAAATACATTGGAAGAGTCTGATGAATGCTATTGCCTCAAAGCTGATGATTTAACTAAGAGCTGGGTTAAGACTGGCAAAGTTGCCTTTTTCTTGTGGATACTCGAAATGATTTTGAACATTGTTATATTTGCAGCCCTCCTGACAAGGAAAACCATAGGAATAAATGTGTGACTAACAAAATGGAGAACTAAATTTTCCTGCTGCTTTAGCTTTGGCAACTTAGATCTCCAGTTAAGAAGAAAAAATTATCTATATTCCTCTTCTTGAAAATTTAAGGACAAGACACCCCTCCAGAGCTTAAGTGGGTTCTAGCTGATTCTTTTATCTCAATCATAACCTCTGCCATCCCACTTCCAATGTGCTAAGCAGCAAAAGCTAGGGAGATCTATATGTCTTTATCTATCTAATCCGTATATCTGTCTTTCTCTATCATTCATCTATCTATAACTGTTTGAATTATAAGTTGTTTGGTTTTTCATTCTTCTTAGAGGAGGGAAAGTGCTAGTCTCCTTATCTTCAAGCCAAATTGAGGGAAAGGGCTGCATAAGAATCCCTCTTAGAGAATGGAGATGTTTGTGTGAAAGAGAATTCCCAGGTGGATATTTGCTTATACAATGAGCTTGCTGATCTACCTTCTATGCCTATTGAACAAAAGAAAAGAAATTGGTGAAAAGCTGGCAGGTTGGAGAGAGGGAGAGCTGTTTAGTTCAAACAGTTTGATTAGTCAGTGATGTAAGTTTCCTGTGCATCAAATGAATACCAAAGAAATTACTCAGGCTTGGCCACAGGAAAAGACAATCCAACAGAGTTATAGGGTGTGCCGTCAGGGATGGGAGCAGACAGGCAACTACAAAAGGTTGAGCTTCTCTTTTATCAGGGAATTGTGCGGTGAGAAGCCATTCTCCTCACTCTTGGCCTTTGCAAACAACTCATTTGTTCTCATGGGAGAATCAACATGTTCCATACCTGACAAAAGAGAGGCACCAGTGACCAGACAAAGGTTTGCAAGGAAAGCAATAACTTCCAGGAAAGGACTATGACCTTTCACCTCATCCCAGCCCTAACTCACCACAGGAAACAGGATCTAAAGGTAAAAGGAAGAGGACAAGATATAAAATAAGTGATAATACCTTCTCTACTCCAAGTGCTGAAGTAAGTAGAGGAATGAATCTGAAAGTGCTGGCATTCCTTTAGCATGCTCTTCCCTATCCTCCAAGTCTCTCTGGCTGCTACTCAAGGCACCTTGGGTGAGTGAATGGAGAGAATGAGATAACAGTTTTAAATTGAACTGGATCAAGTTTTTAAATACTAGAAGTGATAAGAAAACTAGAGGCTCTGCTTAACATGCTCTTTGAGGAGAGAAAGAGACTTGGCAGTGTGTGTTTTAAGGCAGTAATTAGAAAAAAAAAAAGTCTTCTGTTTTTGCTTCACCAACTTTAGAATGTTCTATAAAATGCTTACTCAAGCAAGAACTCCCTTGCCCTCAGCACAGAACTCCCTGCATAGCTGTGGCTTATGCTCCTTCCTACTCCCTAATGGGATATCTAAGAGAATTCTTTGAGTGAATAGGATGGGACTGAAGTCCCGGGAGAACTGTTTGAAGACAAGCCTGGACTTGCATGCCTGATGAACTTTCCCTTTGAGGGTAAGAGGTTCTCTCTTGAATCTCAATTAGTCTCAGAGGAAAGGAAGCCATTCTCATTCACAGCCATTACATTCTTTTTAGAGAGAGTTCTTTTGAGGAAGCAATTAGAGTAACAATTTGATACACAGATCAGAATTGATTTGTGGTTCTTATAAACAGATATGTATTCACACATTTATATATATTTATATCTAACAATGAACCCCTCCTTTAGTTAAGTATTTAGGTGTTATTAAATTCTACGTCTCCTGAAGCACTAATATAGAATAATGTAATTTAATAGCCATCTGCAGGGCTTTGCTTCTAATCTTTGTGGAGCTGGGTACAGGGAGGGATAGAAGTAGTTATGGAAATGGACTCTATTTTGGCTCCTTAATTACCATGTTTCTGTCTTTCTCTTCTTATCCTAGATACATACCTGACTTGTTCATTGTAATTTTTTTTTTTTGAACCATGATGCAGTGTGCTGAGGTTTGAGAGACCTGGTGATTACTTACCACACCTATAACCATAAAGCAAGTTTTTTTTTTTAAGGAACAAAATGGAACTGTCATTGTCTGATTGTCCTTGAATTGGCATCTAGATTTTATCAAGAACAACTCCACAGAAGGACTGTTTATCAGACCAAATGCTACAATGTTCACCTCTTTAATTCACCTATGGCAAAATCCCTGTGATCAAAACCTAGCTTAGCCCATGGTCCCCAACTTCCTTCTGAGCACCTAAGTACCACTTCTCAGATGGAAGAGCATCTCCTGCTGTGGAGTACCAGCACTCCTTAGCATTTTTATTCAGGAGAATTTTATCTGAATGCAGTCTGAAGCACTTCTGATTCTTTCATCGAGGTCTTAAAACACAGTGGGTTCTTTGAATGTATCCTTTCTTCTTAAAGTAAGACAAAATTGAGCCAGCACTCAAACTCACATTATTTATAACAGACGTTCTTCAGGCCTTAGAAAAATAAAACTAGATAAATGAACTATATTGAATTTACATATCTCATTGTTGTTTTCATTGCTACAAAAAGAAGAATTAAAGGCAACGACCTGTGTTTCACTAAAATATCCAAATAACTTCCTCATCCCAGAAAACTGAGAGATTAACCAATGGAGTCTTGGAGCTGCAGAACACCCACATCCCTTAAATTTCCTGTGTGGTCCACATACCTAACCAATAAAAGGACCTGAGGGATCAGGTGGGGGTCTTGTCAACCATGCAGATTTTTGGGTCCCATCTTACAACTATTAGAAGTACAATACAGGAATCTGCATTTTAACAAGCTCAGTAGATGGCCACTAACGTTTGAAAGTCTTTGAAAGCAATAATAACTGCAGGTAACCAGAGGCCCCCATGAACTGCTCCTCCTTAGGCCTCCACTAATAATAAGTTGTAACAACAAGAACCACTTGACTTTCCCCCACACAGATTAGTGTTTTTTACTTCCTACCTCTGCCTATTCTGTCCCACTTCTGTTAAGCCTGTTTTGCTTGTATTCATTTTTTAATCTAAACTCTTCTTTGACAACATCTCCTACCCAGACTCTTTCCTAATGCCCCTGGGACAGTACCTGTCCCTGCCCTATATTTCAAGGCTACTTACCCAGCTCAAGCATGTACTTATCATGTTTCATGTTAACTGTATCAATCTTCCTTGTAGAAAATGTGTATCTCTTGAAGGCAGATATAATATCACATAGAATTTTTTTTCAATTTCAGCAGCTAGCACAGTATCTTAGACATAGTAGCAGAAACTAAATGTTTATTTAATTAATTAAAAAATGAATAATAGTAGTGGAGAGGCACTTAAAATGGGGTTAGAGCCTCAAAATTATACTAAAAACCTTTGGACTAAATATTCTACCCCCTGACTTTTCATCTATTTCTGTCTTCACTAAACCAATGGTAAAGAGAGTATAAAATGTTTAAATAAACATTTCTTTTGGAAAAATAATAAATCTACTGTGGAAGTAATTCTTAACTAGGAATTTAACAATTTGAATTTGAGTCTCAGCTCTGCCGCTACCTAGTCCATGTTTCTGATCAAGTCATGATCATAAGTCAAAACTCCATCATAAGTTGAGGATCATCTGTGTGTCAAAGAAAAATTTCTCTGTCAGAGTTAAACAGGCAAGCAAGACTATTTGAGACTATTGCAAAGGAGAAGAAAAATTGAACTCAACTCCTTTGAAAGAGGGAGAAGGTTTTTAAGCATTGGGGTGAGCTAGTAGAAAAGTACTGGAGCATGTTAGGGGGTAGGTTGGCCAATGTGATTAGATCATTTATGTTTGATAATTGGAGCTTACTGAAGTTAGGTTCCCACTCTCCCACAGAGAGAGTGGAAAATAAGGGTGCTTCAAAGGGATGGCTCCCAGGTCATTGAAAAAGACATTCCTGGGTCATAAAACTAGTAAGAGGCTGGGAGAAAATGTACATTTCAAAGGTACAGAGGAAAAAAAACAAACAAGTTTTCTAAACTAAATGCTCTAGGAAAGGGAGGTGGGAAGGAGGGTCTTGAATCAGGAAGAAGCCTGTCTAAATTTAGTTAAACTAAAGTTTATCTCAGTCAACTGAGATATAAACTATTCTATTTTTCCACTAAAACCTAGGAATTTATTACTTTTACTTGCTAAAATTATCCCAGTTCACACACTTAGGTGAGAGGAAGACCCAAACAAATAATTCATCTCAGCCCTTTTCTCAGTGTTGTAGTGATATACTGGCTATTGGACAATACCTACTTAATTTTATTAAATTAAAATACTTTTTTCAAAGGGTTGCATATTCAATCATCTTTCATTTTTTCCTCTAAATATTCACCTTTACCTTCAACCTCCATGGAAACTTGAACATCAACCAATTTTGAAAATCACTCCTAAGATAGCCAAGAGCTCCAGATTCTATTTTCTCTTGTTTCTTGTGATATTTCACAGACCCTTCCATTTTAGCACTGAATCTCATTAACTTTCCACATGAAACTCCTCCCTGTTCCGTGTTTCCCATTTTGGTGAATGGAATCACCATCCACCCTATTGCACATGCCAAGGGCTCAAGGACCAGTTTAGACTCCTTCCTCTGACTCACTCTTTGCACGTCAATAAATGCTTTTGATTCTCCTTCCTAAATACCTTGTATATTCTGCCTATCTCTGCTACAGCCTTATTTCATAATCTGATAATGCCTTTCCTAGATAGTTGCAACAATCTTCTAACTGATCTCACTAAATCCAGGTGTACTGCTGCAATCCATTTTACATGAAAGTTTCACTTAAATGAAAATCTTATCCTTTGTCTATATACGTGTGTGTGTATATATACATATCCTTTGTCAACAATTTTTCAATTGCCGTGGTTCACTTTCCATAGTGGAGCAAACCAGGTCCTTTTCTAATTTTCTCTCATCACTTCTTTATTCCCCAGAAAAGGTAATTGCATTACTTTATGCTAACTCAATCCTCTATGCATTTGCATGTGATGTTGCTTTCATTTACAATATCCTCCCTCAGTTTTTCTGTTGGTGCTTCTTGATTTCTTCTTCTTGATTTCATCTTCATTCTTGATTTCATCCTGTTTAATCTTCAAATTAAACAGAATCTCTTCTATGAAACATTTATTCATTTCCTTTTCTGGGCCCCTTGTACTGTGGACATACCTTTGTTATAGAACTTGACATTTTTACGTTTTGTTAATGTTTCTGTCTTTTGCACCATGGGCACTGGGAGGAAAGGAAAAAGACTATCTTAATGTCAGTTGGAAAGAATTTTTCTAGAGTCAAACTGCCTTTGTTCAAATCCTTGACAGTTCAGATGCAAATTATTTAAATTCCTTACACATCAGTTTTCTTATCTATAATAGTGTACTTATCTGGCTAGATTATTTTGAGCATTATATAAAATAATCTGAGGGTGCCTGACACAGAGAAAGCATTCCATAAATGTTCATTAGTAGAAGTAGTACAAATGCCACACAGGCACACACCTGTCAGACAATGGTACGTCGAAGAACTGAAATATAAATGAATAAAAGATGAATGAATGAATGGGACTTTGAAAATGCTTCTTTATGGCCTTGGTCCCCTTTTTGCTTTCTGTATATTCCAAATTTTTCTTGTTCAGCCAAGAGTAGTTATTGTTTTTTAGAGAAATCCTTTTTGAAGTGTAGTATCTTCACACCTGGAGATACACAAGCTCATTTTTGGTTAAAAAAATGTATAAGAATTTCTTAAATTTCAGTAGGTACATAATTAACTACATAGGCAATATATGGATATGGCAACATTGTTAAGTTTGGATAACTTTTTGTTTTTTTTAGTTGTATTTTACTCATATTGCAGTTAGATTTCTTTACAGATAAAATATTTGCAATTAATAATATTTTTAGGCCGTGCACAGTGGCTCATGCCTGTAATCCCAGCACTCTGGGAGGCCAAGACAGGTGGATCACCTGAGATCAGAAGTTCAAGACCAGCCTGGCCATGGCGAAACCCTGTCTCTACTAAAAATACAAAAAATTAGCCGGGTGTGGTGGTGTGTGCCTGTAATCCCAGCTACTCGGGAGGCTGAGGCAGGAGAATCGTTTGAACCCAGGAGGCAGAGGTTGCAGTGAGATGAGATTGTGCAATTGCACTCCAGCCTGGGCAACAAGAGCAAAGCTCCATCTCAAAAAAAAAAGAATAAATACATAATAATAATAATAATATTTTTAGGTTTCTGTTCCAAAACTCTAGGCAGCTTTTTTTTTCTTCAGCTGTTTTGTTTTGTTTTGTTTTGTTTTGTTTTTCTACATTTAGCCTCTCCTTTCTCCTGCATGTTATCTATTCCATGCTCTTCCACTGTTGCTACACCATGGCTTCTCCTTACTGACATTTTCCTCTCATGTGCCCGAGAGTCACTTTAATGATGAGACTTTTGCTGACCGACCCATATAAGCATGTCTCTCCCCTCTTGGTGGTAGACCTTCTAGAAAGTTGGTTCCTATACTTTTGGAAGAATAATTTTGGGAAATTCCAATCCTTTAAGTGAGAAAGTAGCTACTTCAGAAAATGTCATAAGTAGGAGAAGAACCACAAGCAGGGTCACTATACCAGAGAGTCATTTTAGGAAACAAACAGCAATCAATCACATCTTTAGGCTACTTCTTCACTTTAAAGACCCCTTCTAACTCTGCCTCCCTCACATTTTGCACTGAGTGGCTAGTCGGAATGCTTCTCAGTACTTTACTTTTTAATTCTTTATGGCCCATTTCTCAATTGTTAATTTTATGACTAATTACCTCGTCTAATGATGATTAGGTTGAATGAATGAGTGAATACTTTTCTGGAACAATATGAGTTGCTGACATAATAAAGATTTATGTCAGAAATACTCTGTATTTTGGGGCTTTCTGTCACTAAAATACTTAGCTCTGTCTTGTAAAATATGGTAATTTAAGTGACTATTATGCACATAATTTCATTTTTGAAATACATAACCCTACAGGAAACCTAATTATGAGTCATCATAACTAGGAAGAGTAAATAATCCTCATAAAAATGGCCTCCTTTAAAACTAGCTTTTTAGGAAACAAAATTAAATTCTATTAAGGAAGAAAACTTAGTTTTTATGAGAGTTCTCTGTCATACAAATAACATCTTTTGGCAATTTCACATAGAAAATGTTTTACTAAAAACAGAAATTTTACAGTAATGTTTAATTCCTAGGCCAATTTATAAATATTTGCTATTTCATTTGGGTTCCATCAAGTTATTTAAAGAATAAAAAGGAGTAAAATAGTGTCTAGAGCAATTGTTTTCAGAAATTCTGTAAGGCAAAACAGAAAGAAATAAGCTAGGAAAAATATAAACACATGGGTAAGAGTTTAAATGGGAAGATTTAAAGAAAATGATGTGAAAAGTCACTGGAAATAATGATGTATTAAAAAGTTGATCTAGTGTACATTTAGACTTTTTTTCTTTCCTGATAATTTTCAACATCTTAAACACTCTTTCCTCCATTTTCTCTTCTGTGTATACTTCCTGAAAGTAGAGCAGGCTAATGTAGCTGGGCTGCAGAGTGGAGGGGAGTTCTGAGACAAGGCTAGAGAATAAGCAACAGCTAGATCCCACAGAGCCTTATCAGGAAACACAGAAAGTTGTCACTGAAGGGCATGGTAAGCTTTGTGAATTAAAAAGAAAAAAAAATCACTGTATCCGTAGCATGGAGAATAGTGTAAATGCAGAGACCAGTTCAGGGGTTATTTCTATACTTCAAGGATGAGATGATGTTATTTTAAACTAAGATGAAATCCATAGAGCTAGAGAAATAAGAGTGAGCTTGAGGATGGGTTGGATATGGGAGTAAATGGTAAAAATAATATACGTATGAAAACTGAATACTTCTAGCTTCTAGTTTATGCAACTGGACAGATGGCGGTTTCATTTACCAATACAGGAAATAATGGAAGAGGGTCAGTACTAAGGCTTTGTTTTGCAAAAGTTGACTTCAAAGTGATTTTAAGACCTTTCAACCTACTGAACTTTGGCAAGTTGCTCTCTCTAAAACTTGGTTTACACATCTCCAAAATGAGGCGTTTACACTAAATGACCTAATCAGTACTTACTGGAACTACAATGCTATCATTGTGGTTTCAATTGTGTGTGAGCTTAGGGAAATCAGAGGATACAATATTTGAAATGATAAACAGAATATTTAAATTTGATATTAAAAAGAAAAGAGATCAAAATACAAATCTAAGAAAGGGGCTAGATGTCTAGGAAATGGTATGATGAAACTATAATTTGGAGGAGCTTATTCTGACAGCTGGACTAAAGTAAGAAAGAAAATAGCAGATGAGAAATAAGGTAAAAAGCTGAATCAATGAAGTGACTCTGGAAAATGGAAGCACAAACTGTTAGTGTATAAGATGAATTAGTAGAATTTGATAACATAAGTAAGAAAATCAAAGAGAAAGAAACCAAAGCTAACAACTTAGGTTTTCTTTCAAGCTTTGAATACAAAGATGACGATGGAGAGACAAGAATATATGTAAGGGGTATTATTCAGAGACTTAAGGAGGAGCAGTTTATTACCTGACATGCTAAATGTAGCTATTTCATATTTTGAAAAGTAAATTACCTTTTTAGAAAAATAATCATTTAACAGAAGTAATTGACTAGATGTACCATTGCTTTCAAAAATAGTATTAACTATTTAATAAGGATATGCAGAGACTTGTTTTTGAAATTGTTTGTATTAAGAATAATATCTGCGATTTATCTTGAATGTTTTATTCTTACTTGTCTGATTTAATTTTTCAGCCCCATGTGGTGGCCATTTTTCAGCTCCCAGTGGAGTGATTCTCTCACCAGGATGGCCAGGATACTACAAAGACTCTTTGAATTGTGAGTGGGTGATTGAAGCTGAACCTGGACACTCTATCAAAATTACATTTGAAAGGTCTCACAAATATTTTTCCTACTTTTAAAGAAAATATTATCTAAAAGATTAGTTGACATTCTCTTTTGCATTTACCAAATGAATGTTTAATTTTATTGTAATAGTCAATTGCTGTGCTTTGAATGCTTCCATCTGTTTGCCCCCTTTTAACCTTTCAGCGTGTTTCCAAGTTAATTTTCTATTTGTGTAATGCTGTATCAGTACTATTGAAATATGCAAGATCGACCTTTTTGCTTTATGTACTACTAAGATGTGAACATGTGACCTTTAACTTAATGAGTTTAGTTGTTCTATACTTTGAAGGGCCTGTGAATTCTGCTCTGCTAGGTTTCAAGAGGCGAAGGTGCTGTAAACACATTCAAATCAACACTAGTGCAGTCTAAGACACTTAGGCACACTATCCATATGCTTTCACCTATAAGTCCTTGTGAAAATGACTGTCATGTAGTATGTAGTAATGGTGGAACAGCTGACCTTTTATTTCCCCTAGAAAAATTAGTATTACTGATCAAATAAACTATATTGTAAAAGGCTATAATATTGTATATTTTAAATCTTAAAAGAATGAAACTTCTCTTACGTTATTGAATCACAACTTACAAATCAAAATAGATTTATCTATATAATCTCTCAGTTATATCATTGACTTCTCTCATCTCCCAACCCCTTTCTTCAAAAAACAAACAGATGAACAAAAAAACTTATTTAAGCATTAGATCCACATGAAAAACATATAAGTACAGCAGAATATATTTATTATTGACTGAAGATTGAATTTTACAAACCTAACATGATTCTTTCCTAACTCAAAAGGTCTTTCATTGAATTTGTCTATCCATGCTAGTGTTAACATTTGCATGGGAGAGAACAGATTCCACTTTGAACAGAGGTAGAGTATTAAACATTTCACATGGCTTCATTCTACTGTTAAAACAAAAACGTTAGACAACTTAAATTTAACCATGTTTATTTGAGCAAAGAACCATTCATGAATCAGGTAGCACCTTGAATCAGTAAATATGAAGAGCTTCGTATGGCAAATGGGCAGAAAGTATTTATAGACAAAAAAAGGAAGTGACATAAAGAAACAGCTTGATTAGTTACAACTTCGCATTTGACTTATATAGATATGATCTGATCAGTCGGTGGCCTGTTACTGACTGAAGCTTGGTTTCTGTAATTGGATGACACTCAGCTATTTATTACAAGATTATACTCTTAGTTAGGTTGCCATTTCTTATGCGGGAATTCAAAGTATACAGGAGGTTTTAAGCTAAACTTAATTTAACACTATCTTGTTATAATCTACATGGTTTACTAGGGCTATATTAGTTTTCTATATTAGTTAGGGCTGCCATAACCAAGTGTCACAGACTGCATGAGATAAAAAACAAAAACTAATTTTCTCACATTTCTGGAGGCTAGAAGTTCAAGATCAAGGTGTCCACAAGACAGTTTATTCTGGATTCTCCCTTTGCCTTGTAGATGGCTGTCTTCTCCATTTATCTTCACGTGATTTTCTGTGTGTGTGTGTTTATGTCCTGGACACCAGTTACATTGGATTAGGGCCCATCTATATGATCTCACTTTACCTTAATTACCCTTTTAAAGTCTCTTTCTCCAAATACTGTCACATTCTGAGTACTACTAGGGATTAAGATTTCAACATAGAAATTTGGGGGAACACAATTTAGCCCACAACAATAATTGACACATTTTTAAAAATTTTCATTTACATTCATTTGGCATTTTGTTGTTGTTGTTGCTATTCTGTTAAAACCGTATCCCCTATTTATTGGTTTACATGGCTTATGTTGCCATAGCAATTTTAGAAAGCTTGAAAAACATCTTAGTTATTCATCATTAAATCTTTTTCCAATATAGTTTTTCCATGAATGTTGAACTAAAATTAACCAACCTTACTTTAGCACACAGAATTATGTTTGGTTTGGAATACATGATAAAGCATGATATGTATTGATTTGGAACAATAGGACAAAGATTTCATCCATATTTTTCAGTTTTTAAATTTAGTATTTTACATTTGAAAAACAAGCATATTTGTCAATCTATCAGAATTAATCTCATATATATTTATATAATATGTCAAGTACATAATTTTCGTATTTCTTGTTTTGGACTAAACATTATTTTGTATCAGGAGGTGCAACGGTAGTTGAAAATATGTTATTTTCATATTTTATTTGTATCAGTTCATAGCATCTATCACCCAGATGACTCTCACCAGTCATTATCCTTCAATATTCAAGTAAAAAGACTTCACCGCCATCCCACATACAAGGGAAACCTACTCTCTCCTTCAATTTTCAAAGAATGCCTGGGGGTGCTTTTGTTCACTTCTGGACTTAAATTCTGTCTCCAGAATCAACCTACATAATAGACACTGAGGCTGCTGCACTCTCTCAACATTACTCTATTCATTTGCATCACTTTCTTTCATTCTCATGAAAACCATAATGCAGGTGACAATGAAAGAGGATTATTGCACAATCCAGAGTCATTTAAGATTGAATAAGCCTACACTGTTCTAAATTTTCTTGATAACCCTCATCACAGGAATAATTGCTTGTATCTCTCCAATCCCCTCTCTTATCCCAAACTGTTCTTCATTTTTTTTTTATTATACTTTAAGTTTTAGGGTACATGTGCACAATGTGCAGATTTGTTACATATGTATACATGTGCCACGTTGGTATGCTGCACCCATTAACTTGTCATTTAACATTAAGTATATCTCCTAATGCTATCCCTCCCCCCTCCCCCCACCCCACAACAGGCCCCGGTGTGTGATGTTCCCCTTCCTGTGTCCATGTGTTCTCAGCGTTCAATTCCCACCTATAAGTGAGGACATGTGGTGTTTGGTTTTTTGTCCTCGCGATAGTTTGCTGAGAATGGTGGTTTCCAGCTTCATCCATGTCCCTACAAAGGACATGAACTCATCATTTTTTATGGCTGCATAGTATTCCATGGTGTATATGTGCTACATATTCTTAATCCAGTCTATCATTGTTGGACATTTGGCTTGGTTCCAAGTCTTTGGTATTGTGAATAGTGCTGCAGTAAACATACATGTGCGTGTGTCTTTATAGCAGCATGATTTATAATCCTTTGGGTATATACCCAGTAATGGGATGGCTGGGTCAAATGGTATTTCTAGTTCTAGATCCCTGAGGAGTCGCCACCAACAGTGTAAAAGTGTTCCTATTTCTCCACATCCTCTCCAGCACCTGTTGTTTCCTGACTTTTTAATGATCGCCATTCTAACTGGTGTGAGATGGTATCTCGTTGTGGTTTTGATTTGCATTTATCTGATGGCCAGTGATGATGAGCATTTTTTTCATGTGTCTTTTGGCTGCATAAATGTCTTCTTTTGAGAAGTGTCTGTTCATATCCTTTTCCCACTTTGTGATGGAGTTGTTAGTTTTTTTCTTGTAAATTTGTTTGAGTTCATTGTAGATTCTGGATATTAACCCTTTGTCAGATGAGTAGATTGCAAAAATTTTCTCCCATTCTGTAGGTTGCCTGTTCACTCTGATTGTAGTTTCTTTTGCTGTGCAGAAGCTCTTTAGTTTAATTAGATCCCATTTGTCAGTTTTGGCTTTTGTTGCCATTGCTTTTGGTGTTTTAGACATGAAGTCCCTGCACATGCCTATGTCCTGAATGGTATTGCCTAGGTTTTCTTCTAGGGTTTTTATGGTTTTAGGTCTAACATTTAAGTCTTTAATCCATCTTGAATTAATTTTTGTATAAGGTGTAAGGAAGGGATCCAGTTTCAGCTTTCTACATATGGCTAGCCAGTTTTCCCAGCACCATTTATTAAATAGGGAATCCTTTCCCCATTTCTTGTTTTTGTCAGGTTTGTCAAAGATCAGATAGTTGTAGATATGTGGCATTATTTCTGAGGGCTCTGTTCTGTTCCGTTGGTCTATATCTTTGTTTTGGTACCAGTACCATGCTGTTTTGGTTACTGTAGCCTTGTAGTATAGTTCGAAGTCAGGTAGCGTGATGCCTCCAGCTTTGTTCTTTTGGCTTAGGATTGACTTGGAAATGTGGGCTCTTTTTTGGTTCCATATGAACTTTAAAGTAGTTTTTTTCCAATTCTGTGAAGAAAGTCATCGGTAGCTTGATGGGGATGGCATTGAATCTATAAATTACCTTGGGCAGTGTGGCCATTTTCACAATATTGATTCTTCCTACCCATGAGCATGGAATGTTCTTCCATTTGTTTGTTCTTCATTTTTAATCTCTTCTGCATCTAGAATCTTCAGTCCTCATTTCCCCATTCCCTGTGCTCCTGGTATATAGCAGGGTAAGTCTCAAAATACCTATTACTTTATTATGCAGAGTGATTTAATTATTTGTTTTTCTGGGTGATGTTGGGGAGTAGGAATGGATCTTGCCTTTCTTTTGAAACATACTATTATTATTATTATTTTTTATCAAACAGCAGTGTTTTCTTATGAAGACCTCACCCCTTCCCCACCTTCTAGCTGACTGAAACTGGAATGTTATTTTAAAATAACATTTTCTTTTATTCTCTTATTCAGTTTTAAAATACTATATAAGCCAAAAATAATATGACTAGAAAATTAGTTTAAGCTTTATGAACACAAAGTGCATTATTATGTTGAAAAGCATCTGCTGATTTGCTAATGAGAGTCATTAATCATCATTAAATAAATAAACACCTAGTATCTTTCAGCTCAAAGTAGGCTACTAAGAGTGGCTCACTTGATGAACAGTTTGATTGCCAAACAATGCCTGCAATTCAGAGGGCATCCGTACTCTGACATTTGATTTTGGACTTTTGTTTGAAGGCACTATTTTCTCTGTCCAAAATTCTTAGCATGCATCTGCTGTCCTTCCAACAGGCCAATATAGGCCTCTTTGCTGCTTGCCTATCTTGTTTAGATACCTTTAGAATTCTCCAAATGAATTCACTTGTACTGTATAGCCTATATTTGAAATTAGACTGTTTCAAACCTGACTTTCTGGTGAAATCTTTCCAGCCATTTTAATAAAATGTAACACTAGTTAAATAGGCATAAACTTAAATTAATTTCTATAGCGTTACTTAGCACGTTTTACTCTGCCACTTTCTTATTCTTTTATCTATTGATTAAGACACAAATCTTTTAAATTAGGCTAGAAGTAAGAAAGTCTAATTGAAAAGTGATTTTCAATGTAGGATTTATGCACAGGAACAATAATCAGTCTTGTGCGTAGATCAGAATAGGCCTTGGGTGAGGAATGTTTCCTACAGTTTAAAGATTTTGGCTTCTCCCCATGGACATCACCAAGCTGGACTTGTCAACCGTGCCTCATTTCTTAATCCTGAAATTACCCACTCAAATCAATTATAATCTCATGGCTTCTTCCACTTCCCTAAAACCAATCATTAAAAAATCATTCTTTGTTAATTGGCCCAAACACTGGAATAATCAGGAGTTACAATGCTTTAAGAATTTATTAATGGTATTTTCAGTATTTTAGAATAAACAGAGCACATTTATATCACATATTTCCTTTGAATCTACCTTATATAAATAAAATAAATTAAGTCCCAAATTCTTCCAAATGTTGTAAACTGAAATAAACGCTCCTTTTAGGGCTTGAGCCTTCTATTTGCCTTTCCTTTACTTCCACCCCAAATCCTATAAGATTATTGAATTGGAGCTAAGAAAAAAAAATCCTTAAATATCTTCTTCCATTTGTTCTTCTCTAAAGACCTTTTAAGGGTATGAGGTATTGGTTGAGGGCTGTCTATATTCCATATGCTTTGCCAGAAAATTGGTTCTTTTAATAATCTACATCTTACACAGATATCACATGGTTAGCAGTAACTCAGTAGCAAAGGGATGAACAAGGTATTTCAATTTTAAAAATAAGTGAATTTTATCCATTAGGGCAGCAACATAAAATAATCACTTTGAAATCAGACATAAATATGCCTATCACTTCCTTGATCAGTGGCCTTATAATGTCTTGGTGCTTTATTTTTTTCTAAAGATTGTTTTAAGAAATCGAATATTATTTCTAAAGTATCTAACACATAATGGATTCTTGAAAATATCTAATTCTCTTTTGATTTCCAGCCAAACTCTTGTAAGGACACTAGTTGCCAACTCTTTAATAATTCCTCTTATTCTGAGAATATTCTTGAAGAAGCTGGTTCCAAGAAATGATTTATTACAGAGTCATGTCACTTACTTTCCACTACTCGTGAGTCATTTAAATTTGTTGAAAACAAAATTTGTAAAAATCAGATAATATATTTAACATGGTGGCATAGCTATTTTGTAGTTTTTTTCTATATTCTCAAATGGAGAAAATGATTAGAATTAACCTACAGAAAGTAATATTATTTACCAATATATTATTCATTCATTTTCTCTTTGAGATTGTCTCAACAGCTTGTCAATAAAACTACAAGAAATATGATTTCTTGTAAAATACAAAACAAAATAGCAATAACACCAACAAACATGTTTTTAAAACCATTTACCTCTTCTTAACATATCCAAACATTTAACAATTCTTACTCTCAGATCTGCAAAGGAATTTTTGTTTTTGTTTATTCCCACACTTTCTAAATTTTCTCAATATCCAGCAGCTCCTGAGTCTAAGAGGTATTCATTTTACTATCCATCATTCAAAGTGTATTTTTCGGTTCCTTTTCCTATCCTCAGCTCCCTGAATGCATGCTATCACTATCAGTCTTTCAGAGAATATTTTTTTAAGTTAATGAGGACTATCTCAATTTGGTTAGGAAGGGTTTGGATTACATCAAGAATGTTTTTTAAAGACAACAAAAATTGAATAAGATTAGATCCAATTTCATTCATAATAACATTTAGTGCTACCATAATATTTGTTTAGCATATACAATAAATTTAATTTCATAAACAAACATGAGACTGAGGCAATTCATGAGAAATTTATACAACTATTTTAAAATAGAAAATGAAAGAAATTCAATTTATTGTGTAACCCTATCCCATTTTGCTTGTTATTAGAATGTATTTTTATAGTTCCTCAGGGCAAATCTGCAATGATTTTCTTTTTAAAGATTCACTGGTACTGAACAATGTTCTTTATATCACCAGTTAATGTTGCTATTCTATTAAGAATTAAGTCTCTTTATGTTTCAATTTGAAGTAATCCCTGACTCTTCCGTGCATTTTAATTTGGCTGCTGTCAGCTGACTAGCTATCAAAGTCAAACTCCAATTTCAATATTCACAGTAGACTGACTACAAAGCAACCAAATAATAGATTGACAATTTCTTTTTTTTTTCTTTTGAGACAAAGTCTCACTCTGTCACCCAGGCTGGAGTGCAGTGGTGCGATCTCGGCCCACTGCAACCTCCGCCTCCCAGGTTCAAGTGATTCTCGTGCCTCAGCCTCCCGAGTAGCTAGGATTACAGACGCCAACCACGCCTTGCTAATTTTGGTATTTTTAGTAGAGACAGGGTTTTGCCATGTTGGCCAGGCTGGTCTCAAACTTCTGACTTCAGGTGACTCACCCACCTCAGCCTCCCAAAGTGCTGGAATTATAGGCAAAAGCCACTGTGCCTGGCCTAGATTGACAATTTCTAAGTATATGATCATTTATTTAAAGAACTTAGTGTTCCTTTATCTTTCCTTCTCTACACCATATTATTGAAACATTTATGAAACACATACAGTATATTCCAGGTCACAAAATTAGAAGTAAAATACACTTCAAAAATTCACATATACTGTTTACTGATTAATAGGAGGCAGTTGTGCTTCCTGAACAGTATTAAATTATATACTTAATTTTGACTAACGTGTCATATGCTATGTTCATAATAATATCAGAGACTGATACGATATAATGAAATAGAGTTTCTAACCTTTTTTGAATCCATTCAATTAGTTCTGGGCATTTGTTTGACCACATATGAGTTTTATTCATTTTGGTTTTGAGGAATAAAGTGGTTTAATCTCATAACACATACTGCAAAAGACTGGCAAGTATGATAGTAAAAGTGATTCTCTGAAAATTAGTGGGCATTTCAAACTAAAAATTATTTTTTAAAGTGTACTGGAGATAAAACTGGAGAAATAAAGTACTGAAACTTTATTGGAAAGTGCATTTAACATGAGTAAAAATACATGGTTAATACTAAAGCATCCAATTATGTTGGATACTTTTTTGTAAAACTAGTAACTACCCTAGAGAAAAGAAAGACATTTTTAACTGTAAAATACATTCATTTTTTCTTTGATCCAATAAATATTTATTGAGTGTCTACTATATGCAAAGCATTGACAAAAACACACTGCTTAACCTCATGGAGTTTATAGACTTTTAAGGAAGACAGTTGTCTAAAAAGTAAACACTACTGTGATTAGTATCACAAAAGCCACAGTAAATTGTGGCAGTAGAATAGGAAATAAAATAATCTACAATGTGAGGACAGAAGAGGTCTTGCTGTTCGCATATTTAAGCTGAAACTGAAAGATGTGTAGGAAAACCTTGGTTAAAGCAAGGAAAAGAATTTTCGAGGCTTCAAGATCATCATAGGCAAGGGAAAAATATTTTAGTACTCCATGAGTTCACATAAACATTTTTCCACAGTTTAGATCTTGGATCTAGATTCAGGATATAGTATAACCCTGAAGTGCAAGGGAAGAATACAAAATGCTATTTTTTTAAAATAGATGTTATACATGTTAAAAGTAGCCCTGTGTCGATTGACGTTTATAAAATAAATTAATATGTTTTAAAGAATTGAAAACAGCAGAACAACCAAAAATCTAATAAGATCAGACATCATAGAATAGAGGTTAGAGTCAGGGAGACTTGGTTTTGATGCCTACTTTTGTAATTTAAGATAATGTAATACTATTTAAGTTTTGAAGGTGGCTGGGTGCAGTGGCTCACGCCTGTAATCCCAGTACTTTGGGAGGCCAAGACAGGTGGATCACTTGAGGTCAGGACTTAGAGACCAGCCTGGCCAAGATGGTGAAACCCTGTGTCTACTGAAAATACAAAAATCCGCCAGGCGTGGTGGCACACGCCTGTAATTCCAGCTACTCAGAAGGCTGAGGCACAAGAATTGCTTTAGTCCAGGAGGCAGACGCTGCAGTGACCCAAGATGGCACCACTGCACTCTAGCCTGGTTGATGGAATTAGATTTTGCCTCAAAAAAAAAAAAAAAAAAAGTAAAAAGAAAAAAAAGTTTTTAAGGCTGTGGTTTTCTTACTTGGAAAGTGGGTTTAATAATATGAGCTACACCATAGGGTTAATGGGAGGATTACAAAAACTAATGTCAATGAAGTCTTTAATAGAGCTGCTGATACTTTAATAAACATCAAATGTATCATCATTAGTTACTACCTACTTAGAACTGTTGTTTTCAAATACAAACTTTATCACATGTTTAAAGGCAGAAATAGATTTGTCCAAAAATTTTGTATAAATGTTATGTATCAATAAAAAACACTTGAATAAAAAATAATTATAAAAGCAGATGTCAAATTTGAAATGTGTGTGTTATTAAGATGATAATCTAATTATCTGATTGAAAATAAATGTAAACCACATATTTTTCCATAAAAATAAGGAAGACAACCAAAGATAATTCCAAAAATATGTTTGGTTCATGAACAGTCCAGTTATAAGATAATTTATAATATTTGAAAGAATCTTAGGAACAATACATAACTTTTTAATAATAATTTTTCATAGGAATAAGAGCTTATACCTTTGGCATTCACAAATGATGGTGTCTTAAATGATATCTTAGATATTAGATAAGCTAAAGAAAATTATAATATAAAATGGAAAAATTTTAAATAGGAATTTAAATAGCAGTCCAAAGCATTATTTCCATATATAGTGTTAATTCTAAATATATTTTCACATGTGTCTTTTAATCTTAGATTTCAGACTGAACTGAATTATGATGTTCTGGAAGTTCATGATGGGCCAAATCTTCTGTCACCCTTGCTTGGATCTTACAATGGCACCCAAGTGCCCCAGTTTCTATTTAGTAGCAGTAATTTTATATACCTTCTATTTACAACAGACAACAGTCGTTCCAATAATGGTTTCAAGATTCATTATGAAAGTAAGTAATGATAAAACTTTTTGATTTCCTCATTCTGTTTGCCCTACTTTTTGTATTATTATAGTTTTACTAATGGAACTATTAGCTCTATTTATTTTAAATCAAAGCTTTCCTTCATCTATAAGAATGTTAATGCTTTATAAGGTGTGTGTTTTAGTAAATTCTGCAATAGATTTTCCAGCAATATCTATCTAATATCATTATGAAACAAAATACTAAAGAAATATCAGAAGCATCAAATCATTATTTGAAAATGAGGTTTTGTACCAATTATTTGTGTATAGTTCTGAAAAACAGATAATAGACAGTAATTGCCAGTCTAAGATATATATAAACAATAACATTTTTAGCATTTACTTCACAAATTCAGTTATTCTTTTATAGTTTCCTCACACTAATTGCACATATTTTCCATTTAAAATATTTAATTTTATTATTTTGCATAAAATGTTGAAAATAATATTAAAATTAAAAGGCAAACTGTATATACATATATTCAAATATGATTAATATAAGTCGAGAAAACTATATTAATACAAGCTATAATTCAGAGTGTTGGAATCATTATAACCCCTATTAAATCTCATGGTTTTGTTTAAAAAGTCTAAAATATTTTGATTTTTGAAACATTTTGATGCTGATATGAACACAGAAATGGGCTTTTTTTCCATTTATAAACATCTTGCACATGTGTGGCTATATTGCATAAGATTTATGTGTGTGCAAACATATAAATTTACATATGTGTACATTTTCATCATGAATGCATAGCCATATACTTTTACGTGAAATGCACTTTTGATAAATTAATCTAACAACACACTTAAGAGGGTTATTAAAATATGTCTTTATTTCAAATGCAGATATTATATTATTTATTTTAATATTCAAGTTAATTATGACCCTTTCCCCCTCAAGAAGAGATTTCTGCATTTGAAATATATAGTTTTATATTTGCTGTTGGGCATCTATCTTCAATAGATATAGTCAATGGACTCATGGGTTTTTAAAATAATTGTCAATATAGATCCATTAGTTTTTTTAAATCATCTTATCTACAGTATTGTTTGACTATATTAACTTCCCATTATTTTGAGCTTTGTGGCATGAAAGCATATTTTGTAAAAATCATGGTAAAATGCAATAAGAGAATGCACACATACTTGGGGGTTCAAATGAACTAAAGTGCCTTAACTGATATTTTGAGTCTAACATGTATTTACTAAACCTGAGTCAAATTAGTCATTTAGAAAAATCTACTTCAAAACTAATTCTCACTAGTAATTAATTGATATCAATATGCAGGCAGCTTTTCTTTTAGTCCATTGCTGTATCCTTTACCCAGTAAATCGTATTCAATCCCATTCCACCCAAGGTATGTGGTCTTTACCAAAAACAGGACTATTTTAAAGATTAAATGAAACAAAACATGCAAAATGTGTCAGCATAACTGGTAACATGCAGTATGTTCTCAATAAATGATAGCCTTTACATTTCTCCTACAAAAACTAGTCAGATAAGGAATAAAAATAAGAAGTCCTGCTCAAATGCATACCTTCAGTCAGCAAGTTTGTCACTTACAGGTCCTTAGTGGCATAGTCCAAGTTATTTTCGAGGGCTAGTGCCTTAAAAGGCAAAGTGGAAGCTGAGAGCTGACAAACATTGAGGTTGATTAGAGACACACTTGTTATTAATTTGGTCAAATCTAACAAGATGAAATAACTTTGTATTTAAATTTGTCTTTAAGAAATCACCTTCTCTCATTTTATTCTATTAGTCTTGTGGTATATTTACTCCTGTGAAATAATCTCCAACATCATAAATCCTTTCTTATCAAGAAACCAACAAAAGCCTTTTCATTCATCTCTTTCTTACTGTTTCCCAAGCTGAAGGTAACTAAACTATCTTTTTCAAATGAACCATTCACAAACCTCAAAATCAGTAGATTGCTAATGAGAACATTAACAATATATTTGGCATTTGGTGTATTTCTATTTTTTTAATCAAATTCATTGAAAGTGAAAGTAATTTGTCTTCCCCAGGCAACCAAAATCCTATAGGAAGGAATGCTTGCAATGCCACCATTGTTTGTACTCCAGGTTTCTGTTATATTTTTTACCCCATTCTTTTTTTTTACCCCATTCTATCTGCCCCCCAAAACATGGGGATTACAAAAACTATCAATAAGATAAGGTTGGCTGGGTGCGGTGGCTCACGCCTGTAATCCCAACACTTTGGGAGGCCAAGGCAGGCAGATCACGAGGTCAGGAGTTCAAGACCAGCCTGACCAACATGGTGAAACCCCATCTCTACTAAAAATACAAAAATTAGCCAGGCATGGTGGTGTGTGCTTGTAATCCAAGCTACTCAGGAGGCTGAGGCAGGAGAATCACTTGAACCTGGGAGGTGGAGGTTGCAGTGAGCCGAGATCACACCATTGTACTCCAGCCTGGGTGACAGAGTGAGACTCCATCTCAAAAAAAAAAAAAAAAAGATAAGATTATTTAGAGGTTTCAAAACACATTAAAATTATAACAACATAGAGTAGACTTTAGGAATATAATTTATTTTTATTTCTATAGTTTTTCCCCAGGAAAAAATCACGTCTGTTTATTATGTTGTATTGCTTGAAATATGACTATAATTAAGTCTTGGATATCTAAATATTATACAAATTTTAAAATTGAAAATGGATACAGAACAAACGTATAGACATATATTCATCTCCAAATATGTATTTTTCATATGAACGTATAGATGTATTTTCCAATTAGGAAAATGTTAGACATCTAAAAGAATGCACAATTTATGATCAATAGATATTTGAGGGGAGGAGTAGTAGAAACAGAAACATAAAATGTTCAAACGTTGTATTACATAAATAAGAAAAATGTCCATTTTGAATTTCTACTTTTTAAAAAAACAAGCTCTATAAAGCAATAAGGAAAAAGATAACATGTTAATGTCATTTGATATAATGCAGACATGAACTTCTGAAAATTATGTACATTGCCAACATTTAAGAATTTTCTAAAACTAGCTGGGCACGATGACTAAAGCCTGTAATCCCAGCACTTTGGAGGCTGAGGCGGGAGTGTCACTTGAGGTCATTAGTTTGAGACCAGCCTGGCCAACGTGGTGAAACCACGTCTCTACTAAAAATACAAAATTTAGCCAGGAGTGGTGGTGCATGCCTATAATTCCCACTACTTGGGAGGCTGAGGCAGGAGAATTGATTGCTTGAACCCAGGAAGCGAAGTGGAGGCTGCAGTGAGCCAAGATTAGCCACTGCATTCCAGCCTGTAGGATGGGTGAGACTCTGTCTAAAAAAAAAATCTTCTAAAGCTACTTACCAATTATGTTTTAGTATTCAGTAATGACTATCAGTTAATAAATAATACTGATATCAGTTCCTCATGATGTTTCTCATTTTCTCAATTTTGCAACATTTCCATTGCCTTGCATTATGCCTTGAGTTATTTGCTTGTCAATCAATTATGAACTATTTCTTTAGACTTATTTTGTGACTCCTAGATCAATGCACCACAGTGGAAGACATAAAAGAAATACATCATCTTACTTTATCAGTTGAAAAGCCAAGAAAGGCAAATGAATTATTAACCCCATATATTCATTGACCTTTACTATAGGTCAATGAACAAAAGCATTACAATCACTTTTGAATAATTAAATTTTACTGTAATTTACATTGTATATGACCACTGCAACCCCCATTTCTCTGATTTTAGACGATTTTACTACAATGTTAGAGGTTCATGTAAAGGAAAGTTATATATCACCTGGAACATTGGGGGAAATTGAAACCTGAAGGAAGGGGGTCTAAACTTTTCTGTTAAAGGTTGAGAAGATTGTGTACATTAAGAGGACAACTGAAGGTATTCCTATGAGACAAAGCCTAAAACTAATGAGGAGACTTATCTGATTGATATAAAAAATGACCATTGGGAGATAATGACAATTTAGAATAGTAAAGTCTAATTTGGGAATCTTAATTTTCAGGGTGACGACTTTGAACATGGTGCCATTAGCCATAGGGTATTAAAGCAATGAAAAAACATGTTTTGGCTATACGTATGTCCAACATTTTATATAGAATAAATTGGAGATGAAAGATACTGAAAAACATGCTAAATGTTATTGTTTGTTTCATAAACTTGAGGTGATGAGGGCCTTGGATAGGGTAAGAGAAATAATACATGACATGATGCTTTTCAATGAGAATGGATTTCAGACATATTTTGTGGAGGAAAAGAGTGAGGAATCAAAGATGAATGAGAGTTTAAAAGCACTGGGTGCTGGCCAGGTGCAGTGACTCACGCCTGTAATCCCAGCACTTTGGAAGACTGATGCAGGAAGATCACAAGGTCAGGAGTTCAAGACCAGCCTGGCCAGCATGGTAAAACCCGTCTCTACTAACAATACAAAAAATTAGCCGGGAATGGTGGCATGTGCCTGTAGTCCCAGCTACTCGGGAGGCTGAGGCAGGAGAATTGCTTGAACCCGGCAGGTGAAGGTCACAGTGAGCCGAGATCACGCCATTGTACTCCAGCCTGGGCGACAAAGCGAGACTCCGTCAAAAAAAAAAAAAAAATGCACTGGGTGCTTAGAAAAATAATGGTCACACTTAGAAGAGGAACTTAGCAGATAAAAGTAGATGTGTTGAAGATAAAATTGTCTCTATTGTATTTTAGTTTCTCATTAAAATAACACCATTTAGATGAAACGAATATGCTTGATAAATACACTTAAAATGTACAATTTCCGTCTTTAAAATTAAACTTCTATTTTGTACCATTTTGTTTAGCTTCATTTTTGAATTGGGTAGCTAATACAAATAAATATTTTCTCATATAAATATGATTTAATATAATTATACAGTCTTAAAAATGTTAACGACTAATTTTGGAATATAGAAATAGTAGTTATTCATTGTTTAAATATCCTATATAGGAAGAAAAAAATAATTACTTGTTATAGTTTGTACCAGTGGTTCTCAACTGAGGGCATTGTTGCACCCCAAGAAATGTGTAGCAGTATTTGGAGATATTTGTTATTGTCATGATTGGAGAAATGCTACTGGCATCGAACAGGTGGGGGCCAGGAATGTTTCTAAAAGTACTCCAATGCACAGGACACCCACAACACAGAAGTATCCAGTCCAAAATGTCAACAGTGCCGAGGTTGAGAAGCCATATCTTATTAAAGGAAAAACATTGTCATGGTATGATCTCAGCTAGGGATTGTAAATTGCAAGGAAGATATCAGGAGACACTGAAGTGTACTAGAGACTATTGATAACAACAACAGTTAACCACCAGAAGAAATGTGCTAATTGGTTATACTTAGAACGGTTCTGGTGTTCATACTTTCATACCTTGCAAAATGCCTCTACTCTTCTTTTTCCTTTAGTAATTAAATGAGAAAATTTTGTATAATATTTAGAATGGTGCTTGGAATATAATAAGTTCAAGAAATGTTGACTATTGCTATGATTATTGTGATATATGTGTATATATACACAAAATTTATAACAATACAAAGTTTTACAGATAGTTATACATTTTCATCAAGTTCTTATGTAATTAAATGACCTGAATTTGATCCTTACTGGTAGGAAATGAGAAAACAAATTTATTAAATAAATTGCTGATTTTAAAAATGAAGTACGAGTACCTTTATTTGTAAAAATCATTGCTTGTAATTGTTTGAAGAACTAGGAATTATTTTCAGCAACTCCAAATCCCACCAAGCTTACTCTTTATTTTCTTCCCTTTGTTTTCCAGGTGTTACAGTGAACACGTATTCTTGTTTGGACCCTGGCATACCTGTACATGGCCGTCGCTATGGTCATGATTTCTCCATTGGCTCTACTGTTTCATTTAGTTGTGATTCAGGATACAGGTTGAGTCATGAAGAGCCCCTTCTATGCGAAAAAAACCACTGGTGGAGTCATCCACTTCCAACCTGTGATGGTAATAACTCATTTGACATGCAAAATATGCTGATTTATAAACAGAAAAATCAATGTAGTTTTTTATATGGGGTTTAACATAATTATAAATATTTTAGGTTTTTTAAAAGTTCTTTTGATTTCTGGCAAATTTATGTTATCAAACCATTCATGAAATAAAGACTATTGCTAATCAGCCAAACTTACTCCATGCCTAAAGATACTATCTGTGTATCTACCCTGTTTATATATGCATATATATTTAAAACTCACCTGTGTAACTATTTTAAGAACATGCTGTGGACCTTTTCAAAACAGCCTTGAAAATGCCAAATTTGTATGAGAAGAAAGTCCTGAAAAAAATGCAGCATTTGTTTCCTGCCTTGAATGGCAACATGTCCCAGTTCAAATAGAAGGCCAGCCTGTCTACAAAAATTCTAACCAGCTACACAGCACTATGGTAGTTTACTCCGACTACCCTGTTGTGTCAAGTTCCTAGTTATAATAAATAGCATACTAGTGTTCCTTACTGCTTCTTTGTTTCTATGAGAATAAGTCAGAAGTGCTTCATTTTTCAGGAAACACATATGAAATCCAGTGGAGGAAACTGCTTCTCCTAAGATTGGGAAGTGCTTGCATGCTTGCTTGTCAAAAAGCACACTCAATGTAAATCCATATATTATTTAACTATGGGTTTTAATTTCTATTTACAGTACTATTTTCAAATTCTACACTTACTATTTCTTGAAGTGGAAGATACCATTTGTCATTTTATGATTAAATTTTCAAGTACTGTCAGTGCCATCATTTTTTAAACAGTTTTAAGCTAATTTGTTTTTATATGAAGATTTAAACAACTCATCAAAACATCTTCCTTTAATTTGTGATTGTAAGTGACAGAAACCCAACTCTAACTGGTATTTAAAAATAAAAGCAGAAGCTGTTGTTCAACTGTTCAACTAGTAGAAAAGGCAAGGTGGGATAACTCTCATTGCTAATAAGAAGCATAAATTCAAAACTTTTTAAGAACTTCTCCATCTTACACTTAGACTTTTCTTTGTGTATTCACATAATTCTCTTACGCTGCAGACAGGCTTTTTCCGTATGAGGAATTGACAGTAGTGTATACACTCTCAGGCAGATGGAAGTTGATAGCCCTGTATCTTCAGTTTCAGAGAGGAAGGAGAGCTCTTCCCTGTCACTCTAATTAGAAAAATCCCAGGGAAGGTATTCAATTCATCCATATCTAAACTAGTAACTCTAGTGAAGGAGAAGGGCCCATTATGATTGACTTTGTCTTGGTCATGTGCTCATCTATCCCTGTGGTTGAGACAGACCATGGTGGTTTAAAAGTCCTATGTTTGCCAGACCCTAATAAAGCTACAAGGTTGGCCTGAATGAGGAGCATTCACCACGAAAGAAAGGTATGGAGGCAATATTATAAGAACCAGGAAGATAAAAAGTAATGGCAAGCGCATCAACACGCTTAACTTTTATTAATAATAAAAGCAAATATATCCAGTTTTCCCAGGAGCAGCACAGGCCCTCATCATTTTTCCATCCAACCCCATGTTTCTCACTAAGGTTATTTCACGTTATATTCCATATCCAAAATTCTTAATGGCTTTTTATTGCTTAGAAATGAAAGCTCAAATGACTAATCATGGAATTCAATGTCCTTAACCTTGAGAAATCCATCCTTTTCAGTGATGTTTCTGTCCTGCATTCTTACAATGCATCTTTATTTTAAAAGATCAAATCATGTTACTTTTAACCTCTATTATAACCTGGCCTCCTCTTTTGTATTTCTATTTCATGTTGAGTGCAACTGGACAAGGACTGAATTATGTTTATTTAAAAAATGTCTAAGCTGTGTATAAAGCAGGTACTTAATAATAATTTTTTTCTGTTGACTCGAACTGAACTCAACTATTGTATCACCTAGTGAACAGATTTGATCAGACCTTTCCTTTAACAGAAACTTTTGCCCCAGCGGTAACTAGTCCAGATCTCCTGAGGTAACAAGGGAGAAACAGACAAACAGAATTTCTTGCCCTGCTCCAAGAATGTAAACTTGATTGACCTAGGTTGCCTAATGCTTGTGTACAGTGTGCTTCACTCTAACATACATCAGCTTTTGTGATGTCTTTATATCCCATGATTAGCTGATTTACAAAGCAAACCAGACAATGTAGTATGGTGGTAATAATAGTGATGACTAATATTTATTGAGTTTTTACCATATGCTGATACTGCTACAGGTGCCTTATGTATTTTAAGTCATTTTCTCTTCCAAGTAACTCTATAGATAAGTGCTATTATGATCACCACTTGCAGCTGACAATATAAAACAAATGCAACTTAAAACATTGGCAATGTAAAATAATCTCATTTAGAAAAATGAAAAATGTCATTAGGTTGATGAAAATGATGAGGCTGATGATGATGATGGAGAATTATTTCAGTCACATACAAAGCTACTGGCAAATGAGAATTCGGAAGAGATAGATCAATTAAAGAACATAGACAAGGATACTGACACAATAGGTGTTAGGTGCATTAAAAAAGTGATTTGAAGGCCTGGTGCGGTGGCTTACGCCTGTAATCCCAGCACTTTGGGAGGCAGAGGCGGGAGGATCATGAGATCAGGAGATCGAGACCATCCTGGCTAACACAGTGAAACCTGTCTCTACCAAAAATACAAAAAAATTAGCCGGGCGTGGTGGCGAGCGCCAATAGTCCCAGCTACTGCGGTGGAGGGGCTGAGGCAGGAGAATGGCGTGAACCCGGGGGGCGGAGCTTTCAGGGAGCCGAGATAGCGCCACTGCACTCCAGCCCTGGGGGACAAGGCGAGATTCCATCTCAAAAAAAAAAAAAAAAGTGATTTGAAAATGACAGGATTAAATGAATCTCTGAGAAAATAAAGGATGCCCTTGAATTTTTTTTATATATTCATCATTTGTGAGGGAAGTGCTACAAAATCAAACATGAGTAAAGAACATCATAGCTTGCTAAAATAGTACTCTTAATGTGGAAAAAACATCCACACAATTCAAGAATCTGCCTGAGATCATAGACCCTGGAACTAGACTGTTTGAGTTATTTCTATACTTGCTTGCTTTCTCATCTGTAAACCGAATAATTACAGCATTTTTCTCAAAAGGTTGTTGTGGGGGCTGAGTTAACATAAATAAAATCTGCAGAATAGTGCCAGCTACGTTTTAAGTTCAAAACAGTTTGCTCTTGTTTCTGATAAGAATTAGTAAATCATTGTAATTTTATCCTGTTTTATTAGATATAAAATAAAATTTATGTCTTCATGTTTTTAGTTTCATCTTATAAAAAAAGCTTAAATTACATTCTTTCTTCACTATTTACTATGAAATTCCATCTTTAAGTCCATTCTCTTCAGTGTCTTCATCCAATGATAATTATTTTCAAATAACAGAAATCTTCACTTTGTTATAAAAATATATTCTATACTTTCCCATCTGATTCTAGTCAAAGTAATAGTACGAATGTTTGTTATATTAGTTGTTGACCATTCCTCCTAAATGTTTAAATGTGTTTATGTGTTACATAGATTTATGCATTTACCTGCAGAATGTCCCTTTAAGTTTCCCCTTCTACATATGTATATAGGTACAGCTTACAGACAAAAAAATTCCCAAGAAACTTCTCAAGAAGTAGGATACTTGACAAAGTGTCTTTATTTGAAAGAATACTGATATACAGAAAAACTTTCTCTCAACTTCTTGTAAATACACACACACAAACACGCAGATATACACACACACAAACACACAGATATACAAACACACATAAATGTGCATGCTCAGGAGCACATGTCTGGTGTCCTTTCTGAAAGTTTGCATCTCTCTTTTTTGTTACCTTTTTGTGTATTTTAAATTAATTTAACTCCCTTAATTTTCATGCTTGTGTTCAGTGAGAAATTTTATTCTAGCTGCATGACATATAGTCCTTTGAAGTAGAGACTGTAGGTTTTAACTCAGTAGACATTTCATTCATCATACAAATTCATATCATGTTATAGTGTTAGGTATTTTTGGAAGAGACAAAACCAAAACTCACTTTTCTAGTGTGCTAAGAAAGTGGGCAAGGATCAAATTAGACAAGGGTACATGTGGCATTCATGATTCTTACTGCCCTTGGCTGTGTCTAAGAGTTGGCCTTTCCAAGTGAAAGTGAATAAGGAGTCAACAAATTCTCTGCTCACACTAGAATAAAAATGCTTACTAAGCAATATTTTTTTGCTTCCTCCAGCTTTCAATTTTGATAGAATTGCCTGGCATACCATAAGCACTGATAGCTGTTGAATATATAGAAGACCTTGTAAACTATGATTTGTTCTCAAAGAAATGAATATCAAATCAAATATTAATTTTTTGACCTCAGATAGTTAGCTTATTTTTACTATCTTAGAATAATTACTTACAAAACTCGTTTTTGTTCATAATATTTCCTAGAAAAATAAAGAAACCCAGAAGCAGCCTTAAAAACTTTTACAACTCACTTCATAGTTTTGAAAGGAATCCTATAAAGAATGACACATATCCCTTTAGGAATCTATATCAAACAGTTTTATACAGTTAATTCATTTTCTTAGTGCTTAATAAGAGCAACTGTTAAACAATTAATTACTCATGTTTAATTTACCACCAATTTATGCAAATACTGCTTATAATTAGAAATGTATTAGCACATACTTCAAATTCAAACTTGGAAAGTTGAGCCATGTTCTCTTGGGGACTGCACTAATTCTCAGATGCTACTGAGTACACTTTTCTTCTCTAGTGCTGCATGCACACCTGTTATTACTAGGAGGTAGCATAAGCAAAGATAATGCGACTGCTCAATTCAAGAGAGGAGATAGAGATTTGTTCACCCTCTGTCTCTCTCACTGCTGATCACATGGATCTGTTTCTTTGTATTTCAGCATTATGTGGAGGAGATGTTAGAGGGCCTAGTGGAACAATCTTATCACCTGGTTACCCGGAATTTTATCCAAATTCTCTGAATTGTACATGGACTGTTGATGTAACCCATGGAAAAGGTAATTTGCCTCATGAAATAATAATTGGACTATCTTCTGAATTTTCATTGAGTCTATTCTTATTTCACTTTCCTTTACATGTTATTTTGCATGAGCAAAAACAGATCAGTACTACAATATGCTAAAACACATTTCAATTTAAATAATTGCCACAAAAATTATATTTACTCTTCTATAGTATTATATTGTGCTCATGTTTTTACCAGGCTGTTGCTATGAGAGATTTGTTTACTTTTGATATAATAAACTAATGTCATTTGAAATTTTTGTAACAGGAAAACCTCAAACAAGAGGGCTTTAGTTTCTGGCATAGTGTTAAGAAATGGATTTCAGGAGTTCAAAGGGGAATATGAGATGCTCTGATATGCTAAGCCAATTTTTAAAGCAACTAGTATGTGTTTATATATACTTGTTTATAATTGTTTGTAACAATTATATTCTCTATATAAATTTATAGCCATTCTATAAATATCTGTGTCTCAGATTCTTTAGTACAGAGCTATAGATATGTCTCACATAGAGTGTAAAATTGCACTCTGCATAAGGTAGATGTTAATAAATGTCCTTTTACAAATAAACAAATAAGTAAAAGGCTCTGTAGTATTAAACATGGTTCATTCATGAGATTCAACCACTCATAAAACTTTTACAACCTACTTCACTGTTTTGAAAGGAATCTGTAAAGAATGACATGTATCCCTATAGGAATCTATAACAAACAATTTTGCATGATTAATAATTCGTTTTCTTACTGCTTAATAAGAGGGACTGCTAAACAATTACTCATGTTTAATTTACCATCCATTTTTGCAAATATTGCTTATAATTAGAAGTGTATAAGTATGTATTTCAAATTTATCAAGATACAGTGTAATTTATCAAGGTAACAACTTATGAATGGTAAAATGACCATTCTAATATATGAAAACAAAAAATATATTAAAGTTATTTACTTGAAAATCTCCATGGGTTGATCTTCTAAAAGAGCTAGTTTATTCATTTTAAAATCTGATTTTGAAAAGTACTTTTTTTTAGCTCTGTTGATGTATTATATTATTGAATTTTACTATTAAAATATATTTATTGATTTTAATATAGAAAATCTAAAAAAAGAAAAAGTCAAAACAAAATACTTTTAGCAATGAGAAGATGTTATTACCATTAAAACTAAAAGCTTGTGTTTAATACATTTAAATTTGCGTTTTCAGAAATAAAGTTTGCCTTTGATTAAATTACATATATATTTTATCAGGAGGTGAGAATTATGTCAGGACTAGTTTGGTTAAATTTCTACAATGAATTAAATATTACTGAGAAAAAGCGTTGTTAAAATGAGTATTCTGGTACTGAATAGCAGGAATGAGGTAGAAGACTTTGTAAACTGTGATTTTTGTCAATCTTTATTAATAGAAGACTCTTTGCTGGAAGTTAACCAAAGTGTCCCATTATCCCAGTGTGCAATAGATTAATAGAGTTTAAAATAAGCTCCCTGATATTATAGAAGGGAGTGGAGGGCTACATACTGCTTGCTATGTAAATAGAGGTTTAATTAACACTTAAAGTTTTGCATCTTCACAGGTTGCAAATGTTAATTAAATCTGTATTTACATGGCAAGAGATGCGGACGTAGATGCCTTTCTTTTAAGAGCCAACTAAGTTTGTCTGAAGTACAACTCTTCCAAAGTGTAGCAAATTTACATGAAGGAAAATTTCAAAGTTGGGAGAAATATTCAAGGTAATATAGTCTAACCTCTTACTCAGAAAACTAGCTTCTCCGTATGGTGTTTCAGAAACATGATGAACTGGCCTGTTATGGGTATTTCTGTTGATAAGGACTGTACTCCTTGGGACAAATTCCTCATTTTTTCCATATTTGATTGTTTAAAAATTATTCTGCAGCCGTTATCCCTGTTCTGCTCTCTGGAGCTATACCAAAAAAGGCAGCCTAATCCTTGCTCCAACCAAAAGCTCCTCAAACACATCAACTCACCATTCTGAGACTACCATGTTTTTCATGTCCTCTATCCCTAGATCATGATTCCAAGTCTTTTCTTCCCAGACTAAACACTCCTAGTTTCTTTAATTCATCATAAGATAATATTTTCATGTTCATCACCACTCTAATCAACTTCCTCTGGATGCATTCCAGCTTATCTCTTTAAAATGTGGTTTTCTAAAACTGAACACATCATGGCACAGTGTAACACTAAAATTATTTTCATTGAAGAAGACAGTATTTGTGTTAATTAACTTTTTTGCTGCCATGTTATAATACTAATTGATAAGAAGTTTGTAGTAATCTAAATCATCTTTTTAGATTACTGGGACTTAAAATACAGATAAATTCAATTCTTAAAATTCTATAATTATGCAATTGCTTTTTTCTATCTTCAGTGCAAGCTTTTATATGTATCCCTGTTATGCTTTATCATATTGATTTTGATTCAGAGTTCCTATGAGATCATTTTGAAGTGATTTACATTTCATTTACATTTACATTGTGTAGTCAGATGTTCTTATATAACTATGATCATTAGTATTTTAAGGGTTTATAAGAATCTTAACAAGGATAAATCTAAATATCTAAATATTTAAGAAATAATAAAATGTATATGTACCATCTGTAATCTCTTCACCATTAAACATTAAGTCAAGGTGTTTGAACACATACAATTGTTCAGTAGTTTCAAACTCAGTTAACGACAGTGTCATTCAGCCTACATTGCTCCTTATTTACAAGGACACCATGAGAGATTTTCCTTAAACACGTTGTAGAAGTCAGGATGCTAATTATAAATAGTTACGGGAAACCTAGAGAAAAAAATGTACATCAGGAAAAACCCTTAGACTTTTAGAAGTTGGACTGTCCTTAAATAAAGCATAGTCCACACCTATTACTTTACATATTAGAAAAAAAAAGTCAAATGGCACCCTTTAGGTAATAGCTGGTGGCATGACTATAACTAAAACCTAGATATTAACGCTATTTTGACTTTAAGTACAAGTCATACAGATATATATATATATAAACATAAATTACCTTTATTGGGCATCTTGAATTAGCATTCTTACTAGAAGTAATTACGATATTGAAACCACTGACTTTTTCTCCCTGCCTTATTAGAATTGGTTGTCTTTTCCTGTCTAATCCCCTTCTTTCCAAAATGTCTATACTAGGTCCTCACCATCACAAACTTCTCACTTTTGAAAGTCATTGCCTTTTTGATTTAGGAGGTCATTGCTTTGGGGTTTTTTGTTTGTTTGTTTGTTTTTTATGTTTTTCCTGAGATGGGTTCTCACCCTGTCACCCAGGCTGATCCTGGCTCACTGCATCCTCAGTCTTCCTGGGCTCAGGTGACCCTCCCACCTCAGCCTCCTGAGTAGGTGGGACTACAGGTGTATGCCACCACACTCAGCTAAGTTTTGTATTTTTTTGTAGAGTTGGGATTCCACCATGTTTCCCAAGCTGATCTCAAACTTCTGGATTCAAGCAATCCACCCGTCTAGGCCTCCCAAAGTGCTGGGATTACAGGTGTGAGCCACCAGACCTGGATTGTCATTACATTTGAAGGTCATTTTTATACCCCTCTACGGACCCCTTTGACAAATTAGTTACCTCTATTTCTATGCTCCTATATTGAGTTGTATTAACCAGTTTGGCAGAATGATTAAAATTTTGGTTCATGTACCTTTTTCCTCAAATAGGCCATGAGTTACTTACAGTCTTCTAAATATTTATATTCTATAATGACTAGAATATAGTAGTTTCTCAGGATCATTTTCTTATTTGGATTAATTGACCTTTGGCACAACTTTGAAGGTCTTAAGTTGTTTTGCAGTAGTGAAAGAAAGCAAATATTACCATTTAATCCATGACTTGATGAACAGCAGCTTCTTTTTACAAAGCGGCTGGCCAGGGCTAAATAACAGGAAAAACATTAGCTCTCATTTTGGGAAATTGATCAATAGCAATAACGCTTTCTGTGCCAGTCACTGTGCGAAGTCATTTACCTGTTACCTTATTTAAATTGCAAAACAACTCTATTAGAACCCCATTTTAAATATGGAGAAAGTAGGGCTCAGAAAGGTAAATAATACTTAACAGTGGCTTTGTTGGCACCGATAATTAATTAATGAAATTCTAAAATAATTCATTCTATGTATTTCAGAACAAGCACATTTTTCTTAAAAAATAAAAATAATATAGTATACATGATGATTTATTTCTCTTTTATTCAATCTACTCTCCTATTGTCTAACTATTTTTTTCTTAGCTTTATAGCAGAAATAAGACTGACTTATCTGAACTTTCTACCCTTACATTATTTTGCAGGAGCTAATCTGGACAGCAAAGCATCTTCTCTTTACTATGTCAAAATCCCATTTTCCTTTCATCTGTCTAGTATCAATACTGATTTTATACTATAGAAGATTTGAAAAACTGACTTAATTTTTAGACCCCCTCTAAAAGGGCTCTTGTATTGCTGCCAATTATAGAGAGGAGAAAAAAAAAACACCAAAACTTGCATTTTGAAAAATAATTTGAAAATAGTACCTTATATATTTCAAATATTTCTCAAATATGAAATCTCTGATTCATTATGCAGTGATAACCTTGTTGTGTTAATGTTTGTGTTTTCAATCATTTGTTTTGGTCTCATTTTCTGTCCCCTTTTTTTTAAAACAATGGAGACTCTTAAGAATTTCCAACATTTGGAACTAAAATGTAAATGAATAAAAAATGTTACTTGTCATACTCTGATATTTTGGAATTTTCTTAGCAAATACTTTGGTAATTTTTTAGGTGAGGTACAAAAAAATAAAGCACCTCAAGGGAAGGATCCCTGTGGTAGCCATTTTTTATTTCAGATGGCTCCTTACACACAGTGTGTTGTGTGTATTTGAGTGTGTGTGTTTGTGTGAAGTCATTAGTCTTTTACATGTGTTCTTGACAGTGTAATTAAATACTAACGTGATACCACAAGGAGTCCACTATATACTCACTGGAATGGAACAAATTAAAAAGCCCCAGATTTTCAAGTATTGGAGAAGATACGGAGCAACCATGTTGTCTATGGAGATGTAAATCAGCATGGCCACTTTGTAAAACAGTATTTGTTAAAGCAGAACACATATTATTACTCCCATCATTCAGTAATTCCATTCCTAGATACATACCCAACAGAAAAAAGCACATATGTTCACAAAAGATAAATGTTCATGGCTGTACCATTTACATTTGTGGTAAAACGCAAACGACTTAAGTGACCATCAACAGTTGAACAGGTAAATAGATGTGGTATATTCACAAGGTGGAATGCCATACTATACATCACCAAAAATGAACCACCCCCAACTATGCACAATGATATTGAGAAATTTCACATACCTAATGCTGAGTAAAAGAAGTCAGATCCAAAAGAGTATATATGATTCCAATCTATAAACTACAAAATATATATACAAAGCAGCAACATTAGTTTGTGCTATTAGAAGTTAAGTGAGTGGTTACTTCTGGAAAACTGAAATGACAGAAAAGTTTTATAAAGAAGGCGCTGGGTGTTGGTATTATTGTGGCTATTGATTTGGATACTATTTACAAAGGTGTCCGATTTGTGAAAACTATTGACCTGAACACTTATATATACATTTTTTGCATATTATATGCACAGGTTGAAATGTGTGACAAATAAATAAATGGAGAATAATTACATTCATCTAACAGATAGCATTCCCTATGCCTGTTTTATATTTCTCTTCTAAAATAAACAAGCATATTTGGAAGTTAAGTGCTATAATATTAAGCATTGCTTTTATGTTGGTCGAAGGGATTGGAGAAGAAAATGGAGGCATGTGCAGTATTTGCCAGGAAATTGCACCTCTATTATAAACAAAAGATATGTATTTCTCTTGAAATTTTCAGAAAACCAGGTAATTTTTTTTCAGGCACTGATTTTTAAATTGTATTTTCAAGCAGTTTCCAAGACATGACTCATTATATCTCTTATAATGAACCTGAAGGAAAAACACACACAAAAAGAATAATATAACATATATTTGGAATATTTTATAGCAATGCCTCTCATTTTCAGAAAATTTAATTATAAGTAAAGTCCTGGCTAATAGTTAGTTTGACAGTAACTCTCTGTGTTTTACTGATCTACCTGTAAATTCAGTGTTTCTATTTTTCTTAATAGGTGTGCAGTTCAACTTCCACACTTTTCATTTGGAAGACCATCATGACTACTTACTGATCACAGAGAATGGCAGTTTTACCCAACCACTGGCACGCCTGACTGGTTCAGATCTTCCTCCAACAATCAATGCTGGTCTCTATGGAAATTTCAGGGCTCAATTGCGTTTCATTTCAGATTTTTCAATATCATATGAAGGATTTAACATAACATTCTCTGGTGAGAAAATAAAAAACAAAAGGGCTCATTCAGTAACTTTTAAAAAAGCAATTTTTCAAGATATGAGCATAACTGATGATAAAACAGTGAAAAATAGCTGGAGAGAAGAAAAATTTTAAAAAGAAGAAAGCAAAGTAGTATGTGTCAAGTTTTAAGGAAAGCTTGGAATACACTGAAGATTATCTCTAGTAATAAATAAGGGAAAAAGCAAAAATTAATTTGCTATAAATCTACCGGAAGTACAATAATTACATTTCTTTAATTTACAATCCTGAAAAATTCTAACAAAGGTCAAAACTAGCTAAAATGCCTAGTAAACACAAAATAAAAATTAAAATATATATTTTAAAGTTTCAGTTAAACTCAAAAATGAAATGAGAATTAATCCAGTGATTTCCTTGTTTTATGTGTCTAGGAAAACACATAGAAGGCATAGTCAACAGGCCAGAATTAATGATCTTAATTAATTAATAATAAATTATATATTTTAATTATATATATAATTAATAAATAGTAATTTATTATTCTGGAATTAGATAATCTATAATCTATAATCAAATTAACATAGTTACTCCTTTCTTCTAGTATAACCTCACTTATAGACAATAGTATTACTTAGATTACAGGGGGAAAAAATTGTATGAGACCAAAGAAAATAAAATGTATTCCCACCACTTAGAGTTGTACTTTCCATTTGAATGAACACAACTAGCTATTTCTTAATACAGACACAAATTAATAAGTAAATCTTATGCCAACTTGCTAACATTAAAATGATACAAGCACTAACCTTGTTCTTAAACAACTATTTTAGTATTTGGGTGGAAATGTTTGGATGCTAAAATCATTAAAGTATTTTATCATGAATAGTAAATGAACATAACCTAGAATGTTAAAAAAAGTCCAAGTAATTTTTTTAAAGCATAAAATATTAGCTAATCAACATGAAGCAATGCCTCTTGTTCTTTGTTGTAATTACACAGTAACTGCTCTGGGAATATTTTTAGATAAGCTACTTCTTCTTAGGACTGTATATAAATTATAATGTTTAATCAACTCTACTTTTCATACCCTGAAGACTGTTTACTTGTTCATTTTCATAATGTTCATTTATTGCCTGGGGAAAACTTCCTGTAAAAATCCATAATACAATAGTTTTCAATGTGTGGTCACTTCAGTCTCACATAAACCCTTGCATCTCAAATCATGTGTTTTTCAGAATATGCATTAATTGAACTTGTATACAAGAAGCAGAAGGGCCTTTATCATTTAAATGTAAAATATTAAGCAAAAGCATTTCAAAAGTGCAAATGATTTCATTTCAAATGTTATTTTGTGTTTGAAAATATGCAGTTCTTATGCCGTAAGTCGAAAATATATGAAATAAAAATGTTTCTAATGCAGAAAAAACAATAAGATAAATAGCTATTTTTTAATTTATTATTCAGAAGGTGATATTTTCTCATCTATATTGAATACCACAAATACAAATATTTATCAAGTTATTAGCTATTTCACAGAAAAAGAAACGTATGTGTGCCATTTGTACGTTCTGATAGCTATTCATATAGTCCCTTCTAAATATATGACTAGGTTCTAAAAACAATAGGAATATACCTTTAAAAGTAACCACTATCATTTTCTTTGTCCTTTCCTCCCCCGCGGGGAAATTTTTCTCTCTAATTTACAGAATATAACCTTGAACCTTGTGAAGATCCTGGCATTCCTCAATATGGTAGTCGAATCGGGTTCAACTTTGGGATTGGTGACACTCTGACCTTCTCATGCTCTTCGGGTTATCGACTGGAAGGAACATCAGAGATCATCTGTCTTGGTGGTGGCCGACGAGTGTGGAGTGCACCTCTGCCAAGGTGTGTGGGTACGTGGTCAGCTGCTTTCATTTGCTTGTATGTGTAGTCACTGTCCATGGAGTTGCATGGTTACACCCTTCGTTCTTTATAATCTGTTGAATTTCTGCATTTATTTCACATTAATTATTTCAACTTTTTTTCTATTTGGCAATCTGGTGTAACTGAATTAACTTCTCTACTGCTCCATTCAAGAAACCATGCTTATAAATTTGTTTTCAGATAGGGATAAGAAACAAATTAGATAGATAGATAGATAGATAGATAGATAGATAGATAGATAGATAGAAATATGATAGACACATAGATATATGGAGAAAGATAGATGATATAGATAGACAGATAGACAGATAGAAATAGAATCATATTTTGAGAGCTCACAGAAAATAGAATTCTTGTATTCTATTGATAGTATATTCTGACCAAGGTTTTGACAATATTTTATAACTTAAAATTAACATGCATAAAAGATGATTACAAGAGAAAGTGCCAAATGAAGAATAGGTAACTAATTTAAGGGCTCTTAATGAACTTATTGGCTCAATATTTGATAGATAAATTAAGAGAGCTATTCATTCATGTTGTGAAATAAAAAATAACTATAATTAAAGTGTTGGAAGCGTGAAGTCACCATCTCAATCTTTGGAAGTAAATATTTTGACTGATAAAAAGAAAAAAATGTTCGGTAGAAAAAAGGCTTTTCATTAAGACTTAAATCATTCCCTCTTTAAATTAGAAAATATTAAGGCCAAAAACTTCTTGCTGTTTAGTGATTATCAGTACATCTTATGATAGAATAAGATTCAAATGGCCATTTTATAATTATTTTATAAAGCTATTGAAAATTATCACAAGCACTTAATTTGATTAATTATAAATCTAATTGTGGGTCACAAATCTATGTAACTTATAATATGCTACAAAATCAGGAAAATTGGTAGAGATTTGAAATGTGGTTTAAGCCCCTGCTCTTTACTATGGATACAAAATGCCCTGCAGGTTGAAATGAGATTGAAGAAGTTATATCCTTTTTGCCTTATTCAATATATTGTCCAATATATAGAATGTGGGAATTCCTGTGGAACCACAAATCAAGCCAAAAAATATGATCATCCAAGTTAGTGTGGGTCTGAAGTCTTTTATTGTAATGAGATTGTTTTCAAGATACCTAGCAGATGAAATTTCTCTTTAAAAATCACAGATTTTTATAGAAATGGCACAAGCAACCATAGAGGCTTGAAGTTGGGAGGTGATAAGTAATCATACTCTCAGGGCATCTTTTCCAGGAGCTATGCAGGGTGCATTTTTTTTTTTAAGGACATTTTGTTGTTACTACTGCTACTGCTTACTGCCACATTTGAAATTCCTGTACTTTACTTCATTATGCCAATTTTCATTTTTGTGACTGTTTTCGAAGGTACTTAATGAAACCTTTGGAATAGTCCAAGTGAGGGCTACAGAGTGCCTGACCATTTGATATTTGGCCAATTCACTTTTCTCAACTTCATTTTTCTCATCAGCAAAATGTTTGCAACTGTAGCACCTAACTCATTGTTATGAGTTAGTTATGAGGATTAAAAGAAATTAGTCATATAAATCAGACACCTGGCACAATCCCTTGAATATAGGAAGCATTCCGAATTTAGATTTTATTTTAACTAATTGTTTTGAGTATAATCTGCTGTCTCTCCAGCCTGTCAACTTAGTTTATAAAATCAATTACAGTGGGAAATAATTCCATTTTATAAAACGCTAACATTATAAGGACCTGCTAGGTTCTTTTATGTAAAGTCATCTCATTTAATCCTTACTAAAATCCTGATATTATTATCTCTTCCATTTTTCATTAGAAGAAGCCTGAGGCTTAGAGATGCTAAATAACTTGCCCAAGATCATCAAGTTTGTAAGAGGTAGCACTATGATTTTTTTGTAGTGATCTGTTTCATTCCAAAGCCCAATTTTTTCCTCACTAGTGTCTAGGGAAACGTGATTCTAGAAGGAATCTATCATAGAGAACTAACATTTTCTCTCAGAGTAACCGAATACATGCCAGGCCGTTACATAGGTTGAAAAAAAAAGTGTTTACATGTACATTTAAAAAATTTAGTTTATATTTATGATATATTTTAATAAATGGATCTATGAAAACCTGACATTGCAAAAATCTACCATTGAGTTAATTTTGTTTTATTAAGGTGTTTCTTTGAGACTGGTTTATTCGTACCCAAATCTTTAATGGGAAGGATGAAAGAAAATTACCCTGTGGACAAATTTAGAAAGCAAAGTTATTGCCATGGGAATTCCCCCCTACCCATTTTCAAATTAGCTGTGCTTGCTTTTAAGCTTATTAAAATTTACAATTAATTCAATTGACCTTAATAAATTCCACGGTAGGCATACATTTAAGTTACAGGATGGGGAGAAATATTCCTTTAAAAAGAAATGTTTTTTAAAATGTTACTCCTCCAATTTTTTTGAACTTTTTTCTTTACTGCTTTGCTTATGCTTCAAAACAAATTTGTTCCTTCTTGAATTTCTGATTCTAAACACACGTATGTGTATATTTCTTATTTTGTTTTTTTTTCCATATTTTAGTCTTTATTCACATAAAATGCATGTTATTTGTAGCCATTCATCTGAGCAGATGTCCACTTTTAGGAATGTTAGTTTATTTGGACAGCTTTTATTTCTTCTTAACCTCTTTGTACTTTTTATTTCATATACCCTAACACCAATTCTCTATTTCATACTTGTTTAAAAAATCATTATTTAGTCTTCAGCATTGCCAACTGCATAGAAAGCCTAGGTTAACAATAGCCAAATTTTAAGTAGGTTGTATTTCAAAAGTTTGCTGCTGTTTCAGTTATTTGGAATCTAAACATTCTTTTCCTGGCACAAGGGTACAAATGATGGATACACTCCCAGAACAAGCCCCAGATGAGGTTTTAAATTTTATACAAAGTATGAAACTAATATTAACGTTTACTAAAGCGATTTGTGTGTATATAGGTTATATAAGGCATCTGATTCTGGATAGTAAGGGAACTGATAAAGCTAGTTTTGGAAACTTACTTTACATTTTATTTATATAGATTTTGATTCAATATTTAGTGTACAGGTTGATTGGTATCTTCATTTCTTTTGGTAGAATTTGGCAAAATTTATCTTATTCTGGATGTTGAATGAGGAATAAATAAAATTTTTCTTTAAACAATTTCCTACACAAGCTCTGCATTTAAGTTTAAAGTTTAACAAAATATTAAAATGTAATAATACCATAATATGGCCATTTACATCTATGAAAAATTCTGTCGTGTAATATCTCATTCCAAAGACTCCCAAATATTGTGAAAGTAAGTTTAATACAACTATCTTATCAGTAAAGATATGATGTCTATAAAAATACTCAAGGTTGAACACAAACCCAGGAGCAGATTTATGATTATCACAATGTTCCGAGTCTAAGTCCTGTGTATGGTCCACAGTAGTAGCACACCATTGTCTCTGACTGGAGACTTTGATAAAGTTGGGAGGAAATCTGGCCTGCATTATAGTTGATACATGGCTTCAGAGAACTTCGTATGCTTGTCCTCTATTTAACTAGAGGAAAACTTCTTCAACCATAATCCATTTATCTGATGTTGCTTAAATGCAGAAAAATTTGTAGAAGCAGGAGAATAATCTTGACAGAAATTAAGAGTATAACAGGAAAAGTTTTATTACACTATTAGTAGATAAGCACTCAATACACAAAATCTCGTTTACTAGTTAGTAATCAAGATGAAAGTTTTACTATCTGAAATAGATATTTATGTATCTGTAATTATACTTCACATTTTGGGAAAAACTTTAAAAACAGAAAAAATGATATTTTAGTTAAGATGTTTTGTATTTGAATGATTTTCCTGGAGAGCCATGTTTCTCAGGAATGAATATCTGATCACTTGTTTAAGTGGCAACCAAATACCCAACAGCAAAAAAATAAAGTAAAATAAAACAAATATAAATAAATAAAAAAATTAAAAACTACCGGTAAGTTGATAAGTTGATTAAAATAAGAAACACTTTCCTTTTTTGTTTAAGATATAAGTACATGATTTCTTTTTCTAAAGTTTACATTACAAAAACACTGTCATTTACGTTGCTATCTTTTTAAATCAGGAAAAACTTGCATGTCTTCACTCAGCATCCAAATATACCAGGAACCAAGCCAGGCCATGTTGCAAATAAACAACGAGCTAATGAAAGAACATGTTGTTTTGGAAAGTAGATTAGCAAGTTAAATATTAGTAATGATTTGTCTTTAGGCAGGAGTCCACATATTTTAAGAAGCCCACACATTTTGAAGTGATTTCAAAGACATTAATTCATTCATCCTCATAATCCCCCATTTAATACATCTTCTTCTGTTTCTAATTTCGTGTGTCATTGATTTTTTTATTTGACCTTGGACAAGTAACAACATCTTGCCTTAATCATGAGTCAAATGATAAAAATGATAACTCTATATTACACATCTACATATTATTCTCACTTTTCTGACCTTTCAGATGATATATGATGATAGTTATTTATTTCTTAGTTTAAAAATGAAGAGAGCAAACTGAATGTGCAGCATATATGCGAACTGTCTGTACTATCATTGTAACTTCTCTGTTAACCTAAAACTATTCCAAAATGAAAATGTATTAAAAATTCAAAATATGAAAGAATAAAGTGCATTTGAAGAGGCAATTTCTCTTGAAACAAATTCTATTTACTTTATCTTAACCTCCAAGCTCTCTATACTAAAATTATATCTATCAGATGCCCACATATGTATATCAAATATGACTGATCTATCCAGTTAGTCAGCATTGCAGATATATGGCCTGGTAGAAAGAAAATTAAAAATCAAGAGACTTAGATTGATCGTAGAGTTTACCATTAATTAGCTGGTTAATTTAGGCAAATGCCTTAATTTTCTATATTTTTCTTTTCTGGAAAGGATGATGCCAGTATGAGTTCTATTTAACCCAATTTTTTTTTAAGATGAAAGAAAAGTGCTCTAGTGAGTAATATAAAGAAATATATATTTACTTCTCTCTTGTATGATTAGGACTGAATGCATTGATTTCTTGGCTTAACAATATAAAAGCTTCTAGAATATTAACTTATATTTGTTCAATGCTATCTACATTTTTTAAAGAGTTTATTGCTCACAACCTTATGAAGTAAGCAGAGGAGGTGTTATTCCTTTTTAGCAGTTTAGAAAATGCATGCTCAGAAATGTTACAATTAATAAATAAAAGAAATGTACGAGAAACAAAGATTTGTAATTCTTAGATGAGTGTTGTGGCATTTCAAGCAACATTCATTTATTACCTTATTTATTGATGCACAATTTTCAAGTTAGAAGACTATCGTTTTTTTATACAATAGACCAGGGGTGGGCAAACTTTTTCTGTAAAGTGCTCCACAGTAAATATTTAGGGCTTTGAGGCCACATGGTTTGAGTTACAATTACTGAACTCTGCTATTGTATTGTGAAAGCAACAATAGAAAATACATAAATGAATTGATGTGGCTGTGTTCCAACAAAACTTTATTTACAAAAACAATAATCTGGATATGGCTGTGGAGCCATAGTTTGCTGGCCCTTGCAACAGACTTATCAAGCTTAATCAACTTAAATATCCCTTTTGTATTTGGGCATTTCTTAGTCATTGATCCTTTAGGGAAAGAAGAAAGGATCCTTTACCTATTCTCTAATTTTTCATCCTGGGCTCCATTTATTAAACTCATAATGTATTTATTATTAAGAGGAAATATTTCTCATGTTTTTCAAAAGAGACTATTAGGAGTGTGTGTGTGTGTGTGTGTGTGTGTGTGTGTGTGTGTGTGTGAATACTGATGTAGTTTGTTGGTAACATAATTCTCAACCATCTCAAAATCTATCCGTATACTCAAATCTCTTCTGAGTACACTGGACCTCTCCATATGGATGTCCTCCCACAAGCACATTGACTTTACACTGCTAAGACAGAACTCATTATCTCCTCAGCCAAATCAGCCTTTCTTTCTGCACTCTTTATTTCAGTTATGGAATCATTCTTATTCAATCATCCAAGCTAGAAATTGTATTATCTTTCACTCCTTCCTCCCTCTCTTTTTATCCATATCAGAGCAGTCCTTATGACTTACCACCTAAAAATATTGCTCAAATTTACCACTATTTTCATTCTCACTTCCTTTGTCCTAGCCCAGCTCTCATTGGTCCTCAAAAAGATTAACATAGTAGCATAAGAATAATAATACACGGCAGGCATTGTGTTGAACCCTGTGTAAATATTTCACTTCACATACCCTTTATACAAACCATTTAAGAAGATATTATCATTCCATTTTATAATGTGACTAGGTGATTAACTACAGAACTTGATAAAAAGCTTAAAACCTACTCTTTCTGACTGTCATGTTCATATTTTAGCAGTTATATATATAATCTCATTGTGTTACCTCTTTTTTCCTAGCTGGACTTCCTGTTTCCAGCTTTCTCTCATCTAATTTATCTTCAATATTATAACTAATTATATTAGATTTTTATTGATGAGTAATAGATTACCACAAATTTAGAGACTTTATACAATACAGTTACTTTCTCATGGTTTCTGTGGGTTGAGAGTCTGGGCATGGTTTAGACCCTCTTCTCAGGGTCCACAGACTACAATTAATGTGTTAACCAGGGCTGAGTTCTCACCTGAGGTTCAGGGTCCTCTTCCAAGGTCACATGGTTATATTGGAAGCAATCAGTTTCTTGTGTTGTGGAACTGAAAGCTTCAATTCTTTGCTCAATTCCATCCACAGTTCCTTACCATGTGGTCTACAATACAGCTGCTTACTTCATCAAGCCAGCAAGGGGTGTCTCTCTGGTGAATCTGCGAGGAAGATGAAGTTTTATAGAAGGTAACATAATACAGGGAGTGATGAGGAGAAAGCCATAGATCCTGCCTATACTCAAGGGAAGGAGATTGGCTTAAGGCATAATTGCTAAAAAAACAGGTATCATGGGGTTCAACTTAAAGTCTGTCCACCATACCAGTTATCCTTTGAAAGACCAGATCATCTGTCTATTCCCTGCGTAAAACACTAAGTTTGACATTGCCCACTGGATAAAGTCACAATTTCTTAAGTCCTTTCATGAGTTGGCTTTAGCGTCTTCTACTGACATTTCTTTACATGGCTATATGCATCCTGGAATATAGCCACAAGATGTTACATGCCACTTGAAAACATGCCAACCATTTTCTATACTTTATGATTTTAAGGCTATATTGAGGTCTAGTGCATGCAAATGACCAAATTCTCACTTGTGTTTACATAAGCAAACAAATGATTTTTTTAATCTGTAAGAATATGGGTTTAAAAGTACAGTAAGAACAGCCTGAGCAAAATAATGAGACCCCTTCTCTATAAAAAATTATCTAGGCATTGTGGTGTATGACGGTTGTCTCAGCCACTGGGGAGGCTGAGGCAAGAGGATTGCCTGAGCCCAGGAGTTCAAGGGGGCAGTGAGCTGTGATGGTGCCACCACACTCCAGCCTGGGCAACAGAGCAAGATGCTGTCTCTAAAAAAATAAATAATAATAAAATCGCAGTGAGAAAACACAGAAATCATTGTTTAGTTGCTGAAGCAGCCTTTGCTTTTTAATCTGTTGAGCTCCATTCCCATTACCCTGTCATCGTTCAAGACAGTATTATCTATCATTATCTACCTTATTACTGTAATAGTTTAAACAGCACTCTAATCTTCATTCTTGTGCCTTTTTCCTTAAACCAAACTATGGAGTCAGAAAGAACCTCCTGTGATGCAAATTTGATTATGTTACTCTCTTACTTAAAATCTTTCATTGTTTTCCACTGCCCTTAAGATAAATTCTGAATATTATTCTCTTAACCCCAATCTCCACTCCATAATTTGGCCTAATCCCTTCATCCTTTAAAGTCACCTCATTTAATCATTCTGGTAAGCTCCCCTTGACCTCCCAAGAGTACGTTAGATGTCTTTCCTATGAGTTGCATGAGCTTTTCCATATCTCCCCTTTCTAGATTTCATCATGCTATATTGAATTGCCTTTTTATCTACAACAGTGTTTAGCATATAGAAAGCTTTAAGTAAATTTGTTGAGTTGATAAAGAAATGAATATATAATATCGACAAAACTCCTTTACTTCCACATTTTCAACTTACTAACTTTCATTTACATGAACAAAGCTGTGCTCCAGAGGAAAATAGAGTCAATTCTGTCTAACTCCAATAAAGGACTATAATTGCCATTTCAACCTCAGCTGTCACACTGTTGTTTAGTCTATAATGCATTTGCTGTGGGTTATTTACACACAATCTCTCAAGTCTAATAAGTAAACCAACCAACCAACCAACCAACCAACCAACCAACCAAGTAATTAAGATGCCTGAAAAGACTACTAAGAAGAAGCTTATGATTATGATTGATAGAAACAAAAAGATAAATTTATAAAAATTGAATATGGTGAGAAAATGATGAATTCTGTACCTGTATATGGAATAATTCTTTCCCTAATATGCAGTAAAATTCAGAGCTTAACAGGGAAAATAGCTGACTCAAAAACTTTTTCAATGAGTTAAAAAAGTAAGGTAAAAAAGGTGTGTGATAGAAATAGTATCCACAAGATTGCGAGGGACCAATACACATGTCCTATTTAATGAAATTAGATTGTGGACTGTGAACTTCAATTCTTATTCACTTGGGATTTGTAGACAAACAAATTTACAGACATCCTTTTAGAACGCAGCCAGTCAGCTCATTAGGAGATAAATATCTGAATTTATTTTATTATACTGTAGCTGGCACATGAATAAGGATGATTTTACTTGATACCTGTAAGTCCTTTGAAGGTGGAGGCTGGATCTTAGTTTTCTTTATACTTTCTGTGTGTCTGCCACAAACTTTGGCAAGTAACAGGTGCTCATTCTGAACAGAAGACAGTATAAAGTTAATTCACCATGTGATCATCAGGAACCAACTTAACAGAGTAGACCCTGACCTATCTATATGGTGATTCACCCATAGGGAGGGTTTCATTGATTCTCATGTTATTAAAATCTCAAATCTCTTTGGATAAAAATTTTTGAGTTTTATGAGGACTTAAAATAGAAGACTCCTAAAAATACCTCATTCTCCATATATGTCCTTATGCTCTGACTATAAATCTTGTTACAAGCCAAAATTTGACTGCTAATTGGTAAGTTCAAAGATAGGTTTGGGGATTGCAGAGAGGACACAGACTTTTTAAAAGAGAGTTTGAATTACAGAAGAGAGGCAAAGAGTGGAGTGTTGTGTGGAATCTCTGTTGCAGAGGGTCATGTCCTAGAAGCAATTGCAAGAGTGAGACTCTCACACGAGAAAGAATTACGAAAGTGCCAGAAAAACTTGCTCTTTGTCTAAACTCTGGGTGACCTCTTCCTAGTTTTGGAATTTGCCCAAGTTCAGAAATACCTAGAGCATACTTTTTCTTTGGCTATGTCTAAGAAATTTAACCTAGACATATTGGAAAATATGCTGGAAAAAAAGAAAAACTATAATAGACCTCAAAGTAGTGCTTTAAAGCAAAAATAAATGTTATAATATTAACCTAGAAAGTATGATATTCATCAACTTTGCCATCAGACAAACTAATTTTGGTTTTTAGCTTAATATATCTTTACTTAATTAGGTTACTTGTCCCTAGTATATATTAATGCCAGATAAGGAATATTTTACCTGAGGTAATAATAAAAGCTAATATTTGCTGTGTGTTTACTGTATGCTAGGTTTGGTCTTATGAGCTATGAATAAGGGCCCTGAGACACAGGGAGGTTAAGCAATTTTCACTAGGAAAATATATTAACGGTATTTTTATTCAAAGCAAGTTAGATTGGGAGCAATTTTTTGCTATAAGTCGTAAGAATTAAAACATTAAATAAGTCAGTGTAGTTCAATATTCTGTATGTATCCCCAAACTGGTTCTTGCTTACAACAGTGACATATGTGGTTCTCAGGAAATACTATCATTTGGCAGTGTAGATAACTGGAGAAGATAATTAAATGATAACGCTGCTTATAACTGAATTAGATCTTGATGTCATATCTCAGGAGAGGGTAGGATTTAATTGAAATTGGAATAGACTGACAGTACCTAAAATTATTTTGAAGCTGGGAACAAAGGTCATTATCATATTAGGTAAATAGATTTTAAAATTTGTTCTAATTCCATTTTTTAAAAATAAAATCCATGTGTCTTTTTGTTCTGTATATGTGTGTATATAGATTATTTCTACTTTTAGCCTTATAATATTAAAAATAATAGAAAATATATATGCCATTAATACAGAGGCTGATTTCTAATAATTGGTTTTATTGTTTGTCATCTGGTAATGCACTTAGCTAAGATAGGTTCAAATGTACCTAGGGCTTTGAAAACAGACAAAAGGACATTGGAACAAACTAGGACTATAAATTAGTAACAGTGCATTATACTGAGGGACCAACTGGCCTTGAGTTTGGTGGCATCAACAGGGGTGGGCTTCGGTTGAATACGAGAGAGTAGGACTGCCATTATTCTGCCTAGTAAATGCATTCAGTCCCTAACGAAAATATTATCGGTATGAGATAAAATGAATTTCATTTTTTCATTATCATTTCTGGTTTTTTTTGATATTTTGTCTTTACCTCAAACTTACCCTTCTCAAATCCAGCTCCTTCACTGCGGGATAAAGTAGCTGAAGTCATTCTTTGTTTATTATACCAAGACAGTTGCCATGGAAATAATAAAATGTTATAAAATAGGCATCATAAATTAAATCCAAAGTCAAGAAGGAACATATGGGTCAGGTAGAGACTGTGTGCTTATTTAAATAAACAATATCTTTGGTAATCATCAAAAATGTCAAGGTAAGTTGCAGAGAAAACATAGAGACAAATGAACTTAGAGCTTTAGGAAGTTGTTTGCAGAATGTAAATATTGCACTTCAAGCAGGTGTTTTTCAAAAGGAGTTAGGGGATTATTTACCTCCCCCAAACTACTTTTCTGGCTATAAACCATTTTTCTACATCTGTGTATTGTACCCAAGTACTCTCTTTGTAGCACTCTTTGAATCCCAGCTCAATTATTGGTATGCTCAATGTGTAAGTAACATTTCTCTTCATGTGTTTTAATCAGTCGACAAACAGTGTATTTCAAAGGTGATGGATAGCTTTTATTTCATGCATTTTACTATATCTTTTTGAATTTGAACTAGTTGATGTTTTGTTATATCTGCTACAGAATGTTGCAGGTATAAAATATTAACCTTTTCATATCATATAAAACTTGAATCTCAATTGAATCTGATCACTATTTTCTAAAAGAAATTCTGAGCCTTTTTTGTCCTCAAAAATGTTTGATTTTCATTTTTCCAGACATTGCTTTGTTTTTCTGATAATATAATATGATTTCTCACTTGTTCAATCATGATGTTTGAGATGACTTGATGTAATGTGCTTGTGTAAAATACTGAACTAAGGCTTGCCTTGTACCTATAAAAGGTAAAGTAGGTTATACCAGTTTTCAATTTAGAAAATTTTTAATTACACTCCACTGACTAGGGTCTAATCTGGGCATGCCACCTTATCCCAAATTTCCTATGACTTTGGAAAAAAATATTAACATGTCATTACAGATTTGTTTCTCAGGTAAAATTTCAAGGATATCATCACTGACTTTACTATGTTTTCTTTTCTTTTTTTTTCCTCTCGAATCCCCTCCCCTGCAACATACTCATTTGATTGCATTGTATTTATTGATCTTACAATGCCTTTCTCCTAAAAGCAAAAACAAACAAATAAATATACAAATAAATACCTAAAAAGAAACAAGCAGGAATAAAGATTACATGTAAATTGCTTAAATTTAATGGGCATCTCATTTGTGAGTCTGGCTTGTCAAAACCAAGTGCCCTAGATATGGAAATCATATCTCATATCTTTAGAGAATTTTCAGGCTTTTAGTAGTCTGCCAAAAGCTATAAGGGAGAAAGAAGTGAAATAACACTATTGAGTGTTCAGCATGTACATAGTGATACCTTGCTAGTACTTTTATTCATTTATATAAAAGTATCTCACCTGGTACTTTATGGTATTTCTCTCACTTACTTGCAATAATCTTAGTAGGTAGTCACTAATCTTTCTAGTTTCCATATTGGAAAAGCAGTGATCAGAGAGATGAAGTGATTCATGATAAGTGTCAAAGCTAGATGTAAAGAATAGATTTGTCTGTCTTCCAGATCTCATGGCTAAGGTTCTTTACTTCATACTTTGTTTATTTGAATTGTCCAGAATTGTAATAATGACTTGAAGTCAAGCAGCATGAACATTTTGAGCAGCATACACCTTCAGTGGACATTATATAGTTTTATTTTCTTCAGGAGAAAAAAAGAAGACTAAAATAGACTAAAAATAAAGTTCTAGAATTTGCCAAAGAAGTTTTTCTTGAATTTGTTTACTGAATTTCAGGATATCGATTTCTATAATATTTAAGTCATTGCCAAATTTGGAAAGCTTTTAAGAAACCTTTCTTTCTAGTTATAAGCATTCTACATAAAATGTAAATAAAAATAAAAGATTAAATTGTAGTGAATATCATAATATGTTGTTACAACATTAAAATTATTCTTTTCTTTGTGCATGGGTGATAATGTAGCATTAAAAATTTTCAAAAAACTTTTAATATCTATTACTTACACTTTTTAAAGGAGTATGTCCCCTCCTCTGCCATGAATAAGTGTTGTTCATATTAACAGATCAGGATTCTCTCATTAAGCTCTCTTAACATCTAGATTTGGGATACTCTAAACTCAGCCTTTTGAAATTTAGCCTTCATTCATTTATTCACTCATCTATTCATTAATTTACCAAACTGAGTTTAAGTAACAAACTGTCATGCTGTGCTAGGTGATGGTGATATAGAAAAGATGAACTAGACATTAGCAATTTCTTTAAGACAAATGATGGATTTGATATATTTATCTATCCCACTATTCAACAAAAATTAAATCAATATAATTCAACAAATATTTAATTAGCACTGAGTTGAGTAGCAAAGATAAAAATGAATAAAATAGGGAGGGGGGAGGGATAGCACTGGGAGATATACCTAATGCTAGATGACGAGTTAGTGGGTGCAGCACACCAGCATGGCACATGTATACATATGTAACTAACCTGCACAATGTGCACATGTACCCTAAAACTTAAAGTATAATAAAAAAAATGAATAAAATATTCTCATCAATGAAGTTCTACTATATTGTAAGGGAAAATAAATATCTAAGACTAAGTATGACACTATGATGTGAGAATTAGGAATAAAATGCATAATGTAGCAAAGAGGTATTTTTTTTGTGTGGAAGGATAGGGAACAGCTTCTCAAAAATGACATATTTGTGAAAATGTGCTTGATTCTGCCAAATAGAAAAGATGAGAAAGTCCCGCTAGGCAAAGTGAATAACATTAGTAAAACAGGTAAAACTGATGTGTCTACAAATCTGTTTTGGGCTTAAGTGGCTTTTTTGCAGCTCTTTTTCGAATCCCCAATTCAACTGTAGGTATAGTCAATGTGGAGCAAACACTTCTTTCTTTTTTGCTTTTTAATCAGTCCTTGAAGGACACAGTTTCTACAATGATGAATAGGTCTTATTTCATGCATTTTTCTATGTTGTTCTGAAGCCTCAGTATATGTTTTATTAGAATTGATATAGTAATGAACAGCAGCCCTGTAATAGTCCATATGGACTCAGATAGAAAAACTCCCCAGGTTCAAATCTTGTTCATAACTTAGAAACTGTGGCAAGTTGAAAAACATAGTTAACCCCTCTGACTCCCATTTGTAAAATGGAGATATAATGAAAATTTATTAAGTATGTTGATTTCTTATGATGATTAGGCACTATGCTAAGTGATTTGCATGTATCAACCCATTCAGTATTCTCAACAAGTCTGTGATGCAAAAAACTATCATCATCATCTCCAGTATACAAATGAGACCAATGAGATACACAGAAGTTGCTTAAATAGCTACGTGTGCCAGATAACGCAATACTCATTGCGTTACTTTTACATCGTTATAGAGTCCCTATTAATTCAGCATGAATGAACTTAAATTCATTCTTTTGCATACGGACCAAATTAGAAGGCCTAATCTGTCTTCAAGAAATGTGACGTTGAAAACACAACATTCATCATTGTTCGGTCTAAGAAGATAAGGACTGGACAAATTAAAAGGCAAACAGGACTTAGATGTTGGAGAACATTGTACATTGTTTAAAAAGTGATGGACATCCATTACGGTGTTTTAAGCAAAGAAATAACATGTTTAAGTTTACATCTTACAACATCTTTCAGTCACTTATATTTATGAATAACAAATTTAGGCTTCCCTAGCTTTAGTTTGCTTTACTGAAGCTAGGGAAACCTGTTAGGAAGGGGTTCTAATACCCCATACATAACATCATGGGGCAGAACAGTAAAGTTGGACAGGAGAGGACATTTTTGAGAATTGAAGAATATTGGTGCTAAAGATCTTCAGAATGTTTGATTACATACTCCTTAATTTGTTTAAGTTATATGCAGAAACGGGTATTCCCTAATAAGATCCCAATTCCTGGAATAAATTAAGACATCTTCAATTCAGACGCAAATATTTGGTTTCCCAATCGGAATTCACACAGCTCCTGTTTTATGTGTTCTTCCACTGCTTTTATATGCTAGCTAGACCTCAGACCTTTCTAAGAGCCAATCTCCTTTTGAGTGTACCACAGAGAGAGAATGAGAAATACTCACTACTCCTATGGCATGGTTGTTAGGCTCCAGACAGAGGCATATTCCAGTTGAATACACAGTCTGGAGATCATAAGAGAGTCCATATTTGAGAAAAAGTTACAGGATATTAGCATATAGATATTTTTGAAAGCCAAGAAATTGGATAAGATGAGCAAGAGAGTAAGTTTAGACTGAGAAGAAGCCAAGCCCTGGGGCTCAGCAATGTTGAGAAATCTGGGAGATATAAAAGAGCCAGCAAAGGAGACTGAGAAGAGGGAGTCTGTAAAATATGAGAAAAACAAGTAAAAAAATGGTGTCCTAGAGGCTAAATAGGAATGATTTCAAGGAGTAAGGGATAATCCCTTCCACAAATGCTGCTAAAATGTTGAAAATGCAAATATACATGGCCACAAGGAAACCATTGGTGACCTTGATAAAGGCAGCTTCAGTGTCAGAGTGGAGATTGAGAAAATGGGAGGAGAATTGCAGACAGTGAATCTAGACAACTCTTTTGAGGAATTTTGCTGAGAAGAAGGAAATGAAGTGAAATGAAATGCTAGCTGGAGGGGAAAGTTGAATTAATAGAGATTTTACCTTTAACTTTTTATTATAAAAGTTGTCAAATATGCAGCAAGATTGCCAGAGGATGTCTGTATACGTACTATCTGGGTTTAACAATTATTGATATTTTGCCATATATATTTTTATTTTTATATTAATTAATTAATTTATTTTTTGAGACAGAGTTTCGCTCTTATTGCCCAGGCTGGAGTGCAATGGCATGATCTCAGCTCACCGCAACCTCCACCTCCCAGGTTCAAGCGATTCTCCTGCCTCAGTCTCCCGAGTACCTGGAGTTACAGGCATGTGCCACCACACCCAGCTAATTTTGTATTTTTAGTAGAGGCAGGGTTTCTCCATGTTGGTCAGGCTGATCTTGAACTCTAACCTCAGGTGATCCGCCCACCTCGGCCTACCAAAGTGCTGGGATTACAGGCATGAGCGACTGCACCTGGCCTGCCATATATGTTTTTATGTTACATTTTCTGTAACATTTGAAAGTACATTTCAGATGTTAACCAAAGACCAATGAGATATGAGGAGGCGAAAAGAGAATTTTATTTTCTAAAAGCAATCCTCAAATTGGAGAAATGCAGCCTTTGGTGCAAAATTAAGGTGTGATCCCGGGAAGGATTAAGGAGTAGGAAATTATAGAGGCAAAAAACACAAGATGCAGTAGGAGGCGGGGATCAAATGCAGGGTCTGGACTGGATGGCTTTTAAGCAAGACATCACGTATCTCTTTTTATTGGCTGGCCTCGGGAAGTCTGTTGGTGGTCAGTTGATTAATTTCCATCTGCAATCTATCTTGGCCCTGAAAACAGGAACTGGTTTAGCTTATTTGTAGAAAGGAGGGTACTGTGACACTTTCAGAAAATCGCTTTGAGAATACAAAGTACATGACTGCTCTCTCACCAAGCCATGGCCTACTGGTTCTGTTTTAACTTCGAGTGCCTCAATTAGCCATGGGGAACTCATTTTGTCTGTCAGCTGGGACATACTTTAACACAGACATCAGATATTTCACTCTAAAATATTTTAATATGTCTATTTTCAAAATAAGGCCATTCTCCTACATCATTGTAGTACCGTTACTACATTTGGAATAATTTAACATACGGTTCCTACTGAAATTTCCAAAAATTTCCCCCAAATGTCTTTCAAAGCTACTTTGTTTTTCCCAAAGTAGGAACTAAATCAAGATCCAAGTGTACTCTTTTTATTCTAATTCTTTAGTATTTTTTTCCTATGACCTGACATGTTGAGGATATTGGGCCAGTTGTCATATAGAATATTCCACATTCTGGATTTTTCTGATTGCTTTCTTGTTGTAACATTGAACATTTTGAGTCACTATACCCCCACTCCCAACCCCACTCCACTTCCATCCCTGGTTATTTATTATGTAATCAGCAAGTTAAGTCTAAAGCCTTGATTAGATTCTGATTGAACTTTTTTTGTTGTTTGTTTTTACCGTAGTCCTTCATGGGTGATGCTTTAACATCATTTTAGATCTCATGGGTATTATATAATATCTTAATGTCTCACTATTATGGATACTGGATACTGTTTGATCACATGATCGAAAGTGATTTTTTTTTTTAAGATAGGAGAAAGATACAACATGTTTGTATGATAATGAAAATGATCCAGTGAGCAAGAGAAATTGATTATTTAAGAGAATACCCAGTTAGTAGAGTGATGCCTTTGGGTGGGCAAGAGCAATGTGCAAACTGAGTAGCTGGCCTTAGGAACACAAATGGATCAGCCCAAATAATGGATCACATCAGAAGAAAATCAGAGAAGGTGGCCACAGATGCAAATCTGTGGGACAATATGGTACAAGTTCTTTTTTGATTACTTTCCTTTTCTCTGTGAAGTAGGAAGCAGGATCATGAGCTGAGAGAAAGGATAGAGAAGGAAACATTGAATCTTAGAGAAGAGAAAATGTATGAAATAGTAGTTAAAAAGCAGGAGAGTGAATGGAATAGGATATATTGAAAGCACCAAAAATGGGACAGAAGTTTCATTTTGAAAGGGTGATAATAAACCTGGAGCTTAAATCCTGTCAAGGTATGAGGCAGCTACTAGATGACTGCAACAGGAGAGGTACAGTATGATAATATGTAATCTGAGCCAAAAATAAAGGAAGAAATATAGTTTACCTAACAGCAGTGATTAGCAATAAGCAATTCTACCCCAACTCCATCCCAGTAGAAAATGGAGTATGGGAGGGAGAATAGCCACTAATTAAGAAAACTTCAGAGAAAGCAGGAAAAGTAATATTATCAGCTGTTGAGCACTTAATAACACACCAAGCACTGATTTAAAATTTTACATATATGTCATCCTCATAACAGTCCTAGGTAGACACTATTCAAATGTCCTTTGTATAGTTTCAGAAGCCGAGGCACAGGTAGTTTAAGTAAAATGTCATGCAATTTATAAGTGGTGGAATCAGAAATCATAACTCATATGAATAATTTTAATAAAAAGATGATCTGGACCAAAATAAAGATGTAAATCATAAAATTATTTGAAGTGAATTAAGCCCAAAAAGAAACAGTTATAGGAGTTAACTTAATCATGAATATATTTTATAATATATTCAGGCATAAATAGAGTGGTTTCAGTATTAGCCCTCCTCTCTATGATACTGATAAAGCCTATAGCCAGAAATAACTTCAGTTAATGCCTTTGTTCTGGCCTAGATTTTCAACTTTCTTTATGGTTGGTCCTTACTCCTCATTGCCAATCCACATTGTCTGTGTCTATACTCCATGATGGTCTGATTGAACAGTTGCTTTTGGAGACAGAGCTAGGCTTTGTGGTACTTAAAGCTCAAATGATTTGGGGGCACTATCTAAGAAGAATTTTTTAAAAATGCGAAATTAGAAACAGTTCCTTGGAAGGAACCCAGGCATCCAAGGCATACAATGAAGATAAACTTCATTTGTAAGTCTGGTTTAGGATGTTTCCTCCTACAAAAAAGTTGTGCCTTCTTTTCTTGCAAAGGAACAGTACAGTCCTTAAAATATAAGCCTTCTGTCTTGACTATGGCTTAATAACCATATTTATATTCTTTTTCTTTTATTTCTATTTCTGTTCCTAATTATTATTTCTCAATTTGAGATAACTTAAGAGCTTCAAGAATTGGAAGTCTTCTGTTTAATTCCTTTACAAAGTGAAAGACTTCTACTCTCAAAAACCATTCTTTGATTGAAGAATGAATCACACTAAATCTTACTGTATACCATGATTTTATGTAGGAAAAAGTATCTTTTAGGTGATTTTATTTTAACCTGGAGATCTCTTTTTCATCTTAATCCAGAGAATTTTCTTTAGTAGCCTTAAACTCTCTCTTGTATTCTGGTGGATATCAGGTTTCATTACTTTTTCTGGCAGGAGTTTCTTCTGCTTCTATGTAAATACATGAATGCAAAGAGGTACATAAAGGAGTTGCCCTGTCCAATCCTACTGGCAGCTACACATATGAGAATTGAAGGAAAGAAAATGTTAAGGTTTTCTTTGTATGTAAATTGAAGTGAAGACTTGGAAATGGCTTGTTAAAAACATATACATTGAGAAGTATCTTGGATAATTTCTGTTCTGTGCATTATGTATTATTCTGAAAGCTTGGAATAGAAAGTAATTATCAATGTACATTAAGATAGATAGTAAAAATCATAATCATTGAAATCAACTGGGCAATGACTGGTAACATACTAGAACTTGACTCATAACAGACAAAAGATAGTTAACCTGTATGTCCACTGGCCATGGAATTTCTTTCTTAAAATAATCTGAAATTTTTAGTTTTAGACTTTCAAGAATCATTGTGGAATAAACAACAGAAGAAAGGAGACTTTTTATTCAATGAGATAATTACAGATTTGAAACTGCCATGTACTTTACTAATGTGCTTGAATATTTTTAGCTATTGTGGTTTGTTTTCTCCTAGGTGTATTTACACATAATCTACCCCAAATTACAAAGATTTTACTTGTGTTTTAAACATTAATTCATGCACTTATCTGGTCCATTTTAATAATGGCCTGGGCCAGAAGTATGCATGTTTTACACCACAGATTGCCAATATTTTGCCCAAATAAGAAAAAAGTTATAAATCAATATTCTTTTCTCTTTGTGTTGAGACATGGAAGATCAGGTTTGCATTTAATATTAATCTATTGCTTACCTAACTATACATAATCTATATTATTTTATTGTGAAGATTTTGCACATGCATTACTCTGAAATTTGTCAAGGAAGATAAGCCTATAGAGAAACAGCTCCACTATCCAATGAGTGTCCTGATGACCTTGAACATTTCCACGTAGGTCACATAAGTGAGGCTCATCTTCAGTCTGACACAATTCTTGAGAGAATGTTCTGGGGTTCCTTATGTAATAAGGAGAGACAAGCAGCCTAATGTGGAATTGCCACCAGGCCTTTTCCAATTCATCTCCCTAGTTTCAGTTGAACACAGGACTTTACACATTTTCCCTCTTAAAGGTACATTTTCAGGCTTCTATATAAGCCTTTAAAAATGCTTGGCTGTAATTCAGAATTATTTCCTCAATGACAGAGTGACCTTTCCTTCCCTTCAATATACATGCTTTCAGCTGCCAATGAGATTGGGCAGGACTACTGCTTTATGTACCTCTTTGTATGCCATCTGCCATCTGGCCTGTTTGGTGTCATCCCAGGGGACAAAGAATTCAGGGAACTGACATTACGCTGATCTTGTGTTTCCTGTCTGTGTAATAAACTGTCTGAATCCATGTGTTGTCACCTTACCAGCCAAATCCATGAAAGAGTGGTGAGTCATTCCATTTGCTGCACTTGTGACCCTTGTGGTTGGATTAGACATTGGATTGATTGTTGGTGAGGGACTACTTGACTACTTGACAATGCCATAATTCATTAATATAATGTTCTGAATTCAAGCATTCAATAAATGCCCATAGCTTATTTATCTCACATGGTAGGAGTGCTGTGCAGTTCGAAGATCACAATATATGTAACTTTCAAGCTATATATGTAGATGTCATTAAATATATATTTCTTTATCTTTAAAATAAAAATACCACTAAAAATGCTTATGTCATACATGAAGATAAACTGAGATAATAATAGATATAATTTTTGAGTACTTACCAGTTATACGACTCTGTTCCAAATCCATTATGCATGCTAACTTATTTAATCTACACAGCAACCACAAATTTGGCACTGTAATTATACTGATTTCACAGATGAAGGCACTTGAGATTATGTAACTTGCCCAAAGTCACATAGGTAAAGCCTAGATGAGGACTCAGGTATTCTGACTCGAGTCACTTTTAATTACTGTATTAAGTTGTGCCTGTAGTTAATGAAAGTGAAGTTCCCAAACATTACCATTTCGATGGTGGCACAAAGAAGCTTCATGGCCACTGTTCATGGAAGTATCTGCTTCTACAAATTAAATAACAAAGAAAGGGATTTTCTTTTCTCAATTCCAGAGATAAGTTGTTGGAGCCTTTCGGTGAAAACATGACCAACACTTATTTTACATCAATATTTCCTTGTGCAGATGGAATTTCTGTAATAGAATATACTATTTTCACCGTTCCTTTGTTACATTTTGGCTATAGCAGCTCCAGTGTCCCAAAGGGCAACAGACATATGCCCACAAAACTGCTCCAGAATACCAGAACTCTTTTTTCGTATGGTTTATAGTATATAGGTTACAATTTTGTCTTTCTTTAAGAGCCATGTTTGGTGACAGCCTATTATAGAATTGCATCTAGTAGTTATATTATTGGTTAAATTTCATGATGTAGGCGTATTCTATATGTTGTCCAACATGACTGTAAAAATCATTTATTTGAACTTTTTTGCTTTGGGCCAAAGTAGATTTCTGCATGCTTCTAGGTACCAATTACTGTGCTATCTTAACTATCTGGAAAGATAAAAAAAACTCTCAATTAAAATTTGCAGGTTCAGTAATATCATGACTACTCTATGGACATTTAAAAAGGCATTTTGGAAAATGTGTTTAGGTTCTATAACTAGGTTTACTCTTGGGGACAAGAGCCCATATTTGTTCAACTTTTGTCAAATGCTATACTGTCATGGTTCAAAGCTCCTAAATTAGTCTCATCCACTATGCATTCGGACAGTTCAAGTTCATGCATTTTATGGTAGAATTTGATATGCTACATTTTGCATGATCTAAGTGGAAGGAGAGGGAGATTTTATTACTTTCCAAGTTTAGCTCAAAATTTGTTCACGAAATACAGACTTAAAAATTGTCATTGGTTCTATATTCTTTTCAAACTAGGTACAAACTTTAAACTGTATATTCTATAAGACCAGTTGTTATTTTCTAGCCCTAGAAGATATGAGTACAGTTTTTTTTTCTTGTTATGTCTACAGTTGTCTCAATATCTAATGGATAAGTTTAGGAAACTAACTCAACAACTCCAATTTTTATGCTAGACCATAAAAACAACTGTAGAGTAGTTCAAAAACTTAAACACGGTATCTGAAATTGAATTACCAGCCAGAGTAAAAGGTAGCATTTATGTACTAAACTACTTTTTAAGAGGTTTTTGAAATATTCAAATTCCAATCCTGATAACGGATCCCTGAGAGGAGAATAGAACATGGGATTTAAACTAAAAAATAAAATTCAATATCTAACTTTGTATAGTTCTTGGTTTAAAATACTTTATTTTAAAAGGAAATGGTTACTTGTAAGTCTAAAAAAAGAAATTCTAAAAATAAAAAGCTCTAGATGGAACAGATACACAGAACCTCTCTAATAGAAGTATTCACTTCATCCTGAAGTGGTTTGTTACTGTATATATATTTGTGTTTTGGGGAAACGGCCCTGGGAGTGGGGGACATTGAAAGTTGAATGAGTAAGGAGGAGAAAAAGATGGGGTGAGGGCAGAGAGATAACAGTATACCGGGTGGGGTTCTGTGGGTCATTACAAAGGCTTTGGTTTTACTCAGAATAAGATGGAAAGCCATTAAAGGATTCTGAGCAAAGGCTTGTCAAAGGGACAAACATATAGTGATCCTAGAATATATGTCATAAAAGGCTCATTCAGGCTCTAAGTTGCAAATAGACTCTGGGGAGCAAAAGTGGAAATGGAGTGGTGAGTTTGCTACCATGGCAATTAGGGCACTCCAGCTGCAGGGTTCCCCTTGCCATTTCCCCCAATAGGCCAAGCACATCCTCCTGCCCTGTATTTGCTATTCCCTCTGCCTGCAATGCTTTTTCCCAAATATCTTCATAGTTGCCCATTTGCTTCCTTCAGTTCTCTGCTAAAAAGTGACTTTTAATGAATATCCCCTCAATACTTCCTATCCTCCTTTTCTAATTTGCTTATTCTCCTTAGCACATACAACCATCTGACTTATTGTTTAATCTACCAATGTTTTTAAATAAAAACAAAATTCTACGACAAAGTTTTGCTTTGTTGCACAGGTTGGTCTCAAACTCTAGGCCTCAAGCAATCCTCCGACCTTGGACTCCCAAAGTGCTGGGATTACAGTCATGAGCCACCATGCCTGGCCTAATCTGTTAATTTTTCTATATTTGGTTATTGTCTTATCTGCTCAGGAGAATAGATACATCATGAAAAAGGCAGTTATTATTTATCTTTCTTGCTCTTTTTTTTATGGCTGGATCTCTAGCACAGAGCATAGTGTTTGGTACATAGTAGATGCTCAACAAATATTTGTGAGATGAATGTAAGAATGTCACCTACAATCACTCCATAGTATTTCTCTTGCAAAGTGTAGTGTGCCAAAGGCTGGAGGGTATTTCCAGTTAAAATGAAGGTATAAGGCCATGTGGCATTTCAAAATAAACATGGTTTACAACCAATTTGGTTCACATCTTTGAAATTATGTGATTATTATTTTTATTGAGTTATTTACATAAATTGAAACTGTTTATGTAAAGTAAGAATTAATATTTTAAGGTATTTCAAATGTGCATGATTTAAATTAATATAAAATAAAACTCCATATATGTAATCTACCACAAGAGGATTTCTCCTTTCCATTTATGCTTTATAGAGCACTTTTTCTCCAAAGAAGTTTAAGCAAGCAAACCAAAAAAATGAAAACAAAAACCTCTATTGTAATAATAACAGTAGGGGAGAAAATAGGAGCAGTGGGAGAAAAACAGAGAATAGCAAACATGGATAAAGGAATAATAAAATTAAGACACCTTTAGGTGACAACCTTTTAAAAGAACAATTAAACCACCTGTAGACTGACGATCTTCTTCTCAGTAATTTTATAACACATAGACTTTCCTTTAAAGGTTAGACTTTAGGCTGGGCATGGTAGTTGCTGCCTATAATCCCAGCACCTTTTGGAGGTTAAGGTGGGAAGATAGCTTGAAGCCAGAAATTCAAGGTGAGTCTGGGCAAAAAAGAATCTCAGACCACCCCTTCAACCATCCCCCTCCCCGCTGCACTCCTCTGTCTCTCAAAAAAAAAATAATAATAATAATTAGCCACGTATGGTGGTGGTGGTGTACACCCCTGTGATTTCGGTGTCTCTGGAAGCTGAGACTAGAGGCTCACTTGAGCCCAGGAGTTCAAAGTTAAAGTGAGGTATGATGGAGCCACTGCACTTAGCCTGGGTGACAGAGCAAGACTCCATCTGAAAAAAAAAAAAAAAAAAAAAAAAAAAGAACAAAGAAAGAAAGAGTTCAGAAATGTTTTTAACTGGGATTGTCTAAAAATATACATGCAGGATCACAATGTTTTTCTTTTTTAAGAAAATGTCCTCAGAAGAACGCTGTTTCCCAACTCTGATCACAGCTTATCTACTTTAGAACTATTAGTGTTGCTATGAAGAATTCGAGAGGGTCTGCTTGCCGTTCTCCAGCTGATCCTATAATTTATAGTCTCTTAGCATGTTTCCCTATACTGCAATCTCTTCCCTAAATTCTTTGGATTTCTTAATCCCACACCATTTGGATACAAGACGAGAATGCAAAGCTACAATATAAGGTGAAAAATCCTCAAAGAATCTGAACCCCATCAACTGTTCCTAAGAAACTACTGTGGTGAAGACCAATGAAAGGGATAGTTTTTTATTTACATCCATGCAGACTTTAGGTCTGCTGAAATAAAATTTAGTGTTCATATATCTGTTATACCTGGCTGATAATTTGTCTAATGATCGTAAGAACCATAATGAAATGAGATTTTTTTCTCAGGAAAATCAAAGGCATTATAGAATTGTTTTAGCAGGTTGTATTTTATGCTTTTAAAACCTGATTAGGTTCTCTTTATCTCTGGGCTTTCCTCAACTAATATAGGTAAAATTGGTTATTTCATTCACAGTACTCCCACCAAACTTGTTCATATTTGTTTTTATGGCACTTAGCGCATCACAAAGCAATTTATCATTTAATCTATTTGTTTAATTCTTCTTACTCCCAGCAAATAGCAAAGTGACTGCTTTGTAATAGGATTTGTATTAATCTATCAATGGTTTAAAATGTAATATTTTAATTCAGAATGCTATATTTTACATGCTTAGATTTATGTCGCATAAGTGAAATTTGAATATATTTTGTTTTATATTGTCAAATTGTGTATTTTGTATGCACACTTGCAGTCCAGTAGACAAAGAAGGCACATTCTGAATTTAATTTCATTAGCTAGAATCTGTAATGGGAATATAAAATGACTCAACATGTGTTGTTGCCAGCAACAAATGCCACCCTAGTACTTATGAGTCAGATCTAGTTTGAATGACACAGCCATCTAAAAAGCCAATAGTCTATTATAGAGCATGTTTTAGAGCAAAGCATACAGCTAAACACTATCAATACTTAGCTATCATGCTTCTCATTATTTATTTTAAAATTTTTAGATTTTTGTTATAGAAATTCTAAGTACCCATTGAAAGTTGGACTACTCGTCTCTAAAGAAACTTTTATGTCTCTTTTGGCTATTAACATAAAGAAGACAATAACTCACTAGTAAAATTAAAGTGGTTAAACCCAAGATGGTTTATTTCCTTGAATAAATTTGGTACACTTCAGAGAATGTAAATATTCTCCATGATACCTATAAGAAATGCTTTTGGGAAGATATTCATCAACCAGATGTACCTTACTGACCTGGATATGGTTTAGGATTGGGAGGCTTGCTCCTAATTTTTGTATTCACAGATGTAAAGTCAAGGTTTACCTGCATTATGCGTGGCATTTCTCAGTCATTCCATCTCCATGAAATTTCAAACACTTGAGCTAAAATTTGTCATAATGAAGAATTGTTCACATACTGATTTTGTTTCCTCTTCATATAATTATTTTACAATAAAGCTTTAGTCCATAGTAAATCCTCTCACATCTTAAAAATTCATCTATAATGTCACATTTTCCAAGAGTTATTGTTTGCTTTATAGTATATAATTATTGAGTACTTTGCATGATGCATTTCAATGCAACTCGAAGATACAGAGGAAGAAAGCATGAAGCTTCTTTCTGAATTGAAATAGTGATATTTAATACATTGGCCAAAGAGAAGGCCATCATTGCAGGCTCAGTATACTCCCAGGGCATGAAGTCCACTCCATTCAGCCTCTAGAGAAGAGCTAAGAGATGAAAATCAGAAGATGGTGCTCAGCTGATGCAGTCAGGAGGCAGTCAGGCATAGACACTTTCCTCATGTGCCTTTTTTTGTTTATTTGTTTTCTTTCATTTTGCAAAGCGTTAGGAAAAAAGACCTGCTTTATGAATTCTGCAGAACTCAAAAATCACTAGTAAAAATGGTCTTTGGACATTTATTTATTGGTTAATACGATCATATACAATTTTTTTTTATTACCAGTAAGAAGAGAATAAAAGGTGAAATCAGCAACAATGTGTATTTCAAACAGCTGGGGAAGTCCCATATTGATCACTGCCATTTGAAATGTGATAGTGGGAACTAGGGAAATATTAGACAGTTGAAACTGTATTTGAGACCCAAAGAACAGGGAGCCAAAGAGATCAATACATTCCTGTACTTTTTGCTGAGGCTCCTTAACATTGTGGGTTTTTTTTTTTTAATTTTAGCTTTACTGAGGTATAATTGACAAATAAAACTTGCATGTATTCAAGATATACAACGTAATGTTTTAATTATACATCTGCATTGTGAAATGATTGCAGTAATCAAGCTAATTTACATATCCATCCCCTCACATAGTTACACTGTGTGTGTGTGCATGATGAGAATATTTAAGATCTCTCTTCAGCAAATTTTAAGCTTATAATACAATGCTATTAACTATAGTAATCATGCTGTGTGTCTGGTCTCCAGAAATTATTCATCTTACAGCTGTAAATTTGTACCCTTTGGCCGACATCTCACCATTTCCCCTACCCCCCACCTTTGTTAACCAACTTTCTACTCTGTTTCTGTGAGTTCGAGTTTGTTAGATCCCACATGTACATGAGATCATGGAGCATTTGTCTTTGTGTGTCTGGCTTATTTCACTTACCATAATGTCTTGCAGGTTCATCCATGTTGTTGCAAAGTCAGGATTTTCTTCTCTTTAAGTGCTAAATAATATTCCATATTGAATAATATTCCATATATATATATTACATTTTCTTTCCCATTCATCCATCAATAGACACTTAGGTTGGTTGTTTCTATATCTTGGCAACTGTGAACACTACTGCAATAAACATGAGGATGCAGATATCAGTGATTTTATGTCCTTCGGTTATATACCCTGAAGTGATATTGCTGGATCACATGGTAGTTCTATTTTTAATATTCTGAGGAACCTCCCTACTGTTTTCTATATAGCTGTGCCAACTTAAATTCCCACCAACAATGTATAAGGGTTCCCCTTTCTCCATATCCATGCCAACATTTTTTATCTTTTTTCTTTATTACAATAGACATGCTAACAGATGTGAGGTGGTATCTCACTGTGGTTTTGATTTGCATTTCTCTGATGATTAGTGATGCTGAGTACCTTTCCATATACATGTAGACCACTTGTATGTCTTCTTTGGAGACATGTCTACTGAAACGTCTAGCCCATTACCTAATAGGGTTGCTTGAGGTTTAAAAAATAAAATAATATGAGTTTCTTGAATTTAATGTATATTAACCCTTTATCGAGTATATGTTTTGCAAATATTTTCTTCTATTCTTTTTTTTTTTTTTTTTTTTTTTTTTTTTTTGAGGCAGTATCTTTCTCTGTCACCCAGGCTGGAGTACAGTGGTGCGTCTTTGGCTCACTGCAACCTCCGCCTCCCAGGTTCAAGCGATTCTCCTGCCTCAGCCTCCTGAGTAGCTGGGATTACAGGCATGCGCCACCATGTGTTGTCTTTTCATTTTGTTGATTGTTACCCTTGCTGGGCAGAAACTTTTCAGTTTAATGTAGTTCCATCTGTTTATCTTTGCTTTTATTGTTTGCATTTTTGTGTTTTATCCAAAAAATCATCTCTGAAATTACAATTATAGAGCACTTTTTTCTGTTTTCTATTAGAAGTGTTAAGGTTTCAGGTCTCATGATTAAGTCTTCAATTCATTTGGAGTTGATTTTTCATATGTGTAGGATAAAGAGCCAGTTTCATATTTTTGCATTTGAATATTAGCTTTTCTAACACCATTTATTGAAGAGACTGTTCTTTCCCCTTCATATATTCTTAGAGCCTTTGCCGAAGATTAATTGACCATATATACCTGGGTTTATTTTGAGGTTTTCTATTATAAATATATATACACACACATATACATATATAAATTATATAAAAACACATACGTGTGTGTGTGTGTATGTATATATATATATATAGTTTTCATGCCAGTGTGCTGGTATCATATTGTTTTGATAAGTTTTGTTTTGTAATAATTTGAAACCAGGAAGTATGATGCCATCAGCTTCATTCTTCTTGCTCAAGACTGCTTTAGCTATATGGCTTTATATGAATTCTGGTTTGATTTTCCATTTCTGTGTAAAATGCTATTGGAATTTTGATAGGAATTGAATTAAACCTGTATACTGCTTTGGAACGTATAGGTATTTCTACAATATTAAGTCTTCTCACCCATGAACACAGGATGTTAATTTTTTCATAGCTTCAATTTTTTTTATTAATGTTTTATTGTTTTCAGTGTACCTTTTACCTCCTTCGTTAAATTTCTACCTAAGTATTTTATTCTTTTTTATGCTATTATACATGGCATTGCTTTCTTAATGTCTTTTTTGAATAGTTCATTGTTAGTATATGGAAACACAACTAATTTTTATATGTTAATGTTATATCCTGCAATTTTACTGAATTAATTTATTAGTTCTACCAGTTTTGTTGGTGGAGTCTTTAGAGTTTTCTATATGTAAGATGACGTCATCTGCAAACAGAGACAATTGCCTTCTTCTTTTATGTTTCGGATGGTTTTGGTTTCTTTTTCTTTCCTAGTTGCTCTGGCTAGAACTTTCAGTGCTATGGTGAATAGAATTAGTGAGAGTGGGCATTCTTGTCTTGTTCCTAATCTTGTTGGGCAAGCTTTTAGCTTTTCAATGTTTGATGTCAGCTGTGGGCTTCTGATATATGACTTTTATTGTGTTTAGGTGCATTCTTTCTATTACCTCATCTTTTGGAAATTTTTATCATGAAAGGATATTGAATTTTGTCAAGTGATTTTTCTGCATCTATTGAGATGATAATTTTGTCATTCATTTTGTTAATGTAATATATCATGTTTATTAGTATCTGTACAGTAAACTGAAACATATTGCATCCCAGGGATAAATCTAACTTGATCATGGCACTGTTGAATTTGGTTTGTTAAAATTTTTTTAGGATTTTTGAATCTATGTTCATCATGGATATTAGCCTGTAAATTTTTTTGGTAGTATCTTGTCTGTCTTTGGTGTCAGGTTAATATTGGCCTTTTAAATGAATCTGGATGTGCTCTCTCCTCTTCAGTTCTTTGGAAGAGTCTGAGAAAGATTGGTGTTAATTATTCTTTAAATGTTAAATAAAATTCTACAATGAAATTATCAGTTTCTGAGCTTTTCTTTGATGGGAGATTTTTAATTAGTGAATCAGACTTCTCACTCATTATTAATCTATTTATATTAATATTTCTTTATAAGTCTTTGTAAGTCATGTTTTTCTTGGAATTTATTCATTTATTCTAGGTTATCTAATTTGTTAGCATGTAATTGTGATGGTAGTCTCTTATGATACGATTCATTTATAATTTTATTTATTTGAGACTCTCTTTTTTCTTTAGTATAGCTGAAGTTTACAAATTTGGCTTATTTTTTCAAAAAACCAACTCTTGGTTTGTTGATCTTTTCTATTGCTTTCCTAGTCTCCATTTCATTTATTTCTGCTCTGATCTTTGTCCTTTTCCTTTCACTAACTTTGAGCTTAGCTTTTTTTTTTTTTTTTTTTTTTCATAGCTTGAGGGGTAAAGTTGGATTGTTTATTTGAGATCTTTCTATTTTCTTCATGCAGCCATTTATCACTGAAAACTTCTCTCTTGGACAATGCTGCATCCCATAAGGTTTTGTATGTTTCCTCCTTCATTTGCTTCAATATATTTTTAAATTTTCCTTTTGATTTCTTCTTTTAACCATTTATTGCTCACAATCATGTTGTTTAATTTCCATATATTTGTGAATTTTCTAGTTTTCCTCCTGTTACCAACTTCTAGTTGTATACCATTAAGTTGAAAAAGGTCCTTGGTATAACTTCAGTCTTCTTGAATTTGTTCGGACTTGTTTTGTGACCTAACGTGATATGTCCTGAAGAATATTCCATGTTCATTTAAGAATAATGTGTACTCTGCTGCTGATGGGTGAAATGCTCTATCTGTTAGGTTTATTTGGTCTATAGGGTAGTTCAAGTACAGTGTTTCTTTGTTGATTATCTGCCTGGATGATCTGGGGTTCTGGAGGCAAAGCATCCCATACATCTCATGGTAGCGTCTCTGATGGAGTCAGTGGAGCTATTAGTAGCTTCTGCAGCCTCCCTTCTCTCTTTCCAGCCTCTCCCAGTTACTGAGCAGTGTCAACCACTTCAGGATTCTAGGTGAAGCAAGATAGAAGTGAGTCTATTAGGCAGTGTTCTGCATGCTGGAGGTGTCAGGCACTCAGTCACTATGCCTTTACTTTCCATGTAGGAGAAATCATGGGCTGTAGGGGCTTCTCTTGGCATCAACCTGTGCCACCCTGGGGTACAGGCGACATAGGTAACCTGATACTGTTCTTCCTTTGATAAGTCAGTTTTTGGATTTTATGATGCCACAGTCTGCTGGAACTTCTTCACTGGACTTCCAGATTTCCACAAAGGTACTTTTGTTTGTAGATACTTGTTTAAGTTGAGGCTGCTTCAGAGGATGATGATAGAAGCTCCTGTTTCACCATCCTGTGCATCTAATTAGCTAGTGTTGCTTTAAGTGTAAGGTACAGAGCCATATCTCTGCTTTAAAGGCCTAAACTTATTAGAATGAAGGGCAGGATTGACAGATTATGCTAGAAATTCTTTGTGATAAATTAATCACAATTAAACATAATATAAATTAATTAAGATTACATTTGTGTAAAATGAGCCGTGAAAACAGGTATTTTTTCCAAGTTTTATTTTAGGTTCAGGGGGTACATGTGCAGGTTTGTTACATGAGTAAATTGCATGTCATGGCTGTTTGGTGTACAGATTATTTTGTTTCCAGGTAACGAGCATAGTACCTAATAGGTAGTTTTTTTTTTTCATCCTTGCCCTACTCCCACCCTCTGCCCTCCCACCCTTCACTTTGTGTTTATTGTTCCCTTCTTTGTTTCCATGTGTACTCAGTGTTTAGCTCCCACTTGTAAGTGAGAACATGTGGTATTTGGCTTTCTGTTCCTGCATTAATTTGCTTAGGATAATGGTCTCCAGGTCTTTCCATGTTGTTGCAGAGAACATGAGTTCATTCCTTTTTATGACTATGTAGTATTCCATAGTGTATATGTATCACATTTTCTTTGTGCAGTCCACTATTGATGGGCATCTAGGTTGATTCCATGTCTTTACTATTTTGAATAGTGCAATGAACATATGTATGCATGTGACTTTATGGTAGAACAATTTATATTTCTTTGAGTAAATACTCAGTAATGGGCTTTCTGGCTCAAATAATGGTTCTATTTTAACTTCTTTGAGAAATATCCAAACTGCTTTCCAAAATGACTGAACTAACTTACATACCCACCAGCAATGTATAAGCATTCCCTTTTCTTTAAAGCATCACCAGCATCCATTATTTTTTGACTTTTATTAATAGCTATTCTGGCTGGTGTCAGATGATATCTCATTGTGGTTTTGATTTGTATTTCTCTAATGAGTCATGAAGTTGAACATTTTTTATATGCTTATTGGCCACATTTATGTCTTCTTTTGAGAAGTGTCTGTTCATGTCCTTTGCCCATATTTTAATAAGGTTGTCTGTTTTTTTGCTTGCTAACAAGGTTCTTAGAGATTCTGGATATTAGACCTTTGTCAGATTCATGGTTTGTGAATATTTTCTCATATTCTGTCGGTTGTCTGTTTACTCAGTTAATACTTTCTTTTGCTGTGCAAAAGCTCTTTAGTTCAATTAGGTCCTCTTTGTTAATTTTTGTATTTCTTGCTATTGCTTTTGGCATCTTCATTATGAAACCTTTGCCAGGAGCTAGGTATTGGCATGTCTTAGGTTTTCTTTCAGAACTTTTATAGCTTTAGGTTTTACATTTAAGGCTTTAATCCATCCCGAGTTGGTTTTTGTATATGATGAAAGGGGAAAGAGTAAAGTTTCAATCTTCTCCATATGCCTAGCCAGTCATCTCAACACTACCTATTTATTGCATAGAGAATCCTTTCCCTTATGCTTGTTTTTGTTGGCTTTGTCAAAGATCAGATCGTTGTAGGTGTATGGTTTCATTTCTGGGTTCTCTAACCTACTCTATTGGTCTGTATTTCTATTTTTATATCAGTACCACGCTGTTTTCATTGTATTGATCTGTGGCTATTCCTATCAAACTATCAATGACATTTTTCACATAATTAGAAAAAAACTACTCTAAAAATTCATATTGATGCAAAAATAAAAAGCCCAAATAGCCAATGACATCCTAAGCAAAAAGAACAAAGCTGGAGGCATCACACTACCTGGCTTCAAACTCTACTGCAAACAGTTCTTAAGGTCTTCTGAACTTTTTGAATATTTACTATGAGTAATGCAGTAAAAATCTCCCTTGCCCCTCTACCTTCCAACTGAAAAAATGTTCATTTAACTGAAAGTTTGCAAATTGCAGTTTGAAAAATGTTAAACAATGTTAGTTTTGGAGAGCATAAGTGGGAATGGATGATGATCTTAAATTGAAAAAAAATTAATATTATTTATTCAATAAAATCTGAATCAATATTCAGTTTAAGTGACTAGATTTACATAATGAAGATTTTATTTCTCATAAATTAACTTCTTACCTGGTTTTATTTGATTTTTGTTTGTTACCAGTGCCTTAACTTACCTAATATATTCCTTACACATTCATCATGCAGTTGACACTTGAACAATACAAGTTTGAACTATTTAGGTTCACTAATATGCAATTTTTTTGGATAAATATATTAGAAAACTTTTTGGAGATTTGTGACAATTTGAAAGAACTCACAGATGAACCATGTAACATAAAAAAAGAGAAAAACTTAGATATGTCATGAATGCATAAAATATATGTATACATCAGTCTATTTTATCATTTACTACCATAAAATGTCCACAAATCTATTATAAAAAATTAACATTTTTTCAAACTTACCCACACAAACACTTACAGACCATACATGGCACAATTTGCAGTGGAGAGGAATGTAAATAAATATAAAGATGCCATATAAAATCACAACTGCACAAAATTAACTACAGTACATACTGTACTAGAGTAATAATTTCTTAGCCACTTCTTTTTGCTATTATGGTGAGCCCAAGTGTTGCAAGTATTGCTTAAAGTACCATGTAGCATCAGTCATCTCCACATCAGCAATTTGTCTCTCCAGTAAACTGCATAGTGCAGTAAAATTTGATTTGTGTAATTTCTCAGATATTTTTTGTTGTTTAATGCAATACAATAAACTGAATAATGCCATGGGAATGAAGTGACACTAGCAATGCTGGAAGTACTTCCAAGAAGCAGAAAAATGTCACTACATTACAAGAAAAAATGTGAATTGGGCCAGATGCAGTGGCTTACGCCTGCAATCCCGACACTTTGAGAGGGCGAGGTGGGTGTATCACCTGAGGCCAGGAGTTCGAGACCAGCCTGGCCAACATGGTAAAAGCCCTTTACTACTAAAAATACAAAAATTAGCCTGCCATGGTGGCATGCTCCTGTAGTCCCAGCTACTTGGGAGGCTGAGGCATGAGCAAAGAGAGTGCCACTGCACTCCAGCCTGTATGACAGAGCAAGACTTTGTCTCTCTCCCCACCCCACTACCCAAAAATGTGAATTGCTTGATATGTACCATAGACTGATGTCTGCAGCTGTGATTGCCTACCATTTCAGACATTTGATTCATCTTGGAAGCCAATAACATAAACTTACAGTATCAATAAATACAGTACTATAAATATATATTTTTTATTATTTTCTTAATAACATTTTTGCTCTAGCTTACTTTATTGTAAGAATATAGTATATAATACATATAACATACTAAATATATATTAATTGACTATGTTATCGGTGATGCTGTGGGCTAACAATAGGCTATTAGGAGTTAAGTTTTGGGGAAGTCAAAAGTTAGACACTAATTTTCTTTTCTTTCTTTTTTTTTTTTTTTTTGAGACAGAGTTTTGCTCTTGTTGCCCAGGCTGGAGTGCAATGGCACTATCTTGGCTCACGGCAACCTCCGCCTCCTGGGTTTAAATGACTCTCCTGCCTCAGCCTCCTGAATAGCTGGGATTACAGGCACCCGCCACCACACCCAGCTAATTTTTGTGTTTTTAGTAGAGACAGGGTTTCACTATGCTGGCCAGGCTGGTCTCGGACTCCTGACCTCAGGTGGTCCACCCTCCTTGCCCTGCCAAAGTGCTGGGGTTACAGGCGACAAATTTTCAAATGCATAGAGAGTCAATCCCCTAACCCTTTATTTGTTCAAGTGCTGATTATGTTATAAACTTTTCTTTAAATGTGCTGAAAAAAATCTTTTAAAAGTTTTGTTTGCTATAACATTGGATCATTGAATTAGATATTGGGGGTCTCCCAATAACATAAAAATCATCCTAATATTTAAGAATGTTTGGCTTATTTGCTTCCTTATCATTTCATTAAAAATTGTTAGACAGTGACCACTCTAAAGTAATAGAAGAAAATGCACAGGAAGCTATCTGCTCCCATCGGCTTCTCTTTTTCCTCTGCCCTGCTAGAGAACTTTATTAACGTTATGCTTAACCTGAAACTTGTATTTCAATCTATAAATAGAAAAATTGTTTTTAACATCCCTAATACCTATGGTTTAGGATTAAGTATAATTTTAAGTATTTAATTAACTCATCGTAGAGAGCATATTTCCATGGTGCCAAGGCAGTTATGAAATTAGAAGGGACACTATATAAAAATATTAATTGAACTAAGTAAAACTAAAAGTTACTCCTGCCTTTCCCTTTTTCCCCAATACCAGGAAAATTAATATGTTTAAATTGAATTGCCTTCTTTCCCCTGAATCTGTCTTTTCTTTTCTCAGCCAATCACAATCCCACTTTGAATTCTTCAAAGTGCAACCAAAATGCTACCTTCTTGATGAAGCATTCTCTGACTTTTTCATCAGAAGCAATATCTATCTCCTTAAACCTGTGCAGATTATCTCTTACTTTCTTGCACCTTTTGCTTTGTAGTATAGTAATTTATAGAAATTCCTATAGTCCTTGAGAAAGTGAAGTTCCTTGATTGTATGTTTGTATCTTATTCGCCTCTGAGTGGAAATATCATGAAGGGGTTGAGTGTCTTGGGCCTGGAGACAGAACTATCTGTGCTTAAAGTTCACCCATTATGTGATCTTGGGCACCTTATTCCACCACTCACATTTTTAAATTTATCCTCCAAAACACAGGGTTACTTCACCGGGAAGTGCATTTAAAGAATTAGAATAGTAAGCACTTCACAACTACTACTAGCTATTGCTATTGCTCATATCACCTTCAGATAAGGTGTGCATATAGTATGCAGAGAAATTAATCTATTAGATTAAAAAATCTATACTAGATAAAATATCTATTAGATAAAAGAAGTATATTTTGTTCTTGTTTTCAGCAATTACTGCTTCTCACACTTCCAAGAATAATGAATCTCTCTTTTTCTTAGTATTCCTACCTCCTTGTTATTGAATTAGCAGTATTTATTGGGTTTTCACAGGGTCTAGAGAAGTATATAAGGATCGTGGGGACCGGGCGCGGTGGCTCACGCCTGTAATCTCAGCACTTTGGGAGGCCAAGGAGGATGGATCACGAGATCGAGACCATCCTGGCTAACACGGTGAAACCCCGTCTCTACTAAAAATACATAAAATTAGCTGGGCGTAGTGGCGGGCGCCTGTAGTCCCAGCTACTCAGCAGGCTGAGGCAGGAGAATGGCGTGAACTTGGGAGGTGGAGCTTGCAGTGAGCCGAGATCGCACTCCAGCATGGGTGACAGAGGGAGACTCCGTCTCAAAAAAAAAGAAAAGAAAAGAAAAAAAAATCATGAGATATAAGAAATATTATGACATGTTTCCTTACTCTCAGGATACTTAACACTACAATTTGGTTTGACCGTTTGACTAAAAGACATGAAAACAAAACTGTTGCATAAAGGATTGCCTTCTCTTTGCATCACAAAAATGTATAAAATGTATTTTAAGGAGGAAGGAATATTTATATAGAAACATTTTTGACATAGCCATATTTATTATAATACCATTCTTATCGGTTGCGTTAAATGAGGTAGTCAAAGGTCTACTCTCTAAAGGTCTTGTCGTTATAAATCAATAATACTCTTGGCCCAATATGCAGTATTCAAAAAATAATGAAAACAAAGCAATCTATTTTGAGCACAATGTTCATATTTTTTCAGTGAATTTTAAATAAAGAGCCATTTATTTGAAAACTACTGTAGAATTTCTTGTCATTTTTGGTAGCATTTTTTATTATATATATCGTGTTCTATAGTAGTAATTATAGTGTACATGGAATTTAAATCCATGTCTTGAGTTATTATATTTAAAAATCACATAGATTTTTTTCAAGTGACTTCTTAGCCTAGTTTTAAGTTATTCGATTTTTGGGTGTTCTGACTCAGAGATAGCATTTTAAAACCCCAGTCACCCTCCACCTCTGTACTATTCCTTTTTTTTATATATATACTTTAAGTTTTAGGGTACATGTGCACATTGTGCAGGTTAGTTACATGTGTATACATGTGCCATGCTGGTGCGCTGCACCCACTAACTCGTCATCTAGCATTAGGTATATCTCCCAATGCTATCCCTCCCCCCTCCCCCCACCCCACCACAGTCCCCAGAGTGTGATATTCCCCTTCCTGTGTCCATGTGATCTCATTGTTCAATTCCCACCTATGAGTGAGAATATACGGTGTTTGGTTTTTTCTTCTTGCGATAGTTTACTGAGAATGATGATTTCCAATTTCATCCATGTCCCTACAAAGGACATGAACTCATCATTTTTTATGGCTGCATAGTATTCCATGGTGTATATGTGCCACATTTTCTTAATCCAGTTTATCACTGTTGGACATTTGGGTTGGTTCCAAGTCTTTGCTATTGTGAATAATGCCGCAATAAACATACGTGTGCATGTGTCTTTATAGCAGCATGATTTATAGTCCTTTGTGTGTATACCCAGTAATGGGATGGCTGGGTCAAATGGTATTTCTAGTTCTAGATCCCTGAGGAATCGCCACACTGACTTCCACAATGGTTGAACTAGTTTACAGTCCCACCAACAGTGTAAAAGTGTTCCTATTTCTCCACATCCTCTCCAGCACCTGTTGTTTCCTGACTTTTTAATGATTGCCATTCTAACTGGTGTGAGATGGTATCTCATTGTGGTTTTGATTTGCATTTCTCTGATGGCCAGTGGTGATGAGCATTTTTTCATGTGTTTTTTGGCTGCATAAATGTCTTCTTTTGAGAAGTGTCTGTTCATGTCCTTCGCCCACTTTTTGATGGGGTTGTTTTTTTTTTCTTTTAAATTTGTTTGAGTTCATTGTAGATTCTGGATATTAGCCCTTTGTCAGATGAGTAGGTTGCGAAAATTTTCTCCCATGTTGTAGGTTGCCTGTTCACTCTGATGGTAGTTTCTTTTGCTGTGCAGAAGCTCTTTAGTTTAATTAGATCCCATTTGTCAATTTTGTCTTTTGTTGCCATTGCTTTTGGTGTTTTGGACATGAAGTCCTTGCCCATGCCTATGTCCTGAATGGTACTGCCTAGGTTTTCTTCTAGGGTTTTTATGGTTTTAGGTCTAACGTTTAAGTCTTTAATCCATCTTGAATTGATTTTTGTATAAGGTGTAAGGAGGGGATCCTATTTCAGCTTTCTACATATGGCTAGCCAGTTTTCCCAGCACCATTTATTAAATAGGGAATCCTTTCCCCATTTCTTGTTTTTCTCAGGTTTGTCAAAGATCAGATAGTTGTAGATATGCGGCATTATTTCTGAGGGCTCTGTTCTGTTCCATTGATCTATATCTCTGTTTTGGTACCAGTACCATGCTGTTTTGGTTACTGTAGCCTTGTAGTATAGTTTGAAGTCAGGTAGTGTGATGCCTCCAGCTTTGTTCTTTTGGCTTAGGATTGCCTTGGCGATGTGGGCTCTTTTTTGGTTCCATATGAACTTTAAAGTAGTTTTTTCCAATTCTGTGAAGAAAGTCATTGGTAGCTTTATGGGGATGGCATTGAATCTGTAAATTACCTTGGGCAGTATGGCCATTTTCACAATATTGATTCTTCCTATCCATGAGCATGGAATGTTCTTCCATTTGTTTGTATCCTCTTTTATTTCTTCGAGAAGTGGTTTGTAGTTCTCCTTGAAGAGGTCCTTCCCATCCCTTGTAAGTTGGATTCCTAGGTATTTTATTCTCTTTGAAGCAATTGTGAATGGGAGTTCACTCATGATTTGGCTCTCTGTTTGTCTGTTGTTGGTGTATAAGAATGCTTGTGATTTTTGTACATTGTTTTTGTATCCTGAGACTTTGCTGAAGTTGCTTATCAGCTTAAGGAGATTTTGGGCTGAGACAATGGGGTTTTCTAGATATACAATCATGTCATCTGCAAACAGGGACAATTTGACTTCCTGTTTTCCTAATTGAATACCCTTTATTTCCTTCTCCTGCCTAATTGCCCTGGCCAGAACTTCCAACACTATGTTGAATAGGAGTGGTGAGAGAGGACATCCCTGTCTTGTGCCAGTTTTCAAAGGGAATGCTTCCAGTTTTTGCCCATTCAGTATGATATTGGCTGTGGGTTTGTCATAGATAGCTCTTATTATTTTGAAATACGTCCCATCAATACCTAATTTATTGAGAGTTTTTAGCATGAAGGGTTGTTGAATTTTGTCAAAGGCTTTTTCTGCATCTATTGAGATAATCATGTGGTTTTTGTCTTTGGCTCTGTTTATATGCTGGATTACACTTATTGATTTGCGTATATTGAACCAGCCTTGCATCCCAGGGATGAAGCCCACTTGATCATGGTGGATAAGCTTTTCGATGTGCTACTGGATTCGGTTTGCCAGTATTTTATTGAGGATTTTTGCATCAATGTTCATCAAGGATATTGGTCTAAAATTCTCTTTTTTGGTTGTGTCTCTGCCTGGCTTTGGTATCAGAATGATGCTGGCCTCATAAAATGAGTTAGGGAGGATTCCCTCTTTTTCTATTGATTGGAATAGTTTCAGAAGGAATGGTACCAGTTCCTCCTTGTACCTCTGGTAGAATTCGGCTGTGAATCCATCTGGTCCTGGACTCTTTTTGGTTGGTAAACTATTGATTATTGCCACAATTTCAGCTCCTGTTATTGGTCTATTCAGAGATTCAACTTCTTCCTGGTTTAGTCTTGGGAGGGTGTATATGTTGAGGAATTTATCCATTTCTTCTAGATTTTCTAGTTTATTTGCATAGAGGTGTTTGTAGTATTCTCTGATGGTAGTTTGTATTTCTGTGGGATTGGTGGTGATATCCCCTTTATCATTTTTTATTGTGTCTATTTGACTCTTCTCTCTTTTCTTCTTTATTAGTCTTGCTAGCGGTCTATCAATTTTGTTGATCCTTTCAAAAAACCAGCTCCTGGATTCATTAATTTTTTGAAGACTTTTTTGTGTCTCTATTTCCTTCAGTTGTGCTCTGATTTTAGTTATTTCTTGCTTTCTGCTAGCTTTTGAATGTGTTTGCTCTTGCTTTTCTAGTTCTTTTAATTGTGATGTTAGGGTGTCAATTTTGGATCTTTCCTGCTTTCTCTTGTGGGCATTTAGTGCTATAAATTTCCCTCTACACACTGCTTTGAATGCGTCCCAGAGATTCTGGTATATTGTGTCTTTGTTCTCGTTGGTTTCAAAGAACATCTTTATTTCTGCCTTCATTTCATTATGTATCCAGTAGTCATTCAGGAGCAGGTTGTTCAGTTTCCATCTAGTTGAGCGGTTTTGAGTGAGATTCTTAATCCTGAGTTCTAGTTTGATTGCACTGTGGTCTGAGAGATAGTTTGTTATAATCTCTTTTCTTTTACATTTGCTGAGGAGAGCTTTACTTCCAAGTATGTGGTCAATTTTGGAATAGGTGTGGTGTGGTGCTGAAAAAAATGTGTATTCTGTTGATTTGGGGTGGAGAGTTCTGTAGATGTCTATTAGGTCCGCTTGGTGCAGAGCTGAGTTCAATTCCTGGGTATCTTAGTTAACTTTCTGTCTCGTTGATCTGTCTAATGTTGACAGTGGGGTGTTAAAGTCTCCCATTATTAATGTGTGGGAGTCTAAGTCTCTTTGTAGGTCACTCAGGACTTGCTTTATGAATCTGGGTGCTCCTGTATTGGGTGCATATATATTTTGGATAGTTAGCTCTTCTTGTTGAACTGATCCCTTTACCATTATGTAATGGCCTTCTTTGTCTCTTTTGATCTTTGTTGGTTTAAAGTCTGTTTTATCAGAGACTAGGATTGCAACCCCTGCCTTTTTTTGTTTTCCAATTGCTTGGTAGATCTTCCTCCATCCTTTTATTTTGAGCCTATGTGTGTCTCTGCACGTGAGATGGGTTTCCTGAATACAGCACATTGATGGGTCTTGACTCTTTATCCAATTTGCCAGTCTGTGTCTTTTAATTGGAGCATTTAGTCCATTTACATTTAAAGTTAATATTGTTATGTGTGAATTTGATCCTGTCATTATGATGTTAGCTGGTGATTTTGCTCGTTAGTTGATGCAGTTTCTTCCTAGTCTTGATGGTCTTTACATTTTGGCATGATTTTGCAGCGGCTGGTACCGGTTGTTCCTTTCCATGTTTAGCGCTTCCTTCAGGAGCTCTTTTAGGGCAGGCCTGGTGGTGACAAAATCGGTCAGCATTTGCTTGTCTGTAAAGTATTTTATTTCTCCTTCACTTATGAAGCTTAGTTTGGCTGGATATGAAATTCTGGGTTGAAAATTCTTGTCTTTAAGAATGTTGAATATTGGCCCCCACTCTCTTCTGGCTTGTAGGGTTTCTGCCGAGAGATCCGCTGTTAGTCTGATGGGCTTCCCTTTGAGGGTAACCCGACCTTTCTCTCTGGCTGCCCTTAACATTTTTTCCTTCATTTCAACTTTGGTGAATCTGACAATTATGTGTCTTGGAGTTGCTCTTCTCGAGGAGTATCTTTATGGCGTTCTCTGTATTTCCTGAATCTGAACGTTGGCCTGCCTTGCTAGATTGGGGAAGTTCTCCTGGATAATATCCTGCAGAGTGTTTTCCAACTTGGTTCCATTCTCCCCATCACTTTCAGGTACACCAATCAGACGTAGATTTGGTCTTTTCACATAGTCCCATATTTCTTGGAGGCTTTGCTCATTTCTTGTTATTCTTTTTTCTCTAAACTTCCCTTCTCGCTTCATTTCATTCGTTTCATCTTCCATTGCTGATACCCTTTCTTCCAGTTGATCGCATCGACTCCTGAGGCTTCTGCATTCTTCACGTAGTTCTCGAGCCTTGGTTTTCAGCTCCATCAGCTCCTTTAAGCACTTCTCTGTATTGGTTATTCTAGTTATACATTCTTCTAAATTTTTTTCAAAGTTTTCAACTTCTTTGCCTTTGGTTTGAATGTCCTCCCGTAGCTCAGAGTAATTTGATCATCTGAAGCCTTCTTCTCTCAGCTCGTCAAAGTCATTCTCCATTCAGCTTTGTTCCATTGCTGGTGAGGAACTGCGTTCCTTTGGAGGAGGAGAGGCGCTCTGCGTTTTAGAGTTTCCAGTTTTTCTGTTCTGTTTTTTCCCCATCTTTGTGGTTTTATCTACTTTTGGTCTTTGATGATGGTGATGTACAGATGGGTTTTTGGTGTGGATGTCCTTTCTGTTTGTTAGTTTTCTTTCTAACAGACAGGACCCTCAGCTGCAGGTCTGTTGGAGTACCCTGCCGTGTGAGGTGTCAGTGTGCCCCTACTGGGGGGTGCCTCCCAGTTAGGCTGCTCGGGGGGTCAGGGGTTAGGGACCCACTTGAGGAGGCAGTCTGCCCGTTCTCAGATCTCCAGCTGCGTGCTGGGAGAACCACTACTCTCTTCAAAGCTGTCAGACGGGGACATTTAAGTCTGCAGAGGTTACTGCTGTCTTTTTGTTTGTGCCCTGCCCCCAGAGGTGGAGCCTACAGAGGCAGGCAGGCCTCCTTGAGCTGTGGTGGGCTACACCCAGTTCGAGCTTCCAGGCTGCTTTGTTTACCTAAGCAAGCCTGGGCAATGGCGGGCGCCCCTCCCCCAGCCTGGCTGCCGCCTTGCAGTTTGATCTCAGACTGCTGTGCTAGCAATCAGCGAGACTCTGTGGGCGTAGGACCCTCCGAGCCGGGTGCGGGATATAATCTCGTGGTGCGCCGTTTTTTAAGCCGGTCCGAAAAGCGCAATATTCGAGTGGGAGTGACCCGATTTTCCAGGTGCGTCCATCGCCCCTTTCTTTGACTCGGAAAGGGAACTCCCTGACCCCTTGGGCTTCCCAAGTGAGGCAATGCCTCGCCCTGCTTCGGCTCGCACACGGTGCGTGCACCCACTGACCTGTGCCCACTGTCTGGCACTCCCTAGTGAGATGAACCCGGTACCTCAGATGGAAATGCAGAAATCACCCGTGTTCTGCGTCGCTCACACTGGGAGCTGTAGACCGGAGCTGTTCCTATTCGGCCATCTTGGCTCCTCCCCTGTACTATTCCTTTCACTTAAAATATAAATGTACTGAAATGTTTTTAATTCAAAACTAACCAAAAAACAAAACAAAACCAAAGACAAAAACATCAAAAAACAAAAAGACCCTTCCTTCAAACCTGTATCACCCCTGACCCTTTACAGACAATATTATAGTTCCTTTCTTCCCAAACTCTTAATTGCCCAAATCAATGTACTCTCAGTATTCATTTTAATTGAACTCTGATTTAACACTGATGACAATTATTTTCTTAAAACTATCTTCTCTTTACTATTCCATGATACTACCTTCTTTGAATGTCCCTTTTGTCTACCTGTTAAATTCTCTTGCTGAGTGTACCTTGGTCTTATTTTGCTTCTCTTCTCAATATGTGTACATATATATGTGTGTATTCTCTGGATAAACCTTTTTGTCTGTGGCTTTAAAAGATCAATCTCATGGGTACAAATATGTCTAGCTGCTTGGAGTACTTTACTTGACGTCCAACAGGCATACCAAATTTATCTTGTGCAAAAATACATTCATCAGCATTATAATCAAAGCCACTCATTGTCTTCTCTACCTTTTCCTCTCTTTCATGCCCCCACATCGAACTTGTCTCCAAGTTCTAACTTTTACTTTGGCATCTCCTCTTCCTCCATTGCTTTAGTTGAAGCTCTCATCTTCTGTCTGTAGCACTACAACAATCTTCTCTAGGGTTTTCATCCTCTAGTAACCCAAGACTACAATTCATTCCTCATAGAGCTGCCCTAATGGATTTCTCAAAGTTGGTCATGTTTTTCTCTTTTTAAAACTCTTCTATGAATCTCCATTGCCTACAAGATAAAGTTCAAATGTCTTAGAATGGCGTATGAATCACTGGTTCTTCTAACTAGTATCAATTTGGTTTACCTATTTATACTTTCATTCAAGTATTTCACTCTGCCTGGAATCCCTTCTTTGTACAATTTGATTACGTTTGGAACCACATTTCTTTCTCAAATCAAGAAAAACACAGTCATGAAGTCTGCCTTAATGTAATTCTCTTGTGGCTTCTTTAAAATATACTACTTCTTCATTTGTGCCATCTCAGCCTATTACATGAACTTGTATCATACTAGAGACTACATGTTAGTGCATGTACCAGTTTCCATGTCTGCCTCTTTTTTGGAGTACATATCACATGAGGAAGAGGACCTATCCCCAAGACCTAATACGGTATCAGGCATATCCATAGTTATTTTTATTAAGAACATTATTTTTAATAAATAACTGAGCACAGTAGACCTTCAGTAGCTGTTCATGGAAAGAAGAAAAAATGAAAAGACAATGTCAGATTATGGGAAATAGTCAATATTTTTGACAGAAAATGATATAATTGATTTTAAAAAGTTTTGAATTTAAGCGTTTCAATTATGACTGCAATTCACACACAAAAATATAATTCCACATGGTAATAAAGATTACCCTAATTCTGTATGGTAAAAAATGATTATAGAAAATGCATTAAAAACAAATGTTTAAGGGGAAAAAGTAGCTATGAAACTTTTTTGAAATTCTTCAAAAAATGTTTAAACTCTTTTTTTAAAATAACTTTCAGTAGCACTAGTTTGCCCTTGGATACATACATGTATTGTATTTAGAGAGGCTAAAAGGAGAAAGCCAGTTAAGTACTATTATTGCCTAAGAAGAACAAAAGAAAGAAAAAATAAGACTGTATGCAAGTAATACCAATGGATTCTCATATTCTCAGTAGGGGCATAAGGAAATTAATGTATCTTTCTACCCTACAATTTCTACCCACTTCTGAAAATCCAAGTATTATTGAAATGCCTATTTAAGAAAATAAAATATTTTTGACTAAAAATTTCTGAAGAACAAAGTGTTATTAATACTGCCAAGTTGAGAAGGCATCTTAGGAGAAGTGCTAAAAAAAACACACACAAATTAATCTTATTAACACATTTTACCATATTTCACAATTTTTAGATGCCCCATTTTAAAAAACTAACAGCTGTGAAATATGTGTGTATCTCACAATCAATGACTATTATAGTGTATTGGCAACATTTTTGCTTTTTTAGGGACACATAAAGATGCCTTTTATAATCAATGGTGTCCTAACTTAATGAAATGAAATCTAAATTATATTTGGAACATAATGGGCTAAAATAGCTGATAAAAATGAAAAAAAATCTGAATTCACATGCAGAAAAGAAATGATTGATTTGGATTTGATCCTCCTATGATCCTCTATGAGCAAAATCATGTATTATTATTTTTCTTCTGGTAATAATTAAACATATGGAAAAATATATTTCTGCTTAATGCTACTCCTTATTTGACTTGCATACCATATGTTTATGTTTAAAAACATTCTAAGTTTTTTGAACAATCTAAATCAAGTATATTTTGCCTGCTTTCACAAAACAGTTTAAAAATAAAAAGACTCAGTTGTAATGCACATTTTTAAAAAAGTAACTATGAAGTTTACTGATCTAGACATTTTTCAGATATCCAGTCAAATTGCTGAAAAGCATTTTTTCAGTTTATCTAAAACTATATGACTGTATGTGTACAATAGATGCTACCAGATTTTCTTATCCCAGTAATGGAGATTAATGATGCATGTCTTGTCTGTTTTTGGGTATCCCTGCTCTAGTGAATTCTTCACTGTATCAGTGACTCTTATCATCAAATTTCAGTACACATTTCTTTCCCACTTCAATCCAACTAAAGCCACATTTATCATCATATTATTTTCATATTCAGCAAAGAGTTTCATATTGGTAACTCGAATAGATATCTTAATCTGTACATTTAAATAAAAAAATATTTTATATGAATAGGACTTGTTTTTCAGAAAAGTCATCATATACAATGTGTACACTGGAAATTGCACAGAAAATATTTATATGCTAAAAAGAGCACTAAGTACTTATTCTCCAAACATTTTCCTAACACTGCTAAATTATGTAATGTTTTCATATTATTAATTTTTATGATTTAAAGATGACACCACCCCCTAGTTCAAATTAGAGAGAGGAAACATTACTACCTATTAATAGCTTTACATTTATTATTTTGTAGGAAATCCTTATTATCAAACATAGGCTTTATCAGTTAGTAGCATCAGTTATCAAGAACTTAAAACTCACTCTGGATCAAGACATGAGAGAAACAAGATCCTGGGCTTATGTTAAGGTAGGAAGAAGTGTGCTTACCTCACCTCCAGAAAACATTGCAACCCCTAAACCCTGAAGCAGTGGTTTTCTGACCCAAAATCTCAAAAAATTTTATAAATGTACCTCATTCAGTCTCCTCTTTTCCTCTTCAAATTCTGCAACCAACATTCCAAGCCTTAAAGACAAAAGTATTTCCCCATCACAAGAACAAGCAGCTCACACCTAATGACTTCTCCATTCATACACACCTAAGAAAGAACATTTCTTCTGCTATCACACCAGATAAACATCCTCGGAGATCTACCTCTAGATCAACCTTGCACAAAGAAAGCTTTTTCATATCAGGTCTTTCAGTTCCTAGAACCTGTCATTATCTCCTTTGTCTCCCACCCCCTCCAATAATGTTTTTAGATATAATGTTCCTTCTGTTTGGAATATTCTTTTACCCCACTTGTCTTCTCCCTTCACCTTTAATTTACTCATCCATTTTCAAGTTGCAGTACTTCAGAGAGTCTTTCCTGGCTATTCAGGACAGGTCAGGGCTCTCAGTTATATGCTTTCACATACTATATTTTTATTTGAGTGATTGTATGATAGACATCCATCCTTTCCACTGGAAAGTAGGTCCCATAGGAGCTTCAACTATTCCCCTCACCACCCAGTACATAATAAATATTTCATAATTATCTATGGAATCAACCTATAAATTTATTTTTTCCAAATCAGAGCATTCTATCATTTGCCTCTAGCCACTTCAAATATCTTACAGTACATTCTCAACCAAGCAAATAAATTGTTTGTATTACAGTGACCTTGTAGCTTTTTTATTGTAACATATTTTTCACATGCATGTTTTATTTTACATATGCTATTCCTTATAGCACCTGACTGAAAACCTTAACATTGACATAATCTTCTGAGTCATACATTTGTTACTGTTCAGTGATAGCGGTATACTCTCCATAAATGTCACTATGGCTGACAGATAACTTTTTCAACTCGCCTTTACCGGTTGGATCGTTAGGACTTGCTTTACTCAAACTCCTTTCTCATGTAGTTGACGTTTTCATATATGCCCTTGTCTTCCTTGTATCAACTAACCATGCTTCTCTCTTGTGGTTAGCTGTTCTGCTGCTAGTTCCTTTTCTCAATTTTAACATATCTTAAGAATATTCAGTCACAGTTTGCCAACACTTATCTTCTCAGTTTAAATAAGCTTTATGAAAACTTGCTGTGCTAATCATGTTATATATAATGAAAATCTTGAAGTTATGATATTTTTGCTGGGCATTCATAAGCATGGAACCATGACTATTATTCGTGAGAATTATCCGTAATATTTTAATGGGTTGTTGCTTTTTTCAATTTAATATACCATCACAGCCACCGGATACTGAAAAGAACCATAATAATTTAATTTCATATCAAGTAATTTTCCTTATGGGTGGTAATTTTCTTTATTCACATCTCTTGGGACCAGAGGTGGTGTTCATATGCGGAGAAAATAGCACATTCAAAGGCTCAGATTGTGAGACTGTGGCCAAGGGCCAGTAGTAGCTCAGGGCAGCTAAATTGCAAGGTCCATGGCAGAGAAGGGTAGGTAATAGCTGGACAGGCACACTGGGATCGCATTGTAAATGGCCTTGTATGACATTCTCTGGATTTTGACTTGCTGATCATCAGTGTATTTTAACCAGAAAGTGCAAGATTAGACGTGCAATTGAAAAATATTGTGTCAGTTTATTACAGAGAAGAACTAAAACCATTTGTATTTTCAAAACTTCATGTCTCTGTAAAATAATTCAAAATAATTTGCATTCTCTTCTAAATAATCTAATTGACAAAAATATATGTGCATTTTAGATCACCTGTGTAATCCAGATTACATTTGTCTTCATGCCTCCACAAACATACCTGTATTCCAAAAACCTAGTAGAAAAAAATAAAGGAGAATTAAAATGTAAATGATTTCCACTAAGTGATGGACGCCTGGCATTATGTTGCACTATATGGATGAAAGTTTCTCAGCAGTTCACAGAGGCATAGTATGAATGAGAATCAAGTTGTTACACAGCATAGAGTAATTAAAGGTATAACAAACTTCAAAAGCCTACACTGGAGCAGCTGTTACCTGATCCACATTGCCAAAGGCGATTTAATTTTAGGAAAACAAAATCTTATGCCTTATTAGATACATGTTGCTATTTTTTATTTTATTGTTTTTGTCATTTTGTTCCTGTATTTGTAAACTGGTTTTGGTATTATAATTGTACGCAGCTAAAAGCATAAGGACATATCTATTTTTTGAACATGCTTAAGTAACATTAAAATAAAGTAATTTAAATCAATATTGGAACTTTGATTTTTTTTTTTCTTTAAAAGGAATTTAGGGGTAACTTTTATTGTGTAATACTGGCTATTAGTACCATAACATTAGTTTTTATTATTATTTCACACAATGTTGATATTATACTGAGTGCTTCTTTTTGATCATTTTTATTTCATTAGGCTTTTGTTTCCTTTGCCTTATTTTTGTTAATGTTTAAGCATTTAAAAGGTAAAGCAATTCATTATTCACCTTGTTGTCTTTCTCTGACTGTTCCCATAAATCATTATTTTTAAAATCTTATTTCTAGAAAATAACAACTTGTTTTTTTTTTCCTTTTCAGTTAAATATTTGAAAATGTAAATATTTCTGCCCTATGGTTTGGTAATATGAAGTAATTTATTAGATAAGATAGAAAACTTAGTTTATTGAATTTCTGAAACATATTTAAGAATTTGAAGGACTTATTGTTTTCTTTTGCAATATTGCCACAAGCTTTTTATATTTAAATACATTAAAATTAAGTTCGAACTAAATTTGTTGAGAAATTCTCACATTTTCCTAAATGTTTAGACAGTTCCTCAAATTTTGCAAAATTAGTCCTGAAGGTTTAGCAGTACCATTTTATCTATTATAAGAATGCCTTAATCTAGTCTAATTTTCTATACTGAGAAAGGTGATATAATTTCTAAAGATCCCTAATTTGTTACAATTATTGTTTAATTGTTATTACCAGGGGGGTTTAACTATTATATCAGTTTTCAAAGATAATGTAATATTTGATTCCCTTTTTATTATTGAAATTCTTGTGTCAGCGGAATACTGAGTATTAGGAGAAAAAAGAAGGGTCAAATTAATTAAAAAGGTAAAAATGTTTTAAAAGATGAAGTTAGAATTATTCAAAACCCTTTCATTTAAAAGAGCTAAATTATAAATTTAAATGTATTACATTTATCAGAAATCACAAATGTAAAATACATTCTTAAGTTCATGCTCTCACCCTTTCCTATGCTATCCTTTAATCCAGGGGGAAAATTACTACAACTATTGTATATTTTCATTTGTACACAGTGTCCTCTCCATGGGCTGTAGTCTCTTCCACCCATATGTTATTTGAGGAGGGAATTAATCATTTACAACATAAAGCCATTCTGTATATTATTTTTCTACTAGGCTTTAGGTAAAATAAAATGCATAACACTTCCATACATGATATTGCTTGAAAATGATACTGCTATCTATTAAACTGTACTTCAATATTCTGTTTTACCTGCAGCTGAATGTGGTGCATCTGCAACGAATAATGAAGGAATTTTGCTGTCTCCAAATTATCCACTCAACTATGAAAACAACCATGAATGCATTTATAGTATTCAGGTTCAAGCAGGAAAGGGAATCAATATTTCAGCCAGAACATTTCATTTAGCACAAGGAGATGTTCTTAAGGTAGGTGAACTCAGACATACTTGTATATTGTTCATTTTTAGTCATTAAATATACATCAATAGATAAATATATACATCTATATATATATGTGTATGTATATAGTATTAACCGTAAGTTGATTCTACCATTCACACATTCAAATTATACATTAATTCTCATTTTCTATTATTGTTTTCATTGAAATAGTATGTTTTGTTTCCAATTTTTTTATAATAAAAGGTAAATTTTTGTTTTATGATACATAAATTTTAATGTCTTAATAATACCAAAATAAGAAAACTTTAATGTCAAATATCTTGTCTAATAAATTATTATATATAAAACATCATCAAATGACCGTCATGTAATGTGATAGTCATTTCTTTAAGAAATATAATAGTGACTTGTTTCTATTTGTATTCTATTGTCTATAATGTAACTTATTTATTTTTGTTAATACGTGAAGAATCTTTTGCATTTATGACTATGGATACATTTTATGAATATATAAACCTAACAAGTCAATGTCTATCAATTAAGAAAAAATATACTTTGTTGATAATGACTATCGGTGTAAACATTATTTATTTAAACACTTTGAAATAATCAAATATCTACTTTTCTAAAAAGATAACATTTTGGCAAATAAATATTTTCATAGTTGCTGATTTATATTTTGAATATAAATATTTTGGTAAATATAGTTTATATTTATCATTAGAGTAAAAGTAAACACTTCCAAAAATCACATTTAAATGTTTTTAAAATAGTTATGTAGCTTTTTTCTAATTGTTAAGTTTTTCTAAAGCCAGGTGAAAAATTCATTATACTTCTGTTTTCACAAATCTTGAAAAAAAATTATGTTATTCCAAATTGGCTGCAGCAGGAGAATTCTTTTTTAATGATTGATTTTAATGTTATTGGTTAGTTTCTTTTTAAAAAAATATTATTTCATGGTAATTGATGGCTCTCTAACACAATAACATGATATGCTTATAAGATTTGTATAGGCTTTGGGGAAAATTTCTCACAATGTATCTAGATGTATACAATTTCAACATTAATCTAGGATCAATATATGCATTCTTATTTTCTGCATTTTTCTCCAACTGGCAACAAAATTCACTATGTAAAACTCTCCCACCTCTAGTTCATTGTTTGGGTGTTTCTGTTAAAGTAAGTTATGTTTTTTCAATTGGAGCCAACATTGAGATTAATAGGATGCTTGTATATAGAACTGAGGCAGTGCTTTTTATTTTCAAGCAAATTATGGGGGGAAAATGTATCAATGCATAGATAAGATCTGTAAGCTAATCTAGCTACTACTCTGTAATGCAGAAGCAACAATAATAAACATGCATTGGTGAGCTAAAATTCAGGAAATGTTTCTTCACATCTTCACTCATGCCTATTATTGTTCTACCTAAAATATTTCTTTGTGATGCTTAAAATTCATTCATTTCTTTCCTATACTGGTATTATTTGGGTAATTTATTTGGGATAACAAATGATTCTTTTCAGTAATAAAATAAAACTTTCTAAAAGGTCTTACTTATTTGGAGTAAAGCCACATGCATTTCTGATATGTGCTACCTTGAGAAGGGTGGAGCTTCAGTCATAAGTGACAACACAAGGGGATGTAATAGGGAACAACAAAAGAAGGCAGAAAAAAAAAAAGACTCAATGTAAGGCCCTTTAAATGATTTCTTCAAATACAGATTTCTCTTATATGTTTAAAAAGTTAAAAAATTTATGTCCTCAAGAACTTTTAAGAATTCTGTAATTTTCCAAGAATATATTTTCCCCAAAGTTGAAAATATTATATACTAAATATTATAATAGAAACACACCAATTCAATTATCCTTCTATTCATAGGCTTGCCTGAGATTTATTCTGAATTATTACTTTAAAACAATTTCAGCAAGCCACTCTATAGAGACAATTTAGGGTGAACTTTTAGATTCCTTATTTGTCTTCTTCATGGTCTCTCTGCCAGAATAAGAGGTAAGATGCTTAATGTTACCTCATTCTTCCCATTAATCCAACGAGAAACCATTAGCTGAAAGATACCCTTTGACATGGAAACATTTAGTTATATACAAGCAGAAAGATGAACCCTCAAAAAGACATATGATTAATTCTCAAAAATTGTAGAGCCTAAAGTCATCTTAGGGTGGAAAGTTATTTGCCTAACTGAAAACTAATCCATGAAAGTTAATCCCCATCTCCAGTACTTTACAATATCGAACATAGTGGAGTCAGTTAGATCCCTATATTTAAACTAGCATATAATAAGGAATAAAAACAAATAGCCCATTATAAAATCTGCTGCCCCTTGACTGAGAGAATTTAAAATCATTGCTTTTTCTTTTATGTGGTAGCATTGATTATATTTTTTGGAATGACACTGTCTTGTAATCCTTATATGAGAATCAAGTTTAGGAGGAGAGATTTTTTTCTGGTTTCGTTTACTGTATGACATAACTATATTGGATTCTGACCAAAACAAAAATAACAATAACAACAATAATATATGTGTGTATCTACATCTATTTCCATGCAAACATTCGTGTACAACTTTTATCTCAGAGTTCAGTGTCCAGGATGGCACTCACTTGCTCACTTATCTGCTGTCTTTTTTCTTCTCTCCTCCTTTCTTTCTATAAACAACTTTATTTAAAACCATACCAGTAGAGTTTACACCAGTGAGTTCCAAGTGTAAGCCATCATATGACTCCTCTAGATTTTTTTTAAGTTTTGATTACTGGCACGCCTCCCAGGTTTTCTGATTCAGTTCCTCTACATGTGGGAATTTGGATTTTTATAAAGCTCTCCAGATTATCTGATGACCATCAATGTAGTAATTATGATTATATCCTTCTTTGGCTCTAGTGTTAAAATGAAGAAAGTTTATACATCAAAATATTTTACTGTAGTGCTTCCAAGGTAGCACACTGTTACTCTAAATAATAAAAATTGATCTCAATATTACTAGATAATTTTGAGTCATTAACTTTATACCAGATTGAAACTTTTTTTTTGTAAAACATTTTTGTTCATTTGTGTCATTTGTCAAAGGTGGATAAATAATTTTAATAACATCTGAGAAAATCCTATTTAGGCAAACAGAACATTTTCTAGCCATGAAAAAGCAATAATAATAATAGTAATAATAAATGAAATAAAAATTCCCGTGTGATTCTTACTTAAAGTGGAAAGGAAATTTCACTGCATCCATTCTGAATTGAACAAAACTGGTACAAAATGATCATTTAGGAATGTATCTTTTCTTTTCAATTTGCTTACTTAATGGGTATTTTAACCTGTTCACTATGACCAACCTTGGCTGATTATGTGTTTTTATAATGGTGATAGAACAAATATATACCCTTCTATCCATTAATGTATAGGAAACTCACACTTTAGATGCCTTCTGCTATTAATGTTTACATATAGGAATAGTAAGTGGGTTAAGTGACAATTTTCTTGTGTGCTACTTACTTATTTTTGGAAAATTTTAATGACACACCACAGGTAGGTTTGGATTTCACTTGACACTGCAGCTTTAAGGAATATAAAAAGATATATGAACTATATTTTGTTTATAAAAAATCCTTTAATGTTCACATTAAAAAAAACTTTGAAACATATATGCCTTAAAGTACATTGACAGAACAGCACAACCAGTGCAAAATCTGCTCTGACCTGTGATAAGATCCAGTTTCTATCTAAATGATCTCTCAACTATTTCCACTTGAATGACTAATGTGTATTTCAAAGTTCACCAGTCCAAAACACACATCTCCTCTCTCCTCATTTTTCTCTATTTCAGTAGATAGAAACTAGTTACTCAAGGACGAAGTAGAGTTCATTCTTGCTTCCTTGTTTCTTTCACACTTTGTATATTATTCCTCAGCAAATTCTATGGTTCTTTTCTTCACACTTCCGGAACCAATCATTTCTCACCTTTGTAAATTACCTTGGTCTAAATTATTATCTCTTGCTTGGATAACTGACATTGTTTCTAACTGATCACCCTATTTCCACCATCTTAGATCATGTGAGCTGTTATAACAGAATAACATAGACCAGGTGGTTTATAAACGACATAAATTTATTTTTTGAAGTTCTGAAGGCTGGTAAGTTCAAGACTAAGGCACTAGCAGATTATGTCTGATGATGGCCACCTTCCTCAAAGAGTCATTTTCATATTGTGAACTCCATGGTGAAAGGGATGAATAAGTTTTTTGAGGTATCTTTTACAAGGGCACTTATTCCATTTACGAACTCTGCCCTCATGACCAGTTAGCCTCCCAAAGGCCTCACTTCCTAATACCATCACCTTGAGGGTTAGGATTTTAACATACAAATTTGGGGGGACACAAATATTGAGACCATAGCATACTCTATAGACTGTTTCCAAATCAACAACAAAAGTGACCCTTTTTCATGTTATGCTTTGGCTCTAAACCTTTTTTTGTTCCTCATCTCATTATAAGTAAAATCTAAAGCCCTAACCATGGCTTAGATAGCCCTATGATTTGGCGTAATTTTACTGTGCCTGACATTTTCTCCTGCCACTCTTCCTTTAGCTCACTCCACTCCAGGCATAATGGCCTCCCTGCAGTATCTCAAATATACCAAGCATGCTATATTAGGCCTCCCTCTTTTTTTTTTACATTGCTATAAAGAAATACCTGAAGCTGTATAATATATAAGGAAAAGAGGTTAAATGGGCTCACAGTTCTGCAGGCTCTACAAACATGGCACCAACATCAGCTGGACTTCTGGTGAGGACCTCAGGAAGCTCACAATTGTGGCAGAAGGTGAAGGGAGAAGCTGGTGTTTTACGTGGTGAGAAAGGGAGCAAGAGAGCAAAGGGACAACAGGTTCCACGCTTTTAATCCAGCAGATCTCACGTGAACTAACTGAGAGAGAATCACTTATATCAATGGGATGGTGCTAAACCATTCACGAAGGTTCTGCCCCCATGATGCCATCACATTCCACCAGGCCCCAATTCCAACAGTGGAATCACATTCCGACATGAGATTTGGAAGGCACAAACATTCAAACCATATCACATGCTCTAACACCAAGCCGTTTGCTCAGGCTATTTCTTCTGCTTACATATTCTTCCTCAGGATAACCACATGGCTGTGTCCCTCATTTCCTTCAGGTCTCTACTCAAATGTCATATGATCAGAGTCTTCAATGGGCCCTCCTATAAACTGGTAAACTCACCTCCATCATCTCTTTCCATTATTAATCTGATTTATTCTTCTTCATAGCACTGATCTACAACCTGAAATATTATGCATTCATAGTTAATTCCTTTAATTTTTGTCTTCTCCAATAGAACGCATGCTATAAGACAGCAGGAACTATTTAACTCCACTTTAACTCCAGCATCTAGGAACAATGCTTGTCGTATAGTAAATGCTCCATAAACATTCTTTTCTTCTAGAAAGGACAAATTTACTATATAATTTCAGCTACTTTCTATGTAAAGCAAGAGAAACATATTTCCTTTCTAATTAAGTTCAATTGTTATTGTTTCTAATCTAATAAAAGTGAATATATTTTTATAAAACATAGTTACTTTTAAATATTTCCCCCATTGCCATGTTATTTTGTCCAAATATAGCTAATAAAATTTAGGGTTATATTTGGTGATATATTATTAGATAAACATGCCCACTCAATCAACATTACACAAATTTATTCTAACCTTTGAAAACATATTGTGCTTTGGATTATTTTTCTACACACCTATTTTGTCATTAAGAATGGGCTTTAGGGACAGGTAAACCTAGGTTCAAATCTCAAACCTGTCACTTAATAGTCACACAATTATTGAAAAAATTACTCCAGATTTCTAAATCTCACCTTCCTCCCCTGAAACATTCTGATAATAATAAAAACTTAAATTCAGGATTGCTGTAATGACTAAATTAGATAATGTTTTTAAATTAAATGATGTTTATAAAGCACTCAGCACAATGCCTGCCCCTGCAAAAATATTCAGTGAATATTCATGTAATAGGAATACATTTCAGAGTCTGGATCAAAATTTGCAAGAAATGTAGCAAAAGATTTTTGTATAAATGACCTAATTTTTATTTTCAACAACCTTTTTGCTGGGCAGTGGGAAAATTAATCTAGGTCAATTCAGGATAAACTCAGTCAATTCTGTATTTGCCAATTCAACGTCTGCACATATTTTGGCATCAAGACTTCAAGTTGTCAAAAATAAAAAGTGCATTTTGTCCTAGGGCATTATCTGTTTGTGGCAACAGCTGCTGAGCTCTCTCATTTGCTACTTGGTCTGAAGTCAGCAGTACAATTGGGCATCCACTGCTGGATCCTAGTTATCCCAACTGCAAAACCTCTTTGCATCTACCAGCTCTCTGTAGTATATTCTGCTCTGCTCATAAGAAGCATTTTTCAATTACTCTGTATATGACACTGAGTTACACCAGAATTCCATGTGGCTGGCTCAGGATCAATTGCCTGACCAACCCCCAGTATCTTTTTTTTTTTTTTTCCTACCTCTTTTCTGCAAGCATGTTTGCCACCTTTCTGGGCTCCAGATAGAAAGCCAGGTACATGTTCCCTCTATTGTCTAATTATTGGCATTCTATTATTCCTCCTACAAAAAGGGTAAGATGCAAGGTCCTGTCTAAGAAACCTAAATCAGAACCTAACTAATTTGTTCTCCGCTTAACTCATCTAGGGAATGTTTCTCTAGTTTGTTTGGGGTCTGATTGTTTTATTTTTTTCAAAGTGGCATAGGATATTGCAGAAATACTGAACTTCTTCCCTCACCCTTACTTGTAAATATGTAATCTAATTAATTCTTTCAATTAACATTCATAAGAGGGGTTTATTATATGTAGGCTCTGTGCAATTAACATCAAATAGCTCCCATTGTCAGCCTGGTAGAATGAAAATTGAATACCAATGAGAAATACTATTTTCTGTTTTCATTGTTGCTGTGTTTGTTGTTATTTTCAAATAAAAACTAAGGACAATGTTCAGAATAAAGGAATGTAGCAGGGCATTCCTTTATTCTTTGGAAAAGAATTTATTCTATTCCAAAATTCAAGGCAATCTTTTTACCACGGTTACAATTGTGTAGTCTAAAGATTTATTTCTTATGCAAAATGTAGACTATGGATGATTATGGAGAAAAGCCAGTAAAGTAACGCAAAATTGCTTTTGAAACTGGGAAAGAAAAGGTTAGGAGGAATGATGTCACATTTATGAAAAATTAGATACTCAAAGGACTTGATTAATAACATTCTTGTAGAGACATGATAAAGTTATTAACCTGTTGTTTTCTAAAGTGTATTATTTTCAAGTTTCTTTCCTATCTATGTGTGAGTCTTTGGGAATAGCACTTATGACAGGCTATTGTTAAATTTTCAGTAATTTTGAGAGCTGATTGTTGAACATAGCCAGTGCCAAAAATTAAGTTATATTACAATTAGATTGTAATTAAACTACAATTAAATTAACTTAAATTATATTAAAAACAAGAGCAATACATATAATTTTTAAAATTTTCTAATTATTGGAATACTTTTACTATTATCTGTGCTTTTGAGGTTATTTATGTATATTGTATCCCTATGGTAGAAATACCATGCCACACTGTGGTCTCTAACCAACTCCACATTCAATGACATCACATTCACATTCAATGATAGCTTGATGTCAGCCAATGGGAGTATTTACACTGTAGAAATTGGCAAATGCTACAAAACATGGCTTAACTTGTTGTTTGCTTATTACATAGATTTAAGTGGAAATGGGTTGTGTCTGTGCCCATTACATTATGAGTAGCACTATATATTGAAGAAATATTTTTTTCAGTATTTGAAAACTATTATTTAATTAACCAAATTAGTTGCTCATATCATTTACAAACTAATGAAGTTCTGACATAATCCTGTTTTTGATTTTTCACTTTCCTTTTATTTGTTAACATTAAAGATGATCAAGCAGTATTTATTTAGGAAATACTCTTGTTTGTCAGTTGCAATCATAAATTGCATACACAAAAGTCTGGCAAAAACAATAAAAGCATTCTGTAAAAATCAATTAGTTATATGAAATGTATGGTCATGAATATTGTATATTTTATTACTATTTGTACATTGCTCGACACCTCCCTAAAATCAGGGATTGGAAAACAACAGTGTGTGAGCCAAATTAGGCCTGACACTTGTTTTTGTAAGTAAAATTTTATTGGGAGAAAGCCATGTCCATTCATTTGCATATTGTCTATGGCTGCTCCTGTGCCACAATGTCAGGACTGAGTAGTTGTGACAGAAATGGTATGCTTCTCAAAGCCTCAAATTTTATTATCTAACCCTTCTTAGAAAAAGTTTGTCAATATCTCTGTATTGCAATAAATGTTATTTTAAAAACCTTATGTACAAGTATACACATTTAGCAGTTTTTTGTTTGTTGTTTGTTTGAGAGTTGGTTGTTAAACATTTTCCAGCACACCGGTGATCTTATATGTCCAGCACACATATCTGCCAATTCTGCTTGCTGTTCATTGGAATTCTGTATTAACTCTCCCTTCAAAAGCACTCTCAAAGTGCCAATTTGTAGAGACTGCTATGTTAGGCCTCATAAAACCCTTCATCCTCTTCCATTAAGGATAAGGAAAATAAAATGATTTGTAATAAGCTGCAGAACTTTAATGTAGAGTTGGAAGTTCAACTCTATTATATAACAAAAAACCGAATGCCCCTGTAAAGTTGGTCCTTCGTTGTGCCCCTTCTCCTTCACTAAAACATACTAGCTCGTATAATTGAGAATACATTATGTAGCTGTTTTAGAAACCTAAATAATTGAATGCAAACAAAAGTTCTCTACTCTATTTTATATTATCTTTGGAGAGAATATTAAAAGTTTTAGAATAGAGACTTTTTTGATTGACCATTATAAAAATTGTTCTTTATTTTATATGCAAACTTGACATCTAATTCACCTTTTTAGAAAATGTATTTAATTTCCAAATCAACCTATAAAACAAATGACCAAAAGTAAAAATGCTAGGATCCAAGAGGAGGAATAAATTGGAGATTTATATGATTATACATATGTTCATGTGTAATTTCTGTCTTCACATTTTACTTTTATATTTACTTTTTGCTCTTGGATTGATGTTAACACCTTAATTGCTAATTCATTAGATAAATGAGTTAGAATATGCCTTCTATTTATATATTTATCATATCATTCACAACAGCAAGAGTTTTGAGTGTTGATAAGTAGTTTGTTGTAATACGGTTCAACCTACTGGATTCAGGAGAGTCTGTACACCATAACTAATTTCAGGCCTAGATTTATTACAAAAAGTTTTGGCAATTAAAACATGGCAATGTTAAGTTTTAGTTTGTTCTGGTGTAAGTAATCAGACAATTGCAACCTTTTAACAAATTAAAGTCTCAGCAAAGAATTTCATTAACATTATAAAAGCCATCAATAACTTTCATGATATTAATCCTTAAGTCAACTTAATAATAATAATACATATTAAACAAAAAGAAAGGGGATATTATGCTTAAATAAACAAAAACATACTTAAAGGTCTTGATTTTAATTAGAACAGAAATATGAGCACTAAGAGTCTCAAATAAAAGTCCTACGGCTCTAGTCAGACCCAATTTAATCACTCTGTACTGTTTATTTACTTTTGAACAAAAGGCATATTTTGTTTGTTTTGTTTTCTTATTTGTATGCTTGTATTCATGACCACTTTAAAAGTAATTTATCTTTGGTTACACTGCTTTCTCCCTTTGTTGCCTTTATGTTTTCATATATTTGACTAAATTTGAAGGATTTTATTTATGAGTTAAATAGCATTGACTTGATCATTACTATAAAAATCTTCTCTTTTTAAGGGCTTCCTAATTAATACTTGCCTTTCATGTTGATTAAGCAATTTTATGCATGCTTCCAAAATTTAACAGTTGAATGATCCAGTTTCATTTTATTTTGATGATTATAGTGGAGCTTCAGCAGTATTTGTTTTCTACCTTTTGACTCAACAGTGTTAAATAAATTGTAGTTAGCAGATTTTGTTACTGAATTATATTCACCCAGCTGTACTTAAAATAATTTTTCTTTCCTGAAAGTACTAGCTCTTTTATCATGCCCTTTCTTTAAATGATTATTTTTTTAATGTGTCTTATAAAAAGCTTCTTTCATATATATATATATATATATATGTATGCTGCCTGGTGCAGTGGCTCATGCCTGTAATCCCAGCACTTTGGGAGGCCAAGGTGTGGAGATAGTTTTAGTCCAGGAGTTCAAGGCCAGCCTGGGCAGCATGGCAAAACCCATTTGTATAAAAAATACAAAAATTAGCCAGGCTTGGTGGGGTGTGCCTGTAGTGCAAGCTACTTGGGAGTCTGAGATGGGAGGGTCACCTGAACTGGGGGATGTTGAGGCTGCAGTGAGTCATAATCACACCATTGCACTCCAGCATGGGCAACAGACACCCTGTCAAAAAAATGAATAAATAAAAAAGAAAACAAAAGGAAAAAAAATGTATGCTGTGTGCTTCTAATCTAATATACAGACAATTTTGTGTTAATTTGTTTTTGATCTTCAGGTTAAGAATGATGTCTTACTATGTTATTTTTTTAATTTTAGTTACAGCACCTAACAAAGGCTTAGAACTAAATAACTAAATGTTGACTTATTTTGTTAGTTTTTACATTGTTATATATAGGAAAAATTTATATGTATCAAGTAATAGTTTCTACTATCATTAATTTTTGCTTTTCATTACTCCTGAAGATTTTTTAAAAATTAGGAAAGACTTTTTAAAGAAATTAGAAACAAATTTCAACATCCAATTTTTATTTCCCCAGTTACATTAATTACTTGTTCCATTTATATTCTCCCTTTATTTGACTATTTTTGGCAAACTGAAAGTTCTTACAATGTATCCACACATAAATAGAGAAATAGTTTTATCCAAGAAACAATTGATTGTATTTTATTTATATTTATATTTTTCATAGCAATTAAATTATATGTTGGTGAGAAGTTAAGGGGAACACAAGGAAAATATTATTTGGGGATACCTTGATAATATTACCACAAATAAGATCCACTGGATCTAGTGGTTAAATGATTTGATTGTGAATGTGTAGCTCTAAACAAAGAATTTATTTACTATGTAATATAGAATCATAAAATGAATGTATTCAGAAGCATACTTTTGAGAATATTGAACATTTCAGACTCACAGACATACAAGTTATATTTTGCCACAAGCAAGGTTTTCTTACCTCTGCATTATCCCAATGACTACTATTCTTAAGAAATGAAAAGTTGAATGTTATGTAATCAAACAAAAATCATGCATGCCTGAGCTACCAACCTCAACATTTGGTTTGGTTTTGTTGAAGACAGATACATTCTTGCTGATAACTAAAACAGAAACTTATTTGCATGATAAATTAGATTCCTCCAGGGATTCAAGATATTCCCTTATAATATTAGGAAATTTGTGTATACAGCCCTCTAGTATCCAAATACTCTCAAGAGTGAATGTACATTTTTTAAAAACTTGACAGAGTGTATAAAAAGAGAGAGACCAAGTAATGTTTGCTGTTAGGAATTCAATGACCATGTCGCCTTGAACTTAAGATTCTCAATTCCTTACTTTCTCTTATTTCTACCTTCTCTCTCTGCTGTAAAGAACAAGTAAACAAACTGTAGAAGCCTAGAGGGTACACGTGAGTCTATAGATTCCATCAATTACAAATGGAGCGTGCAAGAAAGGCCTTGTCAGTGGAGACTTAGAATTTCTGTGTAGAAAATGTTTAGGTTAATGTGGTTAGAAGAGAACATTTAGGAGCCGTGGAAAAAAATTTGGCATAACCTTAACATTAAATTCTAATAAAGTTACTTTGAAAGAAAGGTTAATTATTCACAAGTTTTTATTTATAGATCATATTGAAACGTTCTAAATAAATCATCGGTTTAAAACCAACAATCTAGTATAAGAAAAAATATATTATTCAGATTAATATAATAATAATAAAACATTCCATTGTGTACCACCTAAAACATCATCTCTTAGGTGACATCAATGTAATTATGGAGGAACATTTATGCTATGGCAAGATCCCTAGATGTAGAATCCAACAACATAATTTTTACTCTAATACCAGGCCATGAGTAAGTAAGGCAATCTGAGCTAAGAGATCAGTAACTTCAAGCAGTATTCTCCAATTTTTCTTGTTGTTATTGTTCACCTAAGAAGCCCATGAAACTCCATGAAACAAAATAGTATGGAATAAAGTCTGTCAGGGAGAGTTGATCTTTGGGAAACCACAAATCATTGTGATACCTAAAATATTATTGCTCCCAAGAACCAATTTTTACACCTTTGGGGGTCATAATGATTATGTTGAGAATGCATGCCTTACAGGAAAAGGAATGGTAATATGCATTGTTGGTAAACCCTGGATTTAATTACTACACACTTTTTAGGAAACTATCTAGAAATATATGAACATGTCCCATATTTCATATCCCGTATTTCTAGATATCTCATATTTCTAGAACTTTTTTGCTGAAGTACAAGTACCAAAAAACATGAGGTTACACGTAAAAGAGTGTTTATATCAGCATTACTTGTAGTGGCAAAAACTTGAGTTCATTAATACGGGAACGGTAGAGCAAGTTATGATGGAGTCACCATACATCTCTCAAACAGAAGAATCTATATTACTGACCTGAAGAGATGTCTATAATGATAAAAGAAAAACAAATTAGAGTGCAATAAGCAGTTATACTTTCAGAAAAATGAGAATGATGTGTGGGAGCTTATCAGTTTCATTTTTGTGTATTTTTGCTTTATTAAATTAGTTTCTAAAAGCATTTAGACCTCCTTTAATTTAATATTTTAAAAATGTCAAATATGAAACAAGTTAAAGAGCATGGAAAAGTTACAATTGCACCAGACACAAATATATTTTATGTTAGTCATGTTGTTGGAAAAGTAAATGTTTGATCTTGAGAAAGTTGCAGAGAAACAGCCAAGTAACCAAGTAACCAACTTTAGAAACCAATCTTTAGGTAGGTATTCTTAATTTTAAATTGTCTCCCAGAAAAAGCATTTTTAAAATAATAAGAAAAGAAGCTATATCACCTGATTCAAGTATTACTTAAAGTACACTAAGCTTGGAATTTTAAAATTATACATGTGAATTCTAACTTCCTTAACCTTGTGTTCATAGAAACCAATATATTTAGTTGCCCTTTGGAAATGTACTGATCTGATTTAGAAAAAGTACACTTTTCTCTTTTTCATAGATACAAATACATGCTCTGAATTGATTATTATTGGCACATTTACATTTTAATTATAAATATATTTTGCAGATTTATGATGGAAAAGATAAAACGACTCATCTACTAGGTGCTTTTACTGGTGCATCTATGCGCGGACTGACACTTAGTAGTACTTCAAATCAACTCTGGCTAGAATTTAATTCCGATACTGAAGGGACAGATGAAGGCTTTCAACTTGTGTATACCAGTAAGTATTTTAGAAGAGTAAAATGGCCAAACACTGGGGTGCTGCATGTATATTAAATAATTACATTGCACAAATTGAAATGATATCCAATATTTGATTATTAATTTACAGCTCCTTTCTACATATATAATTTTATTTGACCCTAACAACAGCCCGGTAAGTTACAGGTATTTTAGCTATTGCCATTTTACAGTTGAAACGACTCAGTTTGTTTTACAGAGGTTAAGTAATTTTTGACTTCGGGTTTATTTACTTAGGTAGTTTTAAGTAGCAGGATTCTATTCATCCAGTATTTAAGAAATACAATGAAACTTTTGTTAGATGGAAATCCAATGTTTGAACTCTCATCTTGAACTGCAAAGATGCAATGATTATTATTGGTCAGTTATAAATGATAACTAAAAGACTTCAGGTTGTTTCACACTAAAGAGTAACTAAAGCTTTTAGTTTGTTCTGCTTTTGTGTTGACTTGTTTTATAACAAATACTTTCTCACAGTTCTATTATCTCATTATGTTAAAGTCAGCTATTTTGACTATTTAAATAAGTTGAAGTTCAAACACTAAGAACCAGGGGTAGGGTGGGTTTCATCAATTGTTATATGAATTAAATGGATGTGTTTTACTAGTACCGTTATATAAGAAACAGACTAGTTACACCAATGAAAAATAAATTCTATTCAAATAATATATTTCTTGATTTTCTACTCCGTTCAGGATTCTTTGCTAATAAATTAAAGTGCGAGTAAAACAGGTGTTACTTCCTATGTATTTGATAAATTTACAATCTGTCAGATCAAATTGATTCTTGGAAGGTCAGAGCACTCATTAATGTTGTATAGTAAAATAAGTAGCAATACTCAGAAATCTTTATTGCTAGAATGCTTGACAAAATTTACTGACTCCTATAAATTTTCTCAAGAAGTCAGATGAATGGAAATTATTATAGAAACTAAGAAGTTAAAAAGGTTACAGTATCAAAGATAATCATATAGGATCTTAAAGGGAATTTGAATCAAATTATAATTTGTGTAAAGAGTCTATCTTAATGGTATAAGAAATAGTAGACAAGAGAATACAATGACTCATTGTATGAAAACATTTTTGTCCATAATACTGAGATTATCTATTTATTTCAGTGCTTTTCTTTCTACCTGTTAAAATTTTTACATCACTAACATTAACTAAACATAAATTAACAAAATGAATGCTGAATACATATTTTTAAATTCTCAGAACTGTGTGTACAATGTGATTTCTTATGAGTCTTCCTAAGGAAAAATAATAGTCCAGACAAATTGTGTTTACAAGTATTGTTATGTGATGGACTAAAAGTAATGATATTGAGCAATATCAATATTGTAATGATATTGAGTAATGATATTGAGTAATGATATTGAGCAATATACTATTGCTCAAATATAATTGGTGTGATCTGCTCAGATGGGCAAACTTTTTTTTTTTTAAATATGCTGTCCTCTTTCTCTTTCTCTGTTTTCTAAAAGGGCCACTGATGATTTTGAAGTAATATTGAAATGCATGACACAATGTTTACGTAATGGTTTTTGTTCTGCATCATGTTGCATTTCTTTTATTTTCTTTCTTTCTTTCTTTCTTTTTTTTTTTTTTATTTGAGACAGAGTTTCAGTCTTGTTGCCCAGGCCGGAGTGCAATGGCGCGATCTTTGCTTACTGCAACCTCTCCCTCCCAGGTTCAAGCAATTCTCCTGCTTCAGCCTCCCTAGTAGCTGGGATTACAGGCACCCGCCACCATGCCTGGCTAATTTTTGTATTTTTAGTAGAGATGGTGTTTCACCATGTTGGCCAGTCTGGTGTTGAACTCCTGACCTCAGGCGATCCTCCCACCTAGGCCTCGCAAAGTGCTGGGATTACAGGCATTAGCCACCATGCCCAGCCTGCATTTCTGCTTGTCTGAAATATTTGTGGGTTTCACAGAAGAAACCTGGATTTTTTTGTTTTGATACATAATATCTATGTAACTTGAGGTTACTGATGCAAAATAGTAGCCATTGTAGGGCATACCTATATTTGAAATTTTATGGGGTGCTCAGGTGACTGGAATGAGTAAGATCATTGACTTTATTGTCATTAGTGTGAACTGTAGAATTTTTTTAAAAAGATATTTTAATTAGCAAATATTTGAAGTCACATTTCTTTTCTTAATTAACAATTAATTGGCTGGGCTTGGTGGCTCACGCCTGTAATCCCAGCACTTTGGGAGGCTGAGGCAGGCAGATCACCTGAGGTCGGGAGTCTGAGACCAGCCTGACCAACATGAAGAAACCCCGTCTCTACTAAAAATACAAAATTAGCTGGGCGTGGTGGCACATGCCTGTAATCCCAGCTACTAGGGAGGGTGAGGCAGGAGAACCGCTTGAACCTGGGAGGGAGAGGTTGCAGTGAGCCAAGATTGCGCCATTGCACTCCAGCCTAGGCAACAAGAGTGAAACTCCGTCTCAAAATAATAAATAAAATAAAATAAAAATTAATAATTGTCCATTAAAGGAAATGTATGTTTATGGAGACTGGAAACTACAGAAGTGGGAAGAGAGTATAAAGCTGTCATTCTTAAAAAGGGAAAACATACATTTATAAATATTTTTTAGTCTTAGAGATAAAACTAAAAATTTCCATATCATATCTGTAAACAAAATGTTTATAGCCTACTTCCAAGGTATCTTGGCATATCAGTAGACAATTTTGTGAACCAACAGCTGGGTTCTGAGCTGTATTCTCTCGGAAAGGGCTTTAGAAATAGTGATGCATCTGTTTTTAAGTGTATTTGTTCCTAAATATTACTTCTTATTTTTACAGTGGCAATTCTTCTGCATATCTGCAACTATCTAAATAGTTACCCACAGATTTCCTAGCTTTAAAAGAAGTTTGTTCCCATCCTCCAAGTATATACTATTTGTTTTCCAACCATAGCACCTGTGCCCAGGCTACTTTCTATTTTGTGCATGTCCTACTGACTTTGGATACCAATTAACCTTCAAGATCCATCTCAAATATTTATTCATGAATGCTTATCCTGATTCTATCAGCTGGAATTAACAGACGTTTCAATGTTTCTTTTGTGGTAGTTTATATATGCAACTAATATAACCGTTATCACATTGCATTGTGGTTATACTTGTTTGCGAACATATGTGCATCGTTCTTCAACACGCTATTTTCCTTCATAGCATCTTTAGTCCATTTAGTTCAATTGTATCTTTTTACATACTCTTGATGAATTAAGATGTCATCTGAATATGAATTTTATAAAATGCTTTCATGATAGTAAAACAGTTCTACTAAGCCACATATTTTAAATATTCACAAAATTCTTGGAAGCAGTAATTATTCAATTCCTGAACGTGATAGAATGTGCATCAGGATTTCGTGTTTAAATCCTCATATCCAGTTATTCCTAAGGCCAACTCTAACCCTGTCCATTCTGTGGTACATTTCCCTTACAATGATTCCAGTTTCATTTCTGAAATATCTAACAGAGAGAATCATAGGTATTGCAGAGGAGGTCACAGTACTCACATTGACAGAATCAGAACAGGAGCGAGAACATTTGTCTAGGGAGGATCAGGTAAGACTTCATAAAGGAGGGCGTATTAAAGGTCAGGTTGGTGGTTCACAGAAAAATAATTGTGGGAAGTATTACAGGCAAAGAGAAAGGAATGAGGAAAGACACAGAGATTAGGAAGAACATTCAAGGAAAATAATCTAATTCAGATTAATCCCACGTATCTTGATGCTTCTCACAATTTCTAGTGGGAGAACAAGCAGGCTGTTTTTGGCCATCCTATCAAATGATACCTGCCCTATTTAATGATAGTCACCCTGTATTCCATTATCTATTTTGTTGAGTTAGCAACACTTGCCATTGTCTGATTATTTTCAGTTTTGGGTAGATAAAACTGCATTTGGCTGAGATAAAATGAAAAAAGTATGTTAGAACAGACCTTTAAAGTGCGTTTTATTTCAATTATCTTATTGGTCCATTTATTATGTAATTGCTAAGTATAGTAAATGGCCTGGTAGACACAGTGACTTAAATGTTGCTTTTGGCTTTAACTAATGGAAAACCTTACCATGGCCTAAACAATCAGGGTTTATTTTGTTCATATAAGAAAAAGTGAAGAGTGAGAAAGTAGGTAGATCTTGATTCAACTACTTAACAAGATCAACAAGGATTTTGCTCCTGTCTTTCTGCTGTGGCATGCCTAGAGGGTTCACTTTTTATTTTCATGTTTGTGGTGACATGGTCACAAGTTGGCTACTGTAACTATGGGCATGTTTAAGGCATGAAGAAAGGAAAAAATGGGCAGTGCCAACCGCATATACTCCTTTTATCAGAAATACAAAATCTTTCCTGGGAATCCCTGTAAGATACCCTCTTATGTCTCTATCCTAAACTGGACCATATGGTTCTGCCTTAATTTTCCAGCAAAGCAGCCTGGAATATTCAGTATGTGGAAGACTAAATAATTGGTTTAACTTTAGACCATCATGATTCACTGCTGTATATCGTTAGATTATAGCTGGGAACAAAATCAGAGTTGTTAGCAAGGAAGAAGGGAGATATTGAGAAGACAACTTACAGTATTTACTACAATGTACAGCTGTCACGAATATTAAAAAAATTAGGTTAAAGATACTGAACTAATATCTGCTTCTATGATTAATGGTGTCATGGAAGCCCAGAAACTCTTGGGTGTTTATAAAGGAAAAGTATTTGGCTGACTCATGATTAATATTTTTAGCTCTACTATGCTAAGAAGACTGTGAGCTTCTCTCACCTTCTTCCACCAACAAATAAATTATATGCATACCTAGTATGAAAATACCATACCACACTAGACAGGGAGAAAATATCCCATTCCTTTTTCTTTTTCTTTTTTCTTTTCTTTTCTTTTTTTTTTTTCAGTGCCTTGCTCTGTCGCCCAGGCTGGAATCTCTGTCTTCTGGGTTCGAGCAATTCTCCTGCCTCAGCCTCTTAAGTAGCTAGGATTACAGGCGCCCACCACCATGCCTGGCTAATTTTTTTGTATTTTTAATAGAGACAGGGTTTTGCCATATTGGCCAGGCTGGTCTCGAACTCCTGACCTCCAATGATCCACCTGCCTTGGCCTCCCAAAATGCTGGGATTACAGGTGTGAGCCACCATGCCAGCCCCATTCCTTTTTCTAAAGCAAATTAAATCTGTTCAGTCTTCATCTTTAGCGTTGTCAAGAAAAATCTCATGTAGTCTTTTTGGGGAAATATTCTTCTCCCAAATAAATTTCTCAGTCAACTCTGGTTTGATCTGACAATTAAAGTGTGGACAGCTATACTGTTGAATATAAAACATGTGTGAGATACACTTAGATATTTATGACCTCTAGGGGATTTCACTGCTCTTCCATCCCTCAAACCTCCCAGAATCCAACTCCCTTATTGAGTCAGGCTAATCTTCCTCATTATTCTCAAAACAATTACTGTCATTTACTCTTGCTTTTGAGAAATCTGAAACTCATCCCAAATAAATATCCGAATGAGACATAATGTCAGGTACTTTACGCGACACAAGTTACTTGTTAATTTCCCTGTGAGGAGGAACCAATAAAGGCATACCTGTTCTTCTGAGAGAGAACAGGGAGTAGGGTAAGAGAAAATTACTACTTCCTTCTAGAGTTGGGAAACAGATCAGAAATTGAGATCACAATACAGTATCCTTCCTAAAACATCACTCTGTTCTCCATAATCCTATAGCAGAATTCAGCAAAACCCAGTAGGTTATTCTGCCCAGATCCCTTCAACCTCTCAACACACATTTCAAGAATGATTTCTAAATCTGGTGTATTTTACTCTCTCTCTAAAGGCTAAGTTATAGAGATATCATTTCTACTTGGTCACCTGGCATATCTTCCCTTTTACTCTTCTATTGAAATTTACTAATTTATTTATTATTGAAATTATTAATCTGGTCATAGGCTTAAATTTTGTCTTTTCCCAGTGGAATATTATATATTGAAAATATAGAGAACAATTAATAAGAGAAAGTTCCTGCCCATAACAAACTAACTTTTTAGTGGGGCAAGACATAAAAGAAAGTTATGAACAAAAGGTAAGAGAACTACATTTAGAAGTAATTTAAAACAGGGCAATGGGATAGATAGTACAGATGAGACCACTTTAGCTAATTTGTTCAGACTCCATCTTAAAGGAGATGTTATCTGAGTTGATACCTGAGTGATAAGAAAGAATAATCACATACAGGCAAAGGGTTCTAGGCAGAGGGAGTAGCAAGTGCGAAGGCCTAAAAGAAGTCTGAGCTTGAGTTATATGCCTGTAGCTAAATGAGCAAGGAGAATGAGACAAAATGAGTGATAAAGTTGGAAACTAGCAGTAGCAAATAACCGGGGTTCATCATCTCATGCCAAGGGAATCTAGGTCAAAGACACAAGAAGTGGGTTTAGGAGCAGAGGTTTAATAGCCAAAAGAAAGAGCAAAGAGAACAGCTCTCTTTCTTGTGAGAGAGAGGGGTTCCCAAATGGGACTTCCAGCCCATAGCAGAGTACACCAGATTTTATAGACAGGCTTATGAGGTGGTGTCTGATTTTCATAGGTCCAAAAGATTAGTTGAACCAGGTATGACATTTACATAACACACCAGAAGCTGGCTGCCCCACCCTAATCTTATTTTGCAAATGGGGTCTTTGCCTGGCCTGCACCATGTTGCCTTCTCCTTACTGTATGCATGGCTGGCAAAGAGAAGAGAAGAAGGAGCCACCATTTTGAACATGCCTAGTCCCAAATAGCCTTTTTCTATTGGCACAACTGCCAGCATTCACCCATGTAAGTGTCCAGCTTGCTTGTCTATGTTTGCAGCTTGATTTTATAAGCTGCTCTTTGTTAGAAAAGAAAATGATTTGGTGGCCGCTTTTCATTAAAAGGAAAAACTTACCAAGAATTCCCATACCCTCACTATCTGCCTAAATAATTTCTTAACTCCTATATCATTAGGGGCAAGGTGGAGTATAGTACGGGCTTGGATTTTATTTAAAAGGCACATAGAGACTTTGGTCATTATCATAATGTTCAATATAAGAATTACAAATAACAACAGCTAACATTTATCTACCACCTACCAGATGCAAGGCATAACCCAAAGAGGGAGATAATATTATTATTCCCAGGGAGAAAATGAGGAAATAAAAAGCATAGCAAAGTTACCTTACTCACCCAAGGTCACATAGCTAACAAGTGCAGACATGGAAATTGAACTGAGAGTCTTTGCCTCTAGAATCCATGTCTCTAACCACTATGCTATACTAGCTCTGAACTCAAGATTTGAGTTTTTCAAGTTTTATAGATTTGAAGTGTTATATATTTATATATATTTCAAGTTTTATAGATTTAATGTATTTTTAAAACTGTCCAGGTAAGAGTAAAAAAAAAAAAAAGAGAGAGAGAGAAATAATGTTAGTGCAATTCTTCCCAAAGAAACTTTTGTCATTTTATTTTTGAGAATCTGAATTTTTTTTTATTTTTGTTACATTTACTATCGGGGAAAGACTTATTCCTGCTATCATTCATATTGTTCATGAAATCTCTAAACTCTATTTGTTGAAGATTATTTAATTACAGATTCTTTTAGCCCTATATACTTGTAGTTATACTACTTTTATTTTGTAAAAAGGAATTGAGTATTTTTAACAGCCATCTATTACAGAGCCAAATTGCAACTTATTGATGGATTATACTATTGTCTTATCAAAAGCTGACCTGCTAAATATGCATGTTGCCCAGCCATTAGTCAGTACTCTGGGCTCAGATGTTTTCTTATTATCTCCTCTGCACATTTAATTTACAAAAAATCCCACTGGAGAAATGTTCATTATCCCAAGAGAAAACTGTAAATATATTTGGATGTTCTCAGCCTTCCAGTTTTGTTGCTTGAAATCATTTAATAATCTACATGGAGCATGGCCATTTCAAATTTTATATTCAAATTAAAGATGGGCATTAACTAATTTGTGATGCTTTTTCTTGCATACTAGCCTTGTGAATATACAATAAATTAGTCTTTAATTTAGTTACCGGTTTGTTGTTGGCAATGTAAATCGTAAAAAATTATCAGATGACTTATTAACTCTACCTTTATTCTTACTATATAACTCATTTAATGCAAATGCAAGTAGAAAATAAGTAAATTACAAGGGAGCAACAAAGCCCCTCCATGTGGTTCTATGTCCTACAAACCAGTTAGCAGATACATTTGACATTTCTTACATTTTTAAAATATCAAAATAAACTGGGTGATAAGGGAGGTATTGATCAATGCTGCGTGATATAGTCCAAAGTATTCTAACTGAAATACTAAAGAAAAATTTCTTAATTAACTGTCATTTACATAGACAATATTAAATTTCTTCATACTAGAATAATAAAAGTATCATTATTTTCATAGCCTTCACATCATAGAAGTTTAGTAAATTTAAACTTACATATCTAAGGACCTGCTAATTTACATGTTACATACAATTAATTTCTGGCAAGTTGAAGACCTAAATGTAAATATCAAAACTTTAAAATGTTTAGAAAATAAAAGTGTGGCTTAGAAAAGCTGTGTCTTTAAGGTAGAAGAAGATTTCTGAAATAAGATACACAAGCAAAAATTCATCAATAATCAGTAGCATTTCTGACCTTCTAAGCACTCCTTGAAGTGTAGAAACCAAAAATCTGGCAACTACATTTTTCAGATTCTCTTGCCAACAAATATCTCTGCTTAGATTCTGCCAATTAAAGGCAGACCTGTGAGAGCTGAAAGGTGAGATCGATGGAGAAGCCATTATTTTCCACCAGCAGCTACAGGCAGGAGTATGGTGCTGTCAGGTTGTTGGATGTGGCAGCAGTTTCCCTGAACTGCTGAATTTCCTGAAAGCCAGCAGTGGTCTTCTGACTTTCACACACTTTGCATTTCCAAAATCATCAAGGCCTCAAATTTCTTGTTTTGAATCTTAGCTACACACAGTACATAAGAGGCTTCTGTTTTCCCGACCAAGTCCCGGAAAAAAAGAAAGGAATGGAAAGGAGAGGAGAGGAGAGGAGAAGAGAGGGAAGGGGAGGGGAAGGGAGAAGGGAGGGGAGAAAGGAGGGGAGAAGGGAGGGGAGAAGGAAGGGAAGAAGGAAGGAGAGGAAGAAGGAAAGGAAGAAGGAAAGGAAAGGGCCAAGAAAACCTCCCTATAGAAAGGGACACTGTAAACAGAAGTGAAACATTTTAAAAGGAGGTATTTATATAATGGAAAACATGCACTCTCTAGAAAAAAGAAATCCTACAAGTCAATAAGAAAAAAAAAAAATAACCTAAAACAAAAACATGGGCCAAAACCAATTTCACAGTAGAGGGAAGTTCAGCAGAATAAAAAAATGCTTAACTTGATAGGTATTAAGAAATGAAAAATTCTTTTTTAGTTTAAAAGTGTGGTGATTAGGTTTTCACACTCGTGTGAGCTGTGCCTTCCTCAATTCTTTTTTAGTTTAAAAGTGTGATGATTAGGTTTTCACACTTGTGTGAGATGTGCCTTCCTCAAACCTTGTTACAACGTCTGCACATTACCCATCGGACATGGAAAGAAAAAAGAAATGAAAATGGAAACCCAAATAAGATGCTATGACACCCTCACAGAGTAAATACAAGTTAGAAAGCTGTACAACACCAAGTACTGATGACAATTTGCAGAAATTGAAACTTATAAACTTTGGGGAATGTAAATTGGTAGTCACCTAGAAGATTAATTTGGCAATATCTAATAAAATTCAATTTCTGGATATATTTAGATTACACCAACTATACATTTAGGCCAAATGCCCAATGCTGATTGGTTTTGACCAAGTTAATATTCAGTCAAAGATGAACATCACCAACCTAGAATGTGGTACAAATCTATGATGTACAGGATACAAACTTAGCCCGTTTAATATTACTTACTAGATTATGTCTAACAGATTAAAATTTAGGAAAGTCTGTCAGTAATGTATTTTCTAGTAAGAACTTTATATGTAGGAATGAAAGCATCTGCCATTAAAAAAAAAAAAGATCCTTTTATCTTAACTCCTGAAAGCAATTGGAAATGCATAGTAATAATTTCCACAAGCTTTTTTTGCTTAAATTCTTAATTTCCATAAACTAAAAACTGGAAGGGATTGTCTTCTTAAAGCATTCTTCTAAAGTTGTAGCTTTAAAGTTTGATTTTTGTATAGTTTGATTAGTGAGAAATACATGTTGTGTCAAATTTGTTTTTATTAGTTCTATTAATGAGAAAAAGAGTATAACTCTTCTTCACCATTTTCTTTTTTTCTTTATTCCCTTTATATTCTTTATTATATCTCAATCACAGAGGATTATTGCAGCTGTTGTTTGTTATCTTGAAGTATTCCCTGTTCGTGAATTCTGAGGTGGCACAGTTGACATTCTGCTTTATAGTTAAATTCCAGAGTATTTAATGGTCAATGAAGATATGTTAGTTTTATGTGGCAATAGTAAAAACTTCCAAATTGCTAAATACAAAAAGAAATAGATTGTTAAAAAGGAAATTGGGAAAGTATGTTAGCTAAATACGTTAGAGAAATATGCTTGCCATATATGTTAATAAAAGTTGATATAATGAAGTTGATATAAAAGTTGATATAAATGAAGAGGTCTTCACTTAAATATAAAGAATTTTAAAATAGGATGTTTTCTTGCAAGACTCATGGCCAAAATGGAATTTAATCACCAAATATTAAATATAGTTCCCCCAAATTATTCTGCCTAATATTATGAATTAAGTTCACCAACAATTCTATAGAGGTTAAAATTATTGCATAATAATATAATATTCATGTCTCCTTGCATTATATCAACTTTTATTAATATATATGGTTTTGGCAAGCATATTTCTCTAATGTATTTAGCTAACATACTTTCCCAATTTCCTTTTTAACAATCTATTTCTTTTTTTATTTAGCAATCTGGAAGTTTTTACTATTAGCACATGAAACTAACATATCTTCATTGACCGTTAAATACTCTGGAATTTAACTTATAAAGTATATATTTATGTTTTAACTGAATTAAAAAAATAAAGCAAGTAAGAGTCTTTTTAAGTTACTTAAAATATATTTTATTACATTTAAAAATGAATTTTCACATGTCACTTTTATTTTTAAATGATGTAAATTATTTGTATTACTGGTAGTGTTTTGCTAGTAAGGTATGACATTACCCTATGTGAATACATAGTTACTCATAAACAAATTGAGAGAAATTATGTTGAGGTCAAAATTTTACTATTTATCTTTTAGTAAGCCAAGACAGAAGTTAAGTAATTGATTAGGAGATTTTGGTTGAATCTTGAGGACAAAGTGAACTTTATATCTTTAAATAGTGCATGCCCTATAAAAACACGTGTACATGTGCAAAAGGAGACATAGAAGTATAGCATTTTCATAGCAGTAAAAAATTGGAAACAATATAAATGCTGCAAAATCAATTAGTTTGGGAATATGTCACCAACGGAATACCACAGAGTAGTTAAAATGAATACAATGTGTTTGTGTGTGTGTGAGTGTGCGCATGTGTGCATGCCTGGGTATATAATTATAAAGATAAAACGCAATACCAGGCAATAAATGAAGCCACAGAATTTTTAAAACCATTATATAATTTATAAAATGTATGAACACTTGCAAAACACTATATATTGCTCATTGATGTATAGATATGTAATAAAAAATATGTGCAAGAATAATAAACTGAATTAGAATATTTGCTAGCTCTCAGGGAAGAAACAGAGAAAGACTGGGGAGGAGTACAAAAGAATCTTTAACTTGTTTTGTAATAATAATATTAACGTGAAGATGAATTAATATGAATGGTAATCTGAATATTAATCTGAATTAACATTGATTTGAGTCTGACACAACTATGATACAAAACTAGAATCTGATAGAGCTAGTGGTTGAATTTGTTGTCATCCTTTATATTTTTTTGTAGATTTCAAATAACTTACAAATATATTAGATATCTTTGGAGAAATATGCTACACGGTGGCAGGAAAGGAATGAAATCTCAGTTTAAGGTATTCAGAAAATCAAAAACATCTAGGTAATGGGGATTATCAGTTCATTTTTGTTCTAGAAATTTTCATTTCACCAGCGTATAAAATTTCACAAGCAGTGTTGAATATTTATAGCATATACGGTTTTTCATACACATCTTTATTTAATTGTCAGTTTCAAGTATTTGAGCTTTTCAATGAAAAGACTAGCAGCTGAACGTTTCCATAAAGATAAGACATTTCTGCATATTTATGAATAAGCAACAATAATTCCACCAATTTGGACAAAATTATGTTGTGCTTTGTAGCTTATATACTATTGTCCATGTGCATTTTCAGCTACAATGCAAAATATTATAAATTGTCTTAATTTACAAAGAATATATCCATTTTACCTCATCACCAGCAATGCCCAACCACATTTACAGAAAATTCAAATTAAGGAAGGATGAATTTGGCAATAAACCTTGAAAACAGAGCTTGATTTCCATTTTTATTTTGAGAAATGATATATGGTAAAACTCAAAATACATTGCATCTTGAATGATAAACTGAATATTATATCTGCTGGAAGAAATGCAAACTTGTAATTTTTGAGCAAAGACGTTTAAATGTAGTATTAAGTATGCAGATCCATGCAAAGTAATATGTTCTGAAATTTTAAAGTACTACTTCTGCTGTTTCTTCTGTGTTTGAGAGACTGACCTGTTTGACTATTTTTTCATTGCATTTCATTATATATGTCATGATTTGAGTTAATGACTGCTAACCTCTTTATGGCTATGTCTCTGATGCTGTTTGCATGTTCACCCAAATGGGGTTATCATAAATTGAGATATTCAGGAAATTCTTGAAACTATTTTTAAAAATGGTCTCTCAAATTTCAGTTTCTTATCAGCATTACTTTATTTTTCAGTTGTCTCCTAGAAATAATTGTTTCTAAGAATCCACATTCAATCATGAACATTACTGAGCATTACTGAGCATCTAGCCTGTCTCAGGATTTGTGCTAGATAGGTACTGTGAGAAAGAGGGAGGGGAAAAAAGGAAAGAATTTCAGCTATACAAAAACAAGGAAAAGAAACAATCATTGCAAATGAATTCAAAGGTACAAATAATTCTATGATTTAACAGAGGAGGAAGTGATTAAGACCCCTTAATAGAGACTAGGAAAGACTCCTAATGTTCTCTGAGAGATAATGTTTATCTCAACTCACAGAAATAATAGGATAAACTTAGTACTTAGAACTATACAAGTTCTTGTGACTTTATGTATGTTGTGACAATCTAGAAAGTCAATGATGCAAATTAGTGATTTGACACAAGTGAGCTAATATACACTTTTTTGCTTTCTAATTCAAATCTAGATTAATTTGGTCAAGAATCTATGCCTATAAAAGTTATGTAGATCTCTTTTTGATCACCATATAATTTAGGACACAAGTAAAAGTTTTTTTTCTCCAGCATTTTTGTCTTAAGTGATTTTCCTTATTCATAAAACTATCTAGAATATTCTTAAAGGTTTTCTATCCTCAGAAGCTGTAATTAATATAAGTTTTCACCTAATTGTCCTTGGTGTATTTATTACATCATTTACCCTACATTTTTATATTTTGCAAAATATTAAAAACAGAAGAAACTATATAGCTACGGCAGCTTAGATTTTGATTTGTTCATATCAGGTTTGGTTTATCTTTTGAAGTGTCCTTTTCCAGTTCCTTCAGAATCTTAATTGTGTTGTGTTAAGACTGTTGGGATTTTTAGCATTCACCTTTATTAACTTTACTTTGAATATGCAAATGAGGTATTCAGGATGCAGATAGATTCTTATTAAGTAATATAATGATGATGATGATGTCTGTGTCAGCTCTCCTTTCACCTAGTCCTTACTCCTGGGGGCAACACCATGAATACCTAATGAAAAAATCTTCTACAGAAGTGGCCAGGGGCTTCATAGACAAAGGAAGAAAAACAAATGAGCTTATTCTGCTGCTTTCTCTCTCTCCTCTCCTGGAAGGTGGGAGAAAAACCTATGCTCCTTGGAGATTGGATGGAAAGGATCATGTGTTCTTACTCTAACCTTTTGTAATGTAAATATATCTATTTAAGGGACATATTAATCTCCCATATCTCAAACTTTTATAACCTAGAGATTTCTGTAAATTTCTGGGCCTCATTCTTCATTGAAATGTAAACATAAACCTTCCTCACAGTTACATAAATTTCTCTGGAGTTTTCTCACTATTCATACAGTTGTAAATTAACTTCTCAAGTGTCGCTCTTAGCCCAGGATCTCAGTTTTTAGCAAATTCATTCAGAAAGCCCCAACCCTGTAGAAACACAGAAATATTATCTCTACATCTCAGAATGACAACACGTGGGAAGCCTCTATTTTTTTTCCTGTGAGAATTTCTAAGAACTGTGCTTTTTCCGGAGAAAGTAGAATATAAAAATTTAGAGTTCATCAAGCTGATTAGTATATTAGCTTGATAAAGTATATTTTAAATATGAGAGTATTCACTTTCTTCTAAGGTTATACAACTAAAGCAGTCCAGTTATATTTGCAATTGACATTATTTGTCATTTGGCTAGTTATTATTTCACATATTTTGTCTTAATTTTAAAATGTTGATGATATGATCTTAATAGTTATGTTGATCAGTAATGCAAAACCCAATTCTCTGCTCACACCCCTTCTGACGCCATATATGTATGTTTCTTCCTCGCACCGACCAATTATCCAGCTCTCTGGTGTAGGGATAGAAAGATGTGATACCTTTCGTCACCCTCATATGTGTCATGCTGATATTCCTATTTGACAAGAGAAAAGCATAATAAATTTATTGGATCATGGTTTTATATGACATGGGAGCCTTCAGAAATAAAGACCCAAAGAACCCGTAAAAACTGTCTGTTTTTATGCTGCGGTTCAGTGATGAATGGTCAGCTACGTAGAAATGTAATTGGACATAAAAGGTATAATCTATCAGTAATAGATTGAGAATGGGAAACCCAGCAAGCCTGTTTGTTCAAATTCTTCTTGACCTCTTTATGGAGCTTTCCTTTCCAGGGTATGGGGCAGGACCCCTATGGAATGAGGGTTTTCAAGGGAGAAGGAAGAAAATGACCTTTCTAGGTTCTGTGGCTCGCTTTGGGGGAGAGGTTTTCTAGTTTTTATGATGCATCTTGGGGAAGAAGAATTCTGGCTTGTATGACTAGCTTTGGGAGAGAGAAAGTGGCAGAAGGGCAGAAGAAGGGCAGAGAGACCTTGCTTCTGAGGCCTTCTAATCACTTTTCATTCAAAGCACTCAGCATGCCAAAGTGCCATACTTTGGAGTATATTGTTCTGAGCGCCAACACTTGAAACCGACTTGATGTCTGGTAATTCAATTCAATTCTAACACTACTTGCAGTTAATATAGACCCCACAGTTTAGGGGCTCAATCCGACAAGAATGCCCACACTTCAGATGCCAATTGAAAATCTAGGCCTCTTGTATTTCTGACTGACGAGCTATAAATTGGGGTTTCCCATAACTTCCTCCTTGAGTTTGATAATTTGCTAGAATGCTCACAAAACTCAGGGAAACATTTACTCACCTTTATTGGTTTATTATAAAGGATACAAACGAAGAGCTACCAAAGGAAGAGGTACATAGCTGAGGTCCAGAAGGGTCCCAAGTGCAGGAGCTTCTGTCCCCATGGAGTGGGGATTTGGGGTATATCACCCTTCTAGCATGTGGAGGTGTTCATGAATCTGAAAACTCTCAGAACCCCTCTGTCTAAGATTATTATGGAGATTTTATTACATAGGCATAATTGATTAAATCATTGCTCCTCAGTAATTGACTCAACCTTCAGTCCTTCTCCCCTCCACGGAGATGTATGTATATGACCCGGCCATGGGGACGGCACTGAAAGTTCCAACACAACCTTCTAATCATATGGTTGGTTTCTCTGGCGATAAGCCCCCATCCTCCAGGAACAACTTCATTATAGAAACTTAGGTATGGATGGCTTATGATAAGTAACAAAAACTGTACTCTCACTCTTATCACTCAAGAAATTCCAAGACTTTTAGGAGCTCTGTGCCAGGAATCAGGGACAAAGAACAAATATATACTTGTTGTTATATCATGGTATCACTCAGAATCTACTATTAACTCTAAATCACTTGAAGCAGACAGGAAGCTTAGTACCACAAGCCATGGTAATTATATAGACCATGGGGTATCATTGATAAACTTCAAAAACACAACACATTTTAATTTTCAAGAAAAAAAAAGGTCTGCATGGTTGTTGTATGATACGAAAATTAAATATGGTAAGGGCAATATGACTAAGAATAAGTATGTAATCATCAAAAATAGTAAAGGAAAGGAATGATTTGTATAGATTTAAATCCTCCTCCTAAATTTTGCCTTTAATCAATTTATATTTTTGTCCCAGGTTTTGAACTCTCACACTGTGAAGATCCTGGCATTCCACAATTTGGATACAAGATCAGTGACCAAGGCCACTTTGCTGGTAGCACCATCATTTATGGATGCAATCCAGGCTACACTCTCCACGGAAGTAGCCTTCTCAAGTGCATGACAGGGGAGAGAAGGGCATGGGACTATCCTCTGCCTTCCTGTATTGGTAGGATACTGTCATAGATTTTCATTGAATATTTCTGTGAAAACTTTATCAAATTCTTTGCATTTTTAAGAAATTCTTTCTGTCCTCATAGAACTAACACTTTATATCGAGAAATTAATGAACTCATAGCTTGAATTTGTCAAAAGAAAATTAATGGAAAATGAAAAGGTCCTTTTCATAACTTTATTCATTATTCCTCCCATAATCTTCTAGTTTGTGGGGGACAATATGGTCTCTTTGAAGTCATTTTATTTCTGCTACCTCGACATAAAATGGAACTCATTACTAAAATGTTAAGACTTTTAATTATACACATTTATTGAATTGCATTGGCCAGATTTTTTTAATTTACAAAATTATTACCTATTGTGGAATCAAGGTGGATTAGAGAAAACAGTAACCTATTCTCTTTTCTCATGCATGTTACAGCATAGCACTCAATTTCAGTAGGAAAAGGAATGTGAGAGTGACATAAGATATATTGCTTTCGTGAAGCTAGAGAATGATCATTTTCTGTCTTCTTTGCATAGCTGGGGTACCATTTTATTCCTACCATCTTGTAGATTAGTTAATGCATAGATGGGTAGGTGGGGGTGGGAAGGTAGATAGACAAATATTGACAGGTGTGGATAGAGATCTCTCTTTTTCTCTTTTTCTTTTCTGCTCTAAAGACCAAGTAGGTGTCAGATTGGAATACTAGGACAACAAAGGAAAACAACTTTGTAGCAAAACACTAACTCTCCAGCAGAGAACATATATGCAGTGATTCTTCAGCCTTTCTTTTTTTGATGGCATTTATAGAGGCAGAAATCCATTCTGTGTCAGGCCTATATGGATAAAATTGACTCAAATCTTTTATTTTTAGAAGGTGTACTGAGGTATAATTGATATACAAAAAACTACACATATTTAATGTGCAATTTGACTTACCTTTTAAGACCTGGACCTTTTGACAAAAGTAGAATATTTCTGTCGTTTTTTGATGTGGTCAGCATAGGAATTGCCATAAAACTTGCTAGAATACAAATAGAAAATATGAAATTCTAGTTATTATAGGCCTTGCAACTAATTGCGTAGTGGTTTTGATGCTATGAGACCTCTGTTGGTTTATTAAAACATTGATTCATGCAGAAAACAACATGGTTTTATCTAACTAAAATGCAATCACAGTTCTTACTTTTCAGACGGCATCTGAATTTTGGAGAGATTGTGAGGGTGATACCTAAAATAATAATCAAATTAAATTGCCAAAAGCTGGAATATGATCAATAATCAGCCCATTGGCATTGGTTATGAGAAAAATGTACCACTGACTAATTCTCTCTGATGTGATTATGAAATATGTTCAGAAAAGCTTTAAGAGTTTAATAGCACAATACCATAAATGTATAAATATTGACTTGCCATGCTGTTTTTAAAATTAAAACCACAAACAAATACATTAAAAGCATATATATTTTTATGTGTGTTGAAACAAGCTGAAGATATTCTCTACTTTTTGGAAAGGTTTTATACAAATGGAAGGATATTTAGTATGAGATCAGAAGGTTTTAATTATGTTCGCAGCAAATCAATGCATTTTATGTTTACAAGTACTCAAAATCAAAACATGTTGACTTGATATTGCACAAGATTTCACAGGTAGGGTAATCTTCTTTATTAAAATTCTAATGATGGATGATCAAATAAATTTAGCAGCTATAAACAGTTGGACATATGGTGAGTGATACTGAATAATTTGATGATAACAGAAGATGAAATTCTATTTTAGATGGTGTTCTCTACTCGCAATGATTAATAGCTTTAACACTTGGCCTATGATTATAATAGCCTGTGCTCATTAACCTTAAATATCTTCTACAGCTATGTTTTAGCCTCAGTCAAATAAGGAAACTTTTCTTAATTATTTAGATTACTTATAGGTAATTATATTTCTGAATCTTATTCATTGATGAAACAAAAATTAGTTTTTGAGGCACCATAGCTGGAAGGATTTAACCTGTATCTCTTCTTTAAACACTAAATTTCATTTTATTCTGCAAACATAAGTTTTATATAGAATATGAACTCCAGTACTACAGCATATGACACTGGCTCATTTGAGGTCAAAAATGCCAGGTAATATTTTATAACAAAGAAATATGGGGGGAAACAGCTATGTTTAAGTTCAAGATGCAATATAGTGCAAAATTCTCTAATTGACTATAAATTAATCAAGAAGAATAAGTATCAACTCTGTTCTCAAATTAAATGTAATCAAATAGTGATAAATCATAAATAAATGATGAAAAATGAATTAATACAATTATGTTTACAGATTGTCCAAAAGAATTTTTGTTAGAAAAAAATGAAAAACCATAAATGGTGATAACATCTTAAATACTAATATCTTTTTAATTTAAAAATCTCCCGAGTGTGTTATTGTAAATTAGATTAAATTAATGTTGCAATAAAAGGTAATATTCCCTTAGCCCTCCATGGGTATATCAGTCAGGGTTCTCCAGAGAAACAGCACCAATAGGATATCTCTCTTTCTCTCTGTCTCTGTCTCTCTCTTTTGTCTCTCTCTCTCTGTCTTCCTTATCCATCTATCTATCTATAGAGCTTTATTTAATTTAAGGAACTGAATCATGCAATGGTGGGGGCTGATAAGTCCAAAGTCCATAGGGCAAGTTAATAGCTTAGAAACTGAGGCAGGAGTTGCTGAAGTTTTGAGAAAGAATTTCTTTTTTTTCCCCCCAGGAAACTTAGTTGTGCTCTTAAGGTCTTCAAATTTATTGGATGAGGCCTACAAGTCAACTGAGTGTAGATGTTATCCATACCTATAAAATAGTTAATTAAATAACTGGCACTAATAGCCCAGCCAAGTTGACACATAAAACTATCCATCACAGTTTGGTGCAATATAGTATCTAAAATTTTTAAAACAAGTTAACATATATGCAGCCTACAAATTTGAGCCATTAGATTCTAGTGTTATCAGGTCTCTTCCAAATGCTAAAACTTTCCTGCTTTGACCTTCTTTGGTCTAATAATAATAATAATCAAAAATAAAAAGTTTAATTCAGTTATTTAATCTAAGATAATAGGAAAGTTGTCAGAATCAAAATGGAGTCACTTGTTTTAAAAACTCTGACAAACAGAGCTGGGAAAGCCATAAGGGGAGGGTTCTCATGCACAAGTGCCTGATAACAAGAACTATCACAAAAGATTCAAATGTGTAAGGCATTCCACAGTGTTTTCCTTGTTTCTAGGGTTTAAAGACGTAGAGCAATATGCTAACTAAAATACTTAGTTTCTCTCTTTTCCAGTACAGAGACTCTTTCTAGGTTGTTCACTGACGTAAAATCACTCCAGTTATCACAACAGTATTAAATAGTATTAAAATGGAGAAGGAATCCCCTAAAATATAAAATTTTAATTATATTGCATGACGATACTCACATTCTTAGTTTGATAATTTTTATAAAAATTAGAGACCACATTAAATCAAAACCTAACTAGATTTTACTGAAGTAAGGAATCTAATAAAAAATGCCATTTTGACTTTTGGGAGAGTACAAGGGAAAGGGTTTAAAATGATTTAAAGGGGAAATAAAAGGACAATGAAATTTAGAAGGCCTGAGGGACTGCAGTAAAGATTAGTTTTTCTCAAAGGCGGGGTAGCAAGATGATGAATTATTCAGCCTGCAATTTGTTAGCAGTGAGCAACTTGCCATCTGTTTCCCTTTTAAAATTATCGTTATTTAACAACACATCTTAAAATGTTTGGAATCCTAACTCAGAGGTTTTGAGTGTGTCTTGTTTTAATTCTTTAAGTAGGTTTCAGTTTTGTTGTCTTTTTTGTGCTCTAACTTGAGACTCTATTATTTGATTGTATTATATATTCTTGCTTCAATTGATACTTTAAAAGTTTATACAAATGTATACTTTAAAGAAACAAGAAAATCAGTATTCTTTTGTCTACTCATGAGAAATTTGTAGATTGTTTTGAAAAGATTGGCATTAAATTGTGGCTTAAATTTCTATTATTTTTTATCAGCTGAATGTGGAGGTCGTTTTAAAGGAGAATCATCAGGAAGAATCTTATCTCCTGGCTATCCTTTTCCATATGACAATAACCTGCGTTGCATGTGGATGATTGAGGTAGATCCTGGAAATATTGTCAGGTAAATGAATTTCATTTTCTCAACATTACTAGGGAATCTGAAGTGCCTAACCAACCCCTATATAAAATTAATATCCATTTATTTCATTTTTTGTTTGTTTGTTTTTCTTGAGGCAGAGTCTTGCTCTGACATCCAGACCGGAAGGCAGGGCTCGATCTCGGCTCACTGCAACCTCCTCCTCATAGGCTCAAATGATCTTCCCACCTCAGCCTCCCCAGTAGGTGGGAATACAGGCATGTGCTACCAGGCTAGGCTAATTTTTAAATATTTTGTAGAAACGAGGTCTCACTATATTGACCAGGCTGGTCTCAAAATGTTGGGCTCAAGCAATTCTGCCTCCCAAAGTGCTGGGATTACAGGTGTGAGCCACTACACCTGGCCCATTTTGACTGATATACAGAGTTTTGCAAATTATTACCCTAGTGCATCCTCATTAACAATTAGGAGAAATAAGAATAGAAGGGGACTGAATACCATTTCCTGTTGTCCTTGTCCCTAAACACATTTGTGAAACACTTGCTCTCTGCCCATGTAATCATGTTAGATTTCCCTTTTCCGCAGAGTTCCTCACATTGTTACTACCCCTTAGATAAGTACAGAGTCATTATCTCAAATCAACACCAGTCTGACTTCCAAAGCTATCACAGGCTCTCAGTCCCAGCCTTACTATGCAGCTTTGGCTAGAATCATCCTTGACATATGAGCTACTTGGTGTGTTTTCAATAACAAACAATAACTTTAAAACTTAAGAATTACTACTTATATAAAGTAGTAATATAAATTCCATTTATATACAATGGAATTTCAGACAGGCTTCTAGGTGGTATACTACTATGCATTGATGGATGCAGTGTGAGTTGGTACATTACTTTTGCAAGGCAATGTGCAAACTGAAAATAGACTACACTATATCATCCCCAGTTTATTTTTCTTTAGTCTAAGTCGTGCATTGTTTTATATAAATATTATTAAACTTGAAAGTAATAAATTCACCAGATTTCTGCAATTTCTAAAAATTAAACATTATTTGATGTTAAATTGCAACTTAAATTTAAAGCTGTAACGATTCATGTATCAAACATAAATGTATTGTATGTAGAGTTGAGCATGTCAATATAATTAGATTTCTAAATTTTGCACCAAGCACAAAAAGCACCCGATTCTAATTTTGTCTAGCTTAAACTTAAAACAGAATAGATTTAACATGAAACGTGGCAAAAGCATGTACTGTAGAGTCAGAAAACTTGAGTTCAATTTTTGACTATGCCACTCTTTGGGAAATTATTTCATTTATCTAAACTCCATTTGCCATATTTGTAAAATTAAGATAAAAATTATTCATATTTCATTGGGTCATTATAACAATTAAACAAATAAAATATATGTAACGCATTTTGCACAGTGCCTAGCATGTAGAAGATTATCTATAAATGTCCCCTGCTGTTGCCCTAGTTAAATCCATGAACACGGGAAAGAATGTATGCCTGAAGTTTCTACAATTTGCAAAGGTGATGTAATATTGTATTTAATAATATTCTAAAAAAACAAATTATATGTCTCAAGAAAAATATATTAAGAATATATGCTGTTTATGTAATTCATTTTTAACACATAGCAAAAAAGAACTATCTAGTAAAAGGCATAATGCACATTTGTTCTATTTTTTCTTTAAAGTTGAATCCTTGTTTAAAATAATCAGAGAAATATGGTTCTCCCACAGCTTGCAGTTTCTTGCTTTTGATACGGAAGCATCACATGATATACTCCGAGTCTGGGACGGTCCACCAGAAAATGATATGCTTTTAAAGGAAATTAGTGGATCTCTTATTCCTGAAGGAATTCATAGCACCCTCAATATAGTAACCATCCAGTTTGACACGGATTTTTATATTAGCAAATCTGGATTTGCAATTCAGTTTTCAAGTAAGTTTTTTCAAAAAATTTCTTCAATGCAAAATAGGAAGGTGATGTAAATAGTCATGTTAACTTTACTGTTCAAAATTTTAATTTTAAAATTTTAATGATTTTAAATATTCGTGTTTCTAGTCTTCCTATATTTCTGCAGCAAAGGTAAAATATACATGGGAAAAAGGTAATACAACTAACTTTGAATATTGATTGTTGAGACTTCTCTCCACCTGTAAAATCATTTATTCTTAAAGTAAAAGTGGTGTTAAATTACTCAGCTAAAAAAAAAATTACATCACAAAAGCTTATAATCTGGAAATAGTATAAAAGTAGAAGTTTTAAAATATGAAGTTTTGCAGATGAGGAAGGAAATGACTACTTGCTATTACAAAAAATACAACCCTACATTTTTCCTGTTTTTTAAAAATTATCTAAATATCTTAATTATGTATTCACAGACATCTTTGACAAAATATTTCAGATGGCTTTTAAATTAAAGATTTTCTATAACAATAATATGACAATGAAATAGCATTCCTTGTAAGTAATTACCAGTGTTCTTGTCTTGCTAATTTTTTTCTTCTCATGGCACTGCTAAGTGGCTAAATATATGTTGTTCTGTAAAAGAAATTTTAGTTTAGTTGATGGATAAAATGAATAAAAACTTAAAATGTTTAAATGCTGTTTTAACTTGTTAATGCACATTATCTCTTTGAGAAAATTATCTAATAGATTTTTTATCTGTATAGTCTTAAAAAGTCCTATTAACAGAAATGTGTCAATGTTTCTATGATCAACTATGAGTGAAAACCAGTACTCTTCAAATGTGTCGGAATTCAAATTCTGGCTGTTTACTAACTGCTAATTTTGGGCACGTTACCTAGTGACCCGATACTGGGTTTTCTAATTGACGTAGGAATAACAATGCTCATCTCATAAATAAGTTATTAAATCTAACAGAATCATGTGTGCACAGTATTTGGTATTGAGTAGATAACTGGTACCTAATGAACTATTATTTTTACATAAATAAATGTAACATTGAAATGTCTTGAAAATAAATAATACAAATAGTTTAAAAAAGTATGAAGGAAGGACTTTTGAAATCAGTGCCAACAAAATATACCGTTTTAAGTAAACAATTATACAGTTAAACAATTGTCTTGGCTGACTTTTTGTTTATGGAACACAATTATTCTCCCTACTAACACAAACAAATTATTTTGTACTATATGACCCAAGTTCATGTGAAAGAGAGGTATAAACTGAAAAGTCAATATCTCTAAATTTGCACTTTAAATATATATTTTGAGAAAATGGAATAAAATAAGAAAATAATCATATAATAGGTGAATATAAATGGCTCCGAATTAGAAAACATTTACCAATGAAATATTCTTCATATTTGTATATTCTACTCTCTACTGTTTATTTTTTTAAGTGGGAACAATTTGTCAGAGAGCGGCTTAATTTTAGTTATTTCTATTGTAGTTTAGCAATAAACAATTCTTGCTTTTACTTTAGATTAGTAATACATAGTGTTTTCCACTTAAATTGTTATTGCAATTAAATATCTGCATACAGTAATATGGAAAGGTGTCTCAAGCTCAGTGTTTGCAAATGCAACTTACACTTTACACTCAACCTTATCTGGTTAAGTGGAAACACACTATTTTAGATGCATTTCTGGGAATTTTTATTGTAGATAATCTGTGAAAATAGCAGTACATTTTTATATTTATTATATTTGTAGGGCACATTAAAGTTATAGAAACAATATATTTCATACTAGAGCTTTAATAACTCTGCCTTCATAAGTTTTTTTTAAGATGAATAGAAATTTGATCTGAGCCTTAAAATCAACCTATTGAAATAAAGTTACATTGATGGTTACTACATTGTGAATGAAAAATTAACCTCTTGGCTAGAGATCTTTTCTAAAACATGTGCTTACACAGCTTTTCAAGTGTTCAGATTTGAAATGGGAAAATATTCTTTTCATGAATGAAGTCTTGATGGGTGCCAAGAATCAAGTTAAATGCTTTATATACATAATCTCATTTAATTCTCACAAAAGCCATATAAGATATGGTTATCATTCTCATTGCCCAAAGAAATACATTAATGTTCAGAAAGTCAGTTAATTTGTTCAAGATCATACAACTAGCAGATGCCTGGAGTGATAACTGAAACTCACATGTCTGAAAGGAGATTAATGTCATGCTTTGTACATACTAAATGCTTAGTAGTTATTATTACAGTATTATTATTCTAGATACATGCATTAATATGCCAGGGGGAATAGAAAGCTTTCAGTTATATATTATTAGCTGCAATGGAGTTCTACATTTTAATCAATTTGGTTTCCTGATTATAATTCCAAGCACCACATCAAAGGTCCCAATCTAAAAAAGGAGATGAAATATGAGTGAAACCGTGAGAAGAAATGGAGGAAAGCCGGAGTACATACATGCCCATCTGAAAGGGACAGATGCCCTCTCTGGTTCTAAGCATTTTGCCCTATAGGAAGACAGGAAAATTTTAAAGTGGAATTTGAAATAAGAAATTTTATCTAAAGTCATCTAGTTTCTAAAGTATACAAGTGGTATTAAAGAGAATGTAAATGGACTATAGGCCACTAAACAACTACCGTGGGTCAAACTTGGCTCGTGGGATCATGTTTGCCACTTCAGTGCTTTACCTAAATTATTCTTCCCTAGATAAATCTATTTCATCCTACCCATTCATTCATATGTTCATCCGCTAATTCATTCACTCATTCATCCTAGGAGAGTCTAGTAAGAACCAGGTATTAAACATATTTATCACTAATTAATTCTCAAACTCATCTTTTCATTAACTCAAGCAACTCTTAATTTCATACACTCTCTCTCTCTCTGCTGCTTTCCATCACCAAACCTTCTTTTTTCTTTAGTGTTAGTTCTGCTCCCATGTGCTTAAATTCTGCTCATTCTTCCAGACTCTGTGCCAAGATCCCTTTTCAGTAAAATATTTTCTTACTATTCTAGCTCATGCTCCTTCCAGTAGTTGTATTTCTTTTTCCCCAAATAAAGACCAGTATAAAAGGCGTAGCAATTCATTGTTCTAGAAGTTTTTTGGTTGTTTTTTGTTTTTTTAGAGTCAATGTCTTGCTCTGTCACCCAGGGTGCAGTGCAGTGGCACAATCACAGCTCACTGCAACCTCAACCTCCTAAGTTCAAGCGATCTTCCCACCTCAGCCCCCCATGTAGCTAGGACTACAGGTGTGCACCACACTTCACTAATTTTTATTTTTTTTTTGTACAGATGAGGTCTCATTACGTCGGCCAGGCTGGTAATGGTATTTTAATTATGGTGCCTTTGCGCCCCCAAATATATTAATATCATGGATACCTTTGTCTCTTAAAATGTCTATATAAAACACATATTTTGTACAGGGTGATAATATAATTTACTATCCAAACTTAAGGTATTTTGGAGATTAAAAGCAAGTGCTAATAAAAATTAAGCTCAGCAATAGGCACAAACCAGGATGCTCCTACAAAATCAGGAAGTATTGTCGTTTTAATTGTCAGATTTTATTTGAGCCCCCCTTCCCCGATTAGTACAATTTAATTCCATTCTTCTTTTGAGCAAATAGCTGTCCATTGAAAGTCAAAATAATTAATTAAAAATAATAAATCAGGCAATAGTAGCAGAACAGTCTTCACCAATGAATGTAACAGGTGATACGTGTTTCCCCAAACTTGGTGCAAAGTAAATTTAACAGAAATGTAGGCCACAGACCAACTTGATAATCATCAAGCCACTGTCGGCAGCCTCATGACTTTTATTTCATGATCCATTCATCCTTTGTAGAGTCTGTTGCTTTATCTCTTGGTGTTATTGTCTGCAAGGCACTTTTGCTTAATCAGAGCTACTTAAGTCTAACATTGCCACTTCACGCTGTCCTATGTGCTGTCCTCACTTCTCAGTAGTCAGCTTCTATATCCTCTGCTTACATTTTAATCTGCCTGTCTCATTCCACTTTAGTTCCCCAGGGAAGATATCATTGGGTATCATGCTGTCATTTGCCCACAGAATAGTAGATTCTGACAGAGCATTTTCTATGCTCTTCACTCTTTGACCTCTCTGTTGAGAATCTTCCCCTGCTGGGTAATACAAAATGCTGAGGCCCGTAGCTAATACTGTTGAAAAATCTCAAGGAAATATATCCCTTAGCCATGAGAGGTTGAAGTTCCCCAGCTTTAACCAATTGCATGGTGCCCCTGCCTTTGTTCTCATCCTTATTATTGTTCCCTGCACTGCTCTAACAGTCGACTAGCCACTCACTTCTTTATCCCTCCAGCAAAACTTTTCTCCACATTTCTACCTGACTGATCTTTCCGAAATACAAAATTGGACATCACTTCTCTGTTGAAAATTATTTAATGGCCACACAAATCTAAACTCAACACTTTGGCATGACATTTAAAGCCTCCAGAATATGTCCCAACCTACCTGCCAGCTTCACTCCTCACTATTCATTTATATACATCCAGAGGTCTAATTAAATTGTCCTGAAAGGACAATATCGTCGCACGTTTCTACTGCTTTGCAAACTCTCTTCCATATTCCTGAAACACTTGTACCTACATTCAAAATTTGTACAATTTTAGTCATTTTCCAGGACATAGGCTAAATGCTACTTCTAGTAGCAATGAACTACTAGACAGAATTACTTATTTCCATTTCCACATATGTACTGCTCTTCCCTGGTTTACTAAGGACAGTCCTTATTTATGCCTGTTGTCCTGGCATTCTGACTGTGTTGACATTTATCCTGTATTTTCCCTTTTTAACAAAGTATCACTATTAGTAGTTCATTAAAATAAGCCACAGTGTATTTATTAGATCCCCGCTTTGTGACATAAGTTTGCAGTGCTCAGTAATTATAATGCATGGTTACATCTGAAAGACAAATACTATTAGGTTGGTGCAAAAGTAATTGTGGTTTTTGCCATAATAACTTGTATCTATTTCTCAACTTTTTCCAGATGCCAGGTGATTAACACTTACCTTTCAAGGATAGAACATAGGACACTTAGAGATAAAATGAAGCATTCTTAGATATGAACAGGTCACCCATTCTGACCCTAGATGGTGGTGGGAAGAGCATTTATTATTATTATTATTATTATTATTTTTTTTTTTTTTTTTTTTTGAGATGGAGTCTCGCTCTGTCGCCCAGGCTGGAGTGCAGTGGCACGATCTTGGGTCACTGCAACCTACACCTCCCGGGCTCAAGCAATTCTCCTGCCTCAGCCTCCCGAATAGCTGGGATTACAGGCGCGTGCCACCAGGCCCAGATAATTTTCTATATTTTTAGTAGAGACGGGGTTTCACCATGTTAGCCAAGATGGTCTCGATCTCCTGACCTTGTGATCCGCCCGCCTCAGCACCCCCAAGTGCTGGGATTACAGGCATGAACCACTGTGCCTGGCCAGGAGGAGCATTTGACATTGTTGCCCTGACAGATATTTTGTATAACAGATAGTTATGCTACAGCATGTATTGTGGTTTGAATGATACGTAAGACTGCCAGGCCATGAATTGGCAGGATTAGGGGGAAATATGGGAAATATGTGTTCTTGAAGTATGTGTAGAAATAGAGACTGAGCAGTTGATTTACAGACCTACAAAATATAGCCTGAATACTCATGCCACGAGTATATATGCTGTTTATTTTATTGTGTAAATTTGGAACTAATTACTTTATCATTGAAATATGCTTTATTATCTTGCAATAGACCTTTATGGCAGCAATGAGATTTTAAAAATTAAATGTTTAATGAAAAAGTTTGTACTGAACATTCATTTCTTAAGAAAGCTGATATCCACTAAGATGTCCAAAAGGAAAGTCAGTTCTGCTGAAGGGGCTGTCAAGAAACACCCAAGCAGAGATCAGCAAGGATTCTACAAAAACCAATCCTTGTGAAAATTGAAACGAAACCAAAAAGATAACAGAAAATGATCCAGAATAGTTTTTTAATCACTATTTGTAAATCCAAGAATTTCATACATCCAGAAACAAATTTTTTTAAAAAGCAGAGAGTAGCACATAATCCCATTTCAATAAAACTTATTTAGATAAGTGATAAAACTTTTTTAAGAGGGAAAATCATGCACTGATCATTTATTTAGCTGTGTGAACAGAAATTAGTAAAACATTGAATTAAATGAAACACTATTATTTTGTGTATCATGTTTACATTTTATAGGCTAGTGAAGAGGGCAGTTTTATTAATATATGCCAAAATATGGATCAGATTGAATGGTTATTTGAAGCCATAATAATGCATTAAATACATCCTCATCATTTTAAAGTACCTGATATATTAAATATGTGTTAATCATTTTACAGTACCTATCTTCAACAGCCACATTATTTTTATTTCAATTTATTTTACTGTGGTAAGAACAATTAACACGAGATCTACTTTTTAAGCAAATTTTTAGGTGTAGGGTACATTATTTTGGTTATAGGTACAACACTATATAGCAGGTCCCTAAAGCTTATTTATATTGCTAAACTGAAATATTATGCCAGTTGATTAGTAACTCTCATATCCCATCTCCCCTAAGCCCCTGGAAAAAACCATTTCAGGCTCTGATTCTATTAATTTGGCTATTTTAGATACCTCATATAAGTGAAGTCATGCAGTAGTTGTGTTTCTGTGACTGGCTTATTTTATTTAGCATAGTGTCCTCAAGGTTCGCTCATGTTGCTGACTATTGCAGAATCCTTCTTTTAGAGACCAAATCGTATTCCACTGTGTGTCTTTCCCATATTTTCTTAATCTGTCATTAGACAATTAAGTTGTTTCCAACATCTTGGCTATAGTGAATAATACTGCAATGAACTTAGGAATACTAATACCTCCTCGAGATCCTCATTTTTATTATTTAGGATAAATATCTAGAAATGGGATTGTTGGATCGTAAAGTAGTTTCATTTTTAGATTTTTTGAGGAACCTTCATAATATTTTCCATAGTGGCTGGCACCATTTTGCGTTCCCACCAATAGCATGTAAGAGTTTCTATTTCTCCATATTCTTGCCAACACCTTTTTTTAATAAATAATAACCCTCCTGACAGGTATGAAGTAATATATTATTGAGATTTTTATTTGCATTTCCTTGAAGATTAGTTATGTTAACCATTTCTTTATATACCTGTTGTCCATTTGTATGCCTTTTTTATAGAAATGCCTATTCAAGACCTTTGACTGTTTTTTATCAGTCATTTGCTATTGAGGTGTAGAGGTTCCCTATGTCTTTTGGATATTGATCTATTATTAGATGTATGGCTTGAAAATATTTTCTCCCATTCCATAGCTTGCCATTTCACCCTGTTGATTGTACAGAAGCTTTTAAGTTGGATGTATTCCTGCTTGTTTATTTTTGCTTTCGTCACCTATGCCTTTGGTGTCATGTCCATGAAATCATTGTGAATACCAACGTTATAAAGCTTTCTTCTCTTTTTTTTATTTCCTTCTGGAAGTTTTACAGTTTCAGGTCTGGCGTTTAAGCTTTTAATCCATTTTGAGTTGATTTTTGTGTAGGCTGTAAGATAAGGGTCTAATTTCATTTTTTGCTTCTGGATATCCAATTTTCTAAATACCGTTTGTCAAGGAGACTATCCTCTCCCCTTTGTGCATTCCTGGTACCCCTCCACCACTGTCCACACCTTTTTGTTGCCCTGTCTTATGGTGTGGACCTGTTACCGTTTCATAGATTTATTTCTGGTCTCTCTATTCTCTTCCATTGTTCTATATGTCTCTGTTTGTGCCAGTACCATACAGTTTTGATTATTGTACTTTGGTAATATATATTTGAAATGAGGAGGTCTGATGCCTTCAGTTTTTTATTCTTTTGCAAAACTGATTTGACTATTCAAGTTATTTTTGGTTTCATGTGAATAGTAGAAATTTTTTTTTCTATTTACAATCCATGAACAGAGGCTGTTCTTCCATTTGTTTGTATCTTTAATTTCTTTCATTATTGTTTTATAGTTTTCAGTATACAAGTCTGTCACCTCCTTAGTTAAATTATTTCTAAGTATTTTATTCTTTATGAGATTATTTTAAATTAGATTGTTTTCTGAGTATCCTTTTCAGATAGTTCGTTGTTAGTGTATATAGAAACACAATTGATTTTTGTATGTTGATTTTGTATCCTGAAACTTTATTGAATTTATTAGTTCCAACAGTTTTTTTGATAAAGTCTTTAGGATTTTCTATATATGAGATTGTGTCATCTGCCAGCAGACACTATTTTACCTATTTTTTTTTTTTTTTTCATTTTGGAGGCCTTTTGTTTTTCTTTCCTAAACTGCTCTGGCCAGGACTAGCAGTACTATGCTGAATAGGAGTGGGAAGTGAACATCCTTGGCTTATTCCTGATCTTGGAGGAAAAGTTCTCAGTTTTTTTTTTTTTCCAGACAGTATGATGTTAGCTGTGGTCTTTTGATATATGGCCTTTATAATGTTGAAACATTTTTCTTCTTCTATTCCTAATATATTGAGGATTTTTTTTTAAGAAAAGGCATTTAATTTTGTCAAATGCTTTTTCTGCATCTACTGAAATTATCATGTGATCATGTGATCTTAATCCATTATTCTGTTAATGTGGTGTATCAAAATAATTGATTTTTGTATATTGAACTATCTTTCTGTCCCAGGAATAAATCCGACTTGGACATTGTGTGTGATCCTTTTAACATTTTAATGTGCTGTTGGATTTAGTTTGCTAGTATTTTGTTGAGGATTTTTGTACATGTATTCATCAGAAATATTGATCTCTAGTTTTTTTTCTTGTGATGTATTTTTCTGGCTTTGGTATCAGGGAATATTGCCTTTACAAAATTAATTTGGAAATTTTTTTGTTTGTTTTTGGTTTTGTTTTGTTTTGTTTCAATTTGCGGGGGTTGGTGGGAAGAGTTTGAGAAGGATAGAAATTAATTCTTATTTAAACGTTTGGTAGAATTCACCAGTGAAGTCATCTGGTCATGGGCTTTTCTTTGTTGGGAGATTTTAAAATACTGCTTAAATGGCCATATTAATAATGAGTCTGTTCAGGCTTTCTATTTCTCATGATTTAGTCTTGGTAGACTGTATATTTCTATAAATGTGTCCACTTTTTTTCCTAAGTTATCCAGCTTGTAATCATATAATTGTTCAATATAGTCTCTTATGTCTCTTATTTCTGTAGCATTATTCTTTCTTTTCTGATTTTATTTATTTTAGTCTTATCTCATTTTTCTTGGAATAGCTAAGGGAATCTCAATTGTGTTGAGATTTTCAAGAAACCAACTCTAGTTTTATTTTTTAATTGTTTTTCTATTTTCTATTATGTTTTTATATTTTCTTTAATCTTATTTCCTTCCTTCTGCTAACTGTGAGCTTCTTTGTTCTTCTAGTTCGTTGAAGGAGAAAGTTAGGTTATTTACTTGAGACATTTTTCCTTTTTATGTAGGTGTTTATTGCTATGAACTTCTTACATAGTCCTGTTTTTTCTGTTTCCCATGCATTTTGGCATATCGTGTTTTTGTTTCATCTTGAGGTGTTTTCTATTTCTCTTTTTTATTGGTATGTAATAGTTGTACATATTTATGGAGTACAAGGGATATTTTGATACACGCATACAATATGTAATTATCAAATAAGAGTAACTGGAATATTCATTATATCAAACATTTGTCATTTCTTTGTGTAGTACATTTTAAATATTCTCTTCTAGCTATTTTGAAATATAAAATAAATTCTTATTAACTATCATCACTCTACTGTGCTATTGAACAATAGAATTTGTGCCTTCTGTATAACTGTATTTTTGTACCCTCTTCATCCCATTGGAATGCTGCAATTCCCAGTATCTAGTAACTACCATTTGACTCACTACCTCCATGAGATCAATTTTTTGTTAGCCCCCATATATAAGTGAAAACTTGCAATATTTGTCTTTCTGTGGTTGGCTTATTTCACGTAACATAATGTCCTCTAGCTCCACCAATGTTACTGTAAATGACATGATTTTATGTTTTTCCTCCCCGTGGCTGAATAACATTCCATTGTGTATATATAGCACATTTTCTTTATCCACTCATCAAATGATGGTTGATTGAATACCTTCGTTATTGTGAATAGGGCTGCAATAAACATGCACGTGCAGCTATCTCTTTGATATACTAATTTTCTTTCTTTTGGATAAATACCCGGCAATGGTAATGCTGGATCATATGGTAGTTGTATTTTTAGCTTTTAAGGGAAACTCCATACTATTTTATATAGTTGCTGCATTAATTAACATTCACACCAACAGTGCATGAGCATTCCCTCTTTTTTTTGCATCTTTCTCAGCATGTTATTTTCTGTCTTTCTGATAGCCATTTTAACTGGCGTGAGATAATATCTCGTTGTGGTTTTGATTCGCATTTCCCTGATTATTAGTAATGTTAAGCATTTTTTTCATTTACCTGGTAGCCATTTGTATGTCTTATTTTGAAAAATGCCTATTCAAAGCATTTGCTCATTATTAATTGGATTATTTGTGGGTTTCTTTTTGTTTTAGTTTGTTTTGTTGTGTTTTTTTGCTATTGAGTTGTTTTAGTTCCTTATATATTCTGGTTATTAGTCCCTTGTCAGATGGGCAGTTAGCAAATATTTTCTCCCATTCTGTAGGTTATCTCTTCACTCTGTTGATTGTTTACTTTGCTTTACAGAAGCTGTTTAGTTTGATATAATCACATTCGTTTAGTTTTGCTTGTGTTGCCTGTATTTTGAGGTCTTATGCAAAAAATATTTGCCAGAACTAATGTCCTGAAGTATTTCCCAATGTTTTCTTCTGGTAGTTTCATAGATTAAGGACTTACATTTAGGTCTTAACCTATTTTGATTTTAGTTTTGTGTATGGTGAGAGATAGGGGTCTAGTTTTATTCTTCTACGTATGGATATCCAATTTCTGCAGCACAATTTATTGAAGTCCTTTCACAGTGTATCTGTTAAAAATGAGTTGGCTGTAGATGTATGGATTTATTTCTGAGTTATTTTTCCTCTTCCATTCGTCTGTGTGTCTATTTTTATGTCAGTATCACACTGTCTTGATTACTGTAGCTTTGCAGTATATTTTAAAGCCAGATAGCTTGATGCCACTAAGCTATCTTTATTCTTTTTGCTCCCAAATTGCTTTAGTTATTCACGTTCTTTTCTGATCCTATAGGAATTTTAGAATTTTTAAAAAATTTTCTCTGAAGAGTGGCATTGGTACTTTTTTTTAAATAAAAAAATGAACTCTGGCAAGTTTTACTAAATAAAAATTTTGCATTGTTTACTTTTCACCAGACTATTCTGGCATGCTTCTAATGATATCAGAATCACCCGGATTAATGATAGCCAGTATGCATTGTATGTAGTATATTTCACATGCTGTACCCAATTCAGTGTTATTGCCACTGTAGTGGTGGATAGCAGTTTTGGCCAACAATACTTAGTACTCTAATTCAGATTTCTTCAAAGTCAGGCAGTTTCTAAAAAGGATGATGAATTTTGCTTTGCCTTGTCTGATCATCTTCAGAGTTGGCTTGTACCTTAGCATATTTTTAATATGTTGTTGTGTTCAGTTTGCTAGTATTTGGTTGAGGCTCTTTGCATCTATGTTCATCTGAGATATTGGCCTATACTTTCCACTTTTCATAATGAGTTGGACTCCAGAGTTAATTGACTCCAGTGAGGTTTTCATCTTCTTTGTGGCCCCCATCTTCCTGCCTTAGGTGCAGGACAGGCCCCACTCAAGAGCACCCACCAAGATGGCCAAGGAGCAAGAAAATGGCATTGGTACTTTGGAAGAAATTACTCTGAATTTGTAAATGACTTTGGGTAGTAAGGACCTTATAAAAATATTAATTCTTCCAATCTATGAACACTTAAATGTCTTTCCATTTTTCTTGTGTCCTATTGTTTTAATAGTGTTTTATAAATTTCATTGTAGAGAGATTTCACTCCTTTAGTTAAATTTATTTCTAGGTATTTTATATATTTTGTAGCTATTGTAAATGGGATTTATTTCATGATTTTTTTTCAGATGGTTTGTTATTCGTATATAAAAATGCTACTGAGTTTTGTATGTTGATTTTGTATCCTGCCACATTACTGAGTTTATTTATAAGTTCTAACAACATTTTGGTTGAATCTTTTAGGTTTCTCTAAATATAAGATCATGTCATCTGCACACAAGGACAATATTACTTCTTCCTAATTTCGATGCCTTTTTGTTTCTTTCTCTCATTTAATTGATCTGGGCAGGACTTTTAGTACTATGATGAATAAAAGTTATAAAAGTGGTCATTCTTGGCCTTGTCTTGTTCCAGATCTTAGAAAAAAGGCTGTCGACATTTCCCTGTTTAGGATGATGTTAGCTGTGGGTTTGTTGTATATGGCCTTTGTTATTTTTAGATATATTCCTTCCATAACCAGTTTGTTGAGAGTTGTTATCATTAAGGGATGCTGAATTTTGTTGACTGCTTTTTTTTTAGCATTTGTTGCAATGCTTCATATAGTTTATGTCCATGATTCTGCTAATGAGATGTATCCTGTTCACTGATTTGAATATGTTGAATGATAGTTGCATCCCAGGGATGTATCCCACTTGATCACAGTAAATGATCTTTTTAATGTGTTATTGTGTTCAATTTGCTAGTATTTGGTTGAGGCTCTTTGTTTTCTTTTCATGCTGTGTCTTTGGTTTTGGTATCAGAGTAAATTGGCCTCATAGAATGAGTTTGGAAGGGTACTTCCTTTTCAGTTTTTTGAAATAGTGTGATTAGAATTGGTATTAGGTCTTCTCTAAATGTTTGGTAGAATTCATCAGTGAATCCATTCGTTCCTGAGTTTTTTATTGATGGGGGACTTTTTTTTTTTACTACTTTGAACTCATTACTTGTTATTGGTCTGCTCAAGTTTTCTATTTCTTCATGGATCAATTTTGGTAGATTTATGTGTCTAGAAATTCATGTACTTCTAAGTTTTCCCATTGGTTTGTATATTCTTCTTCATAATAGTCTCTAATAATTCCTTGTGTTTCTGTGGTATCAGTTTTAATGTCTCATTTTTTGGCTGTGATTTTTACCTGAGGCTTCTCTCTTTTCTCTTAATCTAGCTAAGAAAAAATTGTTAATTTAGTTTATCTTTTCAAAAAGAGAGTTTTCATTTTATCCTTTGTATCTTTTTTCACTCTCAATTTTTTTTCCTGTTCTGATCTTTATAATTTCTTTCCTTCTACTAATTTGGGGTTTGATTTGTCATTGTTTTCTAGTTCTTTGAGGAGCATCAGATTGTTAATTTGAAGACGTTCTACTTCTTTGTATAGGTGTTTCCTGCTATAAATTAGTACTGCTGTTGTTGTATATTTTAGGTTTTATTTGGGGTGTTTTGTTTACATTTCCTTTTTTCAAGAAATCTTTTTTTTTATTTTATTATTATTATACTTTAAGTTTTAGGGTACATGTGCACAATGTGCAGGTTAGTTACGTATGTATACATGTGCCATGCTGGTGTGCTGCACCCATTATCTCGTCATTTAGCATTAGGTATATCTCCTAATGCTATCCCTCCCCCTTCCCCCTACCCCAAAATGGTCCCTAGAATGTGATGTTCCCCTTCCTGTGTCCAAGTGTTCTCATTGTTCAATTCCCACCTACGAGTGAGAATATGCGGTGTTTGGTTTTTTGTTCTTGCAATAGTTTACTGAGAATGATGATTTCCAATTTCATCCATGTCCCTACAAAGGACATGAACTCATCATTTTTTATGGCTGCATAGTATTCCATGGTGTATATGTGCCACATTTTCTTAATCCAGTCTATCATTGATGGACATTTGGGTTGGTTCCAAGTCTTTGCTATTGTGAATAGTGCCGCAATAAACATACGCATGCGTGTGTCTTTATAGCAGCATGAATTATAGTCCTTTGGGTATATACCCAGTAATGGGATGGCTGGGTCAAGTGGTATTTCTAGTTCTAGATCCCTGAGGAATTGCTACACTGACTTCCACAATGGTTGAACTAGTTTACAGTCCCACCAACAGTGTAAAAGTGTTCCTATTTCTCCACATCCTCTCCAGCACTTGTTTCCTGACTTTTTAATGATTGCCATTCTAACTGGTGTGAGATGGTATCTCATTGTGGTTTTGATTTGCATTTCTCTGATGGCCAGTGATGGTGAGCATTTTTTCATGTGGTTTTTGGCTGCATAAGTGTCCTCTTTTGAGAAGTATCTGCTCATGTCCTTTGCCCACTTTTTGATGGGGTTGTTTAGTTTTTCTTGTAAATTTGTTTGAGTTCATTGTAGATTCTGGATATTAGCCCTTTGTCAGATGAGTAGGTTGCGAAAATTTTCTCCCATTTTGTAGGTTGCCTGTTCACTCTGATGGTAGTTTCTTTTGCTGTGCAGAAGCTCTTTAGTTTAATTAGATCCCATTTGTCAATTTTGGCTTTTGTTGCCATTGCTTTTGGTGTTTTGGACATGAAGTCCTTGCCCATGCCTATGTCCTGAATGCTAATGCCTAAGTTTTCTTCTAGGGTTTTTATGGTTTTAGGTCTAACATTTAAGTCTTTAATCCATCTTGAATTAATTTTTGTATAAGGTGTAAGGAAGGGATCCAGTTTCAGCTTTCGACATATGGCTAGCCAGTTTTCCCAGCACCATTTATTAAATAGGGAATCCTTTCCCCATTGCTTGTTTTTCTCAGGTTTGTCAAAGATCAGATAGTTGTAGGTATGTGGCATTATTTCTGAGGGCTCTGTTCTGTTCCATTGATCTATATCTCTGTTTTGTTACCAGTACCATGCTGTTTTGGTCACTGTAGCCTTGTAGTATAGTTTGAAGTCAAGTAGCATGATACCTCCAGCTTTGTTCTTTTGGCTTAGGATCGACTTGGCGATGCGGGCTCTTTTTTGGTTCCATATGAACTTTAAAGTAGTTTTTTCCAATTCTGTGAAGAAAGTCATTGGTAGCTTGATGGGGATGGCATTGAATCTATAAATTACCTTGGGCACTATGGCCATTTTCACAATATTTATTCTTCCTACCCATGAGCATGGAATGTTCTTCCATTTGTTTGTATCCTCTTTTATTTCATTGAGCAGTGGTTTGTAGTTCTCCTTGAAGAGGTCCTTCACATCCCTTGTAAGTTGGATTCCTAGGTATTTTATTCTCTTTGAAGCAATTGTGAATGGGAGTTCACTCATGATTTGGCTCTCTGTTTGTCTGTTATTGGTGTATAAGAATGCTCGTGATTTTTGTACACTGATTTTGTATCCTGAGACTTTGCCGAAGTTGCTTATCAGCTTAAGGAGATTTGGGGCTGAGACAATGGGGTTTTCTAGATATACAATCATGTCATCTGCAAACAGGGACAATTTGACTTCCTCTTTTCCTAATTGAATACCCTTTATTTCCTTCTCCTGCCTAATTGCCCTGGCCAGAACTTCCAACACTATGTTGAATAGGAGTGGTGAGAGAGGGCATCCCTGTCTTGTGCCAGTTTTCAAAGGGAATGCTTCCAGTTTTTGCCCATATTGGCTGTGGGTTTGTCATAGACAGCTCTTATTATTTTGAGATATGTCCCATCAATACCTAATTTATTGAGAGTTTTTAGCATGAAGGGTTGTTGAATTTTGTCAAAGGCCTTTTCTGCATCTATTGAGATAATCATGTGGTTTTTTTCTTTGGTTCCGTTTATATGCTGGATTACATTTATTGATTTGCATATATTGAACCAGCCTTGCATCCCAGGGATGAAGCCCACTTGATCATGGTGGATAAACTTTTTGATGTGCTGCTGGATTCGGTTTGCCAGTATTTTATTGAGGATTTTTGCATCAATGTTCATCAAGGATATTGGTCTAAAATTCTCTTTTTTGGTTGTGTCTCTGCCTGGCTTTGGTATCAGAATGATGCTGGCCTCATAAAATGAGTTAGGGAGGATTCCCTCTTTTTCTATTGATTGGAATAGTTTCAGAAGGAATGGTACCAATTCCTCCTTGTACCTCTGGTAGAATTTAGCTGTGAATCCATCTGGTCCTGGACTCTTTTTAGTTGGTAAGCTATTGATTTTTGCCACAATTTCAGAGCCTGTAATTGGTCTATTCAGAGATTCAACTTCTTCCTGGTTTAGTCTTGGGAGAGTGTATGTGTCGAGGAATTTATCCATTTCTTCTAGATTTTCTAGTTTATTTGCTAGTTTATTTAGGTGTTTGTAGTATTCTCTGATGGTAGTTTGTATTTCTGTGGGATTGGTGGTGATATCCCCTTTATCATTTTTTATTGTGTCTGTTTGATTCTTCTCTCTTTTCTTCTTTATTAGTCTTGCTAGTGGTCTATCAATTTTGTTGATCCTTTCAAAAAACCAGCTCCTGGATTCATTAATTTTTTGAAGACTTTTTTGTGTCTCTATTTCCTTCAGTTGTGCTCTGATTTTAGTTATTTCTTGCCTTCTGCTAGCTTTTGAATGTGTTCACTCTTGCTTTTCTAGTTCTTTTAATTGTGATGTTAGGGTGTCAATTTTTTATCTTTCCTGCTTTCTCTTTCAAGAAATCTTTTAATTTCCTTCTTAATTTCTTCACTGACCCATTGGTTGTTCAGGAGCATGTCATTTAATTTCCATGTTATTTGTACAATTTCTAATGTTTCTTTTGTCTTTGATTTCTGGTTTTATTCCATTATAGTCAGAAAAGATGATTCAAATATTGTGGAATTTGTCAAGACTTGTTTTGTGGCATAACCTATGCTCTATCTCAGAGAATGTTCCTGGTGCTAATGAGAAGTATGTATACTCTGCAGCAGCTGGATACAATCTTTTGTAAATGTCAAGTAGGTCCATTTGGTGTGCAGTGTAGTTTTATTCCAATGTTTCTTTGCTGATTTTCTGTCTGGATGATCTATCTATTGCTGATTGTGGAGTGTTGAAGTCCCCCACTATTATTGTACTGTTCTTTCTCTCTCCCTTTAGCTGTATTAATATCTGCTGTAAATATTTGGATGCTTTGATATTGGGTACATATATATATATTTATGATTGTTATATCCTCTTGATAAATGGACCCCTTCATTATTACATAATGAATTCCTTTGTATCTTTTCAGTTTTTTGACTTGCCATCTATTTTATCTAAGTATAGCTACTCTTGCTCTTTTTTTGGTTTCCGTTTGCATAAAATACATGTTTCATTCCTTCACATTCAGTATATGCATGTCCTTATAGATGAGTATGTTCCTTGTAAGCAGCATATATTTGGGTCTTATTTTTTCGTTCATTCAGCCACTTTGTTTTTCAATTGAAAATTGAGTCAATTTACATTCAATGCCATTATTGATAGATAAGGACTTACAAATGTCATTTTGTTACTTTTTTTTCTGGTTATTTTATAACTCCTCTTTTTCTTTCTTCTTCACTTCCTTTGTGGTTAAGTGATTTTCTTAACCACAAAGTTAGTATGTTTGAATCCCTTGCTTTTTATTTTTACTTTCTCTATTATAAGTCTATGTTTTGTGATTACTGTATGGCTTACAAAGAAAATCTTTTAGTTGTACAAGTTATTTTAAACTAATGGCTACTTAAGGTTAGTGGCAGAGAAAAGCACAGAAACAAACAAAGAAATATCTATAAAGCCCTGCATTTTGATTTCATACTCCTCCCCATATTTAGGCTTTTTGTTGTATCAACTTATATCTTTCCATATTGTCTATCTCCTAAGAAACTGTTATAGTTGTTATTTTTGATAGATGTGTCTTTTCTTCTTCAGACTAAAGACACAAGTGTTACACACCACAATTACAGTATTAGAATATTCTGAATTTGTCTGTGAACTTAATTTTACCAGTGAGTTTTATACTTTCAGATGATTTCTTGCTGTATATTAACATCCTTTTTTTTTCAGATGGAAGGACTCTTATTAGCATTTCTTGTAAAACAGTTATGATGATGAAGACTCTTAACTTTGTTTGTGAAAGTTTTTATTTCTCCTTCATGTTTGAAAGGCAGTTTTTCTCACTACTATATTCTTGGTTAGAAATTTTTTTGCCTTTAGCACTTTGAATATTCCATGACACTCTCTCATAGCTTGCTGAGAAGTCTACTGCCAAATGTATCATAGCTCATTGATATGTTATTTGCTTTGCTTTTGCTGTTTGTAGAATCCTCTTTGTCCTTGACATTTGAGAGTTTGATTATTAAATGCCCTGGGATAGTGTTATTTTGATTGACTCTGCTTTGTGATCTTTGACCTTTTTATACCTGGATATTCATATTTTTCTCTAAATTTGGAATGTTCTCTGTTATCATTTCTTTGAATATATTTTGTATCCCTACCTCTCACTCCTTCTTTAAGTCCAATGACACTTAGATTTGCCTTCTTGAAGCCATTTTCTAAATCTCGTAAGCCTTCTTTATTCTTCTTAATCCTTTGACTGTGTATTTTCAAATAACCTATCTTCCATGTCATGAATTCTTTCTTCTGCTTAATCAATTCTGCTGTTGAGACACTCTAATGCATTTTTGCATTCATCAGTTCATCAATTGTATTTTTCATCTCTAGGTTTCTGTTTGATTTTTTAAATTATTTATATTTATATATATAATTTATCTAATAAACTTCTAAACTGATTATCTGAGTTTCTTGAAGTTCACTGAGCTTCCTCAAATTAGCTATTTTGAATGCACCAAAAGGTTGCATATCTCGGGCACTCCAAGGTTAATCACTGGCGCCTTAGTTAGTCTGTTTGCTTAGATCATATTTTCTTGAATGTTCTTGAGGCTTGTGGACATGTGTCAATCAATGTCTGGGCATTTCAGAGTTAGTTATTTATTCCAGTTTTCACAATCTGGCCTTGTTAGTACCCATCCTTCTTCAGAGAACATTTCAAAAATTCAAATAGGATTTATTATTGAGTTCCCCAAGCTTGTAGTCACTGCAGCTGTTTTAGTACTAGAGAGTATTCTAAGTCCAACTGCACTGCAACCATCTAGTGGACTTCTATGTACTTATTTCTGATGGACTTTTGGGAGATCATGGAAAATTTCTTGGGTTGCCAGGATGATCCTTCACTCACTTTCGTCTCTTTACCTCAAACAGGAGTCTCTTCATACTCAGCTGCCTGGAGTTTGGGAAGGGGTTACATGGCCATTCCTGTGGCTGTTGTAACTGGCACCCAAAGCCTGCAACCTTCCAGACCAGCACAGCACTGAGGCTCACCCAATGCCCATAATCATGGCCTGACTGCTGCTGATGTTTATTGATAGCCTCAGGCCTCTTTAAGCAGCTGGTAGTGAAGCCAGCTCAGATTTGGGTTTGTTCCATCCTGCCAGGGTAGCAGATTTCCTTCTAGCATGGGGTGGATCTAGAAGAATTGATGGGAGCAGTGGCCTGAAATCAGGGGCTTTGGGGATCTGCCGCATGCTGTGTTGTGCTGTGGTGGCACTGTACTAGTTTCCAAGGCAAAGTCCCCCGTACTCTTCCCTCTCCTTCCCTCAAGTGGAAGATGTCTCTCTGTTTGTCTCTGCACTGTGCTAGGGGAGGGGTAACTGTGTTAGGGGAGGGGTGACATAGGCACTTCTGTGGCCCCCGCAGCTGATGTCACACTGGGTTGCATCATAAGCCCACAGCCTTCCAGGTCATTGCAGCACTGGGGCTCACCCAAAGACCATGGTCACTACAGAATTGCTGCCACTGAAATTTATTTGAGGCCCAAGACCATTTCAGTCAGCTAGGGCTTAAGCCCTTCTGCCGTGGCTGTGGCTACAGATTTCTATCTTGCCTGGTGTAAGAATAAGTATTCCCTCTGTGGGTATTGGCTCGGAGTCAAGGGCTTTGGAATTCTGCCCAATGCTGTGTTACATTGTGGTAGGATCAACACGGACTTCTAATGCAAAGTCCCAACTGAGTTTTATATATTCTTGTGTTGTACGTTTGCTGTGTAGAATCCTTTCATTTCAAATTGAAGAACTTTCTTGGCATTTCTCCTAAGGCATGTCTAATGGTGATGAGCTCCTTCAGCTTTTGTTTGGGAGTCTTTTTCCAACCTTCATTTTTGAAAGACAGTTTGACCGTGTATGGTGGCAGGCTATTTTTTCTTTCCACATTTTAAATATACCATCACTCTCCTTTATGGTCTGCAAAGTTTCTGCTGAAATAGCTACTCTTATGGAGCTTCCCTTATATGTGACAAGTTGTTCTTCTCTTTCTGCTTTCAAAATGTTTTCTTTGTCTTTGATGACTATTGACAATTTGCTTGTAATGTGTCTCAGTATGGATTTATTTAGGTTACTCTTATTTGGTGTTCTTTGGACTTCTTGGGTCTGGATGTTCATTTCATTCTCCAGGTTTGGGAAAATTTTAGCTATTATTTATTTGAGTAAACTGTCCTGTTTTTCTTTTTCTCTTATCCTTCTGACACTCTCATAATGTAAATATTGGTCCCTAAATTGTGAGCCTTAAGGTTTCTTCACTTTTTTCATTATTTTGTTCTTTTTGCTCTTTTGACTGAATTATTTTTAATGATGTGTCCTTGAGTTGCTGGTCCTTTTATTAGCTTGATCTAGTCTGCTGCTGGACCTCGCTAGTTATTTTTCACTTTAGTTATTGTGTTCTTCAGCCGCATGATTTCTGTTTGGTACTTTCTTATATTTTCTATCTGTTTGTTGGAATTCTCATTTTGTTCATGCATGATTCTCTTGAGCTTTCTGAGCATCTTTATGATAGTTATTTTTATTTGTCTGTCAGATAAATTATATAGCTTCATTTTATTAAGGCTGCTGTCTGGAGATTTATCTTATTCCTTTGTTTGAATTATTTTTTTCTGATTCTTAATTTTCCTTGATGCTCTGCATTGGCATATGTGTATTATCCAATTATACACACTGCATCCCGTCTTCCCAGACTCTGCTTGTACCAGAGAAGACCACCATCAACCAGCCTGGCCAGAGATTCTAGAGTCTCTACCAACAACTCTTTCCCTTTACAAGGAGAAACAGACAGCTGGATTTTTGTTGGTTTGTTTTTTTGAGGCAGAGTCTTGCTCTGTCATCCAGGCTGGAGTGCAGCGGCATGCTTACAGCTCACGGCAGTCTGAACCTCCCAGGCTCAAACTGATCCTTCTGCCTCAGCCTTCTGAGTAGCTGAGACTACAGACATGCACCACTCTGCTGGCTAATTTTTGTACTTTTTGTAGGGTTGTGGTTTTGCCATGATGTTCAGGCTGGTCTCAAACTCCTGAACTCGGCCTTTCAAATATTCAAAGTGCTAGGATTATAGGTGTGAGCCACTGTACCGCATTAACTGTGCTTTTTGTGTATTTGCTCTGTGCTGACCCACTGGGGGAAACTATGACACTACCAGTCCAAACCACTATTTCCATTATCCCTTATTTGTGGCAGACCAGTTAGAGTTCTAAGACTGGCAAATAGTTGCCAGTTCTTTAGGCAATCCCGGCAAAGTTGGGGCATTGGATGCTTAGATCAACTCTTTTTCTTCTCAGAGAGAAGCTGAGAGCTGATTTTGTTTGTTTATTTGTTGTTTTTTTGTGGTTGCTGTTGTTGCTCATGTTATGCTGAGCAGCAAAGAAGACTTGGGACATCTGAGCAGCAGGGAAGCTTGAAGCTAGGGGCATCAATTGCCCCTAGCTTCCATCTCTGTTTTCCCCAGCTGGTGTACTGCGCTGGTCCCATCAGAGATCCAAGACTGGCAAGACAGAAGCCAGACCTTTGTGGAGTCCTCTTGGAATGGTTGGGGTGCTACATGTGCAAACCAAGGCCTTTCTCCTCTGGGAGAAGCTGGGAGCTAGGAGTGAATCGCTTCCTGATTATATGTCACTGTGCCAGTGGTGAGGAGTCTGGCGAGAGGGTGTTCTGGATCTCTCTGCTAGTTTTGGTCAGTCTGGTTTCACATTCACCTGGGCTGCAGGAGCCTTTCACTTAGTTTCTGGATTTCTCATAAAGGAAATTTGTCGATGATTTGTTCCTGAATTTGTGTTTTTTTGGGGTAGAGTGTACAGGACTTTCTACTTTGCCATTGTGCTGATGTCACTTGTCATGTTCTTTTTATTGGAATTATTTCCTAAATTAAAGTGCTCCTTGGTATTCAATTTATCACTGGCATCACGACATCTTTGTTAGTAACAGGTTTTTTTTTCCTAATTACTTGCTAGCATGTTATGAAGAATGGGATATTTTGATTGAGAATTTACTGTGTTTGAATCCTGGTTTACTGTGTTTAAATCCTGGTATATGTTGGGACTTTAGACCTAAGAGTGTATAACTAGTTATTTTAAGATATTATTACTTGGTTTTTTTTAATGAATAAATTGCCTACAATCTTTAAGATGATAAATCATTAGAATAGATGTTTGGATTGGCTACATGATTTTTAAATTTTTAGTACTTATATTAAGGAGTATGTATAAACTGCTAATAATATCTGCACACTAATTACAAAAAAACTCAATTAAAATTTTTTTAAAAAGTGGTGATGAACTTGCAACTTGCATACAGTGTATTAGTTAATGTACATGAGGACCATAGTGTTATCACTGATGATGTGAAAACCAGAAGACACAAATATGTTTTAAAAAGCAGGACCTTGTATTTAGGTCAGATGAATACTATACGAATTTCATCACTTTGTATTCTAAATTCTCTTCTGAGAAAGTATGAAGAGTGTTAATATGCCAGCTCCCTTAGCAGAACTTCACAAATAGTTGAATAAATCTATTTTTATGTGAGTCACATCAATTGCTTCAAATAATCAGTAACATTGATTGCCTCAAATACTTAAATTCCAATGCAAGTTTTATTTTTGTATTCATTTCATGAAGTCAAAATAAAGTCTTTGAAAGTTGATTGTGTTAAAGATAAACATATATTATACATTCAGTTAAAAATTAATATTTTATTAGTTTTAAATTTACTGAGACTTGTTTTACTGAGAAAACCATAGCCCAACATGTTTTTTTAAAAAAAATACCTTGTGCACCTACCTAAAAAAAAGTATATTACCATTGTTTTTGAAGTGTTTTATAAATATCAATTTTGTTGATAGTGTTAATTATTCAATATCATTACTTCACTTATTTTATCAACTACTCAAGAAAAGTGTTAAAATGCCCCACTGCAGTTTCACATTTGTCTATTTATTCTTTTTATCTCTTACTTTTATTTTTTGCCTCATGTGTTTTGAAGATATGTTATGAGCTGCATACATTTTGGATGCTATGGGTTTTTTTTGACCCTTTTTTGACCCTTTTATTGATATGAAATCTGTCTCTTTTTCTCTGGTAATTTTCCTTGTGTTAAAGTTTACTTTTTCTATATATATATCATATGATGCCTTTTAGCATCTTTTTACTTTTAAGTTATCAGTGTCTTTATATTTAAAGTAGACTACTAGTAAATAGCTTATGGTTGCATCTTGATTTTTTATTGTTTGAAAATCTCTCTCCCTTAGTTGGAGTCTTTTAACCATTAGACTACTTATATTTAATATAATTATTCACTTGGTTAAAGTTTGTCTACCATATTGCTATTTTTTTTATTGAATCCACCTGTTAATTGTTACTTTTTTCTTACCATCATTTTTTTCTCTTCTATTAGCTTATTAGCTATACCTCTTTTGGGAGGAAAGAAAGCATTTGCTCTAACTCTTGTAACGTGTATCTTTGGCTTATGAAAACCTGTCATTATGTCAAATAGACAAACCTATCATTAAATAATATTATACCACCTCACATATAATGTAAGAACCCTCTAATAGTGTATTTCCATTTCCTTCTTCAGTTCTTTGGGGCATGTTTTCATTTATCTTACTTTTACATATGTTATAAACATCACAACCCTTTTAAAAAAACTTTAAGCAAAAAAATTATCTTTTAAATATTTAAAGTGAGCAAAGGCCACAAATTAAAATTTAATATTAAAGATAAAATTATTTATTTTGTGATAAAATACAAATGTAAATTTTGGTGGTACATAACCTTATAATAAAAGCAAAGCTCTTATAAAATTAAAAAACAGAAATGTACTAGGAATTGGTTGTTGTATACACAAAATTCATAATTGCAACCAATAAAATTGTAATAATTACCCATCACAATAAAACTGTTGTTAAAATATACAAATATTTTTATATGCAGTTGAAATAATTGAACTAAGTGGTGTGTGTTTGTGGGTTGTGGGTGTGGTTGTGTGAGAGAGAGAGAGAGACAAAGTAAAGCTGATTCAAAAAATAAATAAAAGAACATAGTATGCCAGTACCATGTTCTCTTTTTCCAGATCATTGTCAATAAGTCCTAGAAAGGTTTGGGTTTTTGAAGTACTATTTTGCAAATAAACTAAAATGCCCTACTATGATATTGAATGATTTTGAAAATAAAACGTTTACATTTTGATAGCTATTCATTAAAATCCACTGAATATCTTAAAATATTCAGTTAGTACAGTGCTAAAAATCTTCAGTTTTTACAATTTTAAGTAAATAGCAATTATTGAAAACAATAACTGAAATTGAAACAATAACAATAATTGAAAGCAATTATTGAAAACAATAAACAGGAAGACACTTAAGTGTGATTTCTTTAGAAGAATGAAAGTTCAAACACTGTACAATATTAAAATTTGAAACTTTAGTATTTTAGTATGCCTTGACTTGTTAAAGGGTCTTTATATATATATTTATATATATAAAATATATATACATATATAAAATATATATATTTATATATATAAAAAACAAAAACTATATATATAAAGACCCTGTATATATATATATATATTTTTTATATGTGTGTGTATATATATATATACATATATATATACACACACATATAAATATATATATATATATATATGTATATATATGGTTTTTGGGGTTTTTTTGGGAGGACGGAGTCTCGCTCTGTCGCTCAGGCTGGAGTGCAGTGGCGAGATCTTGGCTCCAGGCATGTTCCACCTCCTGGGTTCACGCCATTCTCCTGCCTCAGCCTCCCAAGTAGCTGGGACTACAGGTGCCCGCCACCACGCCTGGCTAATTTTTTTGTATTTTTAGTAGAGACGGGGTTTCACCATGTTAGCCAGGATGGTCTCGATTTCCTGACCTCGTGATCCGCCCGCCTCGGTCCACCATAGTGCTGGGATTACAGGCGTGAGCCACTGCTCCCGGCCTTTTGATAGTTATTTTTAATTGGATTAAACTTCTACTTTATTCTGGGATAGAATAAAGTTAAGAAAATGTATATTTAATATAAATCATATATAAATAAAATTTTATATATAAAATTTATTTTGTATATAATTATACAGCTTGTAGATAAATATTTCAAAACATAATTTAAGAAAACTTGTTTGACAAGTTTCATATTATAAAAGTGTGTCAAAAATGTATTCTGAAAAGAAGTTAAAATTCAGTACATGTGAAAATATTTGAGCTGAAATGTTTACGTACTGCTTAATGAAAATAAAAATAAAATTGAAATTTTTCTTCATTTCAAAGAATTAAACCTGAGCTTACCAGGTAGCTAACACTTACAAAGAGGAAATTTTCTCAATTAAAAATAGTATGGCTTATGATGATATCAGTCGAGCTACCGACAGTTTAAAATATATAAAAATGTTTCTGGCAATACTAATAAAAATAAGAATATATTGAAAAAACACATTCTTTAGAAAAAATAGTAAAAAGGGCATTAAATGTGGCTAAGAAACCAATTAAAGAATGAACATGTGTAACAGAAATGATTATTTTGCACGTTATTTTAATATTCAGATAATTCATATAAAGAAGATGCTTTTTGTACACAGATGTCATTTTAATTTTTTAGAAATTATTTTATTTTTAAAATAGATTTTGTATAACTATTGTGAGACATACATCAATATAATATCAATTATGTTACTCAATACATATTTTAATTATATAATTTTATTTACTTTTAGCTTCTTGTTTCATGCTTAATAATTTTTTCAGTTTCAATAACAAAGTCATCAGATTTTGATACACATGTTATTATTTTAAAACTATGTTCACATCTACTATTCCTCTTAGCCTGTGTTCCTTGAAGGGTAAGGATATCATCCTGTTGATATTTGTGTCCCCATAACTTGGCACGGTACCTGGTACTTGGTACTTAGTAAATATTTAACGAATCTGATTGAATGGGTAAATCTTCTAATAATGTAAAACTAAAAACATACAAATACTGTATAGTGTCAGTCAGAAGTAATGTGAAACCATTTTTACATAATTTTTATTTCTTTTTTTTTTTTACTTACTAATACTGGTCATCCCCATATACTAGAATTCTATTTCAAATCAACTCATATTTTCTGTAATCTTTGGATGTAAAATGAGTTTCTTGTACAGATCCTTTTGATAGTCTTCAACCTAACAAGCCTTTGATTCCACAAAAATTATATCATTGACTGTATATGATATGATATGATATGATACAATGCCAACAACTTTTGTAGGCATACTGGAGCATAAGAATCTATGAAAGCAGGGCTGTGTTGTTTCTGTTAATATCTCCAACATCAAGCATAATACCTGGCTCAATAATTATTTGGTGTAATAAATGCATATGCATTTTTAAAAAAGAGATTTCTATATACTTGGAAGTATATTACAACACTGGCTTTGAGGTTTCTTTTCCATACCATGCATTAAGCAGCTTTGTTTCTTTCCTAGGTTGTTTAGAATGTGTCTGTCATGCTGCCATCAACTTTAACCTGACTTGCCATATCATTAGATGTATCCTTAGTAACATAATGAAATTCTAAAGATAGCCACATTTCTGAGTAGCTGGCAGAGTGTGGGCCTAATAATGATGTTGAACATTCTTTATAAAATTGATGGATCATGTACAAAGCAAGGGCTCAATCAAGGGCAAAATTCTCCAGGGTGAAATCCACCTCTAGGTTACCATCTGCATTTCAAATATTTTCTAATTGATTTGACTCTGGATGAGATTTTTCTCACAGGTTAAGTATTCCCATTACCCATCTTGATTTTCTTATAGATAGGGAAGTGGAGAATACAGTGTCATTTTTTAGCCAATACAAAAATATAAGGCAATAAAGCTGAAAGAGAGGGATGTGAGAAACTGTGAATACCAAATTTGGCCCATGACCTTGCTAAGTCTCCTGACACATGGCAAAAAATATAAAATTACTGCTTAGAAAACCTATACAGAGCATATTAAAGTGTACTTGTGTTTTTTCATTTCAGAATTGTATTTTCATAGGATTATGAATATAATTGTTAGAATAAAAATTTAATATTTTGTCTGATTCTAAATAAAGCAGATGAAATATTCCTAGGCCAGTTTTACAGATAAGGCAGGAAAGATTCAGGGAACTAATACAAGGGATTAATATCTTTTCTTAATACGGTACACTAAGTCTAAGTCTCCTGCTTCTGATATCATTACTCATCCAACTGTATGAGATCCAAGATTTTTCTTCTTTGAAAGGTCTTGAAATAAACAAGTTTATACCAAAAAGTCGATTTTCTGAACATAAAGGACACATAAGAACTTAAGAGTGATTTCAGTGTATTTATTCTTTGTTATACCAAGCAAAGCAGTAAGAAAACCGGCGTGTTTTCTTTTGCTCTTGTCACCACAATGGTAATTCAACTTATCTCTGACTTCAAGTAATCATCCATATTTCAGTTGAAAACTACATATGCACCAGCTCGGCTTGTGAAATCTATATTAAGTGAAGTGCATATTTCCAGTGAAATTATACTCCCAACTAGATGGAAGCAAAGATAAAATAAGTGAGAAGTATATTGACAGTAGCAATAATGAGAACTCAGTTATATTTTGCAGTAGTTAGAGCCATCTGGTTATTTTCTGAACAAACCCTAGGTTATTCATAACAGAGTAAAGCGATTAAAATGTAATGTAAATATTGTTATGGCACACTTGAAATAAACATCTCCTGGCTTCAAAATAATATCATATTATAAATAAACCTTCAGCATACACTGAAATGACAAATGACAGTTTTGTTCATTCATTTATTCATTCATTCATTCATTTGTTTTTAACTATAATAAGAAGTTCTCTTCAAATTCTTGTACTGATGGACAATTTATTTCTTCCTAGGGCATAGCAAAGCTAGATTTGATAAGGACGTGTTACTTAATGACGAATGCTATGAACTCTTTCAGTGGATTTAGATCAGTGAAGAAGATTGATGGCATTGTAAAAACAATTTCTAAGTAATATATGCTTTCTCAGATAAGCATACATTCTTTTACAATGAATTCAAAGAGATTCCTTATATATAATTAGAATAAAACAACATATCTTGAAAAATTGTTTCTTCTACGTATAAGCAGTTAGAAAATTGCATTACTTTTACATGTCTATCTTTTTTCACATTCGGGGTAATGAGAATTTTAGCCATGGGTACAGTTATTTGTTTTTAGTGGAATAGAAACAGTTCTATTTTGAAAGTAAAAATTTGTCATAGCAAATGTATTTCTAATTTATTATAACAACCAGATAGAAAAACTCATTTTATTAGAAATAAATGGTAGCATACAAAGTAAAATCACTGGCATAAAAAGTAGTGTAAAAATTAGAAGATTTTATATTTTTGCTAATGTTCACTCTATTTCTTATGTCAACGATTTTTACCTTCTATTTTGAACAATTTCTAAAACATATTTTTATATGGTTATTATAATAAATTAGAAGTACATTTACAATGACATCAATTGTCTAGGAAAAATTTATATAGGTGAAATTTTATACTTATTTTTTACATTTTTACTTTCTAAATCAGAAGATTAAAAGGTTTTATAATTTTACAATATTTTGGACATAGTAAGTTAAGGAACCTACCAGATATCTAAGTACAGAAGTTAAATAGGCACTTGAAGAGAATGGTTAAGAGCTCAGAAAAAAGTTGAGGCTGGATATACAAATTTCAGGGGCATCAAGCTAAAAATAATACTTAAACTTATGAAGTTATTTAGTGAGAAATTGTGGAAAGAAGGGACAAGAGCATTAAGGACTAATTCCTAAGGTACTCCAGCCCTCAGTCATTAGGTTATCAAGTAACAAAAGCAAAAGATACCAAAAGAGAGCAGCAAATAAGCCAGAAAGAAAACCAGACTAGGCTGATGAATCGGAGGCCAAAAAACAAAACAACAAAATAAAAAACAGTGCTTGAAGAAGGAAGGAATAGTCAGCTTTAATAAATGTTGCTGAAAGGTTTTTGAAAGAAACCATAAAAGTTACCACTGGATATGGCAGCCTGGATTTAAAAACAGTGGAATAGAGGAAAGACTGACGATAAAACTGGAGACAATTGTATAGAAACTTCTCTCAGGAGATATATTTAATAGATTTTCTATTAAAGAAAGCAGAGAAATGGGAAAGCAGCTGAAAGAGGATGGGGATATTATAAAGTTTTGTTTGTTTATTTAAAATGGAAGATAGAAGCCACAATTACATGCTGTTGAGAATGATCCAGTATAGTACTGTACATGCGACTGAGAATGATCCAATGTGCTAGTGATGCAGAGGAGATGAAGAACATTTAGGAGTAAGTCCTTAACAGTGTTTAATACTAGCAACACAAGAACTAGGGTTGGCTTTTTACAGAACAAGGCCAACTTCTCCATTTTAAAAGACAAGGAAACAAAATATGGATGTAAATACCAGTGAGGTGATGGATTTGATGGTGTTAAGAAGAGAGTGCTTCTATCTATTGCTTTACCCTCTCAAAAAATTATAAAGAAGGAAATAAAACAAAATAAGGGATGAGAAGGAGAAACAGTGAAAAAGCAGTTGGAGTGGAAATGTTCTTCATATTGTAGTTACTTTAAAATGTTATTTGACATATATTTGGCATATATATGGCTAAACTTGGATATGTATATGAATAAATTTTATTTCTATTATTTTTAATAACCACAAATATAACCTTGCCTCTTTCTTTTCTGCTTTCCATTATAGTAAAAATGTAGGCAGCAACATATTTTTATGTGTAATAAATGGATACAAATTGTTCTATATTTCTTGCCTTTCCATTTCAAATTGGTCGAATTTTTTTTGGTCAATTCTTTCATCAATAGACAGCTGTCAGAGTTCCACTAGTAGGATATGGCTTTATGTTATTTCTGGTAATGGGATAGGTTTGTGCTGAGACAACACACTATAATGGTTAAGAGCCCTGCTGGTTGAGTTCAAATTCCAGCTCTGCTAAGAACATGCATTTAAGATCTCTGAGATCTTAAGATCTCATTTTACCCATTTAAAAATGGGGATGAAAATACCACTTTGTAAGGATTCTGTGTTTTAGCTTGAGTGTAAACTGAGCTGCTAGTCAAGTGCTTTGCATGCTATATGCTCTAAATACAGAGAGTAATTATTGCTATTATCATTATTTTATTGGTCTCTATTCTGAATTAATTGCCTTTTTAAAGTTTCTCTTTCTTAGCTGGTCTTTATTCAATTTGATATATAACAATAGAACCCTATTTAATAAGGCTTTAATGTTGACATCGGTGCAAATATTTTTAAAGAAATTAATACATTTAAGATGTTATAAATATGTAGGTTTTTGGACTACTTTAGTGAAAATAATAGGTGGATAACTGCTCGTCTGATTTTAAAATGACACTTAAAGATTAATAGCATGTTTCAGAGACTTCCATTTAAATAACCATATCGTTGAGTTTTACGCTCTATTCAACACTTAAGCACATTTTATTACAAAGGCTTTATGACTTTTATTTCAAAAATGTCCCTTGGATATGGTCTTATACCTGCATTTGTTCTTTAACTGTCCCTAAGTAATTGTATGATGTTGGGAAAGCACCTTAGCCTTTTTAAGCCTCGATTTTCTCAATGGAAAAATATGGATAATAATAGCACTCAGACTTCCTGTGAATCGAGAGGCAGCTCATAGCATGGTGTTTTAAATGTAGAAAGTGCTCAACAAGTATTACATATTAGCATTATTAGCTATTGACATATGCTTCTATTTGTATACTTTTTCTGTGTGACTATTATTATTTCTAATGAGTGTTAAGCTAATTTAAGGAGTACAGTCTACATCTGTGTAACAGACTAGTCACTGGATAATTCCTAGACTAACCAAAATGAAATTGGCCAGCACTTTTGAGGCAAAGAAAACAAGAAAGGGAAGTAATCTTTTATTGACAATTTCATGGGATTTTACAGGTCAAACTCGAATTATATTTTGATGTTATAACATATAAGCCTATTATTCACTTTCAAGTATGTTCCTTTTATGATATTATTACGAGTGAGACAACAAGGTTGTTAAGACCCTTTATCTTTGTTGGAATTTCTGCTTACTTTGCATATTTATGTTAAGGAAAAGGAGGCATGAATGGCAGACTTAAAATCTAATAAAACAAAGATGTGTTTTATTAGTCGAACATCACTCTCCACTTATAAAACCAATCCATAGGTGATATGGTTTGGCTCTGTGTCACCACCCAAATCTCATCTCTAATTGTAATCTGTGTCACCACCCAAATCTCATCTCTAATTGTAATCCCCACATGTCAGTGGAGGGGCTTGGTGGGAGGTGATTGAATCACAGGAGCGGACTTCTCCCTTGCTCTTCTCTTGATAGAGAGTGTGTTCTCATGAGATCTGGTTATTTGAAAGTGTGTGGCACTTTCCCCTTCACTCTCTCTCTCCTTCTCTGCCATGGTAAGATGTAGTTGCCTCCCCTTTGCCTTCTGCCATGATTGTAAGTTTCCTGAGGCCTCCTAGCCATGCTTCCTACTAAGCCTACAGAACTGTGAGTCAATTAAACCTCTTTTCTTCATAAATTACCCATTCCCAGGTAGTTATTTATAGCAGTGTGTTAACAGACTAATACAATATATCAATTTTAGTTTGGGTAGAAACCATTCCAGAGCAAATCAAGAAAAATTTAATGAGTAAGTTTCCCTCTCTCTCTCTCTCTCTCTCTCTCTCACACACACACACACACACACACCATTTTTTATAAAAGATCTCTATCCATAGTGGAAGACTATAATTCCTCAGATTCTTTGATGCATGATGCTCCATTTAGTGCTCTGCTGAGAAACACTGATGGATATTACAAAACAAATTCACTTATAAATTTAGTGCAGACGGACAGTCATGGCTCACTGTAGCCTTGACCTCCTAGGCTCAAGCTGTCCTCTCAACTCAGCCTCTCAAGTAGCTGGGACTGCAGGCATGCACCACCATGCTGGGCTAATTTTTTTTTTTTTAATTTTTTCTAGAGACAGAGTCTCACTTAGTTGCCCAGGCTGGTCTCAAACTCCTGGGATTTAGAAATCCTCTTGCCTTGATGTCCCAAAGTGCTGGGATTACAGGTGTGAGCCACTATGCCTGGCCTCTAATTTTAAAATGTTGCCACTTCAAGAATGTTATATAAAAGAATGAAACTATATAATATTTTGATATTGTATTGTTTTCACTTAGCACAATTTCCTTCAAATTCATCCAAGTCATATATATGAATCATTCTTTTTTATTACTGAGTAATATTCCATTGCATGGATTTACCATCGTTTAAACATTTACCTGTTGAATGACATTTGGGTTGTTCCTAGTTATTAGCAATTATGGATAAAGTTGTTATGAATATCTGTGTGCAGGCTTTCATGTGAATATAAGTTTTATTTTCTTTTGGATAAATGTTCAAGAGTGCAATTGCTGTGGTATATAGTAAGTGAATGGTTAGTTTCGTAAGAAAGTGCCATAATCCTTTCCAGAGTGGTTTTACCACTTTACATTCCCACCAGCAATGCATGAATGATCCCGTTTTCTCCATAATTACCAGCATTTATTGTTATCATATATTTTTTAAAAAATTGAGCCAATTTGAAATGTATGTAGTAGTATCTCATTGTGGTTTTAATTTGCATTTCTCTATTAGTTAGTGATGTTCAACATCTTTTCATGTGTTTTCTGATATCGTTTTCATTAAAATGTCTTTGCTCATTTTGTAACTGGATTGATTGCTAATTTTCTTCCTTTTTTTTTGAGTTTCGAGAGTTGTTTATATATTCTAGCTACAAGTCCTCTGCGGATATGTTCCTAACAAATATATTTTCCCAGTATGAAGCTTTCTTTTCATAATCTTCAGTGTCTTTCACAATACATTTAATAATGTTGAGTAAATCTAGTATTTGGTAACTAAAATACTATGCCACTTTTTCAAATAAGTTAGCACATAAATTATTTAAAATATGGAGAAAGTGTTTATTGTATAGCATTTAAAAATTGACCCCAAAATTTTAAAAATTAATTTTCTAAAACACAGGGATATATGAAATTGATTTTGGTAGTTATCAAAACTAAAATTTTGTCTCTGTCTTTTGATAGGTTCTGTTGCCACTGCGTGTCGTGACCCAGGGGTCCCCATGAATGGGACTCGAAATGGGGATGGAAGAGAACCTGGGGACACTGTTGTTTTTCAATGTGACCCAGGATATGAACTTCAAGGAGAGGAAAGAATAACCTGCATTCAGGTAGAAAATCGGTACTTCTGGCAGCCCAGCCCACCAGTCTGTATAGGTATGAATTAAAGAACAATTAAAATTTTATATAAACATAAAACAATGGTTAAAAACTGGTATTGTTCTTAAGAACCATATTCTAGACTAGATTCTATATGAGAGTCTAAGATTTCAGAGGATTATTAACCTCCGCAGAATGTACAAAATTGTAAAATGATTATTATTTTTCCATGGGGTAAAGGCTGATGATTTCATTAATTTTTTCAATGCTTCTAAGATTCTAAAACAGTTATGAATCAAAGCTCTTGGAAAATTATATCACCCTTTATTTACTATGTAGCCATAGTTATCCATTGCTTAAAGAGTGGATTCAGACCCCATATTAAAATGGGTCATATTGATCTTGTCTCTAAAATGGTTATTTCATTTAAGAAAGAAAATATTGTCAGAACCTATGTCAGAATTTCCAAGCTTTGTCTTTCTATTTAATTCATGTAATCCAAAGGAATATTGGTTTTTATTTGGAAGATCTAAGAAGCTGTAGCGCCTGGATCATACTTCCAGCTGTCTTTTGTCTCCGTGCTCTGTTATTGAATCTCCAAGTTAGACTCTAGAAAATTAAAACAAATTATGATTTGGTCTGAGAAAGACTTAGAGGAATGTCCCGCTTTTGGAATAAAAATAGTTAGAAAATATGCTATATCATTAAACTAGTTTAATCTTAAACTTTTTTGTTCTGTTCAGGTGCTTTAGTATTTGTGTCATCTTGAATTTACGACACATTTTGAACAAACTATGTTTTCTCTACTGAAAATTTTATTTATTTACATACTCTCTCTTACCACACTGTAAGCAACTTGGGAGAAGATTCCATAACTTGTTCATCATTGTGTTTCTTATAGCATTTGGTACATGCAAATGTATCAAGTTTTAGAGGGAGAATCTTATTTTTGTTCACTTACACCTAACCCATAAACTTCACAGTGACTTATTTTGAAAGTCCCATGGAAATAGGAAAAGAGTGTTAGTTCTTCAGTTAGAAGTGAACAAACTCAATCAATTATTCAGATTTATTTTACCCCATCTTGTAACTCCCACACAAAATTACAAAATCAAATTCATTAGTCATTAACTGTGTCTCAGGCACTGTTCTAAACAGTGGGAAATTAGCAATAAAACAAGACAGAAAAGTACTCTGTTCCTATGAACTTACTTTGCAGTGAAATAATAAAAAAAAAAGTTTTACAACACATTTTCTCTATTTTATAAAGTTGGATTTAAGAAAACACTAAATGCACCAAACAACATAAAAAGGCCCAAACCAGCCAGGCAGTAGACGGACAGTTCTAGATCTCTGCTGTAAAAAATAAGACAAATGACAAAGAAGTAAATTTATTAGAGACCCTTTTATAAAGCATGAAATAATGGCATCACTTGAACAGTTCAGATTTAGCTGTATCTCCCATTACACTATTTCTATTCACACCCATATTGTTCTTCATGTACCACTGCAAGATTCTAAATCAACAAACATCAATTAATTTACATTTACTGTAAGTGCACTCATACGATCCGGGGAAACAACTGTTAAGAAATGTTTGCAAAGAAAGAGATTGAAATAATGTTTCGTATCTGTTTCAAAATTTTCAAGTTTGTTTACTACTCAATTAACCAAAAAATTTTCAACTAAATTAAAACTTCTTATTCTAATTAATTGGAATTTGACCACATATCTCATGAAGAGCATATTTATGTAAAGAATAAATTATAAAACACCAAAATCTTACTGTAGAACTTCTTGCTTTATTGTGATTCTTAGATTTGGCTAAAGGATGTTGCTTATTAGAATTACCAGAAGGGCCAACTGATGACAATTGTTTTTACATAAAATCCTAAAATATTAAATGGCTTATACAAAAATTCTAGATAACACTAAAATCCAAGGTGCAAAAGATGAAAAACTTCTGAGATCTGCTATTACAAATTTCCATTTTTAGACAAGAATATGCTTTAGCTAGCAAGTCCTATTCTAGAAAAAAAAAAGCTGAGTACTAAGTCTTACTTAAGTTAAGCAGGTTGTGTGAGGTTTTTCTATAGATAATGATACTGTGTATTATTTTTGGTAGGAAAAGATAGCTTGAGGGGAAGATATAAATTAGAGCTTCTCTGGGGAAGAAAATAACCTTAAAAAAAAAGTCTGAAAAATTGCTAAGGCTGCAGAATGCTTGACCTCTAAAACTGATAAGAAAGAACTTCATGATTGGAAATACCATGCCAAAGATTAAACCCTGAACTTCTTAGAAACTCCATAATTCTATGTCTAAGACCCCGAAGCATAAAGCGTTTTGCTTGCTTGCATATAGAAACAGTCAGTCTTATAGCAAGTACCAAACAGAAGGACGTCATCTTTAAGAGAGTTAATAAAATTCATTCCAACAAAATTGACAGCGTGTAAATTACTTTGACATTGCCCCCGGGAAAGTAGAAGCATTCAATATGAAGGTAAATAGGAAAGACATTAATGTGAGTGGGCTTTTGAGATAGAAAGAAGACACAAATAAAATTGAATTTGAGAAACAAATTAAGAAGATTTTAAAATAGTTATCAATAGTTGATGCCCATATAACTGCCTCAGAAAACACTGCATTCAGAGCAAATTACTGAAAACTTAATTCATGAATCCCTGACTTATATTTTGAATGCTTTATGGTTAGATGGGCAAAAATAGAGATGCATTTCTAAATGCTATTTAAAGTTGAGTATATTTAAAGATAATTTTCTTTACTCACTAAGAGTTTGGGATTTACAAACGTCAGATAATGTCTCTGCTTTTCTTGTTGGCTTTCGTAGGTTTTCAAAATCAACCACAGCATTGAAATATATTGAGAAATCTTTGATAAATAATTTAAATAGATGCACACCTGTGTTCCCAGCTACTCAGGAGGCTAAGATGGGAGGATTGCTTGAGCCCAGGAGTTTGAGATGAGACTGGGCAACATAGTAAGACCTTGTCTCTAGAAGAAAAACAATAATTTAAGTAATAGAATAAAAATCATTTTAGAGAATCTTATATCTAAATAATAGATACTTTACTATATGTAATAAATTTTCTTAAATATTTTGTGATAAGGAATATACATATATAACATCTACATGTATGTATGCATCTCTATACTGTTTCTAACAATAAAAAAGACCAATGTTCCTTCTAAAAAATAAGGACAATTGAAACAAAATTACTCCCCTACCCTCTCCAAAATTACACATAATCCAAGTGGAAAAAAATCACAAAGAACATTTTGCTATCATTCTGGTCTTTTTTGCATATATACATACATATAAGCATACCTCATTTTATTACAGTTCACTTTATTGCATGCCACAGATATTACGTTTTTTTACAAATTGAAGGTTTTTGTCAACCCTGTGCCAAGCAAGTCCTAATAGACTTTTTTTCCAATGGCATCTGCTCACTTCATGTCCCTGTATTATATTTTGGTAATTCTCACAATATTTCAAACTTTTTCATTGCTATTTTGTTGTTATTGTGATCTGTGATCAGTGATCTTTTATGTTACTATTGTAATTGTTTTGGGGTGCCACAAACAAATGCCCATGTAGGACAGTGAACTTAACCAATAAATATGTGTTTTGAGTGCTCCCCTAACTGACTGTTCCTCCATGTCTCTCTCTTTCCTTGGGCCTACCTATTCTCTGATACACAGTATTAAAATTAGACCAATGGCCTCTGAGCATTCAAGTGAAAGGAAGAGTTGCACATCTGTCACTGTAAATTAAAAGCTTGAAATGATGAAGCTTAGTGAGGAAGGCCAGTTGAAAGCCCAAATAGGCTGATAGCTAGGCCTCTTGCACCAAATAGTTACCCATGTTCTGAATGCAAAAGTAAAATTCTTGACAGAAATTGAAAATTCTACTCTAGTGAACACAGGAATGATAAGAAAACAAAACAGCTTTGTTGCAGATATGAAGCAAATCAGTGGTCTGAATAGAAGATCAAACCAGCCACAACATTCCCATAAGCCAAAACCTAATCCAAAGGAAGGCCCTAACTCTTTAATTCTATAAAGACATAGATGGGTGAAAAAGCTGCAGAAGAAAACTTTGAAGCTTGCATAGGTTGATTTGTAAGGTTTAAGGAAAGAAGCTATCTCTGTAACATTAAAGTGGAACGTGAATATGTAGGTACTGAAGGAGAAGCTGCAGCCAGTTACCCAGAAGATCTAGCTAAGATCACTGATGAAAGTGGCTACATTAAAAACAGTTTTCAATGTAGATGAAACAGCATTCTATTCGAATAGTGTCATCTAGAACTTTCATTGCTAGAGAGGAGAAATCAATGTCTGGCTTCAAAGCTTCAAAGGACAGGCTGACTCTCTTATAGGGGCTAATGCAGCTGGTGACTTTAAAATAAAACCAGTGCTCATTTACCATTCTGAAAATCTTAGGCCTGTTAAGAATTATACCTGTGATCTATAAATGGAACAATTAAGCTTGGATAACGGCACATCTGTTTACACTATGGTTTACTGAATATTTTAAGCCCATTGTTGAGACCTACTGTTCAGAAAAAAAGATGATTTTCAAAATATCACTGCTCGTTGAAAATGTACCCATTGCTTGTTCAACTGCTTGTTGAAAATGTACAAATGAGCTTTTGTTCACCCAAAAGCTCTAATGGAGATATGCAAAGAGATTAATGTTTTTATGCCAATAACACAACATCCATTTTGCAGCCCATGGATCAAGGAGTAATTTTGAATTTTAAAGTGGCATTATTTAAGAAATATATTTTACAATACTATAGCTGCCAAAGACAGTGATTTATCTGATGCATCTGAGCAAAGTAAATTGAAAACCTTCTGGAAAGAATTTACAATTTTAGATGCCATTAAGAACATTTGTGATTCATGAGAGGCAGAAGAAATATCAATATTATCAGGAGTTTGGCAGAAGTTGATTCTAACCCTCATGGATGACTGTGATGAGGGGGTGTTTAAGACTTCAGTGGAAGAAGAAACTGCAGATGTGGTAGAAGTAGCAGGAGAACTAGAATCATAAGTGGAGCCTGAATATGGGACAGGATTGCTACAATCTCATGATAAAACTTGAACGAATGAGGAGTTGCTTCTTATGGATGGGAAAAGAAAGTGATTTGTTGAGATGGAATCCACTTCTGGTAAAGATGCTGTGAACATTGTTGAAATGACAACAAAGAACTTCAAATATTACATAACTTAGTTGATAAAAGCAGAGGCAGAATTTGAGAGGAGTGTCTCCAAGAAGTTCTACTGTGGGTAAATGCAATCAAATAGCATCACATGCTACGCGGAAATCCAGTACTACGGCAGACTTCTTTATTATCTTATTTTACGAAAATGCCACCCCGGGCGTGGTGGCTCACGTCTGTAATCCCAGCACTTTGGGAGGCCGAGACGAGCGGATCACAAGGTCAGGAAATCGAGACCATCCTGGCTAACACGGTGAAACCCCGTCTCTACTAAAAATACAACAAAATTAGCCAGGCATGGTGGCAGGCGCCTGTAGTCCCAGCTACTCAGGAGGCTGAGGAAGGAGAATGGCGTGAACCCGGGAGACGGAGCTTGCAGTCAGCTGAGATCTCGCCACTGCACTCCAGCCTAGGCAACAGAGCGAGACTCCATCTCAAAAAAAAAAAAAAAAAAAAAAAGAAAAGAAAATGCCACAGCTACCCCAGATTTCAACAACCACCACCCTGATCAGTTAGCAGCCATCAACATCTAGGCAAGACCCTCCTCCACTAGCAAAAGGATCATGACTCACTGAAGACTCAGATGACCATTAGCATTTTTTTAGCAATAAAGTATTTTTAATTACGTTAGGTACATTTTTTAGACACAATGCTGTTATGCACTTAATAGACTACAAGATAGTGTAAACATAACTTTTATATGGACTTGGAAACCAAAAAGGTTTTGTGACTCACTTTATTGCTATATTTGGTTTATTGTGGGGGTCTGAAACTGAAACTGCAATATCCCTAACGTATGCCTGTATACGCATTTGCTATTATACTTTTTTTCATATTCACATATTATTTTCAGAGCCCCAAAGGTAAAATATGTTGCTATTTTTATTAAAACACATAGCTACAAATTAGATTGTGCATCCATCTCTACAGTCATCTTCACTATTTACATAATCAAATATAAAGAACCACTAGCAATTCAACAAACGTTATGAAATATATAGTATGCACTGAATTCTAGGAATAAATAAAATATAGACAGAGTGTCTAGCTTACATATTAGTGATGAGTGCTGACACCTGAATGGAATATTAAATAAAATACAGTCAATACAGTCAAAGAAATGACCGAGATGGGCAGAGGTTACTATGGATACCAGAGGGTTAATATTACATATTAGTAATGAATACTGACACCTGAGTGGAATATTAAAAACAAATACAATAAGAGAAGCAACAGAGATTGGCAGAGGTTACTATGGATACCATAATGGTTTAGAGAGAGATGAAGTAGTGCCCATTCTGGGGTCTACAGGAAAACTTCCTGGAGGCAGTGATGAATCTAAAAACATAAGTTAGAGTTATATAAATGTAGAAGGGAAACAGGCATTTCAGGAAGAAGAAACAAAATGAGTAAAGTCATGGAAGAACAAGGAAATATAAGCAGTATGATAATATTTGAGTATAATTTATGTGTATACACTGATGGTTGATGAAACTGGAAAGACTGTATGGGTCAGATCATGAAGGCTGTATGGGAATTGGGACATTATATTTTAGACAATGTGAAACAGTTGCAGAATTTTATGCATATACATAGTACGATTAGATGTTTTCACTGAGGAAAAAAATGGGGAATAATCGTTTCAATTATCAATTGTAATAATTCGAGAAAGAGAGGAGTTAGACCTATTGGTAGTAGGCAAGAAAAGAAGGACCGGTTGAAAATAGCTACAGGGTGGAGTCCTGGCAGGGCTTCTTGATAGATTGGATATAAGGATGCAGTGAAAAAAAGAGAAGACTCTTAGGCCTCTAGCTTGGGACTACAGGTGGATGGTATGCTCATCTAACAATTTAGGAACCTAGGAAAAGAAGCCAATTTAATTTGAGGTTGAGTATTTAGGCTATTCTATATTTGATGTACCAATAGACTACAGAGAGAGATATTCAGTAAACACTCTGGCATATGGTTTAGAGTTCAGCCAAGAAATCTGTAGGAGGAGATAGGGAAAGGTGTTATCAGGGTATAAAAATTAGAAGATAAAAATCATAAGTTTACATATGGTCAACAAGGAAAAATGTACCAGTAGAAATTAAGAGAACCATGTAAGGAACTTAGGAGATCACCAAAGTTATAAGGAGATGTAAAGGAAGAAGTGTATGATAATAAGACTGAAGTCTGTATAAAGACACTAGAAGAAAACCCCAGAAACACTGGCTTCTAAGATTCCAGAAACTAGGATGGTGAATTTAAGATAAAGATCAACAATTAAGAATGACTACAGATATGAAGAGAAAGATAAAGGCAGCAAAGTCTTCATTATTATTATAAATGCAGAAGTCACTTAAGTATAAGCTAAGAAATGTTTGTATTGGGAGCTAGCTAAGAAATGTTTGTATTGGGGCAATGGTTGAGAAGAGAATGAGAGGTAGAAAGGACCATATAAAGACATCTAGAGGCCAAGCATGGTGGCTCACACCTGTAATCCCAGCACTTTGGGAGGCTTGAGGTGGGCCCATCACTTGAGCTCAGGAGTTCAAGACCAGCCTGGGCAACATGGCAAAACTCTGTCTCTCCAAAAATACAAAGATTAGCTGCATGTGGCAGCACACCTCTGTAGTCCCAGTTACTGGGGAGGCTGAGGTGGGAGGATCACCTGAGCCTGGGAGGTCAAGGCTGCAGTGAGCTGTGGTCGTGCCACTGCACTCCAGCAGCCTGGGCCACAGAGTGAGACCCTGTATCGAAAAAAAAAAAAAAAAAGACATCTAATCTAGACTCTCTAAGTAATAGAAAGGTTATTGTGTCTCTCTAAATGTAATTTAAAATAAAAATAACTTTAAACCTTACGATAATTTTTGTCATGTTGAATACTTTGGCACTTTTCTTTGAGAAACAACATAAGAAACATTTTCCTCCTTTAGTTTTCTGCTTTGTTGGACTTGTTAGTCATCTTAATCTGTCCCATAGGTACATACAGCACAGGGGTGCAGAAAGAGACAGTGAGAGTAGATGTCCCCTTCAAAAAGCTTAGTTATGCCAAATTAAAAAAAAAATCAGAATTTAGTAAGAAGAGACTTTGATTCAGACAGGATTATTGCAAGGAGCAGGGAAGGGACTATTGCAACAGGGAATACTAAGGCTGTAAGATCTGCACCTATCTCAGGAGTTAGATGAAAAGGCTTTTTTTTCTTTTTTTAGAGAAGGCTAAACAAAGCTAGAGAGAACCAGGTACGAAGTCAGAGGAAAGGGCAGCCTGATTGAATAGTAGATGAGAGAATGTTGTGCTCTGAATCCAACCTATTCTCCGGAAATATCCTGTGCTGTCTTAAAGCTGAGAGTGGGACAAAGTTCAGGAGCCTAGAATAAGGAGGGAAACGTAATCAAAGTTTGTTTCACAAGAATTTTATTCAGATTAATCAGTGAGCCAAGCAGTTCAGCTAGAAGCAAAGAATCGGAACTGGTAGGGTCTGTGTCTGGTCTTGCCATAAACAAGAGGGTGACAAAGACAGCTTATCTAGGTCATGATAAGTGAGTCTTATCTAAGTTATATGGGGCAGGGTGTTTCCTTATAGTAAACAATTTTCTGTTAAAAAAAGTGAAAGTAAGTAGGTCATAGGGAAGTTTGTTTTATTTTTAAGATGAAAGAAACCTGAGCGTGTTTGTGGACAAAGTGGAGAAAGCCAGGAAAAGTAAGGGAGACAAATAATTGAACAAGTGTTTTGGATAAGGGAGAGGGATTATGTGACCAGGTTGACGGTGATATCTTGATTAGGAGGGACTCTATCCTGGGATTGTAAAGAGAAATATTCAGGAGGCATTTAAGCTTGGAGATGGAGGACTACAGAACATCGAAGCAGTTTATGTCTAATCATTTTATAATGTACCACAAAAACATATAAGCGACAGGAAAGTAGTGGTGAATATATTAAGTCTGAGCAACTAGATATTCTCAATGCAGTAAGAGCTGAGACAATTTTCTGAGAGTGACTCAGGTACTGAGACAAGAGTAGCAGAGGTGCATGGAGGAAGGCAGTACCAGACAAAAGACAATGGAAAAATTACCAAACCGTAGTGATGATATTACATATCTCAACTCATGCAAGGAACAGAAATGCTGAAATGTTGCCAGAATCAAAATTCTCTTCCTTACAAAACCAGTTTTATAGGACAAAAAAATTTAATTTCCCTTATAACTGAATGCTCATATTTATCTCAGAAAACTACAATTTCGAAACCAAGGTGAGAGAAGAATGCCGATGTACTGATTATGTGTAGGAGACATTGTGAGAATGTGAGAATCCTAATCTTAATGTCCCTCACTTGGGTGTGTGTATTTATTTGTATTTCCCACTCTCCCATCCCACCACGAAGACCTCCATATCTTTCTTCATTTCTCTATTTTTTTGAAGATGTCAATTTCTGTGTAATGTATAATTTCTTGAACACAAGCTCTGTTTAGCAAACTTCAACAGTAATCCCCTAAAGAATCTATTCTCTGAGTTTCACTGACAATTTTTTGAAGCTCTCCATTTAAGTGTTATGGAAACCTTTGTTTGAAACTGTAATAACTGTACTAAATAAAGGTGCCAGGAGAGACATGAAAATAAGCTATATGTCTCATGTCTTATTTTTCTATTTATTATTAGAGGTTTTGTTTTGCTTTGATCTGATTTTTTCTGGTAACCAGAGGAAAATCATCTTTATCACTTTTTTAATGCTTTTCTTTTGACATGAAACAAAATAATAATAGAAAGACAGAAAAGTATATATGCATTCTTTTTGGTCTCTTAAAGCCAATAAAGCAGCTAAATTTTATGTATCCATGTATGTATGCATGTATTCAATATTTTAATGGTCTTTCTTGAAACATAATGCTGTATCCAAGCATCAAGTACTATAAAATTCAGGTCTGTACAAAGCCTCATAAGCTCTTTTAGAGACGTGATTTCAAAAATATTGATAGCTAATAAATTGTATTAATGTTTAAAGAGATTTTATTTGTTTGTTTAAATTAAAGCACCCTGTGGAGGCAATTTAACAGGATCTTCAGGCTTTATTCTTTCACCAAACTTCCCTCATCCATATCCGCATAGCAGAGACTGTGACTGGACTATCACCGTCAATGCAGACTATGTTATCTCCTTGGCGTTCATCAGGTGAGTTCTTATATATTTATTTCCACGTTAAAAAAATATATTGTTAGGCCATTTTGCTTTAGCATTTGTACTAGACTAATTCCTATTTCTGTATATAGCATTTTTTGTTATTTTTTACTTATCCCAGTGCTAATAGTTGTTCTAGCTTTGCCACTGTCATTTGTGTTACCTTGGGCAAGTTATTTATTTGAGTGAGCCTCCATTTTCCCGCATGAAGCTAACAGCTGGCATCACAAAACCCAGCCTCTTTCCCTGAAGATTTCATTGGAAGTGTTAGGTAATAGCAACTCAGTGATTTTCCAAGTAGAAAAGTCCCCAATCTTTATTATCTAAGGTTGATGTAATCAGTTATGTTGACTCTAGTAGCACAATTCCTTTTTCTGCCACCAGTATGTTAAAGCTCCTTAGTTTTTATGTGAAATGTTAAGCTTAAATATACAATATTTTCTAACGTACTGAGGCCAGTTTGTTTTTCCTAAGTAAAGATAATTTGAACTCATAAAAATTTAGCATAATTGTAAATAAATAAAATTTTATTTTTGTGATTTGTAGTGGTACATTGCTAATTAGTAATACCAAAGCAACAACAATGATAATTTTAGTTTTATGCCAGGATCCTGTTGTAAGACAAATTCCCAAGCTAAGTACTATTACTATCCCCATTTTCTCAATTGAGGAAACATCAATACGGACATTAGAAATATCAAAATGGATGATACAGGGCTTAGTTTACATATAAAATTATTCTAGTTGATAACTTGAGGGTAGAAGGACATATTACATGAAGTGCATGACCTAAATTTGATTTCTAGCTCTATCATTTATTATGTGACCTTAGGTAGACCACTGATTTTAAAGAGCCTTAACATACACATTGGTAAAATGAAAAGCATAATCTCTTCCTTATACAACAGGACTATTGGCAAGATGAGTTAATATTTATTAAAGTACCTTGTAAAACATAAGGTAATATTAGCATGCACTGTTTTTTCAGTTTTTCAGAAAAAAAACGTAATAACTAAGACTCTAAAATTTCCTTAGAAGGAATATTTTTGTTTTAATTTCATTTTCAAAGAAGTTACAATACTTGAAGTATTGATTTAGTCCCAAACTATAAATTAAAAAGAAATGTACTGTGTTCCATTGTTAAATAAGCTTTCAGCCTTCCGTGCATAATAAATACTACTGTGTCATTTACAAAGCTCTTGTTTCTAGTGATTCTCCCAACAGATATAGAAAAGGAAGTTGTAATTACCATCAAAGTTTAATGTTGGAAGAGATGAAATTCAGAAGTTGTGTTTTATCTCAGAACAAGGGTAATAAGTAATGAAATAAAGTTTAATCTTCTGACTTCTGCTATATTATTATACCAACAGTTACCAAATACAGGCCTCAGATCCACTGAAAAATTTCAGGATAAGTTAATTGAACTAAGTGTTGAAGCTACTGAATAAATTAAAACAAAATATAATAGTGTGATGGTCTCCCAATTTTCTCACGTTAGAGGGGCCCATATATAAGAAAAGTCTGGGAACCTCTGCACTATCCCATTCTTTCTTTACCACTGCTTATGCACAAGTAAACTGAGCAGCTGGACTCTTCTTTCTTGTACATGCATATGTAAAGGATGAGATTGTGGAACGTTAACTTCTATAAATTCTTTGGGTTCGGAAATAATGCCTTTCACGTAACAAATCTATTGCTTAGATGCAGGCAAATATGATAAAACTTGCCAAAATAGTTTTTCTACTGATGAATGTTTAACAATGGCAAGTTTTACTGGTTTCATTTTATATCATAAACTGGTTGACTTTTCTTGCTGACCTAAATGAATCTATCCTTTACCCCATATTTCTCTACCACAGTATGAGTTAGGAAAAACAGAAATTGATTGCATGTCCCCTGTCTTCTAAATGTATGAGTTCCATGATCATTGTGGGACAATTGTTATACTTTTGAAGGTTGTTAAGGCAAGTTTATTATGCAAATCTTGCAATATTAACACAACTGATTTGAATCATTTACATGCTAAAATATCCTTTTTCACATTACCTAATTCTGATAATGTATTGGTTTGATATCTCCTACATTAGGTTTTAAAAGAAGAAAATATATTTACTTTCAGGAAAAAGAATGCCTAATACAATGTGCAAAGCTTCATTTGAGTTATTTAAATGTAAATAATATATTTCAACTTTTGATTTCAGCTTTTGTCCATATCTGATTGTAGAGTTAAATTTTTAGGAGTACTATTGATGAAGAAAAAAGTAGTTTGTGTTTTCATGATGCAAAATATATGGATGAAAAAGTTTTAAAAATACATATTATCCTCCACATAAAGTAACTTGCATAAGAATATGTCACTAATAAGGGCAGAAACAAGGCTTGAACTTGCATTCTCTGACTCCAAATCCTGTATCTTTTCATCAACTAAACTCTTTGTCTTACAATCACTTATATTTCCTCTGCATACAATGTCAACTTAAAAAATATGTAAAAATATCAAGTTTTTTTCTTTTTCCCCTGCTTATTTGATATTTATATTAAATATGTTGTTGCCAGGTGATTTTTTATATTAGCTTATTTTGACAGCGTCTTTTATTATTTTTAAGCACTGAATTAATGTTTGATTATATAACTATTATGGTTAACAGCCTAATAATAATTATCCTACTTCTCTTTCTTTCTTTTGTTCTTTCCTTTTTTTTTTCAGTTTTAGCATAGAACCAAACTATGACTTCCTCTATATCTATGATGGACCAGACAGTAATAGCCCACTGATTGGAAGTTTTCAAGACAGCAAGTTACCAGAGAGAATAGAAAGCAGCTCAAATACAATGCATTTGGCTTTTCGGAGTGATGGATCTGTTAGTTACACTGGATTTCATCTAGAATACAAAGGTAAATATGAACATTCCATGTTAGTATCATGATTTAAATTATAGATATTTTATACAGGAGAATAATTTGGTATGGCCCATTGTTAGTGGTTAGTTTTATGTGTATTTTTAAATGCAGATTATGTACAGTTCATCTCATAAAAGCGTTCTCACTGTAGAATTTTCTTATTAGTGGGAAGGAAATTAGCATTTCTCTAATTACTACCAAAGGAAAGGTATCAGGCAAACAAATTAACAATTAGTATATTGGAGGAGTTGGCTGGAGCCACACAACATTAAAAAATAAAAAATACAAAAAAAGCCTCATTTTGTAGAAGCTGAAGTTTCAGTCAAATACCTTAATTTGATGAACACTTTCAGTGATAAAGGGAACAACGTAGACGATAACTGTATTTCAGAAAATATGTAAGCTGGGTGCCATCAGTCATGCCTGTAATCCTAGCACTTTGGGAGGCCAAGGCAGGAGGATTACTTGAGCCCAGAAATTTGAGACCAGCCTAAGAAACATAGTGAGAGCAGATTTCTACATTGTTTTGTTTTAATTAGTCAAGAGGGGTGTCATACGTCTGTAGTCCCAGCTACTCAAGAAGCTGAGGCAGGAGGATCACTTGAGCCCAGGAGATGAAGGCTGCAGTGAGATATGATCATGCCACTGCAGGCCAGCCTGGGAGAGCAAGACCGTGTCTCTAAGAAAATGTCTACAGATATTTAAATATGTCAATATTCATAATAAAGAGAAGAAATATAGTTATAATGTTTTAGAATACTTCTGCTAGTGTTTAAATGAATTATGTTAGAATGCCTGTGGATATTTATAAATATATTTTTCTAAAATTTTATAGTTTATGTCTATAGGAACAGATTTAGATTTAGGTTGTGTAAAATTTAAATTTATTTTTCAATTACTGAGTCCATGAATGGCATACTAATAATTCACCTCAAGTTATCAACTGATTTCTGAAAACACATGCTTTGATTTGTTACCACCTTTTGTTTAATATTTTCAATAATGGAAAATTATATAGAGTAATGAACTCCAAAGCATCCATCAGCCAACTTGACAAAAATTAACACTGTGCTATATTTGCTTCAGATCTCTTTATTCTTACTTTAAAAAATCAAATATTACATATACAATGGAAACTCCTTTTGCATTTGCCATAGGAACAGGGGTTAGTCTCTTCAGGGCTATCGTAAGAGGTCACGATAAATTTCACAACACATGATATGGGTAAGAAAGATGTTTTTAGGGAAATGAAACTCACAAGTCAGTAAGAAACAGAGGCTTGGAGTCCTCCGATATCTCTGTCATCACTTGGAACTGTATGCCAGGGCAAGGGTATCTGCTGGACATTAACAGTATAGTTTTCATTCCAGTGGAAAGCTTGATCCCTCCGTAAGTCTCTCATTTCACAAGAAAAAGCAGGAAAATGGCCTTGTTAGTAGGAAAATATACTGGCCATTTGGCACAGACAGTGAGGTTTGGGGTGTTGGCTGTTTATTGGGGTTTTCTGCAAATGCTACCTGCTCTGTATCAGAAGATGCTTGGGGGAAGTTTAGACCTTGGGAATATGGGTTCGAAACTCTTTTAGAGAGAGTGAGCTTGACCACAACACCACTCTAACCACCTGGTAGATAATTCCCTTACCATTTGTGGGGACCTGGCTAGCTGGCCATGTAGGCAAACCATAATGAGCATTCAAGGTCATTTTTCAGATATTCCTGCTCTTTTCATGCTAGTATTCCCCTAATCCTGAAGTTGATACTTATCTTTTCCATGTATTTATGCTTGCACATATTTTTATATTTCTTATTTTCATACAAATTTTGTATTTTTATTATGTATGTATCCTTCTGAAAATTGATTTGGCCCCTTAAATTGTTTTTGAGATTTATCAAAATTAGAAACATATAGCTTTAATTTATTAAGTCCTTTATGATACTCCACCATATGGCTATATCAAAGTTAATATATAAATTTTTCTGCTGATAGACATTTAGGTTGTTCTGGTTTATTACTACCAGAAATGAATGACGATGAAATGAACATTCTTTTACATGTCCTCATGAACATATCTGTGAGATTCTTTTTAGGACATCTGTATACCAAAGAGTGGGATTACTGGGTCAAAGGGTATGAACCTCTTCAATGTAACTCTGTATTGCCGAATTATTCTCTAAAGAGGCTGTACCAATGTAAACTCAAAAATCAGAGGATGAGAGCTTCAGAAATTCCAGTTTTTAAAAACCAGTGCTTTTGTTAAACTTGGAAGTTGCTAATTGTATTAAATGATATCTCATTGTCATTTTTATTGCCTTTTCCCTTATTACTATTAAGTTGAGCATCTTTTTCCTATTTTGCATACTGAGATTTTCTTTCTTTTTTTTTTTTTTTCCTTGAGATGGAATCTTGCTCTGTCACTCAGGCCGGAGTGCAGCGGTGATCTCAGCTCACTGCAACCTCCGCCTCCCGAGTTCATTCAATTATTATTAATTGTTTTAACTATGGTCCCGAGTTTTAACTATGGTGTATATTGCCACTGAATTATTACTCTATATTACAAAAATATATCTATGTTGTCTGAGGTAAATGCCCAGGGTTTGTCATTTGGCGCCAAGAAGATTAAGGACAGGGACAAACATGAAGAGTGAGTTTAGGGGCAGAGGTTTAACAGGCAAAAAAAAAAGACAAAGGAGGACAGCTCTCTCTGTTTCGTAAGAGAGGGGCATCCAAAAGGGGAAAGCCAGCCCACTGTTGACTGCGTCAGATTTTATAGGCAGGCTTGAGGAAGCGGTGTCTGAGTTACATAGGGCCCACAGACTGGTTTGACCAGGTATGACATTTACATAGTGTGCGGGGAAGGCTGGTCACCCCACCCTAATCTTATGCAAAAGGAGGCTTTGCCTGGCAGGGGCTATATTGTCTTCTCCTTACTGTACTCATGGTTTGGCAAACAGAAGGGCAGATGAAGCCCCCATTTTGGACATGCCTAGTCCCAGGTAGCCTTTTCCTATGGGCACAACTGTGGGCATTCACCTGTGCAAGCTTCTGGCTTGCTTGGCTATGTCTGCAGCTCCATTTTGCAGGCTGCTCTTTGTTAGAAAAGAAAGTGATATGATGGCTCCTTTTCATTAAAAGGAAAACCTTACTATCTGCCTAAGTGATTTCTTATTAACTCCTGTATCATTATCATTGATTTAGTACCATCTGATTGGGCTATAATTTTTAGTCCTTGTACTCTTTTTGTCTGGTTTTGATATCAAGATTACACTACCTGCCTAAATTTAGGAGCATTCTTAATTTTCTAGTATCGAGAATAGTTTGTATAAGATAGGATCATCTATTTCTTGAATGTTTTCTAGAACTGAAACTATGGACCCAGTGATTTAAGGTGGTGGAATTTTAATGGTTGTAAATATATTTAGATTAGCTTTTTTATCTTAGATTTTAAAAAATCTTTTTCTAAAAACTAGTTCCTTTCATTCATGATTTCACACATATTGACATGAAAATATTCACAGTGTTTCTTACTTTATTTGCTGCTGCATATTTTTGTTAACACTGTTTAATATTTTTATTAGTATTGCTTTTATCTATGTTATTTCCTCTGTTTTATTTTCTCTAGATTTGCTTATCCTTTTTCTCATTTCTTGAGATAAATACTGCTTTTGTTTTTTTTTGGAGACAGAGTATCGCTGTGTTGCCCAGACTGGGGTGCAGTGGTGCGATCCCGGTTCACCGCAACCTTTGCATCCCGGATTCAAGCAATTCTCGTCCCTCAGCCCCCTGAGTAGTTGGGATTACAGGCATGAGCCACCATGCCTGGCTAATTTTTGTATCTTTAGTAGAGACGGGGTTTCACCATGTTGACCAGGCTGGTCTCAAACTCCTGACCTCATGATCCGGCCCTCCTCAAGAGCTGGGATTACAGGCGTAAGCCACCACGCCTGGCCAATACTGCTTATTAATTCGCATTTTTTCTCTTGGATCTACACATTTTCATTTAAGAACCTCTTAAGCTGCTATGCAAACATTTTGATATGTACAGATTTATCATAATTTTATTCTAAATTGGTTCTAAGTATAGCATTATGATTTTTCTTTGCTGAAGTGCTACTTAAAAGTATTTCAAACTATCAAAATAAAATTTAAATCTATAACTTATTATATTATAAATTTCTAATTTACTTGCATGATCAGATATGTATGATTCTGGTTCTTTGGCTTGTCATAGGATTTGTTTTGTGGTCTATTATATCGTTAATATTTATGTTCCTTGTGTACTAGGAGAGAAATTTGTATCATCTAATGAGTGCAAGTTTTTATATACATCCAATAAACTCCCTAATTATATTGTTAAATATTCATCTTCTCACCATTTTTTGACCTGCTCGGTCTAGCAATTATTGAAATAGTTGGGTAAAATCTACTATTCTTAATTTGCCATTTTTCTTAAAATCTTTACCACTTTGTTTATATATTATGAAAGCCTGCTTTCAGGTGCATATAAGTTGCATTTTTTTCTGGTTTTTTGATACCTTGGATTTAGTATATTTATACTTATTAGCCTTTTTCTTTTATTTTTTGCTTCATATTTGTTTTGCTTTTTCTGTATTCCTAATTTCAAAATCTTCCACTTGCTACCTAATAATGTCAATATCTGATACTTCCTTGCTTATTTATTTTTAAGTTTACTTACCATGTGCATCCCCCTCACTCCAGTAGCCCCCTACACATATTCTAAAATACAAGTTTCTTAAGAGGAAAGCCTTTATCTGTTCATTCACCACTATACACTAAGTGCCAAGAATAGTGCCTACACACAGTAATTATTCAGTTTGCTACTTGATTGCTTTTGAGCATCGTAAAGAGGTGTTTTCTGTTTTAAAATCAAGTCATAATTCAAATATTAGAATAATAACATTCTTTAAATGTGAGAAACCTTGGAGCTGATTCCTGTTCTAAATTTTATACATGAGAACTTGGCTTAGAAATAGCTACTTATACCTGCAAGCTGAAAGGCTTATACATATGACCTGTTTAAAAAAGAAAGAAAAGAAAGAAAGAAGAAAGAAAGAAAGAAACCTTTTAACAAATCTGTAGAGATAAAGTGAGGTTCTACTGTAAATTAGTATTAATAAAACATTTCCAAATATCACTACGATAAAAGTTGCAGCAAGAGTATCTCACTAGCAATCCAATGGTAGATGGTACTAACTGATTATGGCTTTATTTCTCATGGAAACTGGTCAGGACCTTATAATGCTTTCTCTAGGTAACACACCATGTAGCCCTTACTAAAGCCTAGTAGTTAAGCAATTGAGATAAAACCTATTTGCCATTATCTCAGCTGAATATATGTCCCTCCCTATTTCCCCAGCTTAATCAATTTCAATGTTTTCATCATTTCCAAAAACTTAAGATTCATGCTGTCATAGATAAAGAACTACAAATGTAATTTTTTAAAAAGAGATGTTGTTTACTATGCACTTACTCTACTCTAGATTCAATGATTAGACCTCATGAGTAGGTATGGGAAGGACAGAGATAATGCATGTATAAATGCAATAAAAACATTACAGAACAGCATTGTAAGTATTGCTATCCCCATTTTACAAAGCAAAAAATTGAAAATCGAATTGTTAAAATGATTTACACAAGACTACATAAGTTATTATTACATTGAGAATAAAGGCAAAGAAAAATATAAGTATAGGTAGAGAGAAATACATAATTATCCCATTAACTACATCCTTCTTCCCCACCCACTGTCTTCACCTATTATACCAGTACACATTTAGACACAATTCCACCAGGTCTTATTTTTATACTCCAGATGATATTTCTTTACAATAATGTTCTCGAGATCCAATCTCATTAATTTTCTACCTGGTCCTCAAACCCCCGCTGTTTATGGGAAAATTTCATTGCCCACTTCAGGGTCTTCAGGGTCTGTCTTATCAGCTTCCTTATTTCCTATTCTTATTTTGGTAAATGTTTCCTCTGTAATTGTCCAGTTTCTTAAGGCTAACAATGCTTGTAATGATGTTTATAATGATCATTGTAAAACAAACATCTCATTATTTTCAATATAAAAATATGCACACCCAAATGAATGGACATATAAATTGAGGCCCTAGATAGTAAAAATATTTTTCTTTGTCTTTTGTAACATATATCACAAATGTTGACTTAAGCATGTTGGTTTCTATAGCACTTAAAAAGTAAAGTTATTAGTGGTCTTTTTCCTTTTTAAAATTTTTAATTTTTACAGGTTCATAGTAGGTATATATATATATATATATATATTTATGGAGTACATGAGATATTTTGATACAGGTGCACAATGTGTCATAATCATTATCAGGGTAAATGGGGTATCCATCACATCAAGCATTTATCATTTATTTATGTTACAAACATTCCAATTATACGCTTTTAGTTACTTTTAAAGATACAGTAAATTATTGTTAACTGTAGTCACCCTGTTATGCTATCAAAGACTAGATCCCTATTCATTCTATCTAACTTTGTTTTCATACCATTAACTGTCCCCACTTCCCACCCCTTACTCTTCCCAGCCTCTGGTAAGCATCATTCTACTCTCTATCTCTACAAGTTCAATTGTTTCAATTTTTATCTCCCACAAATAAGTAAAAACACGAAAAGTTTTCCTTTGTTATTTTTAATTTTTGTGGGTACATAGTAGGTATATACATTTAGGGAGTATGTGAGATATTTTGATACAGGTATACAATGTGTAATAACTGACACGAGGGTAAACGGGGTTTCCATAATATCAAGCATTTATCCTTTGTGTTACAAACAATCAAACTATACTCTTTTAGTTATTTTTAAATGTACAATTAAATTATTATTGACTATAGTTGCCCTGTTGTGCTATCAAATACTGGATCTTATTCATTCTTTTTAATTATTTTTTTGTACCAATTAACTATCCCCACTTTCCCCCCAACACCTCTACTACCCTTCCCAGCCTCTGGTAACCATCCTTCTACCCTCTAACTCCATGAGTTCAATTGCTTTTAATTTTTAGCTCCCACAAATAAGTAAGAAAATGCAAAATTTGTCTTTCTGTGCCTGACTTATTTTACTTAGGTCCTCCAGTTCCATCCATGTTGTTGCAAATATTTCATTCTTTTTTATGGCTGAATAGTACTTCATTGTATATATGTGCCACTTTTTTTTATGCATTTGTCTGTTGTGGACACTTTAGGTTGCTTCCAAATCTTGACTATTCTGAATAGTACTACAATAAATGTGAGAGTGCAGATATCTCTTCGATATACTGATTTCTTTCTTTTGGATATATACTAGCAGTGGGATTGCTGGATCATATGGTAGTTCTATATTTAGTTTTTTGAGGAACCTCTACACTGTTGATACTGTTCTCCATAGTGGCTGTACTAATTTACATCCCCCTCAACTGTATATGAGGTTTGTCTTTTCTCCTCATTCTCACCAGTATTTGTTATTGCCTTTAATTAAAAATTAAGACGTGGCTGGACGTGGTAGCTCACGCCTATATTTCCAGCACTTTGGGAGGCCGAGGCGGGTGGATCATGAGGTCAGGAGATCAAGACCATCCTGGCTAACCTGGTGACACCCCGTCTCTACTAAAAATACAAAAAATTGGCCGGGCGTGGTGGCGGGCTCCTGTAGTCCCAGCTACTCGGGAGGCTGAGGCAGGAGAACGGTGTGAACCGGAGAGGCGGAGCTTGCAGTGAGCCGAGATCGCACCACTACACTCCAGCCTGGGCTACAAAAAAAATTAAGACGTAAGCTTTATTGTGTATGTTCACTTCTAGCTCTAATAAAACATATATAGTATAAATATATATATATACATATACATCTATTTATATTCAGCAGAAATAATTTTAAAAGAAAACTAAAATATTTTAGATGCAGCGATCTAAAATATATCTTCTGATATATCTTATTTGGAGACTGTAAGGAGGCAAAATACTCTTTTACCTAGTATCTGTTCAGTAGGCAAATCACTATTAAGCAGAAAAAATTAATTATGCATAAAAATAATGCTGATAACTTGTCTGCCTCATAATTTTTATTCAGAAACTAAAATCACTTTCCAGCTACTGCCTAGACATTTTTTTAAGTATTCTCCAGGTGTTTTCAAAATTTCCAGGTGTAATTGCTATGGCATATGTGGATATAAATAAAGACAGTATTATTCATAGAAAACTATTCACCAAGGATTTAAAGCAGTATGTAAACATAATAATAACATAAGGGCATTCTCTCAAATTGAGGCTAGCAATGTAAAATTGTTGCAGAGGCATTATTTTTAAATTTGTCAAACATGTGTCCCTTTCCTCAAAAAACCGGATGCTTGCATTACAGTTTCACTGACATTATATTGAAACATTGAGGAAAACTTCAAAGAAGGAGAAAGCAAACTTTTCAAAAGATGAATATTAGGAGAATAGACTTGTCAACGAGATTAATCCTTTTAAACAGAAATTTAAATCCTTCCTCTACCCTCCAGGGACTTAGTTTAATTTTACGAAGCCCAGCTATAAATGCCAGGTTTCTGTTCTGTCTAAAAATTACATTGCGTTTTCCTGCTTGTTTAAGGGAAGGTACAATGTAAAGTTTTATTTTTTATAAATAAACAAATCAACCCTTGCATCACTAAATGCCCATTCTTAGTGACCAAATTAAGTAGTTACCCTGCTGGTTCTTTCATAAAAAGAGTTGTGTGAATATTTTATGTGAAAGAAATATATTCCATGGTTTGGGACAAAATTTTTACAGAGCAGCTTGAGTATAATATATGGAGTGCAAATTTTGTGTAAGTGTATCCATGTGTGTGTGTATATGTGTGCTTGGGAGAAGATCAAGTCATTTAGCTCTGGTTTGAAACCCAGGAATCACATTTATCTATTTGCACATGTCAGCACACCTCCTCCCCAACAGGTTTCCCATCGCCTTTTTACCTAATCTGTTCCTTATTCTCTCAATGCTCACTTTAGATACCACTTTTTAGTGAGGTTCCTGAATGCTTCTCTTTATACAGCATGCCAAAATCGCAAGTCTTTATTTAATATAATTGCTTTCTTTAAGAGACTGTAATTTCCGTGAGTGCCAGAACATTTTCTGATTGTCCACTGCTACATTTCCAGAGTTAGCAGGGTAGTGAGCCTTTAAGTACTTGTAGAGAGAAAGAAAGAAAAGAAAGAAAGAAAGAAAGAAAGAAAGAAAGAAAGAAAGAAAGAAAGAAAGAAAGAAAGAAAGAAAGAAAGAAAGAAAGGAGAGAAAGAAACAAAAGAAAAGAAAGAGAAAGGAGAGAAAGAAACAAAAGAAAACAAAGAAAGAAAGAGAGAAAGAAAGAAAAGAAAAGAAAAGAAAAAGAAAATAGTAGGGTCGTGAGCCTTTAAGTATTTGTAGAAAGAAAGAACGAAAGAACAAAAGAAAGGAAGAAAGAAAGGAGAGAGTAAAAGAAAGAAAGAAAGTGAGAGAGAGAGGAAGGAAGGAAGGAAAGAAGGGAGGCAACCTTCCTCATTTATCTGTTATTCTATTAAAATTATTTAAATGTGTGGTTCTACCACTTCCTCTTTAGTTGAATTGGGAGAAATTATATATAGTGTTCTTCTTAAAGCACAGATTTCTCATTATTTCTTAAAAATGCTAAAGTACATTAAACTCCTTGCAAACTTTTATGAATGAAAGAAACATATTCTTACTGGTATAGTTAATTATATTTTGATATAAAAATATGTTTGTAGTAGCCAAACACCAAGATATCGTTGACTTACATTTCAAAGATTCCATGACTCATATTCAGAGATATACCCACTGTCTGATTTCTTATTAGCACAAAACAAATTCTGATGTAGAAAATCACTACATTTGTTATCCTGATTTATTGTAATGGCCTTTACGTTGTACATTTCTTTATTATTTCTTAAGTAATCAATAATTACAAAATGGAAATAATCTCAAGGCCTCATCCAGATCTGTTAACAACAAAGTGTTCTAGTACCTTTGCCATAAAATGAATGAGCTAATCTTTCCATTTCTCTACATATTTTCAAATTATTCTGTCAGTCTCTTTGTTCAATATCTGGGTACAATGAAAACAATTCCTCTGCTCTGAAAGGATTTTATTTTTTAATCTGTCTGTTACCTCTAGTTTTGAAAGTGTTTTGCATAGGGATAGAAAATCTGTCAAAAAATACTGTGGTTTGGATTTTGCTATTTTACAATGGGAGACCTATGATAAAAATGTGGAGAATGACTGGAGAAAATAGGGTAAGAAAAATGGTTGCAGGGCAGACAAATAGGGCCTTTTATTTTGCTGTAGGTGGTGAAATGAACTGAGCTCAACATAGGAAGAAAAACCACTTCTAGGTTCAGTAACATGGCATTACTTGTGGGGAGATCTTTTAAATAAAGACGTTTTATAAGGGCTCCTTCTTTTTTTCCAAAGTAATTCATTTATAGTACCTACACATGGATTATTAGCACATAATATTTATAATAAATTCTAAAACCCTATGTTTGACTATATGCATTGGATACTAAATTTAATGAGAAGATCTATGAAGATCTTTAGAATTTATTTATTATCTTACTAATAAATATGCATTAGCAATTTGTCAGATATGCACAAGGGCTCCTTTGTACTTTGAGCCCCCCCAAAAAGACAGAAATGATGCTGCTGCTTTTCCTTCTGGGTTAGAAAAAGAAATGAACATGTCTTAAAGGTCCATAAAAAACAGTCAGCTGTCCCTTGGTATCCCTGGGTAACTGGTTCCAAACCTTCTGATACTAACATTCACAGATGTGAATATATAACTTATATACATCCTCCCACATACATTAAATCATTCTAGATTACTAATAATACAGGATATGATGTAAATGCTAGGTAAACGGTTGTTATACTATGTTATTTAGGGAGTAATGACAAAAAAAGTCTGTATATATTCAGTACAGATACAGTTTTTTCCAAATATTTTCAATCTGCAGTTGGCTGAATCCACAGATGCAGAACCCATGTATTACGGAGTGCCAACTGTATTTTAAAGCAATTAATGTTATACTAACACTGTTTTACAGCAAAACTGCGAGAGTCCTGCTTTGATCCAGGCAATATAATGAATGGCACCAGACTTGGAATGGATTATAAATTAGGGTCAACAGTCACCTATTACTGTGATGCTGGTTATGTTCTTCAAGGTTATTCAACACTCACCTGTATCATGGGAGATGATGGAAGACCTGGATGGAATAGAGCCTTGCCAAGTTGTCATGGTAAGGAACATATTTTTTGGCTGAATTTTCATGATTAGAAAAAATCAAAAAATATTTAAAGACATTTCTGTGTTTCAGAACATCAACTATTCCACATACAATCTACAAGTGTCGTACTAGCAATGCAGAGATTTTATCAAACATTTTAAAGTTGAATTCAATAAAGACCTGGTTTTGGAAAAGTGCTTATATTCCCAGGTGTCTCTAAAGCAATATGTGTACTATAATAGGCAAACTTTCTGAGAACTGGGTTACTGCCTGTTATGCTAATTTGTGTGCCTTCAGGACTTGCACCTGAAAACGTTAGGTGCTCAGAAAATATTGGCTGAGTACATGAGGAACAAACACACTGAAACTAACATTTCAACACAAGTAGATAAATTTAATAATTTAAATATTATTAAGAACTGGTGATAAATCTTTATCTGTAATAAGGATAAAGAAGAATATGTATTTCTTCTAGGAATTAGGTTGTCTAGAAGGAGATATAATACTGCATATTTAAAAATCATATACTTGTATATAACTCTCTCTATATAAGAAAGGAAAAACAGAGAAACAGTGATATCATTGCTTAGGGTTACTAGAGACTCCCTAATCCATTGAATGATCCTAGTGCATTGTACAAAAATTAACACAGAAGTGATATCATCTAGGACAGATTTCCCCAGCTATAGGTCACCAACAGTGAATCATAAAATCAATTCATTGGGTTGTGACCAGCATTTTTATAATAGACATAGAAGTTAATCAAATAAAATTAAATTAAAAGTTAATAAAATAATAGGAAAAAAGTATACTTTAAGGAACATAGAGAGAGTACTTTTTTTCTTTGTTTTTGAGGTGGAGTCTGGCTCTGCTGCTCAGGCTGGAGTGCAGTGGCGTGATCCGGGCTCACTGCAACTCCACCTCCCGCAATCAAGTGATTCTCCTGCCTCAGACTCCCTAATGACTGGGATTACAGGTGCACACCACCACACCCAGATAATTTTTGTATTTTTAGTAGAGTTTTTGCAATGTTGCTCAGGCTGGTCTCAAACTCCTGGCCTCAAGAAATCCATCCACCTCCACTTTCTAAAGTGCTGGGATTACAGGAGTGAGCCACTGCACCCGGCCGAGAGTACATATTACTTTTGGAACTTTTCTCTGTTATATATAAAGAAATAAATAAAATACAATAAATATACCTCTGTGTATATATTTACCTGCATGCATTCAAGTGTTTGAATTGGTCTATGATATAAATTGCATTTTTTACTATTAATTTCAGTGAAAATAAATGACAATTTTTGATATCTAATACACATAGTAATTTTTCCTAGTTGTAGAATGTATTCACTTATAAGAATTACATGTGCCCAATTTCTGACTTACCCTTCTCTGGATTTATTTTGTCTCATCTATGAAATAGAGATGATTAACATTTTTTACTTCAAAATATTGTTATAAGAAACAAAGAAATGGTAGACATCTTCTGATTGGTCCATCATTACCAGAACAGCTGGTTAATTTTTGACTTGCATTTATGGTTCATCTATCAGAAGGCAAAAGGAATAAATAGAGTAATAACTACTTTGGGATTAATTGTTCCAAAGAGAGAAAAAGTGATTGATGGCATGGAAGTTTATAGGAAATTTAGGAGAAAGGGTCACTGTATCATATTAGAATTTAGAACCATATAAATTAGTATTATGTAATTTAGAATTAGAAAAATCTAATTTAGCTAGAAAAAAATATTAAACATAGAAAATAACTTTTCAAATTTTACTGTCAATGATCATTTGGAAACTATAGAAAATTTCTGAAAAATTTCCAGGAGCCAGATTCAAAATAACTAAAAGTCATGATGCAGAAATATCAAAGGACACAAAAAACTATAGATTATTAAGATAGATGTTAATCGCAGGGATAAATGATTAAGTAGATGGCTTTCAATGACAGGTGAAAAAGTCAGGAACACTAGACTAAAGTATGCTTTCACTAAGAATATGCCCACCTAATATAATCATACTCCTTTCCAATAGGTCATAGAAATGTCAGTTTCAACATGAAATGTGCCATAATATTTTTTTAAAAATCCTTTTGAGCCAAAACCATTTTATAGGATCACTTATGGCCCAATTAAGTATACTTAATGTTGGTTGAATAGTTCATATCTACAGACAATTTAGAGCATACAGCAGACCTGAATTCAAATAGATGTCTTCTGACACCTGTGACCTAAGGCAAGCTGAGTCTTGACTTTTAAATCTCTAAAACTAGATTAATAGTTATTAATTCAGTAAGTTATTGTGAAGATTCAATTAGTAAACACAACACATATAGAGAATCTAGTAAAGTTTCTGACAAAAGTTGGAATATAAATATATGGGAGTTGTGATTTCCAACGCAGAGTTCCAAGAGAAGCAAAGTGCTGATAAACATGCATCACATCTTGCATCAGGTGTTATGTTTTGGTTAACTAGTATACTTCTGTCATTTTAATATTAATTAAAAATAATTTATCTATATTATGATGTGAATACACACATTCATTCACTCCTGAAAAACAGGTGTTGAGTATTTAAAAATTTCCCTAAGAGATAATTGTTACCATCAGTTAAGTATCATTAGACTTTTAATCAAAATGGACATGATATTATGGAAATCGAATAAAATTTATTCAGTGAATTCTTTAAGCTAATAGAAAAGAAGTTCAAGATAAGTTTATGATTGCAACCAATAATTTCTAGTATAGTAAAACAAAAAATCCTGTTTTAGAGCTAGATATCTTTAATACTAAACAATGAATTTTTTAAAAAAGTCTGAGTTTCTGCGTGACTTTTCAATTTATTTAGTATATCTAATCATAAGATATTGTGTAATTTGCAAGGTTGTTGAGAAAATCATATTAAATAACTTATTTTAAACATTGGTCTGTGGCTGTCACTGTCACACAATAAGGAGAATTTGATATATTTTTGTTTCTTAATCAATGTCACATATCAAATTATTTTTCTTCAGCACTTATACACAGGACTGGCTGACTTTCAGATGTAATAACTTAATATCTTTTTTATTTTTTCAGACAGGGTCTCACTCTGTCACCCATGCTGGAGTATAGTGGTGCAATTGTGGCTTACTGCAGTCTGTACTTCCCAGGTTCAAGCAGTTCTCCCACCTCAGCCTCTCAGGTATCTGGGACTACAGGCATGTGCCACTACACCCAGCTAATTTTTTATTTTTATTTTTTTTGCAGAGACAGTGTCTCACTATGTTACCCAGGCTGGTCTCGAACTACTGGCCTCAAGTGATCCTCCCGCCTTGGCCTCCCACAATGCTGGGATTACAGGCATGAGCCACCACACCTGGCCTAACTTAATACTTAAAAGTCAAATTTAGTATTTAAAGTATGTGTAATAAGCCAGAGGGTTCATTGTTCGTAAAAACAAATTATTTTTTATTTTTTTAAGATAATTTTTTTATTTTTATCTGAGATATGCATATGATAACTAAGAAAATAATAAAAAAGTAGCTCATATTTAAAGCAATGGTCATCTGCCTTATCCCTCTCTATCCTCTTATTGGTCAGAAGCTGAAGATTCTGATTTCTAGTTCTGATTGCTATGATGGCCCCTCCCAAAACTCCATATAACATAGGAAGATCTGTTTCTTTATTTACCAATTCTAGATAATAATATCTTATTATTCCCTGATACAAAAGATGATGTAACAGACACAATCCCTCTCTTCAATGTTTCAGTGTTATATTATTTGGGGTTATTCTAGTGATTGCTTTTGCTATACATTAATATGTGTACGCCTCTATTTCTAATTTTATCAATGTTTGAGAATTAGGTGACTGGCCCTTTGCTGCTTTTCAGCCGAGGTCCCATCCCACAGTAGGTATCCTGACTAAAATCTCTGATGAAACTGTGACTGACTGGTAGGCATTGCTTTTGAGTGCATACGTAGGAAGTTAACTGTGATTCCTAGGAGTGAAAATAAGCAAAACTTTTTCTTTGTTTATTCTTTATTTTTTTAGTGTAGAAGCAAATACCAACATGATCATATTCTGCAGACTCTTAGAACACAACTACATTTCGCTTTTTCTTATAATGTTGCCTTAGTCGCACCCTAGAAGAGCATAAGCTCCATGCAGTCATAGGCTATAATATCGTGTTTAGCGTGTAACACCTTAATTTATATAAATAGGCTCTTGTTAAATATCTGTAAACTCAAACCGAACCAAATCAATTTATAAAGTTTGTCTATTTTAGAAGATAGATTTTTACCATGATTTAGGATTAAGTGTATATGTTAAATCTGAAGAAAATGTTTTTAAGAGCTTAAGTTGGACACTGGGAGATTATATTTGTCAGAAGTAAATCCAAAATGATTGCATCCTGTGGTAAGTCCTGTTCAGTGATGAGAAACTTTGCAGTTTAGCTGATGATATTGTCATATATATTAAATAATAGCAGAACAGCATATCTGTGCCTACAATTCCTTTTGTGATTAAAAAAATTTGTTTAGAAAATAATTTCTTCCCTGTTTATTTTTCTTACTTTAAAAAGTATCTTTTAAAACTCTGTAGTAATTTACTTATATACAGTCATACTGAATAAAAGTAGAAGTCATATATCATTCTTATCCATAATCTCACTCAATATTAGGTAAAGGTAATAAAACAAAAATAGTGACAGATTCCAGATTTTCCCCTTAATATTATTTGCTTGATTTATCTGACCTAATCATGTTGCCTTGACTTATTTTATCTAATGGCGCAGGTCTAACCTTATCCAGAGCATCTGCCGTCTCTTACCTCTTTTCCTCTTTCCTAACTAGTTTTTCTCCTTCCTTTGTTCTCCATATAGTATCTTCCAAACACAATAGAGTGATCTTTGGAGCATAATTCAGATTATATCATATTTACTCAAAATCCACCAATGGCTTCCCAAATCAGAATAAATGCCAAAGATCTTATAATCCAAAGTTCTACTTCATCTGCTCATACACACCCTGACCTCTTTATTGTTTCCTCCCTCTGCTACATTCTTTGAGTGACACCAGGCTCCTTGATATTTCCTCAAAGCACTGATCAGACTTCTGCCCCACATCTTTTGCACATGCTGTTCTTTCAGCCTGGATTATTTTTACCCCAGCTCTCTGGCTGTCTAGCTCTCTTGTTTTCTTCAGGCATCTAATCTCTTGTCTTCTTACTAGAAGAAAATTCCTATTTACCCTCCCCGTGCTCCTCAGAGCTCCCAGGACAGAATCAATATCTATTCTAAAATTGCAACTCTATATCCTGAATAAAGATTTATTTGATGTATGTAAAGCCCAAAGTACTTTCAGGACCTCATAACTTTCAAATGTAAATCATTAAACTAGAGAGTACTGACCACCGTACAAATGAAATATTCTTAATCTTTTCCATTGTTACAACGTACAGTGAGCATCCAATTAATAGGCAGTTATAATATATGACCCTAAGAATAAACATATTTAGACTGTTAATGAACTACTAGCTCACCAATTATTCCAAAGAAAAGATTATATCATTTGTTGATTCCTTTTAGTCAGGTGTTAAAAGTACCATTATGCCTGGTCCTGCATTTAAAATTGGGGATAACAACATGAATTCAACCTTGTCCTTGCCCTTAGAGAGTTTATAATCTGATGAGATACAGATAGGTAAAGTCCATTGCTAGAAATAAAAACAGTACTGTGAGCACAGCATGGATATACATCTGATCTTGCTGTGAAGAGAGATCAGGGTGGCTTCCTTATGAAAGTGATATGTAAACAGAATTTTAAAAGTATAAGTAAGAAGAAACTAGGTGAGCCACAGGAAATAAAGAGATTATGTGTTTCACAACTAGGGTTCAGCATATATAAACATGTAGAAGTAAAGAGCAAATAGGAAATGCTGGTGGAATTTCAAGTAATTCAGTAGAACAAGAGCATAAGGAGGAGGATTGTTGACAGATGACAGCTTACCTGTATCAAGCTGGTAATAATAATATTACATATTATTTTGTGTTTCACCATAATGCCATGAAGTAGAGACTATTAATATTCTCATTTTATAGATGAGGAAACCAAGACACAGAGAGAGGTTCATCCACTAGTTCAAAGTCACACATGGTTAGCAGTCTTCTTATGAAGCCATGATCTTAATCACTGCCCTATAGGTAGACTGGTTAATTCTGCAAAGGACTTTGTATTGACCTTTTTATATCTCCAGAACCAAAGAGTGCCTGGAATATTTTAATTGGTTTAATGTTTTACAAATGATGTATGGCACTAAGAATAAGTGGTGAGATTGAAATCTTCCTCCAGGCTAAGTATGAGAATTAAGAGAATGTAAATTCCTACCAAAAAAAAAAAAACCTGATAGAATTTTTCATCTTAAATGCATTTTTGTATTTCATCTGAAATACAACTCTGGACAGTATACAAAGGCCTATATAGATATACTTAGCCAGCGCTAGCTCTGTTCTTTTCAATACCTTTGTTTCACATATGCTGATATAAGATCTGGATTATGCAAAAAAAAAAAAAAAGATTTAAGTCACTCAATCACTGATGACCTCTAAGGTCTGTCAAAAGTGCCTAAACACAAATATGTTAAGATTAGACATCCAGCGGTCTTCTGGCACCATTCTCTGTTCAACTTCCAAGTATATGTGGAATGATACAAGCTTTTAAAAGAAGAGCCCTCTTACCCTGTTAATTAAAGAGAAAGCTTTGAAACAAACCAAAAAATAAGAAGTCAATTTTATAATTACAGCTTTCCAACTTTAAAGTCATCTCTAATTTACCAATTATTCATATGCCTTACTTTTAATGAAATCATATTGTTTGGGTATATATAATTCAGAAATAAATAACTACACTTTTATTTCAGATATTTTGTTTAAATGGCATGACTTGTCTTGTGCTAAGATCCTTATGTCAAATGTCCTTGAGGTTTACAAAATTTTTTGGGGGTGTGAAATAAGTCTAGAGTCTCATTCCATTATCAATGCATATAGAGATTATCTAATCTAATATACTGAGCCATTGGCATTTGAAATCATTTAAATATGTAATATAATTAAAGCATGCAGACAAAAGATTCATAAAACAAATGCTTAGTGGTAAATTATGTCTGTGTATCATCAAATATCTGCTTTTCATCAGCAGCACACAGGAATTTTGTTCACGGATAAAATACACAGATTATGTGTTGGAAAGGTTTTCAATAGAGAAGCGTAATGTATTTTAATGTATTTTGCATTGCATTGGGATAAAACCAAAGCATATTTTGTTTTCATACGATAGGGGAAAATTATTATTTAAATGGAAACAAGAAGAGATGCTAATGTTAGTGAGCACTTGCTATTTTTCTGACAGTCTTACATACACTCTGTCTCCAGTTGGCCTCCTGGATGCTAGTCTAGAGAATCATTAACATTGTTATAAACAAATCCCTGCTGCTATGGATTCTGGAGCATACTATGTGGAGTAGCCAATGTAAGAAGTAATTTGCAAATCAATGCCTATAATTCAGAGTATACAGGTTGAGAATCCCTAATCCACAATGCTTGGACTGGAGTTTTTCCGATTTCAGATTTTTTTCGGATATTGGAATATTTGCATTTATACTTACCAGTTGAACACCCCTAATCTGAAAATCCCAAATCCAAAATGCTCCAATGAGCATTTTCTTTGAACATGAACTTTGAATATCATGTTGGTGCTCAAAAATTTCAGATTTTGGAGCATTTTGGATTTTGCGTTTTGAATTAGGGATGCTCAACCTGCATTTTATTGTTACCATTGACTTGGGGTTCATATTTAAACCATATCTCCAGATGGACAGTCATATGGATTCTCATTGTACGAAGATGTGCCCCATTCTCAACTACCATGTAGTCTACATTTAAGTGAGACCTCAAATGTACCTTCCTGGTGTATTGTCAGTTTTACTGGACCATATATATATATGTGTGTGTGTGTGTGTGTGTGGGTGTGTTGAATCAACTTAGTAATTATCTTCTTACAAGTGAAGAAAATAAAGTATATAACAGTAACTGTTAGTAGTCATGGCAAGATTCAAATGGTATTAAGGTAATAGTAACATTACCTTATACACCATTTTGAGGTATCTGAAACGATTATAATGCAGTATAAAAAATCTATAATTTCTACTGGTGACAAAGTCCCAGTTAACTTTTACTATTCATGTGCTTTGTTGCCTACATTTGTAATTAAGAGAAATGCTAAAATTCAGTTAGAAAAAAATTCGGTTAAAGTCTAGAGAAAATATAGACATTTTTCTTCTTCATCTAAATTTCTGGAAGAAGGAAAGGAGCTCCTGAATATAACGGAAAGGAGAAGATGAGTCACATTCTCTTCTTTAGAAGTCTGAGGTGGAATAACAGCCAATGCTACTAGTAGTCTTATTTCACCCCAGGCTTCTAGAAGATAAAGAGTTAAAGAAAAATAGAGGACCACATCCACCTTGACCTTCAACAGCCAGGCAGTGACCTCAACCATTGAGAAACAGCTGAATTGACATGGCTTCCTCTCTTTGGGATGGAGTACTCTGCTCTTGATCCTTAGAGAAAAATTAAGAGAAGAAAATACAAGCCATGAACTTCTCCTAGAGAGTGACAGTGCTCAAAGTAGGATCACTTAAAGGCATTCCTACCTCTGTCAAGGGAGCAGTTTGGCAAACTACTAAGAAAGTTTCTTCTGCTATTACCTCTAAGCTTTGTATCCTCCTGAGATTGATGAGGTTAGTTCATTTTCCTAAGGCCTTACAAAAGCCTCATTATATTGCCAGCAGAAGATTCTGGAGTAGATCAGGGCAGTTCCCTAATTCATTTTCCTAAACCCACACTACATACCAGATCTAACAGACACTTCCTGTTCCAGTTCAAGTTTGTATTTCCCTCTGTCCTAAGGCTACTCAGTCAGTAAAGACTGAAGCTGGAATTTAAACCTAAACCTTTCTCTTATTTTTCTTTTTTTTTCGAGGTGGAGTCTCACTCTGTTGCCTAGGTTGGAGTGCAGTGGCGCAAGCTCGGCTCACTGGAATCTCTGCCTCCTGGTTCTCTTGCCTAAGCCTCCTGAGTAGCTAGGATTATAGGCACCTGCCACCATGCCTGACTAATTTTTTTGTATTTTTAGTAGAGATGGAATTCTGCCATGTTGGCCAGTCTGGTCTCGAACTCCTGACCTCAAGTGATCCACTGGACTCTGCCTCCCAGAGCTCTAGGATTATGTGCGTGAGCCACCGCGCCCAGCCTAAACCTAAACCTGATTCCAATGTGCTGAGTTTTATGTTGTACTCTACCATGCTATCCTAAATGGAAGGATTTTTTAAATCTATGAGTTTTATACTCCATGTATTTAGTCAATAGCAAGATATTAATAATTTACATTTTGTCATTTTTCCTAATACAGCATATATTTATTGGAAACCTATTATAAAAACAGGTACTATGCTAGGCTCCAGAGATACAAATAGTATGCAGAAAAGACATGGAAACTTTGATTTGACAGATCTTATAGACTAGAGATAGATATGGACATTAATCAAATAGCCATACAAAATAAATACAGAATTACAAACTGCATTTACTGTCCTAAAAGTAATGGTGGTTTCTGAAAAAGTCTGGAAATTAGAGAAAACATTCCCAAGAAAGCAACATTTTTGAGGCGATTTGGTAGAAGTTAACAAATTATTAAAGAGCGCTTTTCCCTTTAAAGTCATTTTAAACTAATATATTAGTTGCTTTAAGTAATTTCTTTAAATAGTAAAAGGTTTTCATCATTAAAAAGCAGTAAGACATCAACTATGTGATAAAAAGCTATTTTAGTTTCAAAAACTGCCAATAATTCAGATCTTTTAAGAAATTATCTTCCCATACAGTTTCCTAAAAAGTTAGCTGTTTCCAGGAACTTGGGGGTAGTGACAACAGCGTGCGACTACTAATGGGTACTGAAATTATTTTGGGAGTGAAGGAAATGTTCTAAAATTAGAAAATGGTGTTAGTTTTAAAACTCATGAATATGCTAAAAAGCATTCAATTGTACACTTTAAAACAGTGAATTTTATGTATGTAAATTATATCCCAATTTTTTAATTGGGGTACAAAATGAGTCACATAGTATCATACATTAACTGTCTATGCCCTCCAAAACTATTACTAGTAGTAGAATTTGTATGTGGTAACATGGAAGATCTATTCAAGGATATAGCTGTTCATAGGACTTTGTCATAGAATGACTCTTTCTGTAGGATCACACTCTCTGATGGAGAAAACAGCTCACAGAGCACTGAGGGATGAAGGTGATGGCTTCCTAGCCAGGGAAATCTAATGAATGAATCCAGGCAATCAGTGAGATGACAGGTGTAGAAGCTTACATCCTAACATGACTTATTGAGTCATTAAAATGGTTTATAAGCCACTGATTACCACACTGATATGGAATTTTTTTTTTTTAGTATTAAAAAGAAGTGTGAAATTTAAACAAAGTCAATTCACATGTAATGGAGCATTATTGGAGGCTTATCATTTAAGGCAGTTAAACAAAATGAATTATGTGTTGTTATAGGGGAGACATAAAAAGACATGAAGGGAATGGCTGGATAGTTAGGTATTTTTACTAAGATCAAATTTTTGAACAAAAGAAACAAACAGTAGTAATTTTAATTTTAAAGTCAATACTGGTAATAGTAGCTGTCTGAATTCAAATTCATATCACAGACTTTAAGGGTTAGGAAAGCCTTCTCTTAAAAAATGCTCCATGAGAGATATAGCTTTCAAACATATTCTATACTAGGATTTATGATTTGTGACATTCAATCAGGCTATATCAATGCATAAGTAATTTACTAGAAATATACTAGCAGTTTTGTAAGGTACAGCAGTTCTTTCAAACTGAAAGAGTCACAGGCCACATCTAGTAAATTATTGATTTAATATATCACATTGCTCTTTTGTGACCTGCAAGAAGTCATCACTTTTAAAAGTACCTAACTTGCTTTCTGTGAATAATTTATACATTATATAATAATTTTCATTACAGAGTATATTTGATAATAAATTATGCATTACACAAGTGAAGAGACAGATGTGAAATTGCAAGTAGCTTAAGGCTATGTTGCCTGTATTATAATGTCTCTAAGATACCTGAACATTCAAGTAGCATTTCTCCCACATAAATGTTTTGAAATTTCTTCTAATTCACTCAGTGATAAGTTTCTTCTTTTCTTCTTCTGCTCCTCCTCCTCCTCCTTCTTCTTTTCTTCTTCTATTCTTCTGTCTTGCTCCTTCATCCCACATACATACCCCTGCTCAAAGTGGTATTTTCAGTGGATGATTGGATACCTTAAAACCTGGTGGTGTGATGGTCTGATTTCTCCAGAAATATCACATCTGTCTACTGTATCATTGCATACATAATTCATGGGTAAAACAAGAATATATGTAATATAGTTGGATCATGGACACATTTTACTTATACAAATCAAATGAAACAAATTCAGCCAAAAGATAATTTTTTTAAATTAAACAAATAGAAGAATAAAGAACAAGAAAACTAAGAAACTGTGTGAATAAAACTTCACTCACTAAATAAGCATATTCCTTAGACTGATAAGATATTAGCATGTGTATTTGTCTGTTTGCATTACTATAAAGGAGTACCTGAAACTGGGTAATTTAGGAAGAAAAGAGGTTTAATTGGCTCACATTCTGCAGGCTGTACAGGAAATGTGGTCTGCCATGCTTCTAGTGAGGGTCTCAGAAGGCTTCCAATCATGGTGGAAGGTGAAGGGGGATTAGACACATCACATGGCAAGAGAGGAAGCAAGAGAGAGAGGGGGAAGGTGCTACATGGTTAAACAACCATATCTTGGGAGAACTCACTCACTATCGCAAGGATAGCACCAAGCCATTCATGAGGGATTTTCCCCCATGACCCAAACACCTCCTACCTGGCCCCACCTCCAATATTGAGGATTACATTCCAACATGAGATTTGAAGTGGACAAACATCCAAACACTATCATTCTGCCCCTGGCCCCTCATATCTTATATCCTTCTCACATTGAAAAATACAATCATCCCCTGCTAATAGTTCTCAAAAGTCTTAAATCATTCCAGCATGAAATCCAAAGTCATAAGTTCCATCTGAGACTCATGCACTTCCACCCATCAGCCTATAAAATCAAAACAAGTTATTTACTCCCAAGATACAATAGTAGTGCAGGCATTGGGTAAACATTCCCATTCCAAAAGTGATAAATTGGCCCAAAGAAAGGGTCAATATTCTCCACACAAGTCTGAAACCCAACAGAGCAATCATTAAATCTTAAAGTTCCAAAATAATCTTCTTTCACTCCATGTCCCACATTCTTGTGTGAGGGGTGGACTCCCAAGGCCTTGGGCAGCCCCGCCTCTATGGCTTTGCAGGGTGCAGCTCATGTGGCTGCTCTCAAAGGTTTGAGTTGAGTGCTTGCAGCTTTTCCAGGCAGAGGTGCAAGCTGCTAGTGCCTCTGCCATTATAGGGTCTGGAGGGTGGTGGCCTACTTCCCACAACTCCATAAGGTAGTGCCTTGGTGGGGACTTTGTGTGGGTTCTACAATCCCACATTTCCCCTTGGCATTGCACTAGTAGAGTTTCTCTGTGGGGCTCCAACCCTATAGCAGGCTTCTGCCTGGGCACCCGGGATTTTCTATACATTCTCTGACATTTAGGCAGAAGTTGACAAGCGTCCTTCACACTTGCATTATGAGCATCTGCAGACCTAACACCATGTGAAAACTGCCAAGGATTATGGCTTGCACTTTACAGAGCTGTGGCCTGAGCTGTACCTGGACCCCTTTGAGCCAAGGCTGAAGCCAGAGTGGCTGGGATGCAGGGAGCAGCCTCCCAAGGCAGGCAGCAGGGCCATGGGCCTGGTACAGGAAACTATTATTTTTTCCTAAGCCTCTGGGCCTGTGATGATAGAGGCTGCCTGAAAGATCTCTGAAATACCTTCAAAACCTTTTCCCCATTGTCTTGGATATTAGCACTTGGCTCCCTTTTACTCATTCTAATTTCTCTAGCAAGTGATTGCTCCACAAGCCTGCTTGTATCCCACTCCTGAAAATGCATTTTTTCTTTCCTGCCACATGGCTTGGCTGTGAATTTTTCAAACGTTTACACTCTACTTCCCTTCTAAATATAAGCTCCAACTTTAAGTCATGTCTTTGCTCCTGTAGCTAACTATAGTGATGTACGATATTTTCTTCTCCAACACTTTGAAAGCCGTGAATCTCTGGCCAGCGACACCCCACCTGGGCCTCACTGGGCCACGCTGATGTGTCCCAGCTTGCCTTTGTTATAGTTTGTACTCGCAGTTGGTAGTTCCCTAGCTCTTGTACTGAACCCAAGAAGGAGGATATTCTGGACATTGAAGGGTGAGGAGGGTGAAGACGAATTTTATTGAGCAACAGAACAGCTCTCAGTGGAGAGGGGATGCAGGAGGTGGTACCCCAATCTCACAGTCGGGCAGTTCTCTCCTCTGTGCATAGCTGGGTCTGGGGCTTTTTATGGCCTCAGCATAGGGGAGGGGCAGGCTGTAGGTACTATTGGAAAAGGCAGCATTCGATTGGGTAAAAGACATTATTTAGAAAGAATCAATTAGGAAAGGGCAGGCGAACAGGAACAGAAGTTCTCACTCTGGGTCGCGGGTTTCATCCAGGACCAGCAGTCTGGTCTTTCAGCCTTCAAGCTGTTTTTTGCTTGAAGGTGGGGTTTCACCACGGACCCACCCCTATCTTCTTGGGCATTTGGCTGCCTCCTGCCGCTCTCAGTAGGTTGTTAGAAGTAGCCAGGCCACCTCTTGAACGGTTTGCTGCTTAGAAATTTCTTCTGCCAGATACCCAAAGACATCACTCTTAACTTTAAGTTTGCACAGATCTCTAGGACATGTACTAGGACATGAACACAATGCAGCCAAATTCTTTGCTAGAGAATAATACAGGTGACCTTTGCTCCAATTCCCAATGACTTCCTCATTTCCATCGGAGACCTTGTCAACTTAGACTTCACTGTCCATATTTCTACCAGCATTTTTGTCACAACCATTTATGTAGTTTCTAAGAAACTCCAAACTTTTCCTTATCTTTCTATCTTCTGAGGCCTCAAAACTCTTTGAACCTTTGCCCATTACCCATTTCTAAAGCCATTTCTACATTTCCAGGTATCCTTATAGTAACACCCCACTCCTTGTGTATTAGCCCGTTTTCACACTGCTGATAAAGACATACCCAAGACTGGGCAATTTACAAAGGAAAGAGGTTTATTGGACTTATAGTTCCACATGGCTGGGTAGGCCTCACGATCATGGTGGAAGGTAAGGAGGAGCAAGTCACATTTTACGTGGACGGCTGCAGGGCTGCAGGCAAAGAGAGAGAGAGAGCTAGTGCAGGGGAACGCCTCTTTTTAAAATCATCAGATCCTGTGAGACTTATTCCCTATCACAAGAACAGCACGGGAAAGCCTTGACCCCATGATTCAGTGACCTCCCACCAGGTTCTTTTTACACCACATGGGAATTTAAGATGAGATTTGGCTGGGGACACAGCCAAACCATATCAGCTTGATAGGAATTTTCTAGTCAAATTTTGCTTTCAATTTGTTAGTCTGTTTGTATTACTATAAAGGAATATTCGAGACTAGGTTATTTATAAAGAAAATAAATTTAATTGGCTCGTGGATTTTCAGGATGTACAAGAAGCATGGCTTCACCATCTGCTTCTGGTGAGGGCCTCAGAAAGCTTGCAATCCTTGCAGAAGGCAAAGCGGGAGCAGGTATGTTACATGGCAAGATAGAGAATGAGAGAGAGAATGGGGAGGTGCCATATACCTTTAAATGACCAGATCTCAGGAGAACACACTCACTATTGCTAGGACAGCACCAAGACATTCATGAGGGATCTGTCCCCATGACCCAAAGACTTCCCACCAGACCCCACCACCAACACTGGAGATTACATTTCAATATGAGATTTGAGGGGGGCATGGCACCAACATTCAAACTATATCAGCATGGATTTGCTACTATGGGCTTGGTATTAGACATGGGTTTGCTATTCCCTCAATAGAACCCAGAATCCATATAGCAGTCATATTATAAGCATCTTACCATTGGATATATTTCTAATGTTTAAAGATACATATCTTTCACATAGTATTGCCCCCAAATGTAAAGCACAGCAATCAAGCAAAGAACAAGCAATTTCCATCGCAGAAAGAAAAAAAATAGGCTTATATGGATTTATTGAAAGAGGGTGTATCTGGATTCTGTACTAAATTTAAGTAATTTTTTCTGAGATAATTTCAACCAAATGAAATGTTTATGTTATATGCTGACTACAGAACATTATTTTATAGTAGCCTGGTCTTGCAGATATGGTTCATTTAATAATCCAACAGATATTTATGGAGAGCCTACTATGTACAGACACTGTCCTGAGAAGAGAAGAGAAGAGAAATATGATAAGTCTTATGTTTTAGAAAAATTGCTACCAGTGGTATGAACTTGTGGTGATGAGTGGAGCTGAGAGTCAAAGAGCACATGCAGAAATTGATGGGAGTCTGGACTGTGACAGTTATAGAGGCAGAGGTGATAGAGAAGCTGATAAATCACATAAGGTTATGAGCAACAAATTGATTCTTTGTTGGACGCCAAGAGTCAGGGAGAGCAAATCTAGAATAATGGCAATTTATAAGTAGGCTAAGTTTGACATTTTCAGTCTCTAAATTATTGGGTTCTATAGGCATACATAAAACACAGTTCTTTGGTACAGCAAAATTACAATTAATTATTATCAATTACATAAACATTAAAATTATTACCAAAAAACCCCCACATTTTAGAATCATCACTTTGGCCTTTTGCAAAGTATGTTCTTAAGGAGGCAGGTCCTGTGAGATATTACATGTAAAAAAATTTTTCATGGTCAAATAAGTTTGTGAGAAATAGCATGATATTCCCTAAAACTTACTAAAGTCTCAAGTCCTTCATTTGTATTTCCCACACTTACTTAATGATAGAACCATGTCTTCTTAAATTCAAATGTTCTACAAACATGCTATTAAAAATATAGATTTAGGCCGGGCGTGGTGGCTCCCGCCTATAATCCCAGCACTCTAAGAGGCCAAGGCAGATGGGTAACCTGAGGTCAGGAGTTCAAGACCAGCCTGGCTGACATGGTAAAACCCCATCCCTACTAATAATACAAAAATTAGCTTGGCGTGGTAGTGCATGGCTGTAATTCCAGCTACTCTGGAGGCTGAGGTAGGAGAATCTCTTGAACCTGGGAGGTGGAGGTTGCAGCAAGCCAAGATGATATCATTGCACTCCAGCCTGGGCAACAAAAGCAAAACTTGGTCTCAAAAAATAAAAATAAAAATAAATTAAAAAATGCAAATATGGATTTATTAACTACATAAGTTATAATCAGGAGCAGTGGGTTCTTATGTTTAATGCATTACAAAGAATATAGGCTTTTAAGAGAAACAACAGCCAATTTGACAAAAGGTCCACAGGTATATGTGGCATATGTCAAATAGCAAAAATAAGAATAGAACCCAAAGGTCTGACTTGCTTTTATCTTCAACCAGTTGTTAAGAGCCAGAAAGATAAAAGCTGCCCTTTTCTCCATTAGCCAATAAGATGACATTAAAACAGAAAGTAAGAATATAAAAAGCTTCTGGAGACCAATATTAGGAGAATCTGTGAAGTTGGCCTGACTTATTATTCCATTTATATAAATATTAGGTTCGTGCAAAAGTAATTGCAGTTTTTGCCATTAACAGTAATGCCCAAAACCGCAATTACTTTTGCACCAACCTAAGGTAAAACAAATTACAATAGATGTGTATCTCAGAGCATAGTTAATTTTCCCTTATTTATAATAACACACTGCATAATTATCACTCACTATAATATTCTGTGTTATTGACTATAAATTAGGCCACGCTGTAGGCACTCATCAGAATAAACATAAAATTATGTTTACAAGTACAAATAACAGAATCTAACATAATATTACCATAAGGACATGTGATTAAATTACAACCTCATAGTATATTTGTAGTTTAAAAGAGCCTTCATATTTCTAAATATGATTTTTAATAAAAGCTGTCCTAAATGTCAGTTATACAAAATAAAATATGTAAAACAAATTCTGGCTGTCAGACACGTGTTAATGTAGGATGGCACAATGTTCATGACTAAGTTACAGAACTGAACTTGAGTTAGAAGTTTCCATTTCTATCATACTTCCCAAATATAAAAATAAGAGTTTAATAGTTTTTGTCACATTCATTCAAAGTATTATAATTTTAATTCTGGAGCACCTTAAAATCAGAAAGAAAATTAACATAAGACATACTGCCCATTCTTGAATGATTCTCTCATCAGTAGCATTATCAGTTGAATGAAGTTATCAGTGCTGAAATAAGAATAACACCTGACTGCTCTAATCTCAGACAATAATGAGTGATGAGAGGGGTGCATCTTTGGTTATTATAATCACTGTCAATTTGTTGTTTTTTCTAGATAATTCTAATTTTAGTGTGTTTAATTCTAACTATTACCTTTTTATAGAACATTAAAGAAAAAAGGCAGAATATTCATCACTCAACGCAATACAACGTACTGTTTGTGTTGTGTGTGTTTTAACTATACTGTATTGCTCTATTTTAAAACTTTGATCAATAATTAATTACAAATTTTTACTTTTTCAAACTGTCATAACTCTTCTGGAGGTACCTAATTCATCCCTGCATGCAGTGCTCTTTAAAAGGAAAATCAGGCATTAACTTCAATAAATTCCCAGTATAAAACCTACACCTATCTATTTCTAATCTCCTTTTCTCAAGTCACAGAGGTAAGCCACTACTGATATCTAATGGGAATCACTCCACTTTTGTTTTTGATCTTATTTCTAGGTCAATGCTGATTTTCCTTGTGTAATGATTCCTTCCTCCCTATTAAATCGACAAAGAACACTCATTCAACTTTGCATCTCCAAACTACTTTATACATTCCCCTCCAATTTATAGTCATAATTCTTGTTACTTTTGTATTTGTTTATATACCACTTACTCTCCATCCATCTATAATCTAGCCTCCCCCACTTGCCCCCTCCCCACTCTAGTTCGGGGGTTGGCAAACTTCTTCTGTAAAGGACCAGATACTATTTTGGGCTTTGCTGGCCACATATATCTTTGTTGAATATTCTTCTGTAGTTTTTGTTTTGTTTGTAACTCTTTAAAAATATAAAAACCTTTCTTGGTCCACAGGCTGGATTTGGCCTGCTGGCTATAACTTGCAGAGAGCTGCTCCAGTTGAAACTACTCTATTAATAGCACCAAAAAACCTCCTTTTGGTGTTTGAGGGGAATAATAAATTGTACTCTGTCCTTCCTGCAAAACTTCAAAGGAAATCAAACGATCAGCTTTAATACTGATGAAATATGAGTGGCAGTGACAACAGGCTTCCTACTAGCTGTCGGCAACAGGCTCAGCCCTACCCTCAGAAGGCGCCCTAAAAAACCTACAGTGTAGAAGAGCACACCAGACAGTGTGCTCTGCAAGAAGGATGGCTCCTAATCTGAAAAAAGGTACAAGTTCCTGTCCAGGGCTCACCAATCAGGAAACTCATTCTGACTCCAAGGGTGAAGGAGCAGGGCCAGATGGCAAGGTGTTAAAAAAAAAAAAAAAAAAAAATCCCTCTTCCTGCAAACTTACACCTGGGGCAGAAAAACTCCACTCTTACACTCCAGATTGCCAAGTCAACCCAGACTTCTTTTGCATTTATTAATCACTTTGCAACATTTACCTCTTTGAACACTTGTTTTTCATTGAAACTCTTCTCCCTTGACCCCCAGGATAATAATTTCTCTGTAGCTACCCAATCTTTATCTGATTTTAAACCTTTGGTGTCTCCTAGAACCTCCTCTTTGCCCATCTTTTCTCATTCTACATACTTTTCAGAGTGATCTTATTCGCTTAAAGAATACCAGTTACCATCCGTATGCTTTCGGTACTAAATCTCCATTTATCTCAGGTCTCTCTTGAGTTCTAGAACTATGAATCCTAATGCATCCCCTGTCTTGTGAATAACAGGACCCCCATATACAGTTTATCAGAAACATTGTTTTCACCCTCATCTTTTTTTTAACATACCACATTGGGCCTGAGGTAGCCAATAAGTCTGCCTCAAGGCACAATCAACAACTCCTGTGATTTCAAAGTAAATTATATATGCAGATAAAGATTGATGAGAAAATAGAATACTTAGATGAGTGGGTGAATGTATTTGTACAGCCATCCATGTCTCACACATAATCAGTGTTGAATCTGAGTAGAATTCCAAAGCCTGCCAGCAAGTAAAACAATTTCCCACTTGCATATGTATTTTATCATTATTATAAAAATGATTAATTTCACACTCATCACAAATGAAAGGTGGGCCACCATTATATTTCTAGGTAACACCATTATAACATTATATTACATACTTTGTTTCTGAGAACAGTAAATTTGAATACTTATAAAGTTTTGTTTGTACACTTTTTTATTTTTCAAATATTTAACACTAGAGGATCTTATTATAAGATGCAAATAAATTATACACCTTAAATTCCATTAGCCATATATTTTTTATATGAAGAAGATAACCATGGTATGAATTTTTTAAAACTTTTTTCTAAAAATGATATTTTTGCCATTTTTTCCTAGCGCCCTGTGGAAGTCGTTCAACAGGTTCAGAAGGCACTGTTCTATCACCAAACTATCCAAAAAATTACAGTGTGGGACATAATTGTGTTTATTCTATAGCAGTTCCAAAGGAGTTTGGTAAGTAAGATTCGACTCATTATGTAGTATTTCATCCAGACATGCTTTATTTTTCACTACATGCTATTCAAAAATTTTAAATGAAAATACGTGCTATCCATAAAGTATTTTACTATGCAATTCTTTTTAGATAGTGATTTTGTAATAATACAATTTTGAGGTCATCTTACTCAATCTGAATTTACAGTCAAGTACACAGGTGAACAACAATACAAAAATGAAAACAGGATTGTTTTTAATTTTTAAAAATGAGTATATCAGTAACCTTGCAAGTGCCTTCATATTGGAATTTTATAAAATGGGAAATTACCAGAGCATAAAGCCAAGGCTGCTCTGTAAAATATGTATTAAGTCAAATATTGAACTATTACAATAGTAACAAAAGTATTTACAAAGCAATCATATCAATTTTATAGTTTATTAACACATTTCCAGAAAGAAGAGTTTTTGGTTTTAAGCATCTAGTTTCTGGGGCAGCAATAAATATAAAAAGACAGCAAAGGACATTTCAGCTCATCTTGTCAACCTGACAATCTGTTCTGCATTGGCACTAAGAAGACAATGTGTCCTTTGCTGCCTTCACATCTTTCTGATCACACGTCTTAGAAGTCACTTATCTGGCTTTTAAAGGTTTTGGTTCTGAGATCCAGCTGGAGCTAACCTAGATTAAGTTCTGTTCACAGATGGATAGGCAAGGGAAATTTAGAGAGCAGTAAAGTGTGAGAGAGAGGCTGAAAGTTCACAGACTTCTAAAATTTAGATTTACAGCATTGTGTTACATAGTAAAGGATTTGTTATAACTATGAGGAATGTCTGGGCCTGGATGACTCAGTATATCAGCAGAAGGACATGGATTTTATCATTAGAGATAGCTGAATAGCATCTTGACTTAACATTTCTGCTGCTGAGATATAAAATAAGCTGATGCTTCCAGTCCAATTTCTTATAACCAGATACTACCTATATATCCTCCTTTTCATCCTTCTGAAACAAGTCCAAGATCTTCAACTTATTTGAGAGTACTGTCATCAGAAATGTAGTACTAAACCTTTTATTTTAACATTGAAATAGAGTGATGATGCCAGCATTAGCAAAGTGTCTGTTTTTGTACTCTACAAAGTATTTCTTTCCCCTAACATATTGATCGGTTGAATCAAAGGTTAGGTCTTTGATAGTGAAGAAAACGACAGTTTAGAAAGAAAAATATCATTCACTTAACTGTGTTTATTTTTTGCCTTTTGAGTCCTTCCTTTGCTAGAGAGTTTTATGCTCCCCAGATGCAAAAAAATGTTACATGGTTGCTGACAGAATCCTAACAATGATTATCCAGAAAACTTCATGGCTCTCTGAGTCCTCTTCGGAAGCCATTAATTTATCGTATTATACTCTGTTCTTGGGAGGCCATGTGGCCAAATGAATGAGAAAGAGGAAAATTAGCCATTTAATGTCCTGACAAATAGACATGCTGGTCATCCTGGAGATGTATTACTGTAGCCTATGTATGCTCAAAAAGAGAAAGAAAAAGTACTAATTGAAATAAAAGTAAATTAACAGATTCCTAAAGAATGAAATCTATAGTTTTGTAGGGTTAATATAAGTTGAATTTAATCCTCTTAATATAAAAAAACTGCTACGTTGAGCCAATAATAGTTGGTTTTTAAAACTGTTTTTTTTAAATGAATCTTCTTGTTTTTTTTGTGGACAAAACAAAGTGTACTTTGATTTATTAGTAAAAAACTAATTTTATTTTACAAATGTTGCATCATTCTTCATTTTAAGTTACATATATATTTAAGCACCTGTATTCTAATTTCAGCCTTGTCACATGTTAGCTATCTGCCCTTGGACAAGTTACGTAATCTCTTTGAGACTGCCTCTTTATTTGTAAATTTGGTATCATTTTGTTTATAGATTAGAGATGTGAGCAGTAAATGAGATATATATATTATATACATATATATACATGTGAAGTATGTCTAACATACTTCATGCTTAATATCATTGGGTTAACGAATGCCAGCTTTCAAGTCAGATTTCTGGGTTCAGGCTCAACTTAACTTACTTGCTATTTTCATTGGACAAGTCCCATTGTCAGCCTGAACCCTACACATCTCTAAAGTAGCAATGATAAATACCTACCTTATGTGGTTATTTTATAATAATTTGATGTATGTGAGTGATTGGCGTAATAACATAGTAAGTCACATGCATACACAAGTACACATATACACATTCTTCTTTATGTTCACATTCATATAAAACTTCCCCTATCCCCTCTTCCACCCCCGAAAAAGGTTAAATTAAATGACATGCATTATTGGATTGAACTAAGGTCTTAAAAATAGCATGGTTAAAATAAAACAATTATTTGTGTTATTTAGTTAAAGCATGAAAACAAATATTTTGGGTTTTATATCCCAGTGACTATTCAATCATCTAATGATCCCGTACAATTTTCTGGGAGTAGGATAATGGTAGTAAACAAATACTGACTGTTGACTTCTTCGTATTACCTTCCTTTACCTCTTTGATGACAGATGGTCAAGCAGTAGTTACTGGATCTCTACAAATCAGATTTCTATTTTGCTTCTGCTTCCTCTCATTCTCACTTTGCCATAATTTTTTTCTGTTGCCACGTTGAGCTATATTTATTACTTTTCAGTATTACTTCATCACATATCACTTCTCACATTTTTTTCTTTTTCTGTCATTTATCCCAAATTATGATCATTCCTTCTTCTATATGTTTCATATACAGATGCTCTTAGAACATGACTTTTACATCGTTTAGCACAGGGATTCCTAACCCCTGGGCTATGGACTGGTACTGGTCCTTGGCCTGTTAGGAACTGGGCCGCACAGCAGGAAGTGAGTGGCAGGTGAGCTATCATTACTGCCTGAGCTCCACCTCCTGTCAGATAAGCTGTGGCGTTAGATTCCCATAGGAGTGCAAACCCTGTTGTGAACTGTACATGTGAGGGATCTAGGTTGTGCGCTCCTTATCAGAACCTAACTAATGCCTGATGATCTGAAGTGGATCATCCTGAAACCATCCCATGGGAAGATTGTCTTTCACAAAACCTGTCCCTCGTGCCAAAAAGGTTGGGAACCACTGATTTAGCACGTCTGTCAAATACACTCAGTGCATTCATTGGATTGCATTTTACATAGGGGTTAAGGCTCTAACATCCTTATGTAAAAAGAAAATCACATATAACCAACATTACACATGAAAATAAATTAAATCACCCATGAAAGATCATCTACATGATTTTACATATGCCATATTGTCTCTGAAATAGTCTAACAGAACATTTTTATTCCTTCAATGTAAGAACAGATGACAGTTTTCAGATAATTCCACATGAACTACTTGTGTTTCTTACAGGTCATGTGGTACCAAATTACTTTTTTTTTTTTTTTTTTTTTTGCCTGGTGTAGAATTAAATGCCTGTAAGTTATTTTTGCCATTACTTTTAATGGCAAAAACCACAATTACTTTTACACCAACCTAATAAATATGTGCATAATATTACTTCGCTTTACTGGTTGATTGAGTAAATACTCTTTGTCAGTCAATTGCCATCTTTTAGTTTTTATAAATAAGACAAATGTCAATTCATAATGTTTTCATGAGCATCACTGAATTTCATTTGAATTCAGGTATTGGGGTCAGATTTTGGAAATATTCATCCTGCAGGATTCTACTTGTTTTATTACTCTCAGAAAAATAACAGTTCTGGATCAATTAGATAGAATTTATTAATATTTTACTCTCCTTATTCTACATATAAGACTAATACATTTGGCTTTTTGGATTTAAAAAATCCTACTTATCTATCAATAAAATATATTTAATTTTTCTTCATTTTTCAATGCTTAATCACCAGTTGTTTTTTCTTATGGTTTAGTTGCCTAAGACTTTATGAATTATATTTAAGTGTCAGAAACATGGAAGACCAATTTTATTTTACTTTTCATTTCGTATAGATAACATGCTTTAGAATGTAAGAGAACTGTTAACATTGTCAGAGGGAAAATTTTTTGTTAATATGTATTATACCTAGAGTATAGGAGTCCAAATAAGATTTCGGGGAGGGAGGAATTAGTAAAATTTGGGAATAAATGTGTAGATTTCTATTTTAACAATCCTGGCTGAGAAGAAACATAAATATATAGGATGACAGTCAAAGTAGAGTATAAATCAGCAGGTAATGTTTGGTTTTTGTTTATTTTCTCTTACTCCAGCAGATACTGGGGTATTTATTTTAAAGCCCAAAGAGAAAGACACAGTAGAGAAGACAAAGCTGAAGATATGAGGTGGATCAATTGGTAAAAAAAAAAAAAAAAAAAAAATACTTTAGGCAATTGGAGGAGATGAAATTTTAAAAACAGAGGGAAGACCTCTTTATAATTCAGAAGAAATAATTTGCAATTAGCAACAAAATATCTGGATTAATTTCACATGAAATATTGAAATATTCACATGAAATATTGTTGGAATTATCATTCCTTCCTATTCTCCCACCTCTATCTCTCTTCAGTCATCCTCTTCTTACTTTCTAGGAATTATCTGTAAAAGAGGATGTATTCATGTCCTAAGGCTACTATAACAAAGTATCACAGGCTTAGTGGCTTCATTTTATTCTCTCACAGTTCTAGAGACTGGATGCCTGAAATCAATGTGTCAGTAATGCCACACTTCCTCTGGCGGCTCTAGAGAAGCATCCTTCATTGCTTCTTCCTAGTTTCTGGTGACTCCCAGCAAGCCTTGAGGTTCCTGGGCTTATAGCTGGTTTACTCCAATCTCTGACGTCATCTTCACAAGACCGTTTCTCCTAACTGTCTGTTTCTGTGTGTCTGTCTGTTTTTTCTTGCTCTTATAATGACACCACCTATTGGATTTAGGGCCCACTCTACTCCAATATGATATCATCTTGATCCTTAACTAATCACATCTGCAAAATCCCTGTTTCCAGATATGGTGACATTCCGGGCTTCTTGGTGAACATAAATTTTGGGGAACACTATTCAATCCACTATAAAGGGTGAACTATATATATACATAATTTTATGTAGAAAATCTTAATATAAGTTGCTGTATAAAGCACGCATCAGCTGTGTGGACTGCAAACTGACATTCAGATTTCTTGGAAAATTCCAACATGTAAAACATCCTGAGGATATCCAGTATAGTCGATGGTGACTTAATTTCATGTTTAGCATTCCAGATAGCTCTACCTCCTAGAAGACACACCCCGAAGACATATTTGTTAGTGTACAGAGCTTATTCTTTCCCGACTAGTTTTCACACTTGGTATGTTCAAAATGGGCATAAAAACCTTACATTTGCCCCAGTAATCTGCCTTCTCACCTATCTTTTATTATTGGCACAGTCTCTTGGTTGCATGTTTCAAATGTATGAATCCCTAAATCATCTGAAGTAATTGTCAATCTAGTCTACTATGTGCAAATGGCACACAGAGTTACCAAACCCTTTTGCATATTGCTGTAGGAGAGGCTTTTTAAAAAAGTAGCTGCCACTGCCTTGAACTTCTTTTCTACTTTAATGTATTTTGTTTATTTCTTATTCACAACCACTATCTTTCTTATTTCTCATTGAAGTATTTTTATTCCAGTTAATCTAGAAACATCTTTCCTTAGGATATTACTCACATTATAAGATTATAATTTTTTAAAAAATATAGCTCTATTATAGTATTATGTTAAAACAGTGATAAGTAGCAACTATTTCATTAATTTTTATTATATTCACTAAATGTATTTTATTTTGGGCTGATAGACTTAGGTAATTACATAGTGGTTATTAAGTGTGATTTGTTTTTGCAATATCACATCTTTCACATTTCTGCATAAATTGTTAACCTGTAAATGGTAATCTGAGAATTTAGGTATTCTTGTAATTCAGAAGAAAAAAGTAAAACAATGGATTGAAAATAAGATGCATACATACTATCTCTAAATGTATACATATATGTTTTTCCATTGGGCATCTGGACTTTTAAATACATGCTAATGTAGTTTTGACTTGGATATGTATTAATGAATTATTCTCATCTTTTATGTTAAAAATAATAGCAGTTCATTTTGTGTATATTTTTCCTTAAAATTCACACATATATTTGACCATTTACTCTTTGGTCTTATGTCTGTGAGTTTTTTTTAACAATTCAGCAACACAGTCTATGTTGTGGTTACCTCTTTTTATGCTTAATTCAATCATTTATTGCCACCAATTTTCTCCATATTTTAGGGACAGATTGTTTTTAGATTACTTTTGTTTGCTTGTTCAATCAGTAAACCATTTTATTGGCATTTTATTTTCCCCAGTATGAAATTTTCAGTAATGAATGAATACTTAAGAAGATCAATAAAGGCTTTTATGTATTTTTTACTTAAAGTATATGACACTTCACTTTTTAACAGTACAATTGCATTAAAACCAATTATTACTCTTTTTTAAATACTGAATTTATCTAACAATGACACATATTCACAATATGTGTGTTTATTCAAAACTTGCGTTTACTATTTGTCATTACTTTTTAGATTTGGAGCAATCGAAAAGAACAGGGAACTCTTTTTTTTTTTTTTTGAGATGGTGTCTCCCTCTGCTTCCCAGGCTGCAGTGCAGTGGTGCCATCTCGGCTCACTGCAACCTTCGCCTCCTGGGTTCAAGTGATTGTCCTGCCTCAGCCTCCCAAGTGGCTGGGATTATAGGCGCCCACCACCACATCCAGCTAATTTTTGTATTTTTAGTAGAGATGAGGTTTCACCATGTTGGCCAGGCTGATCTCAAACTCCTGACCTCAGGTGATCTACCCACCTGGGCCTTCCAACATGCTGGGATTACATGTGTGAACCGCCACACCCAGCCTCTTTTTTTCTAACTGATGGTTGTTTTAATGTAAATTAGCAGAAATTACTATGTTATTTGTGTGCCTATAAGAAAGGAAACCCCTATTTTTTAAGCCTATCATTTTAGAGAAGGGAAATATGATTATCATGTGTGCTTATGATTATATTATTTAATTTGGAGGGTATAATTTATATAATTAGATCTCAAGCCATGGCTTGGCCATTTGGTTGAACATGATCTGCCTCTCACCCCACCTACATTTCAAAGACTGTTGAAAACCCATGGGTAGCGAGGTAAGGCTGTGGGCCACAGTATTCTATCCCATAAAAGGCAAAGGCTGAGAGGCTGTTAAAACAGGCACTAAACAGAACATATGATTCAAATCAGTGATAATAGAATATTTACTATCTGATAATTGGATGGAGTCAGTAATTTCAATAGTATTGATTTTGAGGCCTTTAATATGTGAGACGACAGAATGAAAGTTGCAGTAATTCACCACGAGGGGGCATTAATTTTTTCCAGGCTTAAAAGCAGCTAAAATAGGCTACTAAATGGAGACACAGTGGGGATAATCACCCCTTCTCTAAATACTTTTTCTAAAATGGGTTTTAATGTTTAAAGGCCCTATGTTATTTTACACTGGGCTATATTAACTAACTTTTAACTGAAGATAAAAGTCCATAGAGTCCTAATTTGTCAAGCCTATTGTAAGTGCCAAAGACTTTATTTAATTTTACTACCTTTTTGGTCAGAGCTTCCATGACCACTGTGGGATATTTAGGTAAGGCAATAACGCTGATGATTAAAATGAGGCATACTTCTTTGTTCACCATTTTATATTTCATATCTCCTTTAGATTATAGGGTGTGCCTTATTGAAATTTAGTGGGATCCCCAGGAATAACTGTATCTGAGCCTCTGTATAGATTAAGGCCATGAAGGTTTGCTAAGTGGTGCATCTCAGTAGATGTTGCACTTAATTTAGAACCCATATTGTAGAGACATAAAAACCAATCAGAGACATTTCATATTTTTACATTATAAGTTTTTGTGTAAATTTTGGATTTCCAGTTGGGTCAAATTGTGGATCCTTCTCTTTTAATTTTGTATTTCTTCAACCTGTATGTAGTTTATTGTTGTTTTCATTTCTGCTTTAAGGGTTACTATATGTAACTTCAGAGGAGGGAAGGTCTCCTTACCCTACTTATATTAATTATTAATCATAATTATTTCATAATTAATAAATTTCTTCCTCCAAAGTATCTCAAATTAGTAACTTCAAGGTTAGAAACAATGGTTGCTTTATAAGGTTTAAGAACTCTGGGTTTATTTTAAGTTTTCATCAACTCATCAGTTGTTCCACATAGGTGCCATATGTGTTTTCCTCTAAAGCCTGAGGATTAGATTCTTTGTTACAACAGAGACCTGGATAGCAATATCAGCAAAGGCAATTTTTTTTTTTTTTTTTTTTGAAACAGAGTCTCGCTCTGTCGCCCAGGCTGGAGTGCAGTGGCAAGATCTCGGCTCACTGCAAGCTCTGCCTCCTGGGTTCACTCCATTCTTCTGCCTCAGCCTCCTGAGTAGCTGGGACTACAGGTGCCTGCCACCACGCCCACCTAATTTTTTTTGTATTTTTAGTAGAGACGAGGTTTCACCGTGTTAGCCAGGATGGTCTCGATCTCCTGACCTCGTGATCTGCCCGCCTCGGCCTCCCAAAGTGCTGGGATTACAGGCATGAGCCACCTCGCCCAGCCAGCAAAGGCATTTTATAGGGTTTTAGTGAGTCATCTTCTTTTAGGAGGTTAGAACTCAGCACACCATATGGTAGCTCTTCTTTCTCACAATCCACCATCCAGTGAGCCCATGTATTGCACAGGGTATCAATATTTTCCCTGGGTCTTCTCTAGAAAAGGGGCCGGTGACTGCTTGACACACACAACCAATAGCCACACAGTAAGAGTTGTTTCTCTGAACTTAACATTAGTCACAGTTTTTGCTGGAATCAAGATATGTGATTCATTATAAAGTACACAGATAAGTCCAGGCTACAACATACAACAGGGTCACTTTGATGAGGACCCAACCCTTGGTTCTAAATGCCAGTTATTAAAAGATCTGATGTAGATTGGTTAAAACTGTGATAACTTGGAAAAACTCAGAAAATGCAGCACAAAGCAGCATAGCTCTAAGTGCAAGTTTGCCAGCAGACAGCAGAGCCAGTTACCAAGAGAAAACAAGAGAAGAAAGACCTCTAGTGGTTGTAGTCATCACTTAGACATCTTCCTCATTGCATTCATTGTTGTAGTCACTCTGCAGTTGGTTTGGACTTCTTTTTTTCTCTTTCTTTGAGACAGAGTCTTACTCTGTTGCCCAGGCTGGATTGCAGTGGCATGACCTCGGCTCACTGCAACCTCTGCCTCTTGGGTTCAAGTGATTCTCTTGTCTCAGCCTGCTGAGTAGCTGGGATTACAGGTATGTGCCACCACACCCAGCTAATTTTTGTATTTTTAGTAGAGATGGGGTTTTTCCACTTTGATCAGGCTAGTCTTGAACTCCTGACCTTGTGATCTGCCCACCTTGGCCTTGGCCTCCCAAAATGCTGGGATTACAGGTGGGAGCCACTGCGCCCAGCCCTGGTTTGGATTTCAAGACTGATACCACACAAGCACAAGGAAGTATGAAAAGCCGTGTTACTCACAAAATGAGACTTTCTAGGGAGAGCAAGGCAAACTGCCAAGCAGTTTCAAAATGCGTGAGAGAGCAGAGAAGGGAGATTGACTGTGGAGTTTTATTGTGATTATGGAGTAGCAGTGGGGTGAGAGTTTCTGTGTACAGGTGAGTGCTTGCATGATTTAAACTTACCACTGGTGGCAAAGAGGCAGCACTCAGGTGACCTAATCAGCTTGCCCAGATATGAGGCAGAGGGGAAGGAGGAGTGGTGGGGCTTGAAAGTTGTCAACAGTTAAACATTAAAAATGATTTTACATGTTTTAATATAAGCTGTAATTTATACGTGTGTATCATATATATAGTCATATATATCTTTCTGTTGTTATTATATTATCTTTCCATTTTAAGCAAAGTTATTTCCTTTCAACTTGCAAGAATTTCACTATAATATGCTCTAGAATGGGATTAGCTGAATTTTCAAAATAACTGTCAAATAATCGATTAGATTCATATGATGGTTATCTATTCACATTCATTGTGTATAAGTGCCGATGTTTATGTTTCATATTTCTGCTGCTGTAAGGCAGTTATAGAAAATAAGTTATGCTTAATAATTCAGAAGAAAGCTGAAAAATATAGTGCAGGAACATGAAGCTAGACATTTTACAACAATTTGTTTAAACAGTGGTTATGACATTTCAACATATTAGTACTTTCCCCATTTATGGTTGTTTTTAGTTTTTGCTTCATTTTACCAATGTGATAAGTTCTGCAGTTGTCCTGTTAGGCTATTTCATACCAGGTGGCATAAAGCTGCCGAAGATTATTTTGACATGAGGTTCAATGTCATAAAGTCAATGATGGTAACAATTGTAAACTGAAGAGAAGATTGAGCGGTTACTGCGAAATAGTGGGAAACAAGGTGAACTGGGGATCCAAAGGTCTGGATTGCAGTCGTTTGCCTCTAATTGGCCATGTGACTTTAAGCAAATTACTTAAGCTTTCTGGTCCTCATTTTCTTGATATATAAAATAAAAACTTTTGTCCCCAAGGGACTTCCTAGTTTAAAAAATAGGTGAAATCTACTTTTGAATTTAAAGAGTATGCTACTGGAAGCTAGAGAATTAAAGTATGGGAAAGTTGCACCAAAAATCTGCTTACAGAAGTACATGGATTCATATAATTTCATTAAATTCCAAAGATAACTATAAATTTAACCTAAATTCTGAATCTTTTATTATTCTGCAAAAGTAAGATTAGTTATATAACAATGGCATGCTACATTCTTCTCTGTAATTTTCTTTCTTCTTTTCTCTTTTTTAATGCATCGGAATATCCGTGATGGTCAGTTTTAACTTTCTCACTCTTATCATTAAAGTGTAATAAATACCTCCAAGATAACTTTGCATTTTTCAATTCATTACAAATGCTAGAAAATTGACTTTCTACTTTGTTTCCCTGCTGGTATTTAGGCACAAAATAATTCCTTGAATGAGCCTGAATATTCATATAGAGAGTAAACATTTCTTGCAAAGTTTCACTATAAAATTGTTGGTCTTCTCTTTAAGATGTTGATATGGGAAAATATTTGAAATAATAAAAAGAAAAAAGTTATACATATATATTAATATAGATGCATTACTTTTTCTGGAAAACTTTTTATGGAGAAGTCATTACATACAGCCTTTTTTAGTATTTCATTATTCTGTCATGCAGAATCACATTTGTAATATTTCATACCATGACAGATTAAAGCTAGAAGATAAATGATTTATAAAAGCACACAGCATGCCACAGGCGGAGTCTTTTGTAAACAAGGAATAGTCATCATTTCTGACACTATCCCACTGATGTTTTAGGATAGTATAACGATCTCTAATTGTTTAACACTGCAATGCAATGCTGATTATAATTAAAACACACATGTTTGGTGTTTTTTTCTGTTTTGGTGACTCATATGATTTAATTACCTACTTTAGACTTAACAAAGGCTAACATTTGCATTTTGAAATAATGTATTTGAAAACTCAATAAATTATATTTCAAATAGGTTAGAAGATTGATAGTGCTTATTTTGTGCTTGGTATACAAACATATGGTGCACATCACACACTAAAAATCTGTGATTCCAGTCTCTGAGTTAGAGGGATTTGAATAGTATTCTCTTATAACTTTATAAACCCTTAACATTTCAACCTAGCGGCTTTTGCTGAGAAGCAGAAACTCGAACAGAGATTTAACTGGAATATTTTCCAAATTCACTGAAGCTGTGGTTTATACTAAAATACCAGACTAACTATCAAAGTTTCATCTATTATACTGCTTATTTTAGCAATATTTTATATAACAAATGTTTTTCAATCTTCTATAATATTTATTTTATTGTAACAGAGTTTGCCCATTAAAATTCAAATTAAAATCTTTCATTCAATGGTAGATAACATAAATGAAATCAATATCTGGACAGAGATCATATGGGATGGTGGGTGCAGTGGTGAACTAAAAAATCCATGCCTTCTTGAAGGTAGTTTAATTCTATAACATTTAAAACACAGTATGGACTAAATAAAACTCAGCTGTAGATTGAATTTGACTTTCAATCTAGTATGTTTGCTGTTCTTAGTGTAGGGGTATGGAAACTTCATGCTGCTTTCTCTTTTACTTAACCCCTTTGCTTCTCCTTACTATCTCTAAATTTGTAGAAATGTGCTATAAATAATTCTAACCTCATTGTGGGTAAAGATCTATATTATATTGCTTGTAAGTGGCAATTATTCACTAATTTGCTCAATTATTTATTTACACTGTGTGTATACATCCAGCCTTGAGCTAGAATCTGAATGTTCAGGTTATGTAAACAATGGTTCCTGCCCTCTAGGAGATCACAGGAAAAGGAATTAGAAAATTAAACAGTTTATTCAGGAAGAATGTGGAAACTGCTATAAACTACGATGTGGGAAACTACCGTTTGTAAGCATGCTATGGGTAAACAGAGGAGGAACAGCTAAGGCAGGCTGGTGGCTGATTTGAGAAATGGGGATAACCGTGACAGAAACATTGATCTGATGAGATGGCACATGACCTAAGTCTTAATGAATGTGTAATTGTTAGCTGGAGAAGGACATTCCAGCCAAAAAGAACAACACAAGGAAAGATGTAGAGATATGGCATATGTTTTCTGAAAGGGACTATATATTTTTATCTCTAGTTGAAGAGCAAAGTACTAGTCAGGAACTAATATGCTTGAAACTGGTAAAGAAGGCAGAGACCAGATTATGAAGTGCCTGGTATGCCATGTTAAATCAATTCAACAAATGCTTATTGTGTTCTCACTTTGCTTCAGAGAATTATTTGCTAGGCTGAGGCTACCTAATGCCCAATGAAACAGAAATGCTTAATTGTTCTTGTTAGTATATTGTCTAATTGAGTAGTCAGATAACCCAGGGATAATATTCACCTGGTACTTAAGGGCACAACAATTTTCAGTTGTTAGAATTTTGAAACATTTACATGTACTGACAAATAGCCACTTTTCCAATCTCTAAAATTGCTCCATAATTCTCTGGCCGCTGGCCCTTCCCCAGCCTAGCAACACTTTTGACTCTTCTGTACCCACGTCATACTGATTAAATATTTTGAGAATTACCTTGTAAACATAATTGAATAAACCCCCCCCCCCCACACACACACACAACACACACACAATTATGAGCACAAATTTGGCTAGTGAGCATGAAGGGTGAGGAAAAAAAACCCAAAGTATAATGAGAAAGGATAACAGGAGGATCAAATTTAGATTAGGGAGATGAGTGAAAACTGCAGTATGCTGAAAATCGAAGGATGAGAAGGAGGTTGAAATGTATCTCCTGTACCATAGTAACTAATTAAGCTATTTTGCAGGGGATTAACAAAACCCGTTGGACATTTTAGTTAATATTATTTGTGGCAGGGAGAGAGTGGTTGTTTCAGAGGTATGGATGAGAAACAATGAGGGGATTAATTTAGGCAGTGGAGAAGGGAGGAAGCATTCATTGTTTGTAGAAGATAGTAGGGATGAGTGAGATCTGTGTATGTGCCTGAGTATGTGTGTATGTCAATATTCTAGTGTAATTCATGGTCTCTAATGATGGCAGCAGGCACATGAGTAGAAAGGAGCAAGTGATATTACAAAGACCTTGAGAACTGCTGTCAAAGCCCTTCCTGATGTCTAGACTTGAGATATGAATTCAGTGTCCAATCACCAGCTTTGCAGTTTCAGAAATTCAGTGTTGTCAGCTACCTCAGAAAGTATTCACACTTCAGGAGACAGGTTCACATTGTTTTCCACTCATCAAACCCAAAGGGACTGATTTATAAATCACAATACCAATTTCCAACTCTTTTTGTGAGAGAATATCTGGCAAGCTTGGCAGTCTTGGCCTTTTGCCTAGAACGCTTCATGTTGGTGGAAATAACTACTCCTTGGACAAAAGCATATAATTACTTTAAAAATTATAGTCACAAGCTTATTGACATTTAAGGATACCAGGAAGTAGTGTGATGTACTAATGAAAAGTTTATTTCAAACTACTACAGCTGGAAGAAATGTTCTTATCTACTCTAGAGACATTTCTTTATTTAGAATTCACTAAACCAACTTTACCCAAGACTTTGGGAGGGTAAACTAACATATCTGGGTGAGAGGACAGGGACATAAAGTCCAGCAAAATTTGGAAACATGGGGTTTAAAAAATATTTTAGGCTTATTTTCTCTAAGGATGCTAAGTGTCTTTAATAAGCCAATATGGATATTTTCTCTATCTCTGTTTCTCTGTGTGTGTGTGGGTGTGAGTGTGTGTGTGTGTACGTATTTGAAGGGGACTGTCTTTACAAAGTTGCAGCTCAATGAAAATACTGCGCTAATATGTCATCTCTTTGTGATCAAAGGTTGTATTTTTTTATTATTGAAAAAATAAAAGAGCTTGACAATTTTTTGCACATTAAAACAAATCTCAATATGTATTTACTGAAAATGCAAACAATTGAATTAATCAATGAATTAAGTAATCCTTTATCCTGGGTGAGGAGGACATTTTCTATGTTTCTTCCAGATACTTATTTACCATATTTATTTACCAAGGTATTAGCTTAATCATTAACCAAATGTTTGCTTAGTTGATCACTCCTCCATTCTTGGAAAAAATGTGGGTAAGCATCAATCTTGACACAGTCCTAAGCATTTAGACATTCATATGCAGCTGGGAGAAGCTAGTCCAGGAGTTATCTTACAGCCAAGATAAGGAGTATGGAGCCACAAACTCTGGACTGACACTTTGAGATTAGAAAGGAATGAGGAGGCCTAAATGCTTCATTTTAGCCTCTTCCCAGTTCCTCTTCACCTATTCCCTGCTCCTAAATTCCTCAACTTTACTCTGGCCTGGCATTCTCTACATTTTAGACATTTAGATAAAACTCTGGATAAGATGAGAAATTACATTTCTTGAACATTTAAATTTGTGATATGAGAACTGTATCATTTCATATAAGAGCTTTAAAAGACATTTCTCCGTAGAATTAACTGAAATATCATTCTGCAGGAAATATGGGTCACAGAGCATGCTGTAGGATTCTAGTAGCATTATACCTTTTAAGAATTCAGTTTAGACTGTAAATTCTTGATAAAATTGTACAGGCTTACTATTTCTGAACAATCCAGTTCTCTCACTCGCCTGTGAATTCTCTTCACTCCATTCCCCATGCAGGGAAACTTCTATCTAGGGTGTTGGTGGTACAAAATAAATAGGGCAGAGGAAAAACTCCATCTGACTAGCCAAGCATGTGTCCAATTATTTTCAATATTAATGCCCACACCTCCCCTTTGAAGCTTGAATTTGACTGTGTCTTCTCTTCTGTTACTTCTAAAATGAGGTAGGGGCACTAGAATTAGAATCCTATCCGAAGAAGGATGCAAAGTCCAAGGTTCTGTGGGTAGAGGGAGAAAACATTAATGAATGTCACATAATATTATCTCATGACATATAAATCAGTTTTGTAAAAGAGATTTATATTTGAATTTTAATTTGGCCTATAATTTCTCAGGAACACATCCATTTTATAATTCATATTTGACTGATAAGTTAATGTTTGTATTTATCTTTAATAGCTCTTTTGGGTTTCTTTGCATCATGTTTGAGTTTGTAATCATATTTCATGAGGGTTTGTGTCTAGACATGTTTGTTCAAACCTAAAACATGTACCCTGCAGTAAAAGGACAAAATTTATAGCTATATAATCTAGCTTTCAGTATTAATTATAGACCTTATGTGTAATCTCATGTAAGTTATTTATTCTTTCTGACATCTCATCTATAAAAAAGAGATAATTATATCTGACCCACCCTAAACCATAACATTTTTGTAAGTATCAACAAGAAATGTAATAGTTATAGCTTTTCAATATTTTGTTTTCTTGTTGGTTAATTTTAAGAAATATGACATTTTAGAAATATGATTTTAAGTATATTTTGTACTACTAAACAGGTATTTTTTCCATTTATTTTCTTTAGATAATAAGCTTCCCCTCTCTTCAGAAAGCACATTTATGTTTTCTTAATAGTATTTCATAGAACTATTTATTTCTACTCAGTGCTTATTGCAGTTAATTAATGAAACCTGAGTTCCACAAACTGCTGCTACTAAGTTTCCTCTGTCTGGTGATTGCCCTTCACACCTATTTGCTAAATTCTAAAACTTACCAAGTTATCTCCCTTCATTTTTGCTGATTTCTGCTATAATTTTCTGTGGATTTCCTGTTTGAAAAATAAGGTCCACATTCATAGTTCTTACCTACTTATAAAGCATATAATTAGATATTTTCTTTCAGTTCTCTACTGCTCATTTTTCTTCTATAATATTTCAAACATAATCCTTTTCCACATTTTTTTTCCGGCTTCCAAATTTTGTTTTACATTTACTGAGGAAATTATGTGTTGTCTGGATGTACTTCCAAATAATTCCAGTGTAGAACTCAGGTGGTCAGAGTATAGGGCTAGTGTGGTTTATATGAATAAAACTAGACCATTGATAAATAAAAAATTTTGCTGTGTTAATTTTTTAATCAGCTGAACTTCCAGCAGCATTTTCAAAAATATGAGACAAAAAATAACTATAAAATTTATGCCTTCCTTTTTTTTTAAATCCCAGCTTGCATCATCTACAGTTGATTGAGGAATTGCCATGAGACAGTTTTCCCACTGAGGCAACATGCTGTGTAATCTAAGAGCTATGTGAAGCTCTGTGAAACTGAGCAAGTCACTTGATGTCTTTGGGTCTCAGTTTCCTCATCTGTAAAATGAGCACGTTGAAAAAAAAATGCTAGGAAAATCTTTCACTGTAAATTTCCCTGACTTAGGCATTGATTATGCTTTGATTTATTTATTTATTTATTTATTTATTTATTTATTTATTTACTTACTTATTTTTATAATTTCAACTCTTATTTTAGATTTGGGACTACATGTGCAGATTTGTTACATGAGTATATTAAGTTTGACACTGAGGCTTGGGGTACAAATAACCCTGTCAGCCAGGTACTAAACATAATACCCAATAGGTAGTTTTTCAGCTCTGGCTTCTCTTCCTCTTTGTTCCCATCCTTCTGTCCATGTGTACCCACTGCTCAGGTCCAATTTACAAGTGAGAACATGTGGTATTTGGTTTTCTCCTCCTACATTAAATTGCTTAGGATAACGGCCTACAGTTGCATCTATGTTGCTTCAAAGGACATGATTTCCTTCTTTTTATGGCTGCATATTATTACATGATGTGTAAGTAATACATTTTCTTTATTTGGTCCACCATTGATGACCACCTAAGTTATTCCACATCTTTGCTGTTGTGAATAGTACTGTGATGAACATGAATGCATGTGTCTCTTTGGTAGAACAATTTATTTTCCTTTGGGTATATACCCAGTAATGGGATTCCTGGGTCAAATGGTAGTTGTGTTTATTGGTTGGTTTTTTTTTTTTTAATATAGGGTCTCACTCTGTCACTCAGGCTCGAGTGCAGTGTTGTGAATACTGACCACTGTAGCCTCGACCTCCTTGGCTCAAGTCATTTTCCCACTTCAGCCTCTTGAGTAGCTGAGACCACAGTCGTGGTCATTTTAAATATTTTGTAGAGACACAGTCACTACAAAAGATGCTGAGTCCAGTTTTTTAGATTTTTTTTTGTAGAGACAGAGTCTCATCATGTTGCCCAGGCTAGTCTCAAATTCCTAGGCTCAAGCAATCCTCCTGCCTTGGCCTCCCAAAGTGTTGAAATTACAGGAATGAGCCACTGTGCCTATCTAGGTATTTTTAAGTTCTTTGGAAAATCTCCAAACTGTTTTCCATAGTGGCTGACCTAATTTACATTCCCACCAACTGTATATAGGTGTTCCATTTTCTCAACAGCCTCATCGATATCTGTTATTTTTTAACTTTTTAATAATAACCATTCTGACTAATGTGAGATGGTATATCATTATAGTTTGGATTTGCATTTCCCTGATGACTAGTGGTGTTGAGCATTTTTTAAATATTTTGAGAAATGCCTGTTCATGTTATTTGCCCATGTTTTGGTGGAGTTATTGGTTATTTATTTGTTGCATTATTTAATTTCCTTATAGATTATGAGTGTTAGATCTTTGCTGAATGCACGGTTTGTGAATATTTTTTCCCATTCTTTAGGTTGTCTGTGTACTCTGTTGATTGTTTGTTTGTTTATTGTCTGTTTTCTGTGCAGAAGCTCTTTAGTTTAATTACGTCTTACTTGTCAATTTTTGTTTCTGTTGCAACTGCTTTTGAGGACTTAGTCATAGATTATTTGCTAAGGCCGATGTCCAGAATGGTATTTCCTACATTTTCTTTTAGGATTTTTATAGTTTGACGTCTTACGTTTAAATCTTTAATCCATCTTGAGTGAATTCTTATATATGGTCAAAGGCAGGAGACCAATTTTATTCTTGTTCAAATGGCTAGCCACTTATCCCAGCACCAATTATTGATTAGAGAATTATTTTCCCATTGATTATTATTGTCGACTTTGGTTGTAGAAGTACAGCTTTATTTCTGGGTTTTCTATTCTGCTCCATTGGTCTATGTGTCTGTTTTTGTACCAGTACCATGCTGTTTTGGTTACCGTAGCCTTATAGGAGAGTTTGAAGTCGGGTAATGTGATGACTCTGGCTTTGTTGTTTTTTGCTTAGGATTGCTTTAGCTATTCATGCTCATTTTTGGTTTCGTATGAATTTTAGAATATTTTTTCTAATTCTGTGAAAAATGACATTGGTACTTTTATGGGAATAGTGTTCAATTTGTAGATTGCTTTTGGCAATATGACCATTTTAACAATATTGACCCTTCCAATCTATGAGCATGGAATATTTTTCCATTTGTTTGTGTCATCTGTGACTTATTTCAGCACTATTTTGTAGTTCTCCTTGTAGAGATCTTTCACCCCCTTAGTTAGATTATTTCTAGGTATTTTATTTGTTTTGTGGCTATTGTAAATGTTATTTCATTCTTGATTTGGCTCTCAGCTTGAACGTTATTGGTGTATAGGAATGCTACAGATTTTTGTACATTGATTTTGTATCCTGAGACTTTACTGAAGTCATTTATCAGGTCTAGGTACATTTTGGCAGAGTTCTTGGTGTTTTGTAGGTGTATGATCATATTATTGGCAAAGAGAGGTAAGTTGACTTCTTTTCCTACTTGGATTCCTTTTATTTCTTTCTCTTGCCTGATTGCTCTGACTGGGACTTTCAGAACTGTGTTGGGTAGGGGTGGTGAGAATAAGCATACTTTTGACCTATGGATTGTATTCTGTTTCTCTTGACTAATCTGGAGGTTAGTAGAGGTGGATTTTCATCCCAGTTCTGCCATTTACTTACTGGTAACTTTGATAAAGTTACTTGTTCAAGTTTTTTCATTTGAGGAAATAATTGTCCAGCTTCTTGCCTTTTTACCAAGAGTCAGGAATCTGATGAGATATAATTTATTTAAAGCATTGAGCACAGTACACGCCATTTGCAAAACGCTCAATTAATTTTAACCAGTATTTGCAATAACATCATTTAGGCCATTGCTTTTCTCTTAACTGTAGTTGATTTGTTTTGTGATTCTTTTCAGTGTATTTCATAGATCAGAGTTCAGAAAACAGTTCAGAATTCTACAAAATATTTCAGGAAGATTTTTATAATTTGCAGAGAAGGATGGAGTGTAGGTTAGCTGTGTTAGAATGTGTAGGTTAGCTGTTTGAGTGCTCAATTCAGTAATTAAAGAAAAAATGCATTATTTAAATAAGCAACAGATGAGTGATGTAATCAAATAATCCATTGCTATGTGAAAACTCTGAAAACCTGTTATAGAGTTAAATTGTCATTGAAAATTCCTTAAAAAGGCAATAAAATATTGTCTATTCACCAGTAGGTAGGTACTTCTACATCTTTGAAAAGGAAGTTACATCTCTTAGATTAAATAGTCATTTCCCTGTTTTTAAAAGAAATTTTAAAGAAACTTAATCACAGAACTTTACTAGCCTAGAACACCTGGTTTCATTTTTGTCTACTCTAAATTTTTTTAATCAACATGTACACATTTTCAGAAATAATGTAAACTAGACATGAAAAGTTACTATTGTTTTTACATCAATTATTTTATTATTCAATTAGGGATCCTCATATTTTCAGGACACTGTGTGTTGGTGTGATGTACATAGTTTAAATGTGTCCCCACCAACAGCATAGTATAAACTAGAATCCAGTACTGAATAAAATATGTTTCGAAAAGTCCAAAGATAGGTTGTTTTATAACTATTCTGATTATTTATATTCAAGGTCAATTTTGTAGTTTGCTAAGATTTAAACTATATAACATAAGGAAGTCTGAGATAGATTGTAAAACCTCACTTTCTTCCTACCTGGGAATCTTGAAGGCTTTATGGCAGTATGGTCTGGCAGACTGTATATAAACAGATCATAAATCACAGCTGGGGAGAATTTCAGTCACTGGTTCAGTGGTGGAAATGTAAACCAAATGAACAGATGTTATGGGAAACGTTAGTATCTAAGCAAAACAATAAATTATCTCAACCTTTGTTTTAAAAAAATCTAAATAATAAATATCTTTACACAAAATGAAATAAAACACCATTAAATCTACATTTAAAAATCTTTGGGGCCAGGCGCTGTGGCTCATGCCTGTAATCCCAGCACTTTGGGAGGCCGAGGAGGGCAGATCACCTGAGGTCAGGAGTTCGAGACCAGCCTGACCAATGTGGAGAAAACCCGTCTCTACTAAATGTACAAAATTAGCCGGGCATGGTGGCACATGCGTGTAATCCCAGGTACTTGGGAGGCTGAGGCAGGACAATCGCTTGAACCCGGGAGGCGGAGGTTGCAGTAAGCTGAGAAGGTGCCATTGCACTCCACCCTGGGCAACAAGAGCAAAACTCTGTCTCAAAAAAAAAAAAGAGAAGATTATTTGTACTTATAATTGTTAATTTTGTTTACTAACAATATTAAAAGACCATATAATCAGACTCAAAAAAGAAAGTACATGTAAAAAAAACTTTTACTTTTAAATCATATTGAATGCATTTTAAAACCTTCAAGAATAATGCTCTATTATTTTTTCTTTTTTTTCATTTCATGTTTCCATGATACTTCCATAATCTTTTAAAAACACGTGCCATTTCCTCTTATTTTAAATATTTTTATGTGTGTTCTAAAAAATACAAAGAATTCACTTTTTTAAAGTCATTTATAACTTCACTATCCAGAGATAACTACTGTTAACCTTTGTGCTTTTTCTCTCTGGTATTTTGTATTTAATTGTAATGAAATAGCAAATATAAAATATCCATCATTTATATTTAAATTTGTAGCTACCTGTATTTTAAGTATTTTTGTTTGCTATCAAATATTTTTCATCATCATGATTTTTAATAGTTCCATAATATTTTTTTCATCATATATTTGTACCAATGTTTATTTAACCATTTCTATAATGCTAGACATTCAAGTTGCTTCCCTTTTGCAAATATCATTGTAATAAACATGTTTATATATGTATTTGATGGCATCTCTGATTTGTTTCTAGACTAGATTCCTATAAGAGGAGTTTCCAGATCAGAGAGCATGCACATTTTTGAAATTCTTGATACATATTTTAAAGATACTTTCCAGAGAGGTCTAGCCAATTTACAATCTCAAGAAAGTGTAAGAAATTGCCCAGATTATTGACTCCAACTGATCCCTTGAAACAAAGCTTATGGCATTTAGATAGAAACTGAAGGGCAGTCTGCTATAAATTCAAAGCACTTTGTACAATTAAATTTTTGAGAAAAAAGACATTCCATAGAAGCCTCATGAGTTGCTCATACCTGGATAAACTCACCAAGGTCACACCTCAGCTCTGCGTTTTCCGATGTAAGGTTTGTACTGGTCTGTAGGGACTCAAACTCTCCAACCACCCTTAGAAGATACTGATGTATGAATCAGATGACATGTTGTTAATTTACATACTACATGTGCCAAGTAGGTCATAATACTAATTTTAGCAAGCAAATGCATTCTCTTTTTGACTGGAAAGTCTTCTTAGAAAACTAACATCTGAAGATTTTTAAAACCCCTATTTTCTGGTGGATCAAACTATTTGTGATATACACCATTCTGTATATTAATTACAATGTAAGAAAATGCAATTAGTTGTGCATTTTTCAGAAATCATATTAACCTTTGATAGTATGGTTCTTAAATTTATACACAGCCTACTTTGAAAATCTGACTTCCAATCTCAAGTATGACATTGGACAAGTCTCCCAAACTCTCTATGCCTCAAATTCCTCATTTGTAAGATGAAGTGAATAATCTTATAGACTTATTGAGAGGATTGTCAATATAAATAATTAAACACAAATGCCCAGAATGTAGGAAATATTCAATAATTCTTAACTATGATCAGTTTTATTACTGTGTAATAGGAATGATTGGCCAGGCACGGTGGTTCATGCCTGTAATCCCAGAACTTTGGGAGTCTGAGGCGGGTGGATAAGCTGAGGTCAGGAGTTCAAGACCAGCCTGGCCAACATGGCAAAGCCCCATCTCTACTAAAAATATGAAAAATTAGCCAGGCGTGGTGGCGGGTGCCTGTAAGCCCAGCTACTCGGGAGGCTGAGGCAGGAGAATCACTTGAGCCCAGGAGGCGGAGGATGCAGTGAGCCGAGATCGTGCCACTGCACTCCAGCCTGTAACCAAATGGTACATCCGTAGAACATTCCTATTAGAACTTTAGAACAAAACAATGATGACCGAGCACTATTATTTAATCTTATATTAGAAATACCATAAGATATGAGACAGGTGTGTGAATATTGGAAGAAAGTAGCAAAATGTTGTACATGATATGATTGCACATTAGAAAATTCAAAGGAATAAAATTGGGATTTGCAAAGGGCACAGGCGTCAGGTGATTCTGTATCCACAGATAAAACCATAGCACTCGGCGCATATTCTCTGTCTCTGCACTCAGCTTTTCTTAGGGTTAGCTTCATCATCAGGCTCCTGTCAATGCTCCTTACCCTGCCCCCAACCTCACTCCCAGACACCACAACTCAACGCTCTTCTATTTTGGCGGTAAAATGGTGTTGATGCTAGATCTCATGAATTTATACCACACCATTAGAAGAGCGAGGGTTGCTTCTAGTTTTGTTTTGTTTTGTTTTAAACACAAAAACAAAATAAATCTTTTTTCCTTTCTCATGAATTACCTCAAAATATTTCCTATGCTAAGATGGGGTTACATTTTAATCATCCTTGAACTGCCTTCTAAAGCTAGTGAATGGGGAATATTGATTCACTTAAGCCAATTCAGGTTACTGCTGGCTTGGATATAGAACCATTCTCACCCAAATCGTGTAGATTGAGAATGAGGTTTGTAATGCAAACAAACAAACAACAAAACAAAGAAAAACCCTGAAAGTACCCTTTAATTGAAGAAATATAATCAGAACTAGAGTAGCAAACAAAACAACATGTATCCATTCCATGTATAGATTCCAGATCTCAAGATCCCTTTCAGTTCCTATCAAAGAACAGCTTGAATATCCACCCTCAACTTTCTAGCACTTTGGCCTGTTTTGAAGAGCGGTAAAGGATTAACCTGAATTCCTTTCTGTCTCCCAATGTAATGCTGTAAGAAACCAATTAATCCTAGAACTCCAGTAGAGGTTTTTGGTTTTTTTTTTTTTTTTTTTTTTTAATAGATTGTACTCCCAAAGTATTTGACTCATATGGATTGTTTCTTAGGGCTGGTGTAACAAATTACCACAAATTGGGCAACTTAACACAGAAATGTAATCTCTCACAGTTTTGAAGGCTGAAAGTTCAAAATCAATGTATCATCTGGACCATGCTCCCTCTGAAGGCTGTAGAGAAGAATCTGTTTCTTGTCTCTTCCTAGTTTCTGGTGCTTGCTGGCTGTCCTTAGCATTCCTTAGCTTGTAGCTGTATCACTTTAATTACTGCCTCTGTTTTCACATGAACATCTTTCCTCTGTTGTATGTGTGTACGTGTGCAAATCTTCCTTTCCTTATAAAGACACCAGCCATTGGATTTAGGGCTCACCCTGCTATGAGTGGGAATTGTGTCCACCCAGTTTCATATGTGGAAGCTCTAATCCCCCATGGAACTGGGGGATAGGGCCTTTAAAGAGGTGATTAAGGTTTAATGAGGCCATAAAGGTGGGGCCCTGATCCAATAGAACTGGTGCTCTTATGAAAAGAGGAAGAGGCATCAATGTTCTCTCTCTACTGTGTGAGGACACAGCAAGAAGGCAGTAGTCTAACAAGCTGGGAAGAAAGCCCTTATGAGAGCCTAGCCATGCTTGTCCCCGATCTCAGATGTTTAGCCTCCAAAACTGTGAGGAAAGATTGGTGCTGTTTGAACAACCCAGTCTATGGCATTTTGTATGGCAGCCTGAGCTAACTAATACACAGCCTGGTCTAGTATGGCCTCATCTAAACTTGATTACATTTGTAAAAATCCTACTTCCAAATAAGGTGACATACACAGGTATGCTGGGTGGGACTTCAACTTACACTTTGGGGGGACACAATTCACTCCAGAAGATTATATTATTGTTTAAATCTTTCTAAGAAATTTGTGTTATGACAATGTGTTTCTGTTAAAAAAGAGACATTCCAGGCTTTCAATTTATTAACACCTTAGTATGTGGTAGCAAAAGATAAGTCCTAAATAAATTCAATACATTTCAAACTTTGGGCAACAGTTATTTTTGTGCACAAATGGTATTTTGCATGTATTTTTGCATGTATATATTAAATCAAAGACTGAATTTTGTAAGATTATACCAAGTAATAGCCTATTTCCAGATAGCTAGGTCCACAGAGCCTAAAACAAATATCCAAAAGGAGCACTTAGAGAGACTGCCAAAGAATCTATATACTTCTTATGATTGTATTGTCATCATAGAGCCAAAATCTAAGTTTATTATATGAAGGTTAAAAAGGGCACTGAGTTTCAGGAACTACAGTGATCTTATTTGTGGGATAGGAGTTATTAAAGAGACTTATTAAAATATTTTAGATGTGATCTTTGAAACACCAAGGGATGTGGTCATAGATAAAGCAAAATAGGCCATGAATTAAAAATTGCTGAAGCTGGGTAATGGCTACATGAGTTTCATTTTATTTATTCTGTTCTTTATTTTTCTTACATGTATAAACTTTTCCATTATAAAAATTTAAAAATATAAGACTTCAGAAAATAATAAAGCAGAAAAATACCTGACATATCACTTAGTTTGAATATTTATCCAAAGGCTCAAAGAGATTTTTATCTTGTTAGACTTATCTTAATTTCTAAAAAATACATTACTGACATAAAATTTGATAAATTTGCTACTATATTTTATTTTTAAAATGATCAGTAGGGAGATATAATGAGTATTACACTCTTTAAAATAATTGGTTCCCACATTTTCATCCTTTATCTAATTACAATAACTATGAACAACAACCTCAATCAATAGAACTGAAAACAGAAATATCTGAAAGACCAATAAATACTTACATTATGATGGAAGAAGTAGCAGCCAAATGATAAGAACTAGCCCAAGGGAATGTCAAGGAGACCTGTAACAGGAGGCTATCAAAACTGAAACCCGGCCCATTGCCCAGTCTCCACAGAGAAAACATGATTTTCATAATCTGGTTTTCGAAAGCAAAAAGCCTCCAGTAAACCCTGAAAGCAAACTATATTGAAGTCATTTTATGCAAATTTAATATATGCAATTATAAACTTGTGCTATATGAACATATTGAAAAGACCAAAAGTGTACAAAAATAATGAAAAACCTAAAAACTACAAAAATCAGCAAACCTATTTCATTCTGAAGCCTTCATGCCATAGGTAGAAATCAGATGAGCAACTGCTCCAGTATGTTGTAAATAGGACTGAATGCTAATCTATTCTTGCATGTAAATTTTAAAATGCCTTTAGCAGTATGTCTTAAAGTGTGAACTGCTTTCATAAGAATTACTTGGCTGCCTATTTAAAGTAAAAATTCTTATGTGCATTTAAGTTTGAGAGTCAGCTGATTTATAAATCCTATATAATGTGATTGATTATTGTCACCCTCAAGTTTTGGCAATATCAGCATGCCACTGTGCTAGAGTTAGTGCCATATTTAACAATATTTTTGATGCTTTGGAAAAGGATTTATACAGTGCTTGTTTAAGTAAGACAGTTTGTCACTGGGCATGCAATCAGGGGACACATTGTAGTCAAGGGGCACAAGATAGTTTAATGGATTAAGAGTACAAGCTGTGTTTCTAGACTACAGAATTTTGAATTCTGCTCCCAATGCTTCTTAGCTATGTGTTATCATGGATGTTCATTGATCTCTCTGAGTCTCAGTTGACTCAAGAATAAAATATAGAAAATATTAAATTCTAAGTTTTGTAAAATATTCTTGAAGAAAAGATATGTGTTTACCTCTTTCTAGAATTATTTAAGAAAAAGTTTTAATAATATATGCTCTGTTTACAAAAGAACTAACAAATGCTGAAATTAGTTCCTTCTCTGTGATTTAAAATTTTGATTCTTTAAGTGCATTTTTGTGGTATACAGAAGGAATTAAAATAGTAGGCACTAGATTATGAAATATACACTTGGCTTGGGACTTGATTTCATAAAAATTGTATCCTGTTAAAGTCAGTTAGTTGCTTTTAGGCTGTACCACATATATCTCATCACAGAAAAATGACTCAGTGTATTTCTCTGTGTTGTGGTTTGGATGTTTTGTCCCCTTCAAATCTCATGTTGAAATGTGATCCTTGATGTTGGAAGTGGGGCCTGGTGGGAGGTGATTAGGTCATGGAAGCAGATCCCTTATAAATGGCTTAGTGCCATCTCCTTGGTGTTAAGTGAGTTCTCGTTCTGAGTTCATGTGATAGCTGGTTGTCTAAAAGAATGTGGCACCTTCCCCCACCAAGCTCCCACTCTCACTGTCACCATGACACACCTTCTCACCCTTTGCCCTCCGTCATGATTGGAAGCTTCCAGAGGCAGTCACCAGAAGCAGATGCCAGCGCCATGTATCCTGTACAGCCTGCAGAACCATGAGCCAATTGAATCTATTTTCTTTATAAATGACCCAGCCTCAAGTAGTCCTTCATAGCAACAAAAATGGAGCAAAAATTTCTCCCTTTCTTATTAACAATGTCCAGGTTTTGTTTTTTGTTTTTTTGAGTCTCCACACTCCACTCTGTCAACGAGGCTGGAGTGCGGTGGTGCAATCTTGGCTCACTGCAACCTCCGTCTCCCAGGTTCAAGGGATTCTCGTGTCTCAGCCTCTCGAGTAGCTGGGATTACAGGCACACATCACCACACCCAGCTAATTTTTGTATTATTAGGAGAGAAGGGGTTTCACCATGTTGCCCAGACTGGTCTTGAACTTCTGACCTCAAGTGATCTGCCCCCTTCGGCCTCCCAAAGTGCTAGGTTTATAGGCATGAGTCACCACAATTGGCCTGCTATGTCTTTTGTTGAACATTTTTCTTTGTTAAAACGAATCTTACTATTTTAAGCTTCTTTTTCATTTCAATCATACATTTTTAGATATCATTTACATGTAATGAAATACAGTGATCTTAAGTGTACAGCTCAGTGACTTATGACAAGTGTGTACACTCTTATAACCATCACTCAGATCAATACAAAGAGCATTTCTGTTATTTCCAAAAGTTTCCTGTGCCCCATTGCCATCAGCTTCCCCAACTCTCCCTTCTATTCCTTGGGAAGCACAGTTGTGATTTTATTCTGCTAAATTAGTTTGATGTTTTCCTGAATGCCACACAAGTGAAATATTACTGTATGCACTATTTTGTTTGCCTTATGTTTTTGCTATCATAAAATTTTTGAGATTCATTCATGTTATTGTGTGCATCAGGAGTTTGCTCTACTTTTTAAATTTCTGGGTAATATCCCATTGTATGCACCATAGGGCATTTATCTATTGTCCTTGTGATAGACATTTGAGTTATTTCCAGTCTGAGCCTATATTGAACCACATCACTGTGAACACTGTTGTTTAAATCTTTTTGTTGTCATTTCTCTTTATTTCTCTTCAGTCAATACCTACGAATGAAATTGCTGGGTCACAGGGAAGGTGTATGTTAAACTTCATAAAAATTGCCAAATAGTTTCCCAAAGTGGTTAACCATTTTACACACTTGCTAACAGTGTGTGAATTTGATTTGCTCCACATGCTCATTAATATTATCAGTCTTTTTAATTTCAGCCATTCTGTTTGGTAAACCAGATGTTACCTGTCCTTACACTTCATTTTGAAGCCTTTTCCCATATGCTCCTTTTACATACATAAAAGAATAATTCAATTGAGTGAATCCAAAAAATAATGTGGAACTTATGCATTCAAAAATAGTTACTCAGTTCTACTACATTGTAATACAATATGAATTTGAGAAAATTACTGAAACTCTTTGTTTTCATTTTTCTTTTCTGCAAAATGAGAATAGATATTGTACCTACTTTATAGGGCTGTTATGAGGATTAAATGTGTCAACATAATGATGCAGGGTCTGACACATAATAAACAATCAATGAGCAATATTAGTACTATTAATTCATTAATAATAAATTAAATTAATAAATAGCATTGTAACTATTATTAATATTAAGGGCCAGGCATTTTGCCATCCTTTGAGAGAAAAATTATTAAGCCAGATATTACCTGTCCTTAATGAAGCTCATTCTCAATGAAATCAATATGGCTGACTTTAACAAAAAGATAGACATTTAATATAAAGATAACTAGGGCATTTTCTCTACTCATTTTACTTTTTTCCCTTCTTTTATAAACAAATGAACCAAAAAAACATAAAAAGAAATTATAAAACTATATGTTTAACATCTTTGACCAAGAAATTGTATAGGCTGCACCCCTGTACAGTGTAAAGATAAATATTTTACTCTTTTCTTGTGGACATTTTCAGAACTGTTGAGATAGATTTTTTGTATGAATATATTTTGCAAATTTGATTTTGTTGAAATATAGTCTTTTATCTATAAAAATTCATATTTCTCAGCTCTTAATGTATCATTCATTCTTTCTTCCTATTTGGACTTTGGCCAAATTATACTCAAATAACCATGAGATAAGTCATTTCAAAATAACCGTTTGCTACTGTATGTTTTATTACCTGTAAGGTTCACGAATCAGAGTTAGGCCTTATTCATTGTATGTCTCCTGTGTGTCACTATAGTTCTTGGCATTTAGTGAGGGAAGAACAGCATTCACTTAACACTAGTGTCTTAAACACTCCACTTTGCACTTTACATAAGTTTCTAACCAAATCCATACCTAAGTTCCTGGCACCAGGGAGGCACTCAAGAAATAACATTAGAATGAGAAGGACAAAGAAAAAGGAAAAAGGGGATTATATTATTAGGATAGAGACTAAGAAAGTACACCCTAGAGACCCCCAAAAACAGTGGGTTAAACAAAACAGAAGTTTATTTTTCTCTTGTATAACAGTTCCATAGTAGACAGGTGCTACAGGGATTATTCTGCTCTGACATCCCTTAGGCCAGGCTGTTGGCCTTGTCTGCATGTTTGAATCTGACTCACTTGTATCACATCTGCATTCCTGTTTGTGGGAAAGGTGAAATGAATGAAACAAAGTAAAGTCCTTTTCTTTTAAGAATGGGACACGGAAGTTTTACCAATCATTTCTGCTCATATTTTTTTGATGAGAGCTGAGTCAGAGAAACACGTTAGGCTGCAGGGAGTTGAGTTCAGAGAATGGATTCTCGAGCTGGATGATCATTTGCCCTACTTAAAACTAAAAAGACAAAGGGGAGAATGGATATTGTGGGACATTAAGTTGTCTCAGTTATAAGGAAAAAGGAAAAGAAGTAAAAGTAAAAGAAAAATATCTTTGTGATACAGAGGTAAAAATCATGTAATTTTAAGATGGAGATATCAAGGATTAGAGAAATTTGCCTATGATCCTACAGCTAGTAAGTGCTAGAGTTTGGATGTAAATTCAATATTGCAAGGCTGATGATAATGATGATTATGTCCCTAAACCTTGTAGTTTTTCTACTACACTTCATGCTGATATAGTTTGGATATTTGTCTCCTTCAAATCTCATGTTGAAAGGTGATTCCCAATATTGGAGGTGGGGTATAGTAGGAGGTGTTTGGGTCATGGGGATGGATCCCTCATGAAAGTCTTGGTGCCCTCCTCAGTAATGAATGAGTTATTTCTCCATTAGTTCACACTCGACATGGTTGTTTAAAACAGTGTGGCACCTCTACCTCCTCTCTCTTGCTCCTTCTCTTGCCATGTGGCATACCTATTCTTCTTTTGCCTTCTGCCATGATTATAAGCTTCCTGAAGTTCTAACCTACAGATCCATGAGCCAAATAAACTTCTTTTCTTTATAAATTACCCAGTCTCAGGTATTCCTTTATAGCAATGCAAATGGAATAATACACATTTCTTCATAAACGGTACTCAAATGTTTACCAAAAAAAATCTGATATGGTCTGGCTCTGTGTCCCCACCAAATTTCATCTTGAATTGTAATCTGAATTGTAATACCCACAGGTTGGTAGAGGGACATCATGGGAAGTAATTGAATCATGGTGGGTGGTGGGGGGTCCCCCTGGCTGTTCTCAGGATAGTGAGTTCTCATGACATCTGATGGTTTTGTAAGGGCCTTTTCCCCCTTCACTCTGAACTTCTCTCATTCTTCTCCTTCTTACTATCTTGTGAAGAAGGATGTATTTGCTTCTGCCATGATTGTAAATTTCCCAAAGCTTCCCAAGCCATGCTGAACTGTGAGTCAATTAAGCCTCTTTCCTTTGTAAATTACCCAGTGTTTGCTTTATAGCAGCATGAGAATGGACTAATACAGTAAATTGGTACTACAAAGAGTGGTGTGCTGCTGGAAAGACATCCAAAAATGTGGAAGTGACTTTGGAACTGGATAACAAGCAGAGTTTGGAACAGTTTGGAGGGCTCGGAAGAAGACAGGACAATGTGGGAAAGTTTGGAACTTCTTAGAAACTGGGAAGGCTCAGAATACAGAAAGATGTGGGAAAGTATGGAACTTCTTAGAGACTTGTAGCTTTGACCAAAACGCTGACAGTGATATGGACAATGAAGTCCAGGCTGCGGTGGTCTCAGATGGAGATGAGAAACTTGTTGGGAACGGGAGCAAAGGTGACTCTTGCTATGCTTTATCAAAGAGACTGGTGGCATTTTACCCCTGCCCTAGAGATCTGTGGAACTTTGAACTTGAGAGAGATGATATATGGTATCTGGTGGAAGAATTTGCAAAGCAGCAAAGCATTCAAGGGGAAGCAGAGCATAAGAGTTTGGAAAATTTTCAGCCTGGCAATTAAGTAAAAAGAAAAAGTCATTTTCTGGTGAGAAATTCAAGCCAGCTAAAGAAATCTGCATAAGTTACAAAGAGGTGAAGGTTAATCACCAAGGCAATGGGGAAAATATCACCAGGGCCCATCAGAGACGTTCATGGCAGCCTCTCCCATCACAGGCCTGGATGTCTAGGAGGGAAAAATGGTTGCATGGGCCAGGCCCAGGGCCTCCCTACTATATGCAGCCTTGGGGCATCATGACCTGCATCCCAGCTGCTTCAGCTCCAGCCACAGCCAAAAGGGCCCAAGGTATAGCCTGGGCCATTGCTTCAGAGGGTGCAAGTCCCAAACCTTGGCAGCTTCCACATGGCGTTGGACCTGTGGGTACACAAAAATCAAGAATTGAGGTTTGGGAACCTCTGCCTCGATTTCAGAGGATGTGTGGGAACACCTGATCGTCTGGCAGAAGTTTGCTGCAGGGGTGGAGCCCTCTTGGAGAAACTCTGTTAGGGCAGTATGGAAGGGAATTGTGGGATCTGAGCACCGACACAGAGTATCCACTGGGGCACTACCTAGTGGAGCTGTGAGAAGACGACCATCCTGCAGATCCCACAATGGTAGATCCATTGACAGCTTGAGCGGTGGGCCTGGAGAAGCCATGGACACTCAACACCAAGTCATGAAAGCAGCCAGGAGGGGTGGCTATACCCTGCAGATCTACAGAGGCAGAGCTGCCCAGGGATATGGGAATCCAACCCTTGCATCAGTATAACCTGGATGTGAGACATGGAGTCAATGGAGATCATTTTGAAACTCTAAAGTTTAATAACTGCCCTATTGGATTTTGAACTTGCATGGGGCCTGTAGTCCCTTTGTTCTGACCAATTTCTCCCATTTGGAACTGATACATTTACTAAATGCCTGTAACCCGATTGTATTTAGGAAGTAACTAATTTGCTTTTGATTTTACAGGCTCTTAGATAGAAGGGACTTGCCTTGATTCAGATGAGACTTTGAACTTGGCCTTTTGGGTTAATGCTGGACTGAGTTAAGACTGTGGGTGACTGTTGGAAAGGTATGATTGTTATTCCAAATGTGAGGACATGAGATTTGGGAGGGGCCAGGGTCAGACTTGAATGATATGGTCTGGCTTTGTGTATTTACCCAAATCTCATCTTGAATTGTAATCTGATTGTAATCTTCACATGTTGGCGGGGGGGGACCTAGTGGCAGGTGACTGAATCATGGGGGCAGTTCTCCTGTACTTTTATCATGATAGTGAGTGAGTTCTCATAAGAGCTGATGGTTTGGTGAGGGACCTTTTCCCCCTTTGCTCTGCACTTCTTTCATTCTTCTTCTTCCTGACATTATGTGAAGAAAGATGTGTTTGCTTTCTCCTGCCATGATTGTAAGTTTTCTGAGGCTTCCCCAGCCATGAGGAACTGTGAGTCAATTAAGCCTCTTTCCTTTATAAATTACGTAGTGTCAGGCAGTTCTTTATAACAGTGTGAGAATGGACTAGTACAAAATTAATTGTATTTTTGTATACAAAGGTATATATAAATATATAAAGTCCTACAGATTATATGCCTTTATGCTATCATTATTAAGTTCCTGTTCTCCAAAATGGAATTATTATTTTAAAAGTATGTCACGGTGGCTCACACCTATAATCCCAGCACTTTGGGAGGCCAAGGCAGGCAGATCATGAGGTCAGGAGATTGAGACCATCCTGGCTAACACAGTGAAACCCTGTCTCTACAAAAATACAAAAAATTAGCCAGGCATGGTGGTGGGCACCTGTAGTCCCAGCTACTTGGGAGGGTGAGGCAGGAGAATGGCGTGAACCCAGAAGGCAGAACTTGAAGTGAGATGAGATCGTGCCACTGCACTCTAGCCTGGGCAACAGAGCGAGACTCCATCTCAAACAAAACAAACAAAACAAAAGTATATCACACTGCATTATATTTTTCAAAGTGCTTACAGGTACAGAATCTCATGTTATTATCATAATATATCTGTGAAGCATGCAGAGGAAGTATGATTGGTACAATTTACCTATGAGAAAATTTAAGCAGGGAGGTTCAACAGCTTGTAAAATTAGCAAGAGTACAAGACAATGACTAAGGGCTAAAACCTATTCTCATTCTTCCTTCCTCAGAATTCAGTGCCTACTTTGGAAAAGATTCAGAAAGAGTATTAATAAACTCATTAGAAATGTGGTGTAAAAGCTTATTACACAATTATACTGAATTTGGTAGTAGCTATATGGGGTTATAATTATTTTTTCATTTATTTAACCAAATGCTAACTACCCTTTTATGAGTCTTTCCTGTTGAGCACTAGCTATATCTAGATGGATAACATGATTCATGACCCTGTTGGCCAATTTAACATTGTCTAGAGAAAATTAGAGGTTCTCTTTGATTTATATGGTAGATCTTTTATAAAAGATTTTTTTGAAAGCCAGTAGAGTTTTTTCTCTTGGTTTACTATTTTTTTTAAAGTAACTATTGCTCTGCCATACCCAGTTGCTTCATATTTCAAATAGCAAATCCAAGACAAAGTCAGAAAATTTTGTTAAAAGAGATGCTGAAATTAGTACTAATGTCAGCATTTTGAAAATTTAGGACATTATGAGACATCAATGAGATTAATTTAGTCATTTAAATAGAGAAGTTGACAGTGAACTCAAAATACCACCTTAGTGACTCCAGCAGAATTCTGAACTGTCAGCATTCTGTCACATGTTAGAGTTTATAACCAGAAATCAAAATTTATCTCCAAGAAGTTCTACCTCCTGATCAACTGTTTTCAGCAACAGTCACCTCTTAAAATGGCAACAACTAGTCTCAGGCTCTTACATTTAAATGGGTAAATTTTCACTTGCCTTCTTTTTGTTGTTTGTTTCCTGTCACTGAAATGCTATGAAAATTTCAAGGTGAATGGAATGAAAAAGGCAGAAGCAAGAAACATATCAGAGATAATTATTTTGGTCCTGGTAATTGCTTGGGCATAGTTGGAGAGGTTAGATATGATGGAGAATTGTGAGGGAAGTTCATGTTTCTGCCCTTCGAGGGTTAATAATGTGGGGTAGATGAGACTCAGCAAATAGAAAACTTTAAATAAAACTGTATCCTCAAGTGCTAGGTAATATAGAATGGACCACAAATAAAGTGGGAGGGAAAGGAGAGAGACATCGCTGACGTATAAGTTAATTGAAGGTAGAGGAGCTCTCTTGGGCTTTCATGTAGCCATACGAGCTTGAAACATTCGCTATTTTTGCTCTGAATAATGCTACTGAATTCACCATACTTGTGACATTTTTGTAAGAATTAACATTAAAAATTACTGGAAAGCTACCAATTGTACTATTGTTTTTCAAGAGCACTAAAATCTGACAAAAGAAAAAAAGAGTATATTTTGTTATAAAAGAAAAGCTTTCAATATCCAAATTATATTGTTCATATAATTCAGATCTGTGTATATATATATACATACACACACACATATATATATGGCTCCAAAGAGAGGAAAATATGGTCACATGGAATTCCCATGCTTTATTGACATATTTGTTTATGAATCCAGAGATTCCTTAGTTCATCCATTTAGTGAATACATATTCCGTCGTGACAAAGGCTATGTAAGTTGTCTGCAATTTCGTCTTCTGAAAGAGCATATTCAAATCATAAACTTTTTCTGTAAATAAGTATACATTGAACTACTGTTTTACTCTTACTTTTTATGACATTTAAAATCAATGAAATGTAACAAAATGTGTTTGCTTGTTGGAAATGATATTAAATTGATAGAAACATGTGGAACATGTTGGAAATAATTAAACCTAGTGATTTACATCTGAAACATCTAAAACAGTGAAATACAACTGCTTTCAACTGTTGATTTTACTCCAAAAGCTATTCCTTTTTAACATTAGAATGTTGATATATCTCTTCATATCCCTTTTGGTTTAGGCACTAAATCTTATATAAATCCAGTGAATTTCATTAGGGTATGGTAAAAACATAACTTAATCAGTCTCTAGCTGTGCTCAAATAAGAACCCGTCTTTTAGCCAAGTTTAAAGTCCACATTGGATAAAGACTAAATACAAAATGATGAGGATTTCCCACTGAGCATCCACAGTTGACTTCTCACAATGGCATTCACATTCATTCAAATGCCATATGTCTCTGCATTGTGTGCATTTGTAACACATTTCCTTTTATTGATAGACTGATTTCATTTCCAATAATATATTTGAAATGTCAGCATTTCAGTAGACTCCTACTACGCTAACATAAAATTTATATAGAACCTAGAAATAAACAATTACTACTGAATAACAATGCAAGTAGGAGGGAAATGTGTGTGTGTATATCTGTATATGTATACACAGTTGTTGTATATGCATATCTTTGTATATGTATTTGTGTATATTTTTTTATATGTATACACAAATATGTATACATGCATACACTTTTTTGTATACATATATATACATAAAAATCTAGCTTATCCTCCAAATTTTGTTCTTTAAGCAGAAAAACTACTATAGCTGGGAGAAATTTATTGTACTTAGCAGTATAGGATGTAGTATATAGTACTATCAATATTTTTCTGTTTTATGATTTTAAAATGACTTTAATTCATATAATCATGGATAAAAGAAGGGGACCTTTTCCTGTATACCTCATGTCTTTGTCCTAGTAACTCTCTTTCTAAATGGAAACTGAATATGCTGATTATTTTTAATCAGAATAAGGCATAGAAAAATATCTTTTATAACTTTATTATATTTACTTTAATATACATTTATATGGAAATTAGTTGCACACATGTCTTTTTCATTAGATCAGTTTCTCAAGATAGGATAAGCCATTTAGGAATCAGAGGAGCAATTAAAATTTAGATTTCTTAGGTTCTAGTTCAATTTTGTAACTAATCTTCTCTGGGGACAGCTCCCTCACAAATATTAAAAGCATCCAAGATGATTCTCATATGCACTCTATTTGACAATCATTATGTTAGACTGGAAGTCATTTGGGAGAGTGTGTCATGTCTGATTTATCTTTATCCTCTGGTATTTAGGGCATTGCCACAAATTATGTTCAAATTTAATGGTGTAAATATAATTTTCATGCCTATAGTAAATGCATTATGGTCATAAATACAAAAAAATGAAAACATCTTTTCAGAGTTTTTGAGAAATAATCAAGATTGTATCTCTACCAATTAGCAGTGACAACTCAGTGAAAAAATACAGAGAGGAAAAATGCACATTGTTTTCAGAGCATAGTATATCAGACACAGTTTTTAAATCTAAGACGTAAATCATTTTTTAAGTTATCTTGAAAGTATACAAGTTAAAAAATGTGCCCCATCTGTGTTTTTGTCTTAGTAGGCATTCCACTAACTGCTGTGAAAAATGATTACTTACCAAAAAACATTTTAAGTTATTGCATCATACCCAAGTTCATTAGTTTCCAGAGCCTGGGTCTGACTTCATTGAAATGTACCTGAGAAAATTAATCTTAGAAATGAGCTCATGATGAATTCTACTTTTAAAAGCCAGTATTTTCAGTTTTGGCATACATCATATACAGTGTGATATAATGGTTAAAATTTAGACTAGCTTCTAGTACTAGCTTGTCTCTTACTAGCTGTGCAGCCATGTGCAAATTACTTAATTCTAAGTGTCAATTGTCTCATGTATGAAACAAGAATGTTAATACCTGCCACACAGAGTTGTTCAGAGATAATGGTTATAGAGCACTTTGCCTTATTCTTGTTGTTTTTGTAAAGTATTGTTATTATAATTGGCATACTTGAGAATTCAATGCTATCTACCCGCACAAAAAGGTATTCTCTATTTTCAAGAAAAATAACTACTTTTCTACATTTTTCCATACCTTATTTTTCTGGAATCACATCTATGCTTATTTCAAAAACATTGTCCCAAAGGTAACAGTGTCTGTGGTTTCTTTTCCCCTGCAAAATCTTCAGTGCTATTTTGATTGCCAACTCTGAGTGTAGCTGCTCTACCATGCTTAAGAATAGATAAAACAAAGTGCACCTTGCTTTTTGCTGAAAGTATGCAGTCAGTCAAGATGTACCATGGACTGAAGATCTACTCTGGTGAACTCGTCATTGAATTCGTTTAAAAACATTAGGTCAAAGATTTTCAAGTATGAGGCAACTTTACAAATAGATGAGCTTTTTCATTGAGTTCATGTCCAGAGGTGAGAATGGATACAAGTTTTGTGTGTACTAAAGCTTATTACTTGGGGAGCCCTCATTAAGAAAAAGAATTTGTTAAAGTGTTTTTTTGCAAATTTTATAAAACAATGTATCCTTGTGAACACATTGATGGTTCCTTTCTAGGGTCTTAGAAGGAGCCTGTGCGAGGTAGGAGCTTTGTTAACTTCACAGTAAATTTACGTCTGCCAAGTGGAATTACGTGATTTTGTTTTCTTCTCTCTTCTGGAAGACTTTACAATCTTATTCTGGGAAAAAGCAAAGTACAAATATTAATAACAATACAGCATTTTAGATGGTATTATGTGGCATAGATTATAAGTACTGAAGAGTTCATAAAGGAGAAAAAAATGCTGGTAGACTTTTGGAGGAAAGTTAAAGGAAGATGCTTTGCAGAGTGCTTACAACAGCAATGATGATGATAGCAAATTAGCATAGTAGACTGAAATTTCCATTTATAAATCAAACAACCAATTTGGTATAAATGCCAACTCTGCCTCGTAAATTGTATAAAAACAAATGTGATTATGAACTTATGCCAGGCATTATGCCAGGGGTTTGCATTATCTTATTTAATATTTATATCAATTGAATAAGGTAGTCTTATTTCATTAACTTGTCCAAAGTTACTTTGTTAGGGAATCTTAGTGGTGAGTTTGCAGCTCACATCTGTCAGATTTTACTCCCAAGTACCACTTCACACTGTCTGGAATAACTTTTCAAAAATGCTTGGGCACAGGTAAACACCTCCAAGTTTGTTTTGGAAGCAAATGAATGTGTTCTGGAGTTAGTATATTTGAAAACCTACCCAATTCCTTGACAACTTAAACCCACATATCCCACTGAAAAAACAAAATAGCTATTATACCATATGCACACACTAATGGAATTTTGCAAATAAATTCAACAATAACCATAAAGGAGATTCATACAATAAATAAAAGAAGTAATTGATTCTAACAAAAAAAAACTTAGCACTAAAATAGATGGCTTTCTATGCTTTTTAACTCACTAAATACAAAAGTTAATAATTATTAGCTTGATTAAAAAGTCTGCTGTAGTCATTTGTAAAGCAAACAGTTATGATTATTTTTCAAATAGGTTTGTTGTAGGTTTTTTTCTTCTTCTTTTCTTTTTTCTTTCTTTCTTTCTTTTTTTTTTTTTTTTTTGACAGGTTCTCTCAGTGTTGCTTAGGCTGAAGTGCAATGGCATGATCCTGACTCACTGCAGCCTGGACCACCCAGGTTTAAGTGATCCCACTACCTCAACACTCTGAGTAGTTGGGACCACAAGCATGCGTCACCATATCAGCTAATTTCATTTTACTTTTGGTAGAGACAGGGTCTTACTATGTTGCCCAGGCTGGTCTTGAACTCCTGACCTCAAAGGATCCTCCTGGATTGGTCTCACAAAGTACTGGGATTACAGGCATGAGCCACCTGCCCTGCTGTGTTTTTTTTTTTAAAGGTAACAATTAGACCTAAATATGTCCCCAGACATCTCTTCCCACAAGAACAGATATTCTGTCCCACACAACTGATAAAATACATAAAAGAAGTATTATTTCTTTGTTATTTCTGCCCTTGAAAGGTAGCTGTTTGCAATGCTAAGTTATTCTGTCTTTTCAGAATATGAGCCTACTGTATACATTTATTTCTAAATAAACAATGATAGCATTGCTTTCATACAAACTTCTGTTTGAACTGATTAGCCTGTACTTTTGGAATTATAATTTAATTGAAGTCACAGTTTCTTTTCTGTTCCTGTAATTCATGCCAAAAATGTAATTTGATCTCAGTTAATAGTTACAAAAAAAGTTAACATATTCTTCAGAATTAAGTTGTAACTGTTTGGAAATTAATAGTTTAGCACCTGATATCATTATAAAAATTCAAACTCTTTTTTTTTTTTTTTCCAGTGGAGCCTTGCTACGTTTCCCAGGCTGGTCTTGAACTCCTGGGCTCAAGACATCCTCTTACCTCAGCCTCCCAAACTACTGGGATTGCAGGCATGAGCCACCACCTATGGCCAAATATCCAAACTTTTCAACTGAGACCCACATTAAAAAATGTGTTTTGCTTCCCAAACCGGTTCATACTTACTTTCTCTTTCTTTCTGAGATGTCCTATGTTCTGTTCTGTCCTATCCTATACCTTACTAGTCTAATTCATTAAAAATGCAATGCATGTCCTGATCTAATACATTGATTCTGGCTGGGTGCAGTGGCCCACATCTTTAATCCCAACACTTTGGGTGGACAAGGCAGGAGGAAAACTTGAGCCCAGGAGTTTGAGACCAGCCTGAGTAACATAGTGAGACTCTATATTTAGATAAAATAAAATAAAATAATAAATTATTTGTGTGTGGTGGCTCACACCTGTGGTCTCAGTCACTTAGGAGGCTGAGGCAGGAGAATCACGTGAGCCCTGGCATTCAAAGCTGCAGTGAGATATGATGGCACCACTGCACTCCAGACTGGGCAACAAAGCAAGACCCTAAAATAAAGTAAAATAAGTTGAATAAATTTTATAACTTATTAAGGAATCTTGACCTTCAGTTTGTGCAATCTTCCGTGTTTAGTGAAGAACAATACAACATGACATAGGCATGAATCTCCAACTCTTGCATTACAGGAAAATATTTATTAACATATGGAATAGTCTTAGCTTTACCCTCTGCCTTGCTTTGGGTTGTTGCTTTGCTCACTCATTTTTTTTTTCACCTGTAGGAGGTATTTGTTAGTTCTCAAATGATTCAGTGGGATTGTGTAATGTAGAATCAAAAGATGAGAGAATGGGAGACAAAACTAGAGAGGTGAAAGGAAAGTAAAAACCTTCAAAGTGTCAAAGTTTATGACTGGGGCCTAGGAGAGGTAGATTCTCCAAGAGAGAGGAGAGAAAAGATTTTCAAGCTGTGCATAGAGGTGTGGAAATTAGTATGAAAATAAAGAAAAAAGTTACTAAGCTTTGTCTATTGTCTATCCCATTTTTGGTATATTTGTGCTTGTGGTGAATATGACTCAATATGTAGAACTTCATGAACAATTGCCACAGAGGCAGTCAATCCTCAAAAAGGAGTATGTAGCTGTAAAGTACAGCAAGTTTCACATTCAGGGTGACAAGCATGGGTCAGCTAAAAATAATTTCACTTTGTAGAGAGAGTAGATTTCACAGCTCAAGGTGGCCTTCATATATTTATTGAGTAGTGCACTATACAGAATTCATCCATCATTTCGCTGTTCAAGCTCGACCTCTCTAAAGAAATTGAACAGTAGACACGCACCATACCTCATCACCATTCATTTTTCCTATTGCCCTTTTCTCTAAGTCATTACTAGCAATCTGCAACTTTTAGTGTACTGTATGTTTTATGTATAAAATACATATACAGTGAGAAAATTACCTTTTAGAAAATTATTCTTAAAAAAATCACCTATTTTTTATCACCTATTTTTTATATTGCCAGTCAGCTTAAAACAAAAATATTCACCTATTTTTTATATTGCCAGTCAGCTTAAAACAAAAATAAAATTCAAAAAGTATAATTGATTTTTGGTAAACTTAAAAATTAATTTTTATATTTAGTAGTAGAATCTGACTTTCAGGTTAACCTTTTAAACATTAAAACCAAAAGGAGACATCAATGTCAATATCCAGAGGTAGTTTAAGCTTCTTTCAGTTTCATTTCTTCCTTTTGTTATTTCAATAGCCTATAGTCTAATGAAGTTAACCTAAATATCTGTGAGGGCAGGGAATGACTTGACAACAATAATTCTAAAGTTATCTTCAGAGCCACATTTTGGGGCTGGCAGAGCTTGCACAACTAGTCAGAGCATTAAATCACAGAAATAAAAATTGATCCTATCCTCATCTAGAATCCTTCATTACCTCAAGTGAAAGTAAACACACACACACACACACACACACATATACACACAAACACCCGTAACAACTAAATTAAATCCCTTTTCCCTCTGTTGACCTGTCTCTCTTGAGTACATTTAGGACAGGCTAATGTGGCTCCATATTACATTTTATAGTCCGCACCATCAATCTCTAGACCAGTGAACTGAGTATTATCCAAAATCAGCAGTTGCCATCAGTTGAAATTCTGAAACTTACTAATGCTTGGCATAGGCTTTTTCCAAGTGATTTATGTGACCAGTTTACTATACCTCTTAATATATTTACCTTCTAGTTCATAAGTGTTCTTTTATGAATTGATATTCATATAATAAATCCCATATCCTAAACATAAAATATATATATATAATTTTTATTACTGAAAAAGCAGTTTCTTCCTGATCCCAGTTAGTAATTAAATAGTATTGATTTGAAAAGGCAACAAATTATCAGCTAGTTGAGGATTCGCACATGCTTCAGGCCTGCCGTCAGTATCTGGCATATATAGTGATTATTATAACTGATTACCTAAATGAGTGAATTTAATCATGTAACATTTTCTTACATGAGATAATGTATCTATCTTTGGGAAGAGTTATGGGGAAGTTTCTGGGGGTTGGTAATAACTGCTTTCTTTTTTCCCACTTAATCTGTTTTTTTGTCACTCTTCATTTGAGTCTCTTTATGGCTAATTTCTTGGATTTGTTTGGGAAAGAGAGTAATAATAGGGAAAATATGGAAGCGGAGTTAGAAAACTGGTTGTAGACGCTTCCTACCTGATGTTCCTCGTACAAGTATTTGATTCAAAAACAGGTTTGCTTTTCTCCCAGCCTTGGATGTGTAGGACAAAATTAAATACATTCTAAGAGGTCTTTGTAAGAAAGTTTTATGCAAGAAGTATTAGAGATAATACCACCAGACACTACTGTTTTTTAATCCCACCTGTTGCTAAAATACAGAAACTTTGACCTCAATTTCTTCTTATCATTATAAAGTCCACAGGATAGTGGCTTCTCTGTGAATGTTGTTTACTGAAAAATCACTGATAATTTTTAAACTTTAAGTTTTTATTAAAAAAAGAAAAAAAATTTCTGATGATCTATTCCAGCAGAGGTTACACACTTTCATGTTTGTAAATGAGTTTGTTGCTTTTAATATTTTAATCATAAGCATTTTAAATTATCAATTGTCTGCATATTAGTAAAGTTCAATGTGACTTTAGGCTATGTGTCACACAGTTTTTAATGATGACCAAAATTATTTTCAAACTCTCTGCCTAATTGAAATCCAGGTAGGAGGAGCCATTTAAAGTCATTCTTACAGCTTTTCATACTAGTAATAACAAAAATATGTTAGTTGTACCTTTATGTTGTCCTGCCACACTCTGGGGTCATAGCACTCATTTCATATGTCTATGTTTTGATATTTAATGGCTGTCTTTCATGCTAGACCACAGTTTCATGAAACCTTGAACTATATATATATATCTTTTTTGCTTGTGTCCCCAATGCCACATGCAACATGAAGCACAGAGTTTCTCCATCAGACATCACCTTTAAATAAGAACAACAAGGATGAACTTGAAAGATATTATGTTAAGTGAAATTACCCAAGCACAGAAAAACCAATATTGTATGATCTGTCATATGTGGGATCTAAAAACGTCAATTTCACAGAATTAGAGAGTAGAATGATGGTTAACAGGGGTTGAGGTATTTAGTGGGGTGGGAAGGTGGGGAGATGTTGGTCAAAGGATACAAAATTTTAGTTCTATAATAAGAATAAATTCTAGAGATACATTATACAGCATGGTGACTATAGTTAAAGATATATTGGATTCTTGAAAAAATTCTGAGAGTGGTTGTAAAATGTGCTCACCACAAAAATGACAACTTTGTGAGGTGATGCATATGCTAGTTGACTGGGTTCAACAATTCCACAATTCATGTAAACTTCAGAATATTATGTTGTACACAATAAATATCCACATACAATTGTATCTATCAATTCAAAAAAATTTAATTAAAAAGAAAAAACTAAAGACAACACATGCAGATCAGAATGGGTGGTGCCAGTATTAATGCCCATTAAGTTCAAGTGATTTATGAACATGGTAGGGTGGAATAATGAGAATTCAGGGAGGATCCACGGAACAGATGAGCCTTATTCTCTGCTGGCAAAGTGATACATGTCATATATGTAGAGGGGAAGAGAAAAGTCATTCTAAGTAAAGAGTCACATGAATGGAACACCAAGAAAAGAATTTCCACCACTGAATTTAGCATACAGGGTGGTAAGTATTTGCTAATGTATTGGACTCCTCCACTAGCCTGTGAAATTTTTGAAGGCAGGAGCTGTATATTCTCAGCTCCAGGAATATTCATTTACACTGTACATTATCAGTTCTCAATAAATATTTGTTGAATAATTGGATATTAACCTGGTTTCTAATGTGGTTGCAAATTTGAGATCAAGTTTTCAGGTTTTCTTGTTTTTTTCCCCAGATCATATCTCCCATGGTTGTTTGGTATATCCAAGTTTTTACCCTCTGTGATGAAATTATTTTCTCTATGTTAAGAATACATCTTTAACATATCTCTGTTTTGAGAATATATTTTTTTGTACTTACATTTGTATACTCTGTTTTAGCTTGGTCCAAATCCCTTTTCCAGAAACTAAATTACAGATAAAGACTGAAATTGTAAAACAGTTGTTGCTTAACAAGCATTAATAAAACACTAATAGAATTTAATAACCTAGAGTTTACATCAGAAAATTAAAAAGCATACATGAATCCTTTTCTAAATAGTAGTTGCAGTGATGGTGCCAGGATTCTAGATAGACTTTAGAAATTAAATGCCAAGGAAATAGCTGGGGGAAATGTGAAAATATCAAACTATTGATGCAGCCCATCTGCTCAATTCCACAGCAAAACTGCCTTATATAGGGAAGTGACATGATCATATTTGCATTTTAGATTAATCACTTCCATAAAAGTGTGGAGAATAAATTGGATTTGGACAGGATTTGTACACAGGAACTTTACTTACGAGGCTAGAGATGGTGTGGGCCTGCATTGAAGATGTAATGAAGGGAATCATGAGAATGTGGTAGATGAGAATCAAGACACATTTAGAAGATACAAAGTAATGACCTGAATGCTTCTATGTATGAAGCTGATGGAAAGATATACTGTAGGATGAAGCTCCATGAAGCTGACCCTGCATCTCACAGCCTAGCATAGAAACACAGTAGGTCATCATAAATGTTGATGAATGAATTTGGTGACAAGACATATGTATTAGTTTGTTCTCATGTTGCTGTAAGGAAATACCCAAGACTTGGTAATTTATAAATGTAAGAGGTTTAATTGACTCACAGTTCCTCAGGACTGGGGAGGCCTCAGGACACTTACAATCATGGCAGAAGGGGAAGCAAACATGTCTTTCCTCACGTGGTGGCAGCATAGGAGAAATGCAGTGTGAAGGAGAGGGGCAGTAAACCCCTTATGAAAACATCAGATCTCGTGAGAACTCACTGTCATGAGAACAGCATGGAGGTAACCACCTCCATGATTCAGTTACCTCACACTGGGTCCCTCCCATGACACATGGGTATTATGGAAACTACAATTCAAGATGAGATTTGGGTGGGGACACAACCAAACCATATCAGCATATATCTTTTATCAAGTCAGGAAAGACTTGGGAGACAAAGATGAGTTTAGTTGTAGACAGGCAGCTTGTTTGTATTTGACTTGTAGCACTCTGTGTTGCCTCCTTCAAGACAGGAAGCCATCAATCACAAGTGAACTGAACTAAATATCCTCATTTTTGTTATTTCTTTAAAGTAACTTGTGGTAGCTCAATTTATATTTAAGGAAGCTCTGTCAGATATGATTGATATTTGCTTAAATAATATTGACTACTTGTGGGTAAAAACAAATAAAATGAAAAAGGAGAGCCATGCTGACACAATACTTTTGAACACCTGGTATTTGAAATGATTGCAAGGTATCACGATTACCTGAAAAGAGTGAAAACATTGTCTTAGCATTTCTGATTTTATTTTTTGTACATAATTGGAGTTTCCACATTCATTGCACAAAGGTGTTGTTAGTGCCAGGGAAGTAGTTACTGGAATACACGAATAATCTAAAGTAGTGAAGGAAAAATATATGTAAGTCAGAATTTCAAAATAGTGCAATAATTTATATGACCAGAATAAGCAGTGCATACAATGGAAAAGTATTTGAGCAAACCTTAATCAGATAAATTCTGAGGTAATGATAGTATCTGGTGATAGCTCACCAGAGCTGAGTCTTCAAAGATGAATAGACATTAGCTAAGAAGATCAGATAGTCTAGCATAAGCAAAGTCAGAGAAGTGGGAGAAAAATCACAATTAGGAGATGCTCTTGGGGGTATCAATCTGTGAAGTCTGGCTTCATGGGTTTCAGGAAGAAGAGTCACAGAGTGGCCAGGCATTCCTTACCAAATGGAATAATTCAGTTGTTTCAGCTTTTCTTACTTAACAGTAAAATAATTAAACATGACTATGTTTATATTTAGTTGCTTTGATGAAATGAATTGTTTCCAAAAAATATAGAAGGTTCACAATCAATACCAACTACCTATTAAAATGTGCTTAAAAAAAAGTTTTCACCCTCACTCCCCACCCCCTGCACACACACTCAAATTCACCAATGGAATTTTATCTTATTTTATTTGTTGTCCTTGACACACTAGAATTAAGCTAAACAATCATTTTCAGAGTAAAGTTTTAATGATTTGAAACTATTGCAGCTCACTTTTTTTATGTCTCCAGCTCCATTTTACTATGTATTTGTGCATTCAGACAGTATATGATGGAACAGTAATTGTAAGACAAAGAAATAGAACTTGACTTATTTCAGTGATGGAATTCTATGTAACCACTTGTATTTTTTGTTTCTGCTTAAAATTTAGAAGACTAAAATAGAGTCCAAACTTCAGTGTGTGTTTCTTCCCATTAAAAAAATACACTTATGTAACGAATGTATGACTTCATCTTTTTTTTGGTACTTTAATATTTGTTTTCTTATTTTGAGATTTTTTTACTACTATTTTAACACACACACAGAGTTTAATAATAGAAAATTTTCACAGTCTATATTTATTTTCTGGCCAGTATTATTAATTCATTTGTGATTATTCATGAAAATAGTTTTACCACAGTGGGGAATGTTAAAAAATTATCTAATCTGACTGTCAATATGCTTGGTATGGAATTGTTTATAACAGTGCTTGAAAGTGAGTAGCTATTAATTCAAGAGGCACTGGATATGAATGTTAGCAGCATAAGTCTCCCTTGGGGTAGCTGGGGGCCTGTTTCCTCATCCTCAAAATATGCATAAGAATACCTACTACTCAAGTTATTACAAGTAAAATCTGAGACAATACAGATTAAACTCCTCACAGATAAGTGAGTACAGCAAATATAGCCATGCAAGAAAGACAATAGGCTTCCTTTAGATTTGTTCTTAAGACTCCTTCTCACCCTCCACTGACTTTGAGTTGCTGAATCTATAAATTAAGTCCAAATTAACATGAAAAAAATTGGGGTTCACAATTTGAAGTCAGAATATTTACCATTTAAAATTAGAATATAACCTTCTAGATATCTTTCAAAACATTAGTTAGCCACATGACTCTTTCACAAAGCTTTTCAGGATGTCTTATCTATTTTGGAATATCATAGTATGTAAAATAAATGATAATGATCCTATTTACATGAGGCTTTTTGATTAATGGTTATTACTAGTTGGGTTCCAGCATCATTTAACTGTAAAGAATTTTTAACAACTAACAACTGAGAAGTAAAATGTAGTTACTTATTCAGAATAACTGATATTTAAGAAACATTTAAACAACATTCTTACTAAATAAAAAATAGGTCAAGCGCGGTGGCTCATGCCTGTAATCCCAGCACTTTGAGAGGCTGAGGTGGGCAGACCGCAAGGTCGAGAGATAGAGACCCTCCTGGCCAACATGGTGAAACCCCGTCTCTACTGAAAATACAAAAATTAGCTGGGCATTGTGGCACATGCCTGTGGTCCCAGCTACTCGGGAGGTTGAGGCAGGAGAACTGCTTGAACCTGGTAGGTGGAGGTTGCAGTGAGCCGAGATCACGCCACTGTACTCCAGCCTAGTGACAGAGTGAGACTCCGCCTCAAATAAATAAATAAATAAATAAGTAAGTAAAATAAAATAAAATAGAAGAATGGGAACATGAAAAGAAGAAAAAATGTTCTGATCCTAATTTGGATCAAGCTATGACATAGTTAGGGAAACTGAATAATTTTAGGGAATTACCTATCTTATTCTTGGTCTCTAGTGAGAGTCTTAACAAACCTTGAGAATAAGGTTTAATTCATTGTTTTAAAAAGATCCATTTGTGTTTTGAAGTGAGTTACCATGGCTTTGTAAACCATTGAAGACCAAAACATAATACAAAGTAAGTCACATGTGCAAATAATTTATGTTCTTTATAGTTTCTTTTACTGATAATGATAATGTGAGTCTGCTTTAAAATTAATTTTTAAATATTTGTTTAGAACTTACTATTAATTCTTCTTGCCTTTGGTATGGTAACTAGGAACCAATTAGTAAATAGATAAGGTTGTTGTTGTTTTTTGCAATCATATCTTAAAACTATTTTTTTCCTCTATTGGCCGTCGATCTGGGCTTTGAATCGTTAATTATTCCTGCAAGTAGGTTGGGAGGAGTGGAGGTGATGCTATTTTAGCTCCTTTTGCATTCAGATACAAAATCATTAATTTTCAACCATTTTCCCTTTGAATAGAATCCAAAACATTTTTCACACAGCTTCTTTTAAAGGCTAAATGCTTTATAGAATTCTATGAATAAAATTTGCGTGTATAAGTATGAAACTTTGTTAAAATGTAATATGAGAAACTTCCATTGGAATTATAGCATATTAAGTAATTTAAAACGATTCCATACTTCACAGCTTCTGCCAGGCCTAGACAACGCATGGAACTTGAATACTTACATATGTATATATATATAAAAGCTTTGGGACAAGAGGTAGAGGCTCAAACATTAATAGGCTCATTGCTTGTCAGCTAGTAATACTAATCCAAATTAGTTTTACATGTGCACCAAGTAAAGAAAAAAGTCTCAACTTTCTTTCAGCATATTAGTATACCTAAATGATTTTCTTGTCAAAAGTATCTTTAGCCTGAGCCCAGAAGTTCGAGTCCAGCCTGGGCAACATGGTGAAACTCTGTCTCTACAAAAGAATACAAAACTTAGCCAGGCATGGTGGCATATGGTCCCAGCTACTAGGGAGGCTGACATGGGTGGATTGCTTGAGCCCAGGAGGTTAAGGCTGCAGTGAGCCAGGATCACACCACTGCACTCTAGCCTGAAATATATCAATGTTTATGATATCTAGAATTTCCATTTGTAAGTTTCTTAGCAATTAGTGCAGTGCTTTGCACATACCAAATAGTAACTAATTTAATAAAAATGTGGCTGTTTGGAATGAAATTACAGGTGACTCTTATGTGCTTTTGATGATGATGACAATAATGTTGCCAAAAATCAGTGATGAAGATGACAACAGTGATAGCAAAGATTGAAATAGCCACGGTGAGATGTGTTACTTTGGTTGTATTTAGAAGTGTTCACCTTCCCAGGTTAGCATAAATTATTATATTTTTGCTCTTTTTGGTTATGGATGATATTGTTTAAGACTGTTTCTGAAAAGAAAAAAAAAATAACTATCAAAGGAAAGTCTTTGGGCGAACTGAAACAATACATAAGACCATTTGTCTGCTAGTGCAAATCAATGTGTTCCTTCAGCAATACACATTCTGTAGATTTATTTCAATAACTCCTTTATGTTCCATTCTGTGTCTATGTACTCTCTGGAGAAGGTTAAGTAACTAAAGGAATATGTATAGCATCTGAGAAATTGGACCAAATGACTGATAAAACCTCTTCCCACATTGATATTCTATCATCCTTATCTGTTTCCAGGGTTAAGTTTTCTTATTTGTTTCTATTAAGGTTACTTGTTTTTGCTGTTGATCATTGTCTTTGACAGAGTTAAACAATAAGTGGTTAATTTGATTTATTTATAAAATCAATATTAATTTTGAATTTGTAAGATAACAGACTAGAAATGCCACAGAATATGGTGTATTTGTTGGGAGTGTACATGTGAGTGACATTTTCTGTTTCGTCTACCTACTGGGCAAGATGCTTTACAGATTAATCTTTACAACAATCCAAAGGAGTGGGTATTATTTTGCAGATTAGGAAAACAATTCAGAAAAGTTTAGTAGCATGTTCAAGGGCACACACCAGGAAGTAGCAAAGCTTGTCAAATCTGGGTTTGTAGAAATGCAAATCCCCAACTCTCTATGACTAACGTTTTACTTTGTAACAATTGTGAAAATAAAAGTTACTCAATAGATTCTGCTACTCCTGTGAATTCTAAAATCTATTCCTGAAAGTACTAAAAGTCTGCAGAATATGTCACCTTATTTATTCAGAACACATTTTATATAAATGATGTGTGTATTTTTAAGATAATAGAAATCTATTCCTCTATTATTCATGATGACTAAATAATAATTTGGCCATTTAGGATGAATGTATTTATAAATAAATTATAAAATATTTCCCCCATCTTTTCAGCAAAATATCCTTAAAATAATTCACTCTTTTCTTTCAGTTCTGCTTCTTTATCATGTGTCTTAATTGTTGTGTTTGACCTTAAGTTTTCTCAGTAGTTTTTAATGTGACCTGTCCACCAGTACACTCCATGATGCCATGCTCTATAGGATAATGGCTAAGAGACCAGGCTTAAGATAAATTCATATTCTATGAATTCAAATCTTAGTTCTTTCCCTTTTTAGCTTACTAATTTTTTGATAGTTGTCTTGTTTGTTTTTTTATCTGCAAAACAGAGATGATAGTGCCTACCTCAAAGGTCTTTGTGAGGATCAATGAAGCTGATATGTATAAAGAACTTTGCACAGTCCATTACATATAGTAAGGGTTTAATGAATGATAACTAGTTAATATTATACCTTTTAAAAATGTTTTTTATTCATTTAAAATTGTTTTTTATTCATTTTCTCAATTTCTACCAGGAGCAAATTCTCTCACTTTCATTGGAAATTTTTAATAGACTTTGGTCTGGCAATATATATATATAGGTATACATATATATGTAATATATATAACATATTACATATATACATATATTATTACATATATGTGTACATATGTATATATACATATATTATTATATGTAATATATATTATAAATATATTACATATATATAACATATATATATATCTTTTACAGGGGGTCCTCCTCTATCACCGAGGCTGGAGTGCAGTGGCACAATCTTGGCTCACTACAACCTGTGGCTCCCGGGTTCCAGTAATTCTCCTGCCTCAGCCTCCCAAGTAGCTGGGACTACAGGCACGTGCCACCACTCTTACCTAATTTTTTGTATTTTTAGTAGAGATGGGGTTTCATCATGTTGGCCAGGCTGGTCTCGAACTCCTGACCTAAAGTGATCCTCCCACCTAGGCCTCTCAAAATGCTGGGATTACAGGTGTGAATCACTGCGCCCAGCCTAGTCTGGCAAAATAAGTGCCAAAGAATGGTAGCATTTTATAGTGAGAATAAGTAAGCTTGGAATTCCTTCTGTTAAAAAAAAAATGTGCAAACATGACTCTCAACATAAAGCTAGAGCCCAAGTTAAAGAGATGACTGGTGATGATTTTTTTTGCAAAGTTAAGAACCTTTTTTAAAATGTTGACATATGGTGTACCCCTCCACCTGTTATTCTGAAATAGCTGTACATTCTGCCAATGAAAGAGCCCTTAGTAAATGGAACTTTGAAAGTTGAGGGGTTGAGGGTACTTTGCCTGCAGAAAAGGCATGGCAGAGTGTGCGTAGGAGGCAACATGCAGAGTGGAGTTAAAGAATTCAATGAAAGCAAGAGCTTGAATCTGGGCATAATGCTAAATTGTGTGTCAAAGTCCCACACATAAAGCGGAGAGAAACAAAACTTCTCTAACTGAAGTAGGAGCTAGGGGGGCCAGGAACTATATCCACATAGTATCTCTCTCACCTCTAGAGGTAACCTACAAATTGAATTACATTCTTTAATAACCTTATAAAATTAACTCTCACCAACAGCTAGATGCCAGTAAAATTTTGTTCAATTGAGTTTTATCCTATTTTAGTCTCTCTGCTTTAAAAGACTCATTTTTTTTCACAAATATATGTCATTAAAAATAAGATGTGGGTTATAGATTTTATATATTAAAAGTAACATTAGCAACACATCAATCGAATGAAATGTATGGACTTTGAATTCAGATTTGATTAAACTAACTATAAAAAGACTATTTTTGGGTAAAATCAGGGAAATCGGAACAAGAAATAGTTATTTGATGAAATAAAGAAATTATCATTAAATTTGTTAGATCTGGTAATTATATTGTGGCTATTTTTTAAAGTTTTTATCTGTTAGAGACAAATACCAAAGCATTTATGGAAAAAGAATATGATGTTGGGGAGTTGCTTAAAAGTACTCCAGGTTGGGGATACAGGTCGGATAGGAAGAGACACATGAAACAAGATTGGCATAATGTTGATAAGTGTTGAAGTTGGGTGATGGTTTCATGGGTGTTTACTATTATGTCTACTTGGTATATGTTTGAAATTTTACATAATAAAATAAATCCCAGTAATTTAATTTATAGTCCATAGGAGAATGTTTTTCTGGCTTTAATCTTTCTGACCTAATTGGGATTTGGCAGACATGTTCTACAAAATGTGTAAAAAAAAATATGAAAGGTGATTAAATAAAAGCACACATTCAAATTGAAAATGGTTCAAAACAAAAGTGCTAATAACATATTTGAACACTTTAAACTTTTTATTTGGCTTTTCTGTTTTAATTCTTTTAAACATACAATGGAATCGCTTATTGTGTTTTTCTTTATTTCGTTTGCTTTTAAACACCAAATTAATTCTCAACTTCTGGGAAATGTTACAACTGCCAAATTGCAGATAAACTTCTGGCTTGCAGTGGAATAGATATTTGCTCCTGGAACAATTAAAGAAAATTAAACTATATTTGCTTATAAGATGGTTTTTTAATGTCTATACATTTAAAATATGTCAAATAGGCAGTTTTGAAATTTTGACAGTAGGCAAATGGTCACAATACAGACAGAAATCTAGCTTTAGAGAAATCTGAAAGTAGATATTATGGATTTAGTCAGCAAACCTAGTTTATGGGTTGACAAAAGTATCACACAAAGAAATTGTTAACAGAAAGATAAATTACGACCCCATTTATTGTTGTTAAGTTCAAAGCAAACCTAGATTCCTGGAGCTACCAAATTACTGGATAATTGGGTACCATAGTCAAATCATTGAATTTTTTAATAACATATTGTATTTCCTAATTACTACAAAATAGCAATACATATTAAGATTTTCACATATTTATTTTTCAGAGCCAGAATGGTCTCATTATACTCTGTGAGTTGCTGACTTAGCACTCCAGACTTTTTTGCTCAAAGGCAGGATTGGCCCCAGCATTCTAGGGTGGAGCCATGCTTCTGCATGGAGATTTTAAAATGCTAAATCAGCATAACGCAGCTCACTGTGAGTTAGTATGTTTACTGCTATTGTACTATGATAATAACCATAAGTGCCTGGAATCTAACTGATATGTAGAAAATATAAAAGTTTTCAAACTATTAATAAAAGTTTCACTTGATAGTACAGTCAAGTATCCCTAATCATCCCTTATGCATGAGACTAGAAGTGTCTTAGATGTCCAATTATTTTGGATTTTGAAATGTTCGCTTATACATAATGAGATATTGGGGAATGGGACACACATCTGAACACAAAATTTATTTATGTTTCATATACTTCTTATATGCATAACCTAAGGTAATTTTATACAATATTTTAAATAATATTTGTGACCGTCACATGACATTGGGTGTGAAATTTTCCACTTGTGAAGTCATTTCAGCACCAAAAAATATTTGGAGTTTGAGGCGTTTTTGATTTGGGATTTTGGGATTAGGGATATTTAATTCATTAATCAATTAATGTAACTTCTATCTAAACTTGTCCATTGCTAGATGATAGTTTTAAAAAACAGTAGCTCATTGATTTGATTTGGTACTGATTTTTAAGATTCTGGCTTTCTGATGCTTTTGAAAGTAAATTTTCATAATACTACACTTTTATTTATTTGTTTTTCATAAAATTGAAGTTTTAATTGCACATCTTGTAATAATCTTTAAATGATAAAGCCTTTAAAATCATGATATACAAGTGGTATAATGATCCCAAAATGCAAATTTGTAGCTATTTATACAATAAGTACTTTCACAGTTCAGAGTATACAGTATGGAGGGCAAACAGTTCTGCACAGTGTATGTTACTGATTTAAAAGGGAAGCATTTTGCATTCATGAAAATGTCTAATATTTTGTCTTAAAATATTCATATGAGATGAAAATACGACACATGTATACATATGTAACAAACCTGCACGTTGTGCACATGTACCCTAAAACTTAAAGTATAATAATAATAAAAAAGAAAATACGAGTCAGAAATTCACATAAAAGTAGCCAAACATTATAAGAGCTTGTGTTACCAACAGTAATTTTTTATGATTTCACACATAGTGAAATATAGTACTCTACCCATCTTTGATTTGAATCCTTCTTTATTTCTGTTCTGTCAGTACTGTGGATGCACATGTGCATTTTCATCTGTGCTGTGTTGGTAATAAAATGAAAATTGAGCAAAACAGGGGTGATACAATTTTTAACAAAGTGGCAAACCAGCTCAGTTCCTAATATAGGCATCAAAATAAACCCTGAAATACAAAACAATGTGTAGATTTTGCAAAAGGAGTAGTAAGCATGTTGAGAATCAAACATAGATCTAATAGGAATTTATGATATTTTCTAATTTCCTTTTCTGCACCGACTTCCTTCTATGTGGAACTATTTCTTTTGTGATGAAGTTGAAACAGAAGGAATTAAGATTGAGGGAGTAAACAAAAACAAAGGTAGAATGCACTCTCACCTTGCTCCCCTTTTCTTAGCCCCAAAAGAAAGCTGATAATTACATTTTCCTTTTTCATCCAAAAGGATAGAATGTAAAATCAAGTAGACAGAGAAGTGCATAGCCATCTTGAAGTCTTAAGACAAACTAAGCTTGATTAAAATAGCTGGAGTACTCATCTCACCCAGGCAGTTCTATCTTTTTTACTAAATACTGATGTATAGAAAGCAGACAATGAAAGAGGATATGCTCACATAAAAGTTCAATTAAATTTTGCCTATCAGTAAGTTTTCTGACTGAATTAGGAACATATATATTTACAAAGCTGAGTTACTAGTAATGGTGACTAACATTTATTACTGCTTCAGGTGCTGTTTAAAATGTTTTACAAGTATTAATTTATGTGCTATTCACATCAATCCTAGGAGGTCAGGTACTTTTATTATCCCTATTTTACAGATGAGGAAACTGAGGCTTTCCCATGTGGTTAATCCTGGATTAAGTCCTTGAGAGTCTGATTCCAGAAATTGAATGCTTAACTCTTTATTAAGCAATTTTATGAAATACCTTAATATCACAGGACATTTCAGACACATAAGTTGGTCATTTGAAAACATTAATCTTCCTAAATCTGCTCAGCTATAAGTGCTGATAATCTTTAGGTTGCTTCATCCATTCTTCTATGCAACAAAGAGGGCTTGTCATTTGGCAAGCTTTGATTGGCACTGTCATTGTCACCATTCATTAATTTGGCACTATCCTTCTGACTACTAGAGTTGCTTCCAGAGAGACCTGCTGCCCTTACTCCACCAAATTTGAAGACTTTTATATCAAAACAGGTTTACAGGTTTAAACCAAAGCTGAATTCACTACAACCTCTTACGTATTTTAATTTTAACTCTCCATCACCTTCTACATAGGATTTGAATCTCTTCCCTTAACCATGCCCCAGTCTAAGTCTCAGTTTTTTTTTTCTGACACTGTCATGCCATTAGGATACTCAGAGAATTATTCCCCTCTGAGAAAAAAATGACAAACAAATTGAAATATTAATTTACATAAATTCAATTTTCATTTTTAATTCAATAACTCCAATCCTGATCATTGAATTATGGTAATCATGTCCATATTTGTTTCATTATCCTCGTTTCAAGTTAATTAATTGCTAAATCAGTGAACCTCTATATAATGTAACAGCTAGTTATTTTGATGGCTCAAAAATTAAAAGTGACTTCCAAAAGTTTCTGGTTTGCTTAGGCAGTTTTAAAAAGAAATCATTCGTGTACTTGTTAAACAATAGAAGAATAGTGTATTGGTCCATTCTCATGCTACTGTGCAGAAATATCCAAGACTGGGTAATTTATAAAGGAAAGAGGTTTTATTGATTCACAGTCCTGAATAGCTTGAGAAACCTCAGGAAACTTACAATCATGGTAGAAAGCAAAGGAGAAGCAGGCACTTTCTTCACAGGGTGGCAGGATGAAGTGAGAGCCAGAAGCGGAAATACCAGACACTTATAAAACCATCATATCTCATAAGAACTCACTCACTATCATGACAACAGCTATGGGGAAACCACCCTCATGATTCAGTTACCTCTCACTGGGTCCTTCCCAGTACACATGGAAATTATGGGAACTACAATTCAAGATGAGATTTGGATGAGGACACAGCCCATGGTCCCTTCCAATCTCATGCCCTCACATTTCAAAACACAATCATACCTTTCCAACAGTTCTCCAAAGTCTTCATTCATTCCAGCATTAACCCAAAAGTACAAGTTCAAAGTCTCATCTGAAACAAGGCAAGTCCCTTCTACCTATAAGCCTGTAAAAGCAAAAGCAAGTTAGTTATCTCCTAGATACAATGGGGGTACAGGCATTTGGCAAATACACCAGTTCCAAATGAGAGAAATTGGCCAAAACAAAAGGGCTACAGGCCCCATACAAGTCCAAAATCCAATAGAGCAGTCATTAAGCCTTAAAATTCCAAAATGATCTTCTTTGACTTCATGTCTCACATCCAGGTCACGCTGATGCAAGAAGTGGGCTCTGTCAGCCTTGGGCAACTCCACCTCTGTGGCATTGCAGGGTAAAACCCCCATCCTGGCTGCTTTCATAGACTGGCATTGAGCATCTGTGACTTTTCCTGGTGCACGATACAAGCTGTCAGTGAATCTACCATCTGGATCTGGAGGACGGTGGCCCTCTTCTCATAGCTCCACTAGGCAGTGCCCCAGTGGGTACTCTGTGTGGGAGCTCTGATCCCGTATTTCCCTTCCACAGTGCCCTAGCAGAAGTTCTTCATGATGGCTCCACCCTGCAGCAAACTTCTGCCTGGACATCCAGACATTTCCATACATCTTCTGAAATCTAGGTAGAGGTTCCCAAACCTCAGTTCTTGACTTCTGTGCACCCACAGGCTCAACACCGTGTGAAAGCTGCCAAGGCTTGGGACTTGCACCCTTTGAAGTAATGGCTCAAGCTGTACCTTGGTTCCTTTTAGCCACAGCTAGAGCCGAAGCAGCTGGGTGCAGGGCACCATGTCCTGAGGCTGCACAGAGCAGGGGAGCCCTGAGCCAGCCCAGGAAACCATTTTTCCCTCCTAAGCCTTTGGGCCTTTGATGGGAGGGGCTTCCATGAAGGTCTCTGACATGCTCTGGAGACATTTTCCCTATTGTCCTGGGGATTAATATCTGGCTCCTCATTACTTATGCAAATTTCTGCAGCTGGCTTGAATTTCTCCCCAGAAAATAGGTTTTTATTTTCTATCACATGGTCAGGCTGCAAATTCTCCAAACTTTTATGCTCTGCTTCCACTTGAATGCTTTGCAGCTTAGTAATGTCTTCTGCCAGATACCTTAAATCATCTCTCTCAAGTTCAAAGTAAGTTCCACACATCTCTAGCACAGGGGCAAAATGCCACCAGTCTCTTTACTAAAGCAGAGAAAGAATCACCTTTATTCTAGTTCTCAACAAGTTTCTCATCTCCATCTGAGAAAACCTCAGTCTGGACTTCGTTGTCCATATCACTATCAGCATTTTGGTCAAAGCCATTCAACAAATCTTTAGGGAGTTCCAAACTTTCCCACATCTCCCTGTCTTCTGAGCCCTCAAAACTTTCTAACTTTTGCCTCTTACCTAGTTCCAAAGTTGCTTCCACATTTTCAGGTATCTTTGTAGCAGCACCCCACTCCTGGTACCAATTTACTGTATTAGCCTGTTCTCACACTGCTATGAAGAAATACCCAAGATTAGGTAATTTATAAAGGAAAAAGGTTTAATTGATTCACAGTTCTACATTGCTGAGGAGGCCTCGGGAAATTTACAATCATGGCAGAAGGCAACGGGAGAAGCAGGCACCTTCTTCATGTGGCAGCAGGACACAGGGTGAGCCAGCAGGGGGAATGCCAGATGCTTATAAAGCCATCATATTTCATGAGAACTCATTCACTATCATGAGAACAACAAAGGGAAAACAACCTCCATGATTCAATTACCTCTCAGGGGGACATAGGGATTATTGGGATTACAATTCAAGATGAGATTTGGGTGAAGATGAAGCCAAACTGTATCAAATAGACTATTCAGAAGTATCAAGATAGGCATATGAACTACTCTGATGGGTTTCGCAGTAGAGAAGAGAGATTGAGCCAACTTCAAATATAGCAAGAAAAAGTGGGAATTTATAGACAAGAAGCAGGATGGAGGTCAGTAGATGGAAAATTATTAAGAGGAAACATCAGGGATGAGGGGGATTCTGGCCAAACCACCCTAACAGTACTGTTGGTGAAAGCAAACCAGGGTGAACAGATATCACCTGGGGGATGGTGGAGGTGAGAGGGTAATCAGACATTGAGGGAAGGGGGTTTTGGCTAAACCAGCTCATTAGGATTCTTGTTAAAGTTGGACAATGCAAAGACAGACACAGAAGTAAAATAGTCAGGGCCTAGTTGGGAAGAGGATTCAGAAGAGCCTGATTAAACATTGTTCGAGGAGAGACTGCTAGCAGTGGTAGAACGTTTCAACCATATTGCAGATTAGAGTTTAGTGGAAAAGGGAGCTTTAAATTCTTGTTGTTCTATTTATTCATGTTCTAAGCAAAGGCCCTCCCCTGTGAGCACTAACCCATTTTAGTGCATTATGACATATTCCAGGCACCCACTATACTGTTTCCACAGTGATGCTTTCAGGGTAACTGTTGGTCTGTAGTGAGAATTCTGCCAGTTATCTATGCTAATGCTCAAGAGTTTCTTTATGCCATCTTACACACTGTCATCATTTATTGATTTACATTTGGGATGGCTTAATTAAGCAAATTGGATGAAGTCTCAGGTATTAAATGAATGTGACCAAAGGAAAAAGGATTCGACAGGGTTTGATAGAGAATAGAAAACAAATGCTTATTGAAACAGTTAAATGAAAATTTATGTTATGCAAACTTTCTCAGTCAATGGAACCCTACCTCTCAATCTTATTTGGATGGATACTTCAAAAATTAGATGTCAAATAAAGCTTGCTTTGTCTACAAGAAAGAGTAGATAGATACACTGCCTTGTCTCATTCTGAATTTATTCATGGGGGAGAAAATGAACTAGGAAAATACTTTAAAATTGGGATAAAGGTTATAGCAATGTGATATAAATTAGTTTTCCTCTAAGTGATTTCTCCAGACTTTTAAAGTGATTTTTTTAAAATCTAAGTTATAGATTTATTAAAAATGTGGTCGAGAACTCCACGAATGTTGCCATTAGAGATTAGTAGGTGCTTTGCTTTGAAGAATGGATTTAATTGATCAGTATAGCAATACTCTTCATGGAAATATGTACCCAAAGTTCCCTATTGTTGGTTTATAATTAATTGGCCAGCCTAACATCTTTTCATGGGTGGAATAAAGAAAAGCTGCCACATCAATAAACAGAAATATAATTAATAGAGTTAAAGAGCAGGGACCCTATCTGTACTGGTCACTTTCTTAACCCTAGCATTTAACCCAGTTCCTGGCACATCATAGAATCAACTAATGCTGGTGGAATTAATAAACTCTATTCTAAAATACAATGTATGAAAATATAATAGGCTCAGATATAGTTTCAGGCATAAAAACTAGATAATTTTTATGTTTGCTTTTATCTTACTGGTTTCCTTTTTCTAGCTTACTACAGTATATATACCACTATAAAAATTGATTTTTTCAACAAAAGAGATAAAAACATTTTCTTTAACATCTATTATGTTTAAAGAAGAAAAAAAATGAGTAGTGTTTCCCTTAAGAAATAGCTTGATGTATACAGCTTACTCTTGTATCTTGAGAGCAAAATCGTTTTGAAATCTATATGCTTAAGAAAACAGAAAAGAAGCTTGGAGCTGAGATGCAGGGAATTCTGTATGTGCTTGGAAATGAAGAAACAGACCACCACGGAGCTTGTTAATCATGCAAAAGGCATAATCAGCACAGACTTGGGGTTAATTGTAGTCCTAGAAATAAAAGGGTGTTCTACCCATTGGATTGAGGCACCAGCATCAGGTCAGTGTTAAGAGGTAATTTTTAAAAAGAGCATAATTATGACTCTCATATAAATATAAAGGATATTTAAATCAAAAATTTTATTTAACTCCCAGTTAAATAATGAGAAACCCAGTAAGATGTTACAGTGGTTCAAAGGAGAATTCAAATAACCAAATAATAGATGGTTAATAGATAAATTAGATAGATCTGTAGATAAGATAGATAATCAGGAATGTTAAAATGAATTTACAAACAAATAGATGCATAGAGACAAAATAAATCTGTTCACTGGGCAATAATCCATTGCATTATACCACAGTCTCCATTTAACACAAGTAACCCAATTTGCTGGACAACTTTCTTTCAAAAAAACAATAACCAGTAATCTTTTGAGCCACTTTAAAATCTCTTACACATTTTCCTTGCATCACTTTCAACCAGGCAAATACCTTTGGCTATTCAGAACATTTTAGAATCAGAAGACCTACTGCTGTTTGCACCTTAAAAAACTAAATAAATTAAGACATTTACAGACAGAATGGAGAAGCAAATCTGAGAGTCATCACTTAGTTCTTAAGACTTCTGACTGGGAGTATTAGGTTCATTATTATAATATATCAGTTTAATGAGACAATAGCTAATATGATAATGTGTGGGAAATCAGATCACTATGTTAGTGTTCTTCATTGTTCATACTACAAAATAACTTACTAGGCATGTACTTTAAAATTTTGTCTTTACTATAGTGATTCCATATCCTCTCAGAGTAACTTTTTTTCTGGTGAAAGCTACTTTTAATTTAAAATTTCAATTGCCCATATTAATGCAGAGTTGATTGCTTTTAAAGAAAAGTGGCTTGCTCATTGCTTAATAAGGCAAGATTCAGCACTGTACTCCCCCACTCCTAGCTTTCTCAACTCTCCCAACCGAGTTAATAACTACAACAAATTACAAGCACAAATTATTAACACTTAAAAGAGCATGCCCTACAGTTTTCTATACTTAATATGATACAAAAATGTGGGGTTAATGGCTGCATTATTAACAGTTATAGTCTCAACATATTCAGTTTAGAGGTAATGCAAAACTGTTTTATCTGCATACAAACAATAATTGAGAAGAGGCCTAAAGGCAAAAAAAAAAAAAAAAAGATGAATTTTTTTTTCTTTTTCCTCAGAAAAAGCTCTTGGATACCTGTGTATTTTAGTTGTTTTAAATGTTTGTAAATATAGTGGTTTGCAAGGAAATTGGGCATGTTTTCTAATAGAAAGAAAGAGTTAAAGGATGCGGTATTGTACTTTTCCTTAATGATTTCCCAAAAAGCTAAGAGAAAGAATAAATTACATGCCAAGAGCCTTTTTGGGCAGTGTGCTTGATGTAACAAAATTCCCGTGATTAGACTAAAATACCATTTTTTTTCTTTTTTCCGGCTACTTTGTAAGGCAATGGCAATCTGCTTTATATAATAGAAACTTCTTAAGACATATTTGAGAACAGGATCATCCAAACACTAATCTAATGCAAAAACAGAAAACAAAACCTTTCCTATATATATACATATATATATATACACATATATATATACATATATATATACACATATATATATACATATATATACACATATATATATACATATATATACACATATATATACATATATATATACACATATATATATACATATGTATGTATATACATAGTACAATTCAGCATCCTTTAACTCTTTCTTTCCATTAGAAAACAAATATACATATATATATATATATATATATATTTGGAGTATTTTGGAAGTAGCTTGGGATTTGGTGGAACAAATTTGGGATCTTTTAAAAAGGTCTGAATTCAAAATGTTTGTATGACTTGTAAACCATTAAAATAATTCACGGCATGTGTCTGGTTAGGTGGAAACATAAATTTGTATTCATGACTTCTAGGAAATATTTTAAGGAGGATTATTGACAAATTTTAGCACAGCCAATGTTCAGAAACGTTCAAAGAAACATCGCTGTATCTGTTAATATTTTCATTTTCTTTTACTCCACAAAGAACTGGACTGAGATCACCAGCTTATTTTTACAGGCCTAAAAACTACATATAGCTTTGTTTGCCATATTATGTGTATACCTGAATTCATATGCAAAAGTAACCATGTTTCAAGTGAATTAGCCTGTTAGTAAAAGGACCACCAGAGGATGTCCATAGCCTTCATTTGAGGTATACAATTTGAATCAGCATTTGAAAAATATATTTGTATATACTCATGGAATGAACAATTTAAATTCATGTGATTTCAAATTTATAAAAGTGACCTTGCTTTGGCATTATTAAATTTTCATTAAAATTATACTCTTTTAAACCCCACAATTTTACCAATGAAATATTTTAAGGATAAGTTTTGTTACTGATTTTATTTAAGAAAAAAAAACACAAAGCAAACTGATTTCTGTTCTTGAAACAGGTTCTTTATAGTTTTAGTTTGGGTAAATTCTGCATGTAAGTTTAGTATGTAATTAAAGGATAAGTAAAAATGGAGGAAAAAGACACATCTATAAAGCTCTGTTGGTATGTACTTCAGAACTGTACTTACCATGGAAGAGCAATTATTTTGCAAAATTTTATGATATCTCAATTGCTGAGGAATCATAAATAATATTTCTTTATTTTGGCAGAAGATTAACAATAAATGTTTAGGAATCATTTAAAACTTAGAATATAAATTAAACACTATATCTGAAAAGAATCTCGCTAATCTTTTTCTAATGAAATTATTACTCATAATGGAATAACATTTTTAAGGACAACTTAAAAAATCCCCTGAATTAAAACTGTGTCTATCTTATCTAAAGGAGGAGGTAAAAAATTAGAAAAAGAGAAGAGAGTCACAAAGTGAAAAGAATCAAACCACCATTGAGAAAAGCCAAAAGTAGTTACTATAAAGTATTAATCATCAATTTTATGATTTCTGATCCAAATTAAATGCTATGCTCATTTATATTTTTAAGAATTGTTGTCTTAATATTTTATTGCTTTAGGTCATGGTCACTTCTTTTATGACCTGAAGTACATGTGTCAGTAATATCAACCAATTGGCACCTATCCTCTTTTAGGTAGAAAAAAAATGACTATTATATTGTAATACTTTGTTCTCTCTCTCCTCCTCTTTCTATTTTTTTGTTTTTTGTTTTCGTTTTTGGATGGTTGGTGATTTGTTTGCTTCTCCGGGTTCCTGTTGATCAGTGGTGTTTGGCCAGTTTGTATTTTTCCAGACATCACTCCACGATGTTGTTGAGGTGTATGATGGGCCAACTCAGCAATCTTCTCTGTTATCTTCCCTCTCAGGATCCCATTCAGGTATCCTTTAATAGAACTGCCATGCATCAGTTACTGATTAAAGACTGACTTTGATTAGTATTGTAGTGAAAGTTGAGATTTATATCATCAATATAAGAAATAAAGCAAACTGAAAATAGTGTCACCTTTTTTTTTTCTAAAGAATAGAAACAAAATTAACTCAGAAGGTTGAGAAAAATACAACCAACTATTCTCTGGGATTGTAACCAAGTAAATAATATATTTAATCACTTAGTCTCTGGTGTTTAATGTAATATAAAATATTTAAGAATTCTTTGAAGAATGAGGCAATATGTATAAAAATGTAATTAAAGCTTTCTGAGAAAAAGATTGCAATACAAGTTGAACCCAAAGGAAATATATTGGTAGTTGTAGGATATTTTAAAGTAATTTGATAGAACATAGATTGACATTTTCAAATGACAGTGTAAGATTATAATATAATTTGTTAGGTTTACTGAATGAAAATTATTTATGATATCTTAGTGTTTGTTTTGTTGAGTAGGAGAATCACTTCCACTGAGTTCAGGTAATCAGATCACAATTCGATTTACTTCAGTTGGACCAATAACAGCTAAGGGATTTCACTTTGTTTACCAAGGTAAGTGACCCTGTAGTCTAGAAACACACTAAGGAATGATATAATTTTCCCATGATGTATTCAGAGTTTTTGAATGATGAAATCCTCTAGATAAAAGTGTTTTTAAGCAGTTTTATTTTGTCCCCTCCACCATCACTAGATCACTGTCACCTTGACCAAAGTAAACAAAATCTATTGCTTCCATCATCATTCTCAGTTTAAATGTCTGATTTTCCTTCCTTCCCACATATTATTTTCAAAACATCTACTTTTTTTTCCTGACAATCCTTTACTATCTACATTTTCTATTTTCTAACAGTCTAGCACTCTAGACTATTTAGTCTAATTTAGTTTAGCACTCGAAATTAAAGATATAAAAATTTTGGTGCTGATGTACTTAAACATGCCAAGGAAATCAGTGTTCCATTCTAAAATTATAGTTTCTCATTCTCTCAGGAGAATTAAAACTTTCTTCAGTTATTAGGACTTTTGTGCAATTAGAAGTTTGTTTACACATTTTATTTCTTGCCTGTGGTAGACAACCTTCTACGTTATCATTAAACCAAGTTAAGAGCCATTATTTGAAATATTGTCTTTGAAATATATATGGTCATATAGTAGTTAATCTCAAATGTATCTTGCACTTTATTACTAAGAAATGTATAAACATTTGTGATTTGTTATTCCTATTAAACCTTCTTACCCCATTTATCAGTTGACTATAATCCTGTACTCTTTTATGTTAAGTAGTACTTCCCCCTGGAAACAATGTGTGGTATTACGACTGCAAAAAGGCACTATAATGAATGGAATTATATTTACTCAAGTCGCATAAGAAGAATTAATCTATTTAGAATTCATCATATCATTTTTTGGGCTATTGTCAATCTCTTTAATCACATTTGTTATGTGTTTTAAAAAGAAAAAACATCCTGTTATCATTCTATTTTACTAAACCAAAAAAAAGGCACAATTAAAGGGCATACCTATAAAATCTAAAAGCAATTTCAAATCTGATATTGTATGATTATTAAAGTAAAAACTTTTATTGTTGTTAATCTGTCTGACATATATTCTACCTAGTCCAAATGTAGTTATCTTTCTCAATAGCAAATGTGTTTGAAATTAAGTTTGTGAAATTTTATGAAACTAATAAAGTACTGTTTGCCTTTATAAAATCTGTTTTTAATTAAGAACCAAATACTGAAAAAAATGTAAAATTATTTGATATAACCTGACACATATTTTTTGAACTTGGTATTCTAAGTTTAAAAAGAAAAAAAACTTTCAGTTTTCATCCCACAAATTACAAAAATATCTAACTAAAACTATTTTGTAATATTAATGAGTTCGGTAAAACAAAAATCGTTGATGTTTAAAGAATCAAAAGTAAAACTTTTCTAATAAAAAACCTTGATGACAATAACAATATTTATTTTAAATTATATTTTATTCTGTCTGAAATTTAAAACTTTAAGAATGTATTCAAATTGTTAATTCAAGTTCTGATAAAAAGTGATGATTTCTCAAAAATGTGTTTAAACAGTTACATTTTGAAATCTGTATTTGTCTACCATATAAAATTAAAATAAATATAATATTTCTACACAGCTGTTCCTAGAACAAGTTCTACACAATGCAGTTCTGTGCCTGAACCAAGATTCGGAAGAAGAATTGGCAATGAATTTGCAGTCGGTTCATCGGTTCTTTTTGATTGTAATCCAGGATATATTCTCCATGGATCCATAGCAATTAGGTGTGAAACAGTGCCCAATTCTTTGGCCCAGTGGAATGATTCCTTACCTACTTGTATTGGTGAGTATATAAATTTGTATGATCTGTGATTATACATAGTTTATATAAAAATTGGTTACATCTTTCAATTTTTTAAATTTCAGATCTAATAATTATGTACTTAATTTTAAATAATTTAATAAGTATGCTTTATATAAATATGAAAAATCAGTGGAGATTTGTTGCAATTGTCTTGGTGATGAAATCAATAAAAAAATTTGTGTTGAATTAGCTAAATAATTTCCTCATTTACTGATTTATATGGATTTATGTGGATGTAAGTAAATATATATATTTCCAGGAACATAGAATCTGCTGCTACTAATGTGGGATTATGAAGGACTACTATCCTTTTATTTTATTTTTTTAATTGTTGTGGGTACACAGTAGGTGTATATATTAATGGAGTACATGAGATTTTTTTTACAAGCAGGCAATGTGAAATAAGCACATTATGAAGAATGGGATATCCATCTCCTCTAGTTTTTATTCATTGTGTTGCGACAATCCAATTATACTCTTTAAGTTATTTCCAAATGTACAGTTAAGTTGTTATTGACTGTAGTCACACTGTTGTGCTATCAAATGGCAGATCTTATACACTCTGTGTTTTTGTCCACTACAGTTCTCAGACTCTGGTAGTCATCCTTTGAAATAAATATTATTTTTTATTTTTAAAAGTTTGTGCAAAGATTTCTGGGCCAATATGTAAAGAATTCAGAGATCTTTTAAGAATCCAAAAGCTGACTTTTCTGGAAATATTTTGCTTGGTCATCAAAAGAATTAGAAAATATGAATTAATTTTTTCTTACTCTATTAGTTACAGATATGTATAAAAATATAAAATTATAAATTTTTTCAGTCTTTCACAAATATTGGTGGTAACATTTTGAATGAGTAAAATGCATAAGGTTAGCCAAAAATCTTATTGTTTCGAAGTTGTTTTTGCAATAGTATATCTAACTTGCATTGGTAAATAGAATGTATACTATCTAAAATTATGGATATCTTAATAGTTTAGAATTTTATAGTATTTCAGGGTAATTATAATGACGCTTGGCTTTTGTAGAGTTCCATAGACATAGAAAATATAGAAAGTAGGGAAATTACTCTCTTTTCTGCCCGAAGAACATATCTGGGAATTTTTATTATTTTTTAAATTACATAATATTAAATTCAAAAAAGAGTGGTAAGACTTAATCTCAGGTTATAAAATAATTCTAATGACTTGAGTTGTTTCTCATTAAAGTTATATTAGTATGTGATGTTAAAAATAAGATATGTGTATATATATATGTATATATATATATATATATATATATATATATATGGGGGTTTTTTTTTTTTTTTTTTTTTTTTTTGAGAGAGAGTCTTGCTGTGTCGCTCAGGCTGGAAGGCCGTGGCATGATTACAGCTCCCTTGCAACTTCCGCCTCCCAGGTTAAAGCCTCCTGCCTCAGCATAGAGAGTAGCTGGGATTACAGGCGTGCACTACCATGCCCAGCTAATTTTTGTATTTTTACAAAATACAAAAGGGACCAGGTCTCACCATGTTGTCTAGGCTGGTATCAAACTCCTAGCCTCAAGTAATCCACCCCCCTCGGCCTCCCAGAATGCTGGGATTACAGGTGTGATCTACCGCACCCAGCTGAAAATAATACTTTTTAAAATAAAAGATAAGCAAAATTTTTGTTTTATTTTTGTTTTAATTTTAATAATCTTAATAGTCCACTCTCCATAGGGAGGAATGAGTGTGTATATTGACACATAATAGACAATCATAAATATATAAAATTACTTTTTAATAACACATTTTGCCATATGAAAATAAATTATATTTGCCATTCTTATTTTTACCTTTTTAAAATACATTTGTTCACATGTCAGTTCATAGGTCATTAGAATAAAAAATAATTTTAAATTATGAAATAACATAGAAGGTACATTCATTTCTACTGAGAAGAGATCAAAGATAAATCTGTTGATATGCATTCACAGGATATGTAATTTTTTTTTTTTTTATGGAGTCTCACCCTGTCACTCAGGCTGGAGTGCAATGGCATGATCTTGGCTCACTCAACCTTGCCTCCCAGGTTCAAGTGATTCTCCTGCCTCAGCCTCCCAAGTATCTGGGATTACAGGCACCCACCACCATGCTCGGCTAATTTTTTCTATCTTTTAGTAGAGACGGGGTTTCACCATGTTGGTCAGGCTGGTCTTGAACTCCTGACATCGTGATCCACCCGCCTCGGCCTCCCAAAGTGCTGGGATTATAGGTGCGAGCCACCGCACCCAGCCAGGTTATGTAATTTTTATAGAATATATTTGCTTTAAGTAAAATATATTTTTTTTACCATTTAAATCAGGACATTGTCAACAATTGTGCTAGGATAATGGTATAAACTAGGCTCTCACAAATAACTAGGAAGGATGGTTGGTCATTTGATTTCTCTAGGAATTTGATATCGCCACTCCCACCCCAACCCCAAAAATATACCTAGCATATTTCACAGTGCATTTTTTTCTTAAAACAAATATTTTATTTTTTCCGTGACAATAGATGGAATCTGAACTATTCTTGTATTATTCTGTTATTTGTTGAATGAACACTTACAAAAAATAATTTAAAACACTAGAAGACTGTAAATGACTCTCCAATTTTCTTATCTTTTAGCTAAATAACCACGATTTCTGATTTCTGATATTTATAATTTTCTTAATGCCACTGTTTGCCAATCCTATCGTCTGAATATTTATTCTCTCCCTCACCCCACCGCCCCCCAACAACACACACAGATTCTTATGTTGAAACCTAATCCCCCATGTGGGGGTATTAAGAAGTGGGGCCTTTGGAAGGTGACTAGGTCTCGGGGGCTCTACCCTCAGTAATGAGATTTGTGCCTTTATAAAAGAAGTCTGAGGAAGCATATTCAGCCTTCCACCATGTGAGGACACAGAGGCACTGTCTATGAAGCACCGAGCAAGCCCTCACCAAACACTACATCTGCTGGCACCTTGATCTTAGACTTCCCAATCTTTAGAACTCTAAGAAATACATTTCTGTTGTTGAAAACTTACCTAATCTATGGTATTTTGTTATAGCAGCCTGAATTGTCTAAAAGAGCCCGATTCCATGCTAAGTAATTTAAATACATATTTGTTGCAATCCTCTGACAAATCTATGGAACTGTTACTTTTGGAATGTACAGATGAATAAACTGAGTCTGAAAGAGGTAAAATAGTTCTCTTTAAAGTGGCAGAGCATAGTAAGGGTTAGAGTGGAGGCAGGATTTAAAACTAAGTTTTTCTACCTTTGAACCCTAAATTAATTGATAGATTACTGCTTCTCTTTATGTTCTGACTTATAAGCTATTTCCCAATTACATTTCTGCCTCATTTATTGTGCAGAATTGCTGACTCTATTAAAATACATTTTTGACAGTCCACAAATACAGGAGATAAATCAGCTGGACTTAATGTTCCGCCTATCTTGTGCCTACCAGAGAGCTGGGGTTAATATGGCAGAGAGATCCTCCCCTTAGGTACTTGCACTCTCATAAAGACAAAACAAATAATGTCCTCTTTTCTGAACCACAATACATACAACACAATACATTGACTTCATACTCATGAAATGTTATAAATAACATTTATAACATTCTGAACTAAAGGAATCATGAGCTAAAAGAAATGTTTCTATATGTCTGTGAAAATTAGTCATGCAATATGCATAAATTGGAAATTACATTGCTTGAAATCAGTTTAATAATTGAAGACAGACACATAATAATAACTCTCTTCAAAACTCACAGTAGATTTTTAAATCTTTTTCTGTAATTACTAAGAATCATTATTTCTGCCTCACTTTCCCCAGTAATTATTTACATAATTTCTGTGTCACTTTTAATATATTTATGTAGGTATTGACAGAAAATATCAATGCTGTAAAAATAGAAGGACTTAGATAAGTAGTTCTCTTCATTTAGTTTCATATAATCTACTGTAAAAACAGAGTAATATAATGACATGGAAATTCATAAACTAGTTCATTAATCTTTAAATATCATCAAAAACCCTTTTATTCCTTTAGTTAGAGTGTTCAAAGAACCTACATATGCCAAGAACTGAAATGTAAATGTATGAATTAATCCTTAAAGGTTCTGTTTGTATATCTATCATGTTAATGTGCTAATTAACGTGAAAGGTTGTAAAGAATTATGTAAAATTGAGTGAAATCATCAGAGCTGGGAATTGTACTAAATTATCAGCACAAGAGTCGTGGGTGAATGTCTTCGCTTTGTCCGCATGACTGAATTGAAGTGAGTTACAATAAGATCCTGGAAAATTTACATAATCTCTGATCTTCAAATCCCATACCAATAAAACAAGAAAATAAGAAAACTTCTTCATAGGTTCATTATGGCTAAATGACTAAAAGCCTTGGCTTAGTTCTTGGAACCTAATAAGCACTAAAGAAAATAGGTTGTTTTTGTTTTTGTCAAATAAGCCACCACAAAATCAAGAGAGAAGATTCCAATTCTAAAAGTATTCGATGCAGAATATAGGACTTAATATGCAGTACTGATCAAGTGTTTGATACTATTGATTTTAATTTGTTGACATTTTATTTTTAAAACAATTTAAAGTTATTATATGGAAAATGTGCCTTCCACAGAAGATTTTTGCATTTTGGAAAAGGCTGAAAGCATTGAGTACTGTCATTCTTTCCAACTCTAATTTAGGATTCCTTGAATGTTTGACTTCTATTTGCATTTAAAATTTATATGAAAGTTTAGGAAAAATGTGTTGATTTTATTGAAAATACTAGTAAATCTTTATTAAAATATACCATTTAGGAGGACAGTGAAATTTCCACCAATTAATGCATTCCAGGTCAAATGGTTGAGGAGTGTACTTAAAGAAATAGACATTTTGGTTTGTTTTCATTGTTGGCAAATTTTTTAACATAAAATAAAAACAAAGTTAAAATAATTATTACTACAATTTTAATAGGCCTTGCAAGTATATATTTAACCAATGTTTATGCTCTGCTTTTCTTCTTACCCTAAAAATTTAAACATCACATTATCCAAAGAAATAAATATTCTTATATCCATGAAGACATGCAGATGAGACAGAGTTAGAAAGAGGCAAGATATAGATGGGAGAAATGATCTGTCACATTAAACAGAGAGAGAAAAGGAAAAATTAAAAAAAAATAGCAAAATAGCAAGCGAAGAGAAGTGAGTGAAGAAAGTGAACATTTGAAGAGAATATTTGTGAAACATAGAATAGAGAATATGAGACTATAAATTTTATTTTGTTTTTATTTTTATTCTTTTTGAAATGGAGTCTTGCACTGTCACCCAGGCTAGAGTGCAGTGGTGCGATCTCCTGCAACCTCTGCCTCCTGAGTTCAAACAATCCTCCCACCTCAGCCTCCCAAGCAGCTAGGATTACAGGCATGCACTACCATGCCTGGCTAATTTTTTTGTATTTTTACTGGAGACAGGGTTTCACCTTATTGGCTAGGCTGGTCTTGAACTGCTGACCTTAGGTGATCTATCTGCCTCGGCCTCCCAAAGTACTGGGATTACAGGTGTGAGCCACCGGGCCTGGCCCAAGACTATAAATTTTAAACCATTAACCATTTGTGTCTGAAACTGAAGAGGGCCCCTATTCTACATGATTATTGCAAAGTGTTTTTGTATTTCAAATGTATCAATTGATTAATCCCAGCATTTTAGCCATCAAAAATAAAAATCTATATAAAAAGAGTAAGGTGATGCTATCCAACTAAGGATTTATCTTAGCAAGTACAGTAGCTAACACCAGGAACTAAAGCCTATGAAAGGCTTTAGGCTGTTACCTAGTCTATTACTGATATTCCACTTCAGGAGTGAATGCTAGTTTACTGTTCTCAACCTAGATTCAGCCAGAACTCACTTCCTACTTTTAGGGCAAAAGATGTGGGTACCCAGGAACCCACACCATCTCTCTGTCAGAGATCCAGCAGTCTGTATTTCCTGGGCTTTTTGAGAATCCTTACACTGCATCCATCAGGAGTCTTTAGATAAAGAACAGACTACTTTTGATTTTGCATTGATTCTTGCTATGGTTTAAATATTTGTTTTCCCCAATTTTTTATGTAAAAATTCTAACCCCTAAGGTGATTGTATTGGGAGGTGGGGCCATTAGGAGATGACCAATGGGATTAGTGTCCTCATAAAAGCAACACCAGGGATATTTTCACCTGTTCTACCATGTGAGGACACAGCAAGAAAATAGCTGTCTATGAACCAAGAAAAGGGCCCTCATCAGATACTGAATCTGCCAATGCTTTAGAAAACTTTGATTTCCCAGCCTTTACAACTATAAGAAATACATTTCTATTGTTTATAAGCCACCTAGTCTATGTTTTTTTGTTATAGTAGCCTGAACAGACTAAGATGGAAAATTGGTACCAGGAGTGGGGTGCTACTGTAACAAAAACCTAAATACGTGGCAGCAGCTTTGGAACTGGGTAACAGGTGTAGGCTGGAAGAGTTTGAGGTGCATGCTAGAAAAAGCCTACATTGTTGTGAAAGAACTGTAACGGGAAATTCTGATGAGGGCTCAGAAGAAAAGGAGGAAAGCTCTAGAGAAAGGCAACATCTTTTTACTAAAATATCTAAGTGGTTATGAACAGAATATTAGTAGAAATGTGGATAGTAAAGGTAATTCTGATGAATCCTTAGATGGAAATGAGGAACAAGTTGTTGAACAATAGAGGAAAGAATATTCTTGTTATAATGTGGCAAAGATTATGCCACTTTATAACAAAAGTGGCTGATTGTGTTCATGTTCTGGAGTTTTCTAGAAGGTAAAACTTTAAACAATGAAATTGAATATTTGGCTGAGAAAATATCTAAGCAAAGTGTTAATGGTTCAGCTTGGCTTCTCTTGACTGCCAATGATTTAAACATGGAATTGTTAATTGATTGGAAATCGGGACCAGGCACAGTGGCTCACAACTGTAATCCCAGTACTTTGGGAGGCCGAGCTGAGCAGATCACAAGGTCAGGAGTTCGAAGCCAGTCTGGCCAATGGGAAATCTGTCTCTACTAAAAATACAAAAATTAACTGGGTGTGGTGGCACACACCTATAGTCTTAACTACTCTGGAGGCCGAAGCAGGAGAATCGCTTGAACCCAGGAGGCAGAGGTTGCAGTGAGCCAAGAATACACCATTGCACTCCAGCCTGGCTGACAGAGCAAGACTCTGTCTAAAAAAAAAAAAAATTTGGAATCAAAACTTCTATATTTTAAAAACTTTCAACCTACCTGTATTGGGAAAATGGGAAGACCTATTCAAAAGAGAACTTTAAGAGTTTAGCCGAGGCGGGTGGATCACGTGAAGTCAAGAATTTGAGACCAGCCCTGGCCAGCGTGGTGAAACCTGGTCTCTACTAAAAATACAAAAATTAGCTGGGCGTGGTGGCACATGCCTGTAATTCCAGCTACTCAGGAGGCTGAGGCAGGAGAATTGATTGAACCTGGGAGGCAGAGGTTGCAGTGAGCCGAGATCGTACCACTGCACTCCAGCCCAGGCAACAGAGCGAGATTCTGTCTTAAAAAAAAAAAAAAGAGTTTAATCAAGTAACGTTTGATAAGAAGATTAGTATGAACTCACAATCTCAGTAGAAGCTAGAAGCTATTCATCAATACAATGAGAGCATTAGTTAGCCATCTAAACAGAAGCCAGGACCTATTGTCCAAAACAAAGGAAGAATGAACCTGAGTGCATTTTAGAGATCATCCAGGCTACCCATCCAGTCACAAGCCCATAGTGCAAGGGCCTTGGAGTCAGATTTCAAAGGAAGGGCCTTAAACCTCAGGCTCTGATTCATGCAGTCTGTCACACAGCTGCTTGGCTACATAGGGATAGTTCCTGTGGGTCTGGCTCACCATGCTCGGTACCCAATAAAGCTATGGAGATGTGGTTGCCTTTGTGTAGATTTCAAAGGGTGTCCTGGAAAGCCTCTCTGCCCAGGCAAAGAACTGCCATAGGGGTCATGTGGATAGCCCCACACCTTTAGCATTGCCTTGTGGAAAAATGTCCAGTGGAGCTACAGAGGTGGGGCCACCAATATGATCATGAAACAGTAGAGCCACTGGTGTGTGATGTTAGTCAGGGAGAACCACAGGCATGCAACTCTAACCTGTGAGAGCTGTAGTATGTATTATGCCCAGCAAACCTACAGAAGTAAGACTATAACCTCCAGTAGGTCCAGAATGTGGGACCTTCCCTGCAGCGTGTCTGGGTGGAGACCTCCAACCTGTGAGTCTAGGAGGTGAGACCATAGGCCCAGTGGGACTGAAGAACAGAGCATTGAATCAAAGAGATTCTTCTTGAATTTTAAGGTTTTGGTCCTGCTTAAGATCTGTTACCCCTTTCTTCTGCCCTGTTTTTCTTTTTTAAGAATGGAAATATCTGTCCCGTGCCTGTCTCATCATTGTGTTTTGAAAGTAGATAGTTTGTTTGATTTTACAGACTCATAGCCGGAGGTGAGTTTGCCTCAGGATGAATCATATCTTAAAGTGTCACCCATATGTGATTGACATGATATTTAGATGAGACTTTGAACATTAGACTTATGGTTGATGCTGGAACAAATTATAACTTGTGGGGCTATAGGGATGGAATGAATGTATTTTGCATGTGAGGACATTAATTTTGGGGGCCAGCAGCAGAATGCTGTAGTCTGAATGTTTGAATCCCCCAAATTCATATGTTAGAATCCTAACCCATAAGATGATAGTATTGGGGGCAGGGATTGGAAGGTAGTTATGAGGGCAGAGCTCTCATGAATGGGATTAATGCTCTTATGAAAGAGACCCCAGAGAGATCTCTAGCCAGTTTTACCATGTGAGGACACAGCCAGAAGACGGTCGTATATAATCCAGGAAAGGGGCCCTCAGCAGACATCAAATCTACCAGTGCTGACTTCCCAGCTTCCAGAACTGTGAGAAATAAATTTCTGTTGTTTATAAGCCACCCATTCTATGGTATTTTGCTATGGCCTGAATAGAATGAGGCAGTTTAAAAGTGCATATCCAGAGATAGAAAATTGTGTCATATGACTTGTATTTTCTGCCAAGATCACATGAAAAAGACATATTACCTTATACCGTTTTAAAAATATTCTTCCTTGTGGAACAGGTGTAAATCCATAAAGTTGACAATATGACAGATGGATATATGGGGTCTATGTGACAGAAGAAATAGAAAGGTGATGATTCTAAATGACATTCAGAAGATAGACAAGTTTAAGTTTTACCATTTGGTGCAACTACTAATCTTTACATAAATGAAAATATAGTTTGCATTTCTATTTTTAACTATAAATATTTTTAGCTTCAAAATGTTCTGAATAAAAATGGTCATGTCTTAAAATATTTTTAAGATAGAAAAAGCTCAGTGTCTTAAATATTCAAATGTGAGAGTCAAGTACAGAGCTATCTTACGTTAATATCAAAGTGTTCTCTTTAATTTGTGCTCCTTTTCAACCTCTGTTAACTGCATAAAACATCTGCCCCAAGGTCTTTGAATTTCTTATTTCCTCTGATTAGAACAGATAGCTTTTTATCTCACTACATCATTTCATTGAAGTCTCCTATTTTTCTTGGCCATCCTATCTAAAATAATTTTCTGCCACCCATCAACCGTTTACTCTTTATACCATTACCTTTACAGCAACCATCGAACTGTATTATGTATAATTTTTGGTTGTAAAACATTTCTTAATCTGTCTTAATTGTCCCTCTTTCCATTGTCACTATATTGGTTTTGGGCTCAATCAAAAGAGGACTTGGCACACAACAGGTGTTCAGCAAACTTTTATTCAGTGAGTGGATTTTAGTAAATTACTGTATCAATTTCCTGAATATTTGTAGAGGGTCTGACAACCCTTACCAACTTCCCAAGTCCAAGGTCCATACTTTTTCCATTTCAGTATTCCACCACATGGTGATACTCTTGCATAGTTTCCTTGCTTAAACCTTCACAAATCTGAGGTTTCAAACTCTTCTGACATCTGCAGGAAAGATATGTATGTTGGTAAAACACAAGCAAAAGATTTACATATTATATGGGGAGTTTTATTCTGAGAGAGAGCAAATTCTCCATTTACCCTTTACAGTTTAGATATAATCTTTGACAGCCTATTTACAGGGTTTTATACATGATGATTGTTTTTCTGTCTTAGTTCAATGAATGCTCAGTTAATAACTTAAGCCAAGTCAGCATCCAATTGAAAGCAAAACAATACTGCTTTCTACATTCCTAATGATTTCCCTCTCAATTGTATCATTTCAGTTTCACAGTTCTTATTATTACTGTCAACACTGTTTTTTTTTCTGTCACAGTAAAGCACAAGAAAATGTTCATTAATTTTGCACACACTGACATACTAAAACTAAACTGTTGATTGGAAAGCAGCCCCATAAGACATGATATGTGAGTTGTGCTTATAGTTAAAATGGTCAAATACTAAATTAGAAGATTCACAAACTTTAACAACCAGTTTTTAAACAATATTTAATAATCTTGTACAAAGCTGTAGTTCCAAGCCTTTCTTAATTACAATAAAATACAATAAAATTTTACTTAAAAAAATTAGACTTGAGACCAATGAAAAACTGAAAAATAAAACTTATGCTGAAGACTGAGTTTTTATCTTCCAAATTTGACCTTGTTACATTTCACATTTCTTAAACTATGCAGTCTCCTAAACCCCCAGGCTTTCCTCCCTTTTAGACTCTGTGATTCAAATAACCCCCTGCAGCCACTAATAGCTTTGACAATATATGACCTTAGGCATAAGTACTTCTGTTAGTGGGAGGTCTTTTTTGAAAAGCCCTGGAAGCTGCCACCTACTCCCCTTAGGCAAAGAGTCTTTAATTAGCTGCTTATCTGATCATGCTTATCTGGTTCTGTTTTTTCAAGTTCTTTAGAGACCCAGAAAGAACTACTTTTACTTGAAAGTCTCCATGGCAACACCTGTCTACTTCATCTTTTCTTAGAATGGGAAAAAAAGTTCATGAAGAAATATATACAAACTCTCCATCTCATTCATTTATCCATTTATTCATCTATCCATTCATCCATGAAAAAGTTATTAAATACAATAATAAATAGCAATTTTTGGCATTTGAATGAAGCACTATTAAGCATTATCTCATTTAATATTGATATCAACTTTGGAAGGTAGATATAATTATCTCTATTTTACAGATAGTAAAACCTCTTGGTTTAGATAAAAAGGCAGAATTGGATTTGAACTTAGGCTGCTTGATTTGAAAGCCTGCTCTATTAATCCACATATTATATTGAATACTGATCAGAACAGAAATTTATCATATATCTTTTAAAAAACAGGATGCAAATGTTAGATTGTGGTATTGCGTATCTGCTAATTTTTCTATAGCATATTTTGTTGGTAAATAAATAAATATGATTGCAGTAGAATTAGACAAATATGGCTTGTTTAGAAAAATACTGGGAGACAGGAATGATGCAGGAATGATAAAGAGGTAATTTGAAAGCACAAGATATGTACAGATACACAATCAGTTCTTCAGTGATTTATTCAGCAATAATTTATTGAGTGCTTACTGCATGCCAACACTATTCTAAGCACTGGTGACATAGTTTTGAATAAGAATATAAGATCTTTGTCCTTACATTTTGCATTTACATTTTACATTTTACTGGAGGAGGACAAAAGTCATCAAGAAATATATTCTTTTCTTTTGGGGAGTGAGAATGCTGTAGAAAAAAATAAAGCAGGAGCTGGAGTTGCAACAAGACACCCAGAGCATGCTGCCATTTTAAACCTGAATAAAATGAACAGAGGGAGGGATGAATAAAAGTCTTTCTTGTTGGTGAGCAAGTGTATGGACTGTTGAGGGAGAGAGATCTTGACGTGTTCAAGCCACAGTGTCTGGAACACAGTAAATGATAGCAAAGAGTGATAGGAGATGAGTTTAGAGAGGCAGAGCAGAGGGCCAAGTCACATGGATCCTTGAAGACCACGGTGAGTTTGAAATTTTCCTAACTAGTATGGGAATATATTGAGCTGGGGAGTGATATGATCTTAATCAGTTTCTAATAAATCACTGTAGTTAGTGTAGGGAGATGTGGAGTAGAACCAATATGACTGATTAGAAGCCTATCAAGGTAATGGAGGGGAAAAGTAGTGTGATTTGGATAGGAAGATTATGGTCACAGTGATGAGAATTAGTAAGCTTTGGGATATATTTTTAAGGTGGAGCCATTACTGATAGATTGAGAATAGATGTAAATGTAAACTTGACTGCAAGAAAGATAAATCAAGATGAATCTTAGGTTTATGGCCTAAGAACTGAGTGAATGGTGGTGACAATCCCTAAGATGAAAGAGAGTGTGGATGAAGAAGAATTTCAAAGTTATTATTTTGGACATATCCATTTTGAGATACTTGTTAGACATATGATTGCAAAACTCACAGAAATCACAGCTAGAGATAAACATCTGGTAGTCAGAGTATATAGAAGACATGGAAGGGGGGACAGTGATTAGAAAGAGAATATGGCCTAAGACAAAGTTACAAAGAGGAGAATGAGTTAAAAAAAAAAAATCTGAGTGCAGCCAATAATAGAGAAGAAAACCAGGAGAGTATGGTGTTCTGATGTTCAAGCAAACAAAGGCTCAAGACAGATGGAGTGATCAACAGTGAGAGCTAATTATTCATAGATTGAGTAAAATGCAAGTTAAGGATTGATCATATCACAACATTAATATTCTGGTGACTTTGACATGGTTATTTCACCAGAGTAGTGAGGACAAAAGTCTGATGCAATGCATGAAAGAGAGGATGGAGGAAGAGGAGATAGCTTGTCACTGTAGCAGCATGGAAGAAAATTTATAATGCAAAGAAGAAGAGTTAGAATCTTGATAAACAGAGTTTCAGGCAAAAGGGTGACCTTGTCTGCTCAGACTTGAGTCTGTTTCAAGAGACTAACATAAAAATAATACGGAAGCATAGTATGATAAAATTGTACAGGAAAACATTTGGTGCTATGGTAAACTACAGGACACTTAACACAGGGAAATTCCAAAGGGTTGAAGCGGTAACATTCACACTGAAAGTCCATAGATGGGTAGGTGTTAGCTAGGTGAGAGAAGGGGACAAATCAAGTGACAGCAATAAGAAAGCATATTAGTTTAGAAGGCTGGACTGGGTTGGGGGATTAAGATGATGAGGACTTGGGAAATTATAGTTACATACAAGCCTGGAGATGAAATCAGAGACTAATACAATTAACTATATTTATCTGTAGGCCGGGCACAGTGGCTCGTGCCTATAATCCTAGCACTTTAGGAGGCTGAGGCGGCATTGTTTGAGGCTGGTGATTCAAGACCAGCCTGAGCAACACAGATCCTGTCTCTACAAATTAGCTATATAAAAATTAGCTGAATATCTGTACACAAATTAGCTGGGTGTGATGGCACACACCTGTAGTCCTAGCTACTCTGTAGGCTGAGGTGGGAGGATTGCTTGAGCCTAGGAATTTGAGGCTGCAGTGAGCTATAATCACACCACTGCACTCCAGCCTAGGCGACAAAGCCAGAGCTTGTTTCAAAAAAAAAAAAAAAAAAAGAAAAAAAAGAAACTATCTGTGAGCTGTGAATTCAGACAATGGGGAAATTTTTGAAGGATTTTCACCAGAGAAGCAACATGTCATATTTTAATTTAGAAAAATAATTTTGACAGTATTTTGAAAAATATAGTGCATGGAAAACATACCAGCCATAGGGAGGCCACTTATTTGATTAATGTAGTAACTCAGAAAAAAAAAAAGTACGTATGAGGAAAAGTTGTGGCGGTGGCGATGGAGAGGAAGAGCATCTATAAAGTATTTTTTTTTCATCAGCAGGATCAACACTTCATCAATTACGTTTTTGTTCTATTTTTTGGGTGAATATTTTAAATTTCTTCCTCTGTCTTTTGCATGTCATTCTCAAATCATGCAAAACTGCTGGTTTTCTATTTAAATTAGCTAAATTAATTTTGACTAATTTAAACAGAATTTGTATATAACCCATTTACAGAGCTTTGTAAGAAAACACGACTAAGTGAGTTTCTTTAAAAATATATTGTCACACTATTTTAAAAAGTTTGCAACATCTTTTTTTTTTTTTTTTTTTTTGAGTAATTGCCCTGGTTTTTGCGTTTGTCTTTGGAAGTGGCACAAAACTGTAATTCACTTTTAAAATAAATTATTATTACAAAAGATATGTTCTTTGTATCTCATCATTTATAGCCATACTAGGACAAATTCCCCAGGAGCACAGTACAATTGGGACCTAAAATAATATTTGTAGCAAAAGGAAATATAATTTATTGATTTCTAACTGTTTTCCAAGGTGTGTGCTTGTTTCTTATGTACATTCTAGCTTCTTTGTATTTTTCACAAAAGCCTTTTAGAAACAATAGAGTTACCATTCCACAGATAAGATATCTGTGTTTCAGAGATTGTAAAGAACAGGTCAAAGTCACACAGAATTTAAGAGTTATGAGTTAGGTCATGGCCAGAATCAAGGTGATTCTATTAATGGCATGAGAATTTTACTTTCAGACTAGTACCTTCTAAAAATGATAGAAGCCTTTATTGACTTCTGAGTAGGTCTGCATACATATTCTTTCTTGTAGTAGTTAGACTGGCAATAACTAAACTGGGACCACTTCAAGTATCTTCAGTTCCATCTAAGGACATGGACTCTGGCTTCAACTGCCAGGATTCAGATCTCAGCTTCATCTTTTTTTTTTTTTGAGATGGAGTCTTATCCTGTCTCCTAGGCTGGAGTGCAGTGGCGCAATCTCAGCTCATTGCAACCTCTGCCTCCTGGGTTCAAGCAATTCTCCTGCCTCAGCCTCCAGAGTAGCTGGGACTACAGGCGCCCACCATCACGTCTGGCTAATTTTTGTATTTTTAGTAGAGACGGGGTTTCACCATATTGGCCAGGCTGGTCTCGAACTCCCGACCTGGTGAGCCTCCTCAGCCTCCCAAAGTGGTAGGATTACAGGCGTGAGCCACTGCACCTGGCCAGCTTCATCTCTTCATATGTGATCTTGGGCAAGACAATCTCTTAATGACTCCATTTGATTGCCTCAGCTGTAGAATGTGGAGAGTACTTAGTCATCTCATTAGTTGTTGGAAGGCTTAAATGAGTTAAAATATGTAAAGTACTTAGAAGGGTGCCTCGCATATAGTAGGCTCTATATAAATGTTATGATCATAATATAATTGTTATCATCATCCTCATTACTTTCCAGTGGATGCTGTTACTCCTCAAAGAATGCATGAAGGAGAAAGTACCAAATAATTTTTTAAAAATTCGAGACAATTTTTATCTAAAAATGAACTATTTTTAAGGCAAATTTAGTCAATGCGTGTTTTAGTAATATAATACAAATACTATGCTGTTATTGAGTTAATTGTAGTGTGATTTTTAGATATGCCATTCAAAGGTCATCCATTAATGCTGTCTAATTATTTGTTATCGTTTCCATGGTATACAAAAACTTCATTTTCATTGCTTTTATCAGTTTTGAAAAAAGTATGATTTGATTTGCAAGTCTAGTATCTGTCTAAGATGTTATCTCTGACCTTTACTCTTATTTTAATCCTTTGCATTAGAATTAACTCCCTCTCTTGGACTGCTTTATTTTCAGTGCCCTGTGGTGGAATTTTAACTAAGCGCAAAGGGACTATTTTGTCACCTGGATACCCTGAGCCTTATGACAACAATCTGAATTGTGTGTGGAAGATCACAGTGCCAGAGGGAGCTGGCATTCAAGTAAGAATATTTAAGTTTTTCTTCTTTTCATTGTATGTGTGTAGTTAATCTTTTCAGAGATGACAGAATGAACATTATTTCTAAAAGTTTAGCAAGTGGTTTTGACTGACATGGTTGAAATGAATAGAAAGATATTTGTTATTAATTTTTTTCACGTAGAATTAACAGAAAGCCAATTCAAGATGGCATAAGCAATACAAAAAAAATGTGTTAACCCCATATAACATGGAATCTTGAGGTAAGCAGATTTTAAACATTATTTCAGGGGTTCAGTGTGTCTTTCCTCACCCACGTTATTTCCATCTCTCTGTTCTGCCATGCTCAGCCTGTTGGTTTTAGTTCTTAGACACCTTCTCCTGAGGTCTTGAGGTGGCTGCAAAAGCTCTAGGCGTAACAGCCCTACATAGCAATGGCCAGCAGCTAAAACAGAATGTCCCTATGTTATGTACCATTTCAGTGGTTAAGAAAACTTTTCAGGAAACCTGCCAGCAGACTTTCCCTCCTGTTTTATTGACCAAGATTGCAATCATATCCGTTCCAAACCTATGCAATGGGCAACAACCAAAGATTTACTATGATTTGGCTCAAATAAAACTATATTACGTATCAGGAGTAAGCAATAAGTGCAGCCTCCTATTATGCACACATCTCTCACTTAATTGAACTAAGCCAGATCTGTGTTAGCAAGGAAGGAAGATGCTCTTTAAAAATAGGTAATCAACAGTGACTGTCCTGTTATTTGAATTATGGCTATTTTGGGGGCTGCTATTTGACCAGTTATTCTGTTTTACATAAAGATATATATTTTTTCTGGATGAATTGATAATATTTTACTGCAGAATCAGTATATATATCCTATGAAAGGTAATTATGCTTCATAAATATTATCTAGCCTTCACAGATATAACTTGATTACTTCTCTAATTGATTTGTAGAGTTTTTCTTTAGAAACTTGAGACATATAAGAGTTGTGGAAAAATTAGCCAAGATGCCATGCATTAATAATGAAATTAGATTGAAGCATAATTTTTAGTAAAAAAAATCAGCTTCATGGATTTATAATTGTTCAGACGTTTTAAAAATTACTTGACAGGTGTTGGGAGTAAAATATGCCAGCAAACCAATGACAAAACAAAAAGCATGTACATTTTCAGAGTTTTAAGGCCATCCAAAGATTATAGATGCATACTTACATTCTTGCTAGTTTATAGACAATTTGTCAAATTTGAAGATAACGAATCAATCCTATCTTATTATAGTAGAATAATAAGGATTTTGGGATTGCCCATGCTCCAGCTTGTATAGAGGATCTGAAATGATATGATACCTTTAGAATCTTCATAGAACTTTTACCACATCATCTGGTTATAATCTTCTCAAGGTTATTCAAGAGCATCTATATATTAAATCAGCTTACTTATTTCCATCTAATCTTAAAATTTTGAAAACCCTGACATGTTTTCTTTAGTTATCATCTTCTCTTTTTGACCCACTGCAATGTGGCTTCAGCAACTAATACTCTAATAGAGCCAGTCTCATAGTGAAGATCTAAATATGATTAAATCCATTGTGTGGTTCATCTTTCTTGCTCTGTCAGCAGCTCTCTATCTTGCTGTTCCTCCCCTGACTCCTAATAGACTATTTTTTTCTCCTTAGATCCTAGGACACCAATATTTTCTTGGATTTTGTTTTGTTTTCTCTTCTACATCTGTAGCTCCTACTTCTATATCTACTACATGGTCTCCTCTTGCAATTCAATCCATTGTTCAAATATTAGTGTTTATGAGATTCTGTGGCCTTTGTTCATTTCACTTTACTCTCTCTGGGACCTTGTCTAATTCCATGGCTTCAGCTACTTTTATGTGTTAGAGATGTCGAGGACGTAAATCATAATAGATAATCAGAAAACATATTTTTGAATGAGGGACTGAATAAATGATGACATGCAGACCTAAATATCTAACTCAGACCTCTCACCTAAGCTGCAAAACATATGTCCGACTGCCCACTGGACATTTTCAGCTAAACTTCTTGATGGCTTGTCAAATTCAACCTCTAAAACTGACTTCATAGAATTTTCTCAAAACTATAGAACTTTCTCAGTGTTCTCTTTCTCAGAACAACTTCCTCATCCATTAAGTTACACAAGTCAGAAATTTTGATTCTTTTCTGACTCTTACTCGGTACAATGAAATTCGTCAGGTTTGTCTTTCATAAATCTCTTAAACAAATCTATATCTCTCCATTCACACTTTTACTACCCGAGATCAGATAGCATCACCCTTGTCCCAGGTTCTTATTCTCCTGCAGTCTATTCCCTGTACGTCCAGTAGAGTAACCATCTGAAAGTAAAAATCTAATACTATCATTTTCTTGTATCTAATACCTCAGTTGTCTCCAATCTCCTTATCTCTTTTGACACTGTCGATTATGCCGTTGTGCTCTGTTCTCATTTTGTAACTATTCTATCTGCACTATTTCAGCTCCTTATAAAAACCTAGCTTCATTTTGCCTCTGGACCCTTTGTGCATGTTGTTCTTTCTGTGAGCACTCTCTATGATCTCCTTTTATGTTGCTTATTCTTACTTAACATTTCTGTCTCAACTTAAATACATTTTCTGTGGAAGACCTTCCATGAACTTGAGACAAGGTTAAGTTCTCCATCATATTTCAATGTTACTACTAATTATCTGTAAGCTCATGAGGACAGTGCCAAGTCCATTCTGACAACTAGTACAGTGGAAGTACATGCTGCACAGTGCTTGGCAGTGTATTCTCAGTAAATATTTTTAGAACGAATCAATGAATACTTGCACAAGTGGAGTTTTGACTATTTTAGAGTTAGCAGGCATAACGAACTACTAAGATGTTTGCAGAAAAACTGTGTTATATATCACTTATCCTAGGCAAACACTATTCAAAACTGGACACATATGAATAACACTAAAATCTTTCACTGAGGAAGGACTTTGTTTATTGACTGTACTTTAGAAAACAAAATTTGAGTTTAGCAGCACGTTTAGCAAACATATAGTGTGTAAAGCATTTGGGGCTTTTAATTTTAAACACGCTAAAAAAAAACTATCAAGGACCTTTTTCTAATTAACCATTTACATGGATGCTAGTTTTAGACATATCACTGAGTCATAGAAACTTGTAACACACACACACACACACACACACACACACACACACACATAATATATGACTTACATTTGAAACTTCATTAAATTTACCTAAAAGCTATCTGGCTACTACCCTAGGTTTAAAGCAATGTTTAATATTTTTCTCTGTTGGGCCAAATATGTGTGTGAATAAAGAATTGTATGAATATTCAATAAATCATATATGAGATAAAGTGGGATAATCATTCTTGAAAAGAGGAGAAAAGAAGAAACATATGGAATGCTGAAAAATTACAATAATATAGAATAATTGAACATTCTTTGGGAATTACCTGAACAAACAATTTGTTAATATTACATGAGAATTTCCCACTCTTTGTGGCAAAGAGTGGATTCATTTGTTTGTTTGTTTATTTTAGCAGGGTCTATTGGAGAATTCCAGTGCAGCTACATTCAAAATTAGCAGTGATAGCCATCAAGAAAAGGGAAATATTTATGTAATAAGCCATGGGGGAAAATATGTTGGCTACATTATTGTATCAATTTACAGCATGATTATCGTGATTTTATATAATCTAAAGTAAAATGTAATTTGAACAGTTATATGATAGATGCCTAGTTTTAATGATTGGAAATTCATTACCTCATGAAGCTATTCCATTACCATGATGGACAACTATATCTAACGCAAAGTTACTCTGAACACTGAATCAGTATTTACCTCTTTTAAAATCTTTAGTTGGGCCGGGCGCGGTGGCTCACGCCTGTAATCCCAGCACTTTGGGGGGCCGAGGCGGGCGGATCACGAGGTCAGGAGATAGCGACCATCCTGGCTAACATAGTGAAACCCCGTCTCTACTAAAAATACAAAAAATTAGCCGGGCGTGGTGGCGGGCGCCTGTAGTCCCAGCTACTCGGGAGGCTGAGGCAGGAGAATGACGTGAACCCGGGAGGCAGAGGTTGCAGTGAGCTAAGATCGCGCCACTGCACTCCATCCTGGGCGACAGAGCGAGACTCTGTCTAAAAAAGAAAAAAAAAATCTTTGGTTGGCTTTCATGTGTCTTCTGTCATAGTGAGTACTCGATCATGTATTTGAGTCCCTTAACAAATCTCATAGCATTGTCTGCCAGTTCTTCTGGCCAAATTCTGCTTCTACACTCTTTATATTTTTATTATGCCAAACTACATTCACAATGTACCTCGAATCCCAGTGGCAAATTATATTACATCTCTCTGGCTGCTGTAACAAATTACCATGAGTTTTATAGTTACAAACAACAGATTTTATTTTTTTCCTCATAGCGCTGGAAGCAAGAAGTCCAAAATCAGCTTTACTGCACTGAAATTGAGATGCTGGCAGAACCTCTCCTCCCTCGTCCCTGCCCACTTCAGGGTCTCAGGAATGACAGCATCTCTTCCTTGGTTTTTTCCAGCTTCTAGTGGCTGCTGGCATTTGGATTCTGGCCACATCACTCCAATTTCTGCCTCCGTGTTCACATCGTCTTCTCTTCTATGAATGTCGAATCTCCTTTGGCCTCTTTTCCCCTTTCTCAAGATTCTTAAATTAAGCTCATCTGAAAGACCCTTTTCCATATACGGTAGTATTTAGAGGTTCCAGAGATCAGAACCTGATATCTCCAGAAGCCATTATTCAGCTATATACACTAGACACATGTATCCAGAAGTAAACTGACTTTCTTTCTCCCACCTAGGCAATAGATTTTCTTGGAGATGTCTACATTTTTGCTCTTGCTACCCCACTACTCTCAATAACAGAAAAGAAAATAAATTATTCTCAAATTTTTCCTTTCACTTCCTCCCCTATTCAAATCACACAAAATTTAATAACTTCCTCTACAGCAACACATGTGACGTCTGGGTTCCCATTTTTACTACTCCTGCCTCCAATACACTTGAGTCTCTCATTGTTTTTTACTGCAATACATATTGAAATATTACTGAAATAGATATTGAAATTGTCTTTCACTTTTACTTTCTTCACCCAATGCAGTGCTGTACTTAGAGCACTGTCTTAATCATGTTCTTCCTCCGACTTCTGAAACCTTCATTGGAAAACTGAAGATATCACCACGTCTTGAAGTGCATAGTTGCTATGCTGGGGTTTAGTTTTTTATTGAGTTTCTCCCCTGATCTTCCTCTTAGCTAAGCTTTATTGAGTCTTTACTACATGCAGGGTGCCTTATATGAATTAACTAATTTAATTTTTACAATGAATTTATGAATTTGATACCCTTATGACAATAATTTATGTAAATAATCTGAGGTACAGAAAGATGAACAACTTTCCTTGAATGATATGCCCATGAGGAGAGGGAGCCAGGAAGTTGCAAACCTAGCCTCTTTGATTCTAAGTTCTCTTGTATTTAGCTACTGTACTCTACTCTTTTGAACTTTTTTATTCTTTCTCGAACTTTTCATGTATATTTATTCTTATGTAAATACCCCCCACTGTAGCTAAAGAAGATTACTCATGGTCCACTAAATCTAGCTTATGGTTTGACTCCTTTTACATTGTTAGACACTCAATAATTTCCTTCAGTGGAATAACTCAATATCTTCAGCTTAGCCCAAATGTCAACTCCTGCGTGAATCTTCACATTTTTTAAAAAGCTGAATGCAGTATTTTCTTCCTCTGAATTGAAGGAAAGGGAAATTTAGATATGAAGAGGGAATTGATAATTGTTTAAGGAGGTGGCGGTTATACTACAATCATACGGCTTTACTTCTGGTCTTATTCCTATCTTAGAACACTGCCATTGGGTCTGATGCCAATCATACAGGCAGGGTATCTATTGCCATGTGGCACTCACCCCTGGAAACAGGCACCAGCATTCACTTGCATGGAAGAATAATGATGGGCTATTTTGCAGATAATAAATTTTTAATGAGTGAAATTGTTGTAATTATTTAGTGAATGAGTGCAGTGCATACATTTTTAACAGATTTTAGCTTAAAAAACTTTTAATAAAGTTATTCCTTTCCTTCCTCTAAAACCACAAAAAATTTAATAAAGAAATAGCAAAATAGGTAGCATCCGTAGTTGTGAGGGTCCTGTGGGTTCTTGCAAAAGCTCAAGCTGTGCCAAGTGATGTGCAATAAAGTAACACATGCATCTTTCTCTAAATAAACTGTAATAGACAGGAGAGAATTAAACCTCCCCAGTATTTTCCTTCTCAACTTTAAGGACCTTCACTGTGACGTAGTTACTATAACTCTATTCATTAAAATAAATTTTTAAAAATTCATTTGAATTAATTACAAAATATCATTTTTTTGTGTCATCCATACTGAAACTTATTAAAAATATGCGTGTTAAAAATTTTTAAATAAAAGGAAGAGAAGAAATTGAGCAAAGTTTATGCAAGGAAAGGATAAATTAAAAGTATCCAGAAATAAACCTGGTTTTAAAAAGGTATATTATAAGGTCCTACAGGCTTGTAGACCACAGATCTGGTTTTTCCTAATAGCTACAAGCAAATTAGAAAACTCAAATCAGTACATATACATAAAAATTCACCGATTGTTTTGAACATGCATTGAGATTCCTGGCACTGAGTCATTAGATTAGCTCAAATCTTTTGAAAAGAGAATGTTCTGAGATAGTGACAGACATTGCTCTGGTTATACCCACAATGAACATTGGTCGGTGCTTCAAAGGCTTTTCTATATAAAAATCAGCTCGTGTAAGCCAGTGCAATAATGGAAAAAATCAGTTCTGTTAAAAACCCTTCTATGAAGGGTCACAATTATGTGGTTCAGGATTTGAACTCTCTTTTCCAAGGGGGATTGGTGGACTATAGTTATGTGTATCTGGTTAGAAATGTGTATTCTTACCTGTAATTATTATTTCACAGGTGCAAGTTGTTAGCTTTGCTACAGAACATAATTGGGATTCTCTGGACTTTTATGATGGGGGAGACAACAATGCTCCAAGACTTGGAAGCTATTCAGGTAAATAAGAGAGCTGAGCTTAATTAAAATACAGATATAATTAGGAATATAAAAAAAATTAAAGAGCTATCTACAACTCTTACTTGGTAGTTTTAATTTGCTTTTTACAAACTATACACAAAGATACAAGGACTGAAGTTTAAAAGATTTAAAGATGATATCAATATTGATATTTAAAACCTTATTACATTCTTACCAATTCTTCCTATATTTGTGTAATTATTTATTGATGGTTTTATGTTACTGGTAATATTTTCAGCTGAGTTAGGGTTCAGGAATAGTATGTACGCTCTTTTCCTTAAAAGAAAAGGATGAGCAATAATAATTAAAAATTAGACTGTGCTTTGAATTGTGTGCTATGAAGTCATGAAAATAACCAGGTAAATGCTACAAGGTACTGTTAAATGAGAATAAAGAGAATACAGAATTATTTCTATGAAATGAATAAAATTATATAAAATTAGTGTATACATGTTTAACAAGACCAGAAATAAATAAAATAGAAGTCTTATATTTTTATGTAAGATGTTGACTTGTTTTTAAAATCTGTTAGATTTATTAAGGTTTTTATTTTTTGAGATGTAGTCTCGCTCTGTCTCCCAGGCTGGAGTGCAGTGGTGAGATCTCAGCTCACTGCAACCTCTGCCTCCTGGGTCCAAGCGATTCTCCTGCCTCAGCCTCCAGAGTAGCTGGGATTACAGACATGCGTCACTACGCCCAGCTAAGTTTTGTATTTTTTGGTAGAGATGGGGTTTCGCTATGTTGGCGAGGCGGGTCGTGAACTTCTGACTTCAGGTGATCCACCTGCCTTGGCCTCCCAAAGTGCTGAGATTACAGGTGTGAACCACAACACCCAGCCAGATTTATTGAGGTTTAAAAGGTAGTTTATGCAATAATTTAAAAGCTTCTTTTGACATATAGAAGTTAAAATAAAAAGTTTTACTTTGTTAATTTTTTACTATTATACTTTTTAAACTCTAGAAATATAAATATAGCTAACATATTAACTTACTCAATTCAGATATGCTGAAATAAATTTGAATGGCTTTAAGCTTTTAAGAGATTTTTAAATGGACTTGTGGAACCAATTACTTATCATCACCAATGAGGAAAAGAAAGAAATATCTGGAGCAAGAGTGATTTGATTTAAACATGAACAATATAGATTTAGATAGAAATCTTAGAAAAATCGCACACAATTTTAGCACACTTTTATTTGTAATAGGTTAGGGGTAATACTTTATTAGTAGTATTATTAATTTTTTTTTTTTTTTTGCATTTTAGAGACAGGGTCTGGCTCTATTGCCCAGACTTTGGTGCAGTGGTGCAATCATAGCTCACTGCAGCCTTGAATTCTTGGGCTCAAGTAATCCATCTGTTTCAGCTTCCTGAGTAGCTGGGACTGCAGTCACATACCACAACCCCAATTAATTTTTATTTTATTTTATTTTTTAGAGCTGAGGTCTCGCTATGTTGCCTAGGCTGGTTTCCAACTCATGGCCTCAAGAGATCCTCCTGTCTTACAGCCTCCTGATTAGCTGGGATTGTAATCCCATGATTATTACATGAGCCACCATACCCATCTGTAATACTTTTAAAATAATAATGTAATGATAATATGAGTGATAAATAACAGCTGTTGATTACTAAGTGCTAGCTCTGTGTGACATTTGCCATGCATTTCCTTATTTGATCTTTCTAGCAGACCTGGTAGGTAATTGAGGCTTAGAGAGATTAAGTTGCCTGAGGTTGTACAACTAATGTTAGAATGAGATTGGGACCCACCTGGTGTGACTCCAGAATTAGAGCTCTTAATCAATAACATCCTGTAAGAGACTTAAGGCAGGTGAAATGACCTTTTAAGTTTCTGTTTATCCCTGTCTTCAGTGGTTGCTGTTATCACACTATGGCCAGAAAAGAAGCAAGTGTGTGCTGTGTAATAAATTCTTTCTGTTCTTCCATAGAAGACATCAGGGGTGAGGTCCACAAAGTTGCGCAAAGCAAATGTAAAGAAAGTAGTTACTTATAAAGAAATGTTTGTAATGACCTCAACTCATATGCTTGTTGAACTATGTCTTAAGATGTAGAATTAGCGCTTGTTTATTTTCATGCTTGCCATTTGAAACTGCTAGAGGTGGAGTCAAAGATCTTAAACTCTTTGCTCAATAGCAAAGTCAAGAAATAATTGATTCAAGCAGATACTTTATATTTTCAAGCTCAATAACTTAATAAAATAAATTTGATCTCCTTCAGAAGTCCAGAAAAATATCATTATAATGCATTTGCTGAAAGACAAGAGTAACAGTAGTTCATAATTGGAATTTTTTTGAAAGCTGACTACCAGCTTTGCTGTCAGGGTATAAGAAACATTGAGGCACTTGACCTGGTATAGAATAATCTATCTATCTAGCTGTCTAACTTTAATTCATTATTAAAAGGAAATCAATGACTATATTATCTGACTCATAAAAAGTTGTTACTTTGCAAAGTTCAAAATTAAGCTTATTATTTATTCTTTTTTAGTTTGCAAACTGTGTTTTATTCATATTTTGTGTTTCTTTTTAGTTAGTTCACCAATCTGGTACATACAGGCAGTTAAAACTGGTTATCACTTTGACAATCAGAAGCCTCTGGTATAACACAGTCTTCAAAAAAACATATTGGAAAACAGAGAGAATACAGAGTAATAATCTCTTTGAAAGCAATCATTGCAAACATTCATGTTTCTAACAGAATATAACTTTACATATATATGTATTTATTGTTTATTATTAGCTTGTGCACGGAATACTGAAATCCACATGAAATTCAACATTTATTTTTGGTGAACATGTCAAACGTATAGCTTTAACTTTCACAAGCTCTTTTTGCTCCTACCTATTTTTAGGAAGCAATCTAAAGCCATCTCAGGTGGTCTGTCTTCTTGGAAACAGGAATAGTATATTGAAAGAGGATTGTGAGAAAAATATTTCTATTAAATTTTTTTTGAAAAACAACTTGAATAATGCATATTTTTAGTGGTATTCTATTGGCTGATTAGTAAACTTACTTAATTTTATTATAGTACTTATTATGTGGTCATTGTCTTGCCTTCTCATATATCATTTCAGGAACAACAATACCCCATCTTTTGAATAGTACGTCTAATAATCTGTATCTAAATTTTCAATCAGACATCAGTGTTTCTGCTGCAGGATTTCATCTTGAATACACAGGTAAAAATAATATCATGTGCCATTCAAAAAGGTTAAGAACAAGTTTATATTAATTAAAAATATTTTTGTTGATATGTACATATTATAGCAACTTTCTCAAAGAAAACATTGTCTTATTTTCTTGAAAGTTTGAACTATTACTTCAGTTCAATTGCAAAATTACATGAATAAAGTTTTAATGGTTTCACAAGAATTTACAAGTTTTTTTGTTGTTGAGTAAGAATAATTAATGTGAAATCTACCCTCTCAACAAATGTTTAAGTGTGCAATATTGTATTAACTATAAGTCCAATATTATGCAACAGATCTCTAAAGCTTACTCATTTTGCATGACTGAAACTTTATACCCATTGAACCACAGCTCTTCATTTCCCCCTCTCCCTATCCCCTGACAACCACTGTTCTACTCCATTTTGGGTCTGACTATTTTAGATTTCCCATGGAAGTGGAATCATGAAGTATTTATCCTCCTGTGATTGGTTTATTTTACTGTGTAATGTCCTCCAGGTTCATCTGGATGTCCTTTGGTCTGTATATCTGTTTTTATCCGGTACTACACTGTTTTGGTAACCGTATCTTTGTAATATATAATCAAGAATTGTGACCCCAACAGTTTTGTTCTTCTTGCTCCAGAATTCTTTGGCTATTCAAGATCTTTTGTGGTTCCATATGCATCTTAGTACTTTTTTTATTTTTGGAAAAACTTGTCAGAGATTTTGATAAGCATCTAGTTGAATCTGTAGGTTGCTTTGTGTAGTATGGACATTTTAACATTATTAAATATTCCAATCCATAAAATGGGATGTATTTCTATTTATTTGTGTCTTTTGTATCTTTTCTCGTCACTATTTAGTAGCTTTTCAGGTTTTTTGGTTTTTGTTTGAGACGGAGTTTCACTCTTGTTGCCCAGGCTAGAATGGAATGGCATGATCTTGGCTCACTGCAACCTCCGCCTCCTGGGTTCAAGCGATTCTTTTGCCTCAGCCTCCCAAGTAGCTGGGATTACTTGTGCCCGACACCACTCCCAGCTAATTTTATATTTTTAGTAGAGACAGGGTTTCACCATGTTGGTCAGGCTGGTATCGAACTCCTGACCTCAGGTGATCCACCCACCTTGACTTCCCAAAGTTTTGGGATTACAGGCGTGAGCCACCACGTCCCGCCTACTATTTTGTAGTTTTTAGAGTGCAAGTCTTTCACCTCCTTGGTTAAGTTTATTCTAAAGTATTTTATTATTTTTCATGCTATTGTAGATGGTATTATTTCCTTAATTTCCTTTTAGGATAGTTTATTTTTAGTATATAGAAATTACAACTGATTCTTTGCATGTTAATTTTGTATCTTGCAACTTTACTGATTCATTTATTAGTTCTAACAGTTTTTTTTAATGGAATCTCTTCAACATTACTGATACATAATAATTATTCATATTTCTGGGATACATGTGATGTTTTTGTACATGTATACAATGTGTAGTGATTAAATCAGGGTAATTGTATTATCATTCATAACCTCAATTATTTATCATTTATTTATGTTGGGAACATTTCAAATCTTTCTTCTCATTATTTTAAAGTATACAATAAATTACCATTAACTCTAGTCACCCTGCTTATCAAACATCAGAATTTATTATTTCTATCTAACTGTATTTTTGAACCCATTAACCAACCTCTCTTCATCCCTGCCTTCCAAGTCAGCCTCTGGTAATCATCATTCTACTCTACCTCCATGAGATCAACTTTTTTAGCTTCCACCTATGCGTGAGAATATGCAATATCCCTTTTCTATGCCTGGCTCATTTCACTTAACGTAACATCCTCTAATTCCACTCATGTTGCTGCAAGTAACAGGATTTCAATTTTATGGATGAATAGTACTCCATTGTCATGTATACCACATTTTCCTTATCCATTCATCCATTGATGGACACAGGTTGATTCCGTGTCTTCGCTATTGTGAATACTGCTGCAATAAACATGGGAGTGGAGGTATCTCTTTGATATACTGATTTTGTCTTTTGGATATATCCGGCAGTGAGATTTTTGGATCTTATATAGTTCTATTTTCCGTTTTTTTTTTCTTTTTTTTAATGAAACCTCCCTACTATTGTTTATAATACCTTGACTAATTTTCATTCTCGCCAACAACGTATAAGAGTTCCCTTTTCTCCACATTTTTTTTTGTGTGTTTGATAATATCCACTTTAACTGGGGCAAGATGACACCTCAGTGTGGTCCGTGGAGTCATCATGTTGTTCTGCATTTAGGATCTTATCATCTGCAGACAGGGACAATTTTAATTCTTCCTTTTTCACTTGGATGCCTTTTATTTCTATTTCTTGTCTAATTCCTCTGGCTAGGACTTCCAGTAGTATTTTGATTAGAAGTGGAGAGAGTGGATATCTTTACCTTGTTCCTGATTATAAAGAAAAAGCTTTTTGTTTTTTACCATTGAGTATGATGTTAGTTATGGGCTTTTCATATATGGTCTTTATTATGTTGAGGTAAATTTCTTATATACCTAGTTTTTTGAGAGTTTTTAATAATGAAATGGTGTCACATACATTCAAATACTTTTTTTGCATTCATTGATACAATTATGTGCCTTGTATTCTTCACTCTGTTAATGTAATATATCACATTTATTGATTTCTATACATTTGGCCATTGTTGCATCCCAGGAATAAATTCCTCTTAGTTGTGGTATATGATGTTTTTAAACATGCTGCTAGATTTGGCTTACTATCATGTTGTTGAGGATTTTTGCATCCATATTCAAAAGGGATATTGGATTATACTTTTCTTTTCTTGTGGTGTCTTTGGCTTTGGTATTAGGGCAGGGCTGACTGCAATAAACAAGTTTGGACATATTTTCCCCTCTTCAATTTTTTTTGAAGAGTTTGAGAAGGATTGATGTTAATTCTTTAAGTGTAAGGTAGAATTCACCAGTGTAGCCATCTGGTGCTGTGCCTTTCTTTGTTGGGAGGATTTTGTTAACTGATTCAATCTTTTCACTAGTTATGGGTCCATGTAGATTTTATGTTTCCTTAAAATTTAGTCTTGGTAACTTTTATATTTCTAGGAATTTTTTCATTTTTCTGGGTTATTCAATTTTTCGGTGTGTAATTGTTCATAGTAGTCTCTTATTCTTTTAATTTCTGTGACATCAATTGTAATGCCTACTTTTTTATTATAAGTGTTTTTAAATTGCGAAAAAGCAACTAGATGCTGTAGAAATTTTAAAACTGGAATTAAAGTGGCTACTCTTGACATAGAAAATGTACATTCATCTCCCAAATTCCTGCAAAACTTTTCATCATAAAAATAGATTAGTTCTCCTGTTAAACAACTATATGAAACATTGTGTCATTTCACACATAAAATTATCACAAATGTAATTAGGTGAGTGTTTGGGTAACTGTGGTTTTTCTTACACTCTACTTAAAATGCAAACTCCAGAAGACAAAAATCTTTCATAGCAGTTTACCATATCCTTTAGAGTGTTTTTGTGTCTTTAACACTGAGTATAGATCCTGAAACTTACCAAACAATTAAAATATACTTGTTGAATGAGTAAATGAATAAATGGACATAGCACCTAGAGGTAGAAGATAATGGACATATAATGTTGGTATATATATCATTAACATTAGTATACCTACACTGATGCTGGTGTCCATAATGGGGTTTAGAATCTAGGTGTGCATATGTTTTGTAATTGTGCTGGCTTCTGCTTCCCACTGAGTATTAGCTCCTCAACATCACCTCATTCAGGCCACTTAGTTCCTCACTGAAACACCATTACCTAAACTGGAAGTTTTGAATGACGTGAAACTCTCAGTGGGAGCGAACAACAGCTGCAATTGATAAGCATGTGCAAGTAATTAATTTTTTACTTGTTTTGGTTCTATAATGAAGTTTACTTTTCAGTTATTGCTAACTTCAGATACAATAAATGTATTACTGTAATGCAAATACATGTCAAATCCATAAGACAAAATTTATTCATTCATTCTTTGTTCAACCAGCAAATATTTTGAACACCTACCATATGTCAGGCACTATGCTCGACATAGAAAATGTGAAGATAGACATGTCACAGTATTTTTCTTTGAAGAGTCTAGTAGAAGATTCAGAAAGATAAAGCAATATTACAGTGCTTTGAATACAGTAATAGATATATTTGTGGTAGATCACCCAAAAGCAATAAATAATCAGCTACATTTAGGAAATTCAGGGAATACTTCAAACAGGAGGTGACACTTGGGGTGAGTCTTAAAATATAAGTAGGAGTTTTACAGTTAAGCAAGACGGGGTGGATAGATTCAGCAGAGGAAACTTCATGTTCAGACAGAGCTATGAAATATGCCACATTAGGGAAAATTCAAACTATTTCAGTCGGGTTGGTATATAAGATTTGAGGGCATGGCAGTAACTAAGGCTGCTTATATAAGCATGACTACTCCTGAAAGGTATAGGATGTCGTAATGAGAAATTTGACTTTGTTATAGGTGCCACAGATCAAAAGCAGCATATGTTTTGATAGTCATTCATAATACAGACCATTAAATTATAATAAACCACAAGTAAATTGATGAAACTTTAAAAAGATTCTTGTGTACAACTTTTACATTTCTAAAATATATTGCTGAATGCAAAAATCCTTTATTTGTATAAGATATGATCATTAATATTTAACAAGATGATTTAGTTATATATAATATTTTTTAAACTGTTCTTTTAGTTAGAAATTCTTATTTTTAATAAATGAGAAAAATTGAGCTATATCCTAATTAACACATAATAGGTGCTAATAATACATAGTATCTTGCCTTTTAGAACAGAGAATTGCAAGTTTGACTGCTCTTCCTGAGGGAAATCAATAACTAGTCACATTAAATCTCACAATTTTAGGTCTTGGAAACCAACATCTTTGACGGGAAAGACATACTAGTTGTAATTTAAGCATTTAAAATCATGATCTTTAATGTAGAAAGTAATGTTGAGTGCCTATGTGAAGGACACTCTGCTTAGAACTGTAGGGGAATTGGGAGATGAATGAGACAAATCTCTTTTCTAATTGAGTGAAAACTTTATTACATGGAATATGTTTTTCCCTGTAGTGTATTTGTGACTGTTTACCCAATTAAGTTACAACTTGTTATTTCTATAAAACAAGCAATCAAAGAAAGCCACTGTCCTCTAAATTAATTATCTGAATCAAACTAAAAAATGTAAGAAAGAATTTACTATTGGTAATGAATGAGCATAAGAACAAATGATACATTGGTGTGTTTTATGTGCAGTTGCTTTAAATAATAACACTACCAACTCTCCTAATGGTCCAGAGGCTATTCAAAGTGAATGGCGTTTAATCTGTTAGTTTGAATTCACATAATCTAAATGTTCGCAAAGCGATGCTTTGGGTTCAAAATGATCCCTAGACACTTCTTAAGAGTCGTTAGCTATCTAGATTCTTCACCTAAGAGAAAAATAAACAAACAAAACATAGAGCAGGATATTTATGCAATCTGTGAAATGTGTTAACTGTATTTTTCAAAAACCACAAGGTGGCAACCTATTAGAAGACGATATTATAATCAGCAACTTTTTAAAGCATTGTGTTGATAGGCCTTAACTAAGACATCAAAGCATTTGCTGAATGCTTCCTTTTAAATGGAACATTATTATTTGAAAACTTCCTGAATTAAAGTAAATATAATTAAAAATACCAGCACTACAAAAAGCCTTTAAAGATATAGAAAAATAATAATTTTATCAAATCATAATTTAGCAGAAGTTAACTCTCCATGTAGACAAAGACCTTTCTTTTTTGAAGAAATTTAATAAATACCTTACTAAATGGTACACTTGACTACACTGGTGACATAAAAATACTACAGTGGCAGGTGCTATTTTTAAACAAAGTCAGTGGCCCTAAATTAAAATTATAATTGTAAATAGAAAACTGAAAGGATACAGATAAATAGATGTGAAAAAGAGAGTTACAGGATATGGAAAAAGAGAGGTAATAGGGGAGAGGGACTGATAAAGAGAGATGAGAAAAAGATACATTTTGTTGATAGTGGGGAGATCTGTGCCAAAGGATAACTAACATTCTTTTAATCATTTTTTAAAATTTTATAATATGTTTCTTGTTTGCAAATCTACTGTCTAATCAGTAAGGACATTAACATAATATTTGCTAAGTATTGAGTTTAAATTCGGGAGAATGGTGGGAGATCGAACAAGAAAATTTAAAGACTAAGTATTGCCTTACAGAATTAAAAATACTAATAAATTCTGCCCTGGTCTTTAAGGACAAACGTATAAAACAAGCCACGGCAGCATTTTTGGCTGCATTGCTAAGAACAGGTTGAATAACAGTTAAAATCTGTTTGGTGGATCAAGTGCTACATAGAGCAGCTGTGGTTTAGAACAATATCCAGCAGGGCAATCAGAAAGGCTGACCATTCACTCAGTTGCACACTGGAGACTATTACTCCCAGAAACTCCAGCGAATACAGTGCCCTCTACCCAAGCACCACATCGATTCCCGCCCGCCCAATAATCTATTTTGCTTATGAAAAGGGCATCATAATTTCTGTCAAGTTTCAAAAAAGGTAGGCTTCTCTTGGTAGAGAAACATCTCTTTTTGTGACAATTCAAGAATCTGTTCATTTGTTAAGGCAGATTTTAATAACTAGATACAGAAATTCTGAAGAACTCCTTATGTATTTTAAGGTGCCTCAAAATGCTGGTTGAGATATACAGCCTCTGGAAGAGAAAACTGTGTTTTTAATGCATGTAAATAAGGACTAAGTGGATTTTTTTTTAAATACCTAATTTTAGGTACTTGAGATAAGCAAAATACTTAAACAACTGGGTACTGGGAAAAAATGATATTGCGTGTGAGTGGTGTGTGTGTGTAAACAGGGTGGGCATATTAACTTTTTCCTATCAAGGAGACACCTATGTCACTGCACATTTTTGGGTATTTCATTTGTGACAGTCTCTAAGATAAAAGTTCTGCCCACTGAGTAACATAAGGGAAGAATCACAGTGGGGAAATCACAGTCTATAATCACACTATGAATACCAGCAACAGATGCAGAACACTTTAAGGTTTTCTATAAAAAAGGATAGTGTTTATTTTTTTCATCCAAGAAAGTAGACTCTTACTATATTCCTAAAGGAGTATTTTAAATAGTGAAGGTTTCAGGAAACATGGCAGGTGTTCTTTCTTAGTAAATGGAAATTTGGCTGAGATTCCTCCCAGCAAGTGAGTGTTTTCGCCATCTGATTTTTCTACTCATGAGAAAAAAAATATATATATATATATATTTTTATATATAAAATATAAATATATATATATATATTTTTTCTGCTGGCAGAGTTACTACACAGACATGCCCTGCTTTTTATTTACCTAAAAGGTAAATGCTGGCGGATAGGCTGATTTATTTTTATTTATTTATTTATCTTTTTTTTTCTATTTTTGGAGACATAGTCTCGCTCTGTCACCCAGGCTGGAGTGCAATGGCACTATCTCGGCTCACTGCAAGCTCCGCCTCTCAGGGTCAAGCAATTCTCCTGCCTCAGCCTCCTGAGTAGCTGGGACTACATGTCACACTGCCATGCCCAGCTAATTTTTTGTATTTTACTAGAGACAGGGTTTCACCATGTTGCCCACTCTGGTCTCGAACTCCTGTGCTCAGGCAATCCGCCCTCCTCGGCCTCCCAAAGTGCTAAGATTACAGGCATGAGCCACCGCGCCCGCCAGATAGGCTGATTTTTATCATTATAGTTATCTTTTCTTTGTTGAACCTGAGATAATGGCATTTTAACTTTAGAATGCCTGATCTTTCATAATACTATTATCACTATCAATTATATCAGATAAACCTAATGTTCCTTCCACTCAACCCTTTCTACACCTTGGTCTTATTAATATTTCCAGATATTTGGTCATTTCATATCATTACCTTCCTATCTACTAAATAAAGGCAACATTCTTTAGCCTCTTATTCCAACACTGATTTCTTAATGTTTCATTTTTCACACATGAATTTTGTAATATTCCCCCACTTAATCAAATTAAGCATTTGTTTTAAAATGTAACATGCCTTTCCTCTCTCTACTCCTTTCACGATTCATTTCCTCCACTTGACATGCTCTACTTCTCTTCTTTTTTCTGGCTATAAGACTCAACTCTGAATTGTGTGTGTGTGCATATGTGTGTGTGTATGGATTATTTTTATTTGTGAACTTTTTTATCCCATCAGTGTTCATGTTTTTTGTTTTAGCCTGTGTTTGTTTTTGTATTTTGTTATCAAGTAGTCTTCATTCTTCCTTTCTTCCACCTTGTTCACTGCAGATTAATTTGTCTTTGGAACTGTCATTTGTGAGTGTGTGTGTATTTTTGTTTTGTTTTGTTTTTTGTTTTTTTGGTTTTTTTTTGAGACAGAGTCTCACTCTGTCGCTCAGGCTGGAGTGCAATGGTGCGTGATCTCAGCTCACTGCAACCACCACCTCCCGGGTTCAAGTGATTCTCCTGCCTCAGCCTCCTGAGTAGCTGGGATTACAGGCATGCACCACCATGCCCGGCTAATTTTTGTATTTTTAGTAGAGACAGGGTTTCACCATGTAGGTCAGGCTGTTCTCGAACTCCTGACCTCGTAATACGCCCGCCTCGGCCTCCCAAAGTCCTGGGATTACACGTGTGACCCACTGTGCCCATCCTTTGTCATTTGTTTTTATCTTACACCTCACAGATGTAGTAAGAGAGAAAACATAATTCCTATTTTACTTAAGACTGGGGGCTGGAAGTCAGGTTAGCAAGGAGATGGGGGAGACATTTAGGAGGGAGTGTAATTCCTGGAGTGTAGGGGATGCCACAGTGCTAGGTGCCACAAGCTCCTTGTGCCACTCCCCAGTACTCATTGGTTCTCAGGACCTTATGTGCTGCTTCTCATGAAACACCTGCACACAAATATTGCCAAGGGCTGAGGAACTGTTTGAGATGTCGTATTCTGTATGGGAATTGTTTCAAAGGAAATCAATGATCTCTGCATTCTAACAATATTTTAAGGAGAAAAAGAGAAGGAGACCAGCAAGGAGTCTTGCTTCAGAGGAGCAGTATATGTGCAGCCATTTCTCTGCCCAGCAGCGTGTGCCCCATATCCATGTGGGCTAGGCCCTCACCTCTGCCCACTTCCTCTCATGGGCTGGAGAACAGCAGTGAGATCCCCAGTAGGAGGCCAGGGGAAATCTGGGCAGCTGCATGTTTTCTGAGCATCTTCTCCATCCTTGCTCCTTTTCTACCCTAAATTTTAACTTCATTGATCAAATCAACCCAGCCCAGAAGTGGTCTCTTCCTTCTCTGAATTCTGGTATCATTTCCTTTTTACCTGTCTCAATGCCTATATCTTCATTCATTCAACAAATATTTACTGAACTCTGTGTGTCAGGCATTGTTCCCATTAGTCAACCAAAGAGGCAATATACTTTTGCCCCCTTGGATTTTACATTCTATCAGGTGAAGACAGATAAAAGGTGAAAATATAATAAAGGAGTAATCTATATAACATTTTAGAAAATGATGTGTCATAGAAAAAAATAGATGGAGAGTTGAGGGATCAGGAGTGCTAGGGATAAAAAGAAGGATGTTATGGTGGTCAGGGCAGACCTTATGGAGACTGTGACATTTGAGCAAGTAGTGGAAGGTGGTGCAGGAATAAACCTTACTGGTAAGTGAAGATACTGCTTTAGGGAACAGCTAGAGCCAATACCACGAAACAGAAGTATGAAGAACAAAAAAGTGAGGTAGTAGGAAATTAAATGAGAGAGGAAAAGTAAGTGGGGCTTATAAGCCATTGTAAGGACTTTATTTTTCCTCTAATTGAAATGGAAATCATTAGGGAGATTTGAGCAGAGGAATGACATGCTCTGATTTACAAGGTATTACCATGTTCTGCAGTTCTAATGCTTAGGTAATAATTGTAATTAGCATTCTTGAATTATCTCTGTGCATGAATATTAAACTACTTTTGGGTAGTGTGTTGCACATTATTTATTTCCAATAAGACACAAGATGATGTTTTGCTGTTTTTATGTCCTCAATGAATATTTGCTGGAAAAGTGAAAAACAAAACAAAACAATGATTATGTTTATCTGATGAAGATGATCACTTTGTATGACTATGGGCTATGCCTTGGCTATTATCACTGAGTATACAAATACCTGACTACTACTACTACTACTACTTCTTCTTCTTCTTCTTCTTCTTCTTCTTCTTCTTCTTCTTCTTCTTCTTCTTCTTCTTCCTCTTCTTCTTCCTCTTCCTCTTCTTCTTCCTCTTCCTCTTTCTCTTCTTCTTCTTCTTCCTCCTCCTCCTCCCCCTCTTCTTCTTCTTCTTGCAATAGCAAATTGTGATTTATTTATTTAATTTTTATTTATTTTTAGTTTTTCTTTTACTTTAAGTTCTGGGATACATGTGCAGAACGTGCAGGTTTGTTACATAGGTATACATGTGCTATGGTGGTTTGCTGCACCTATCAAACTGTAATCCAGGTTTTAAGCCCCGCATGCATTAGGTATTTGTCCTAATGCTCTCCCTGCCCTTGCACCCCAACTCCCAACAGGCCCTGGTATGTGATGTTCCCCTCCCTGTGTCCATGTGTTCTCACTGTTCAGCTCCCACCTATGAGTGAGAACATGTGGGGTTTTGTTGTCTGTTCCTGTGTTAGTTTGCTGAGGATGATGGTTTCCAGCTTCATCCATGTCCCTGCAAATGACATGAACTCATTCTTTTTTATGACTACATAGTATTCCATGGTGTATATGTGTTACATTTTCTTTATCCAGTCTATTATTGATGGTCACCAAATACCTGACTTCTAACAAGCTACTTGCACCAAATGTGCTAGTTTGTAATATGTTCTTTTGTTAATTGCTTATTAAAGAAGGGGAACTAAATTTCAAAAATTATATTTTTTAGAGTAAGAAAAATCTTGCTTTTGGGTTTTTGTAAATTTTTTATTCCTTTCAAGCATTAAACAAATCTAAAAGTTTATATTTTTAAATAAAGTTTTCTATATAGCTGCGTTAAATGTTTTCATATATTTTTCCTTTTAAAATAATAAAAGCAAAGAAAACTATTTAATAATATGAAAAGAACCAATATTTGAGGCTCACATTGACTTGTCTATGACTACTTTCAAAGTGTGGTAGATCCACATTGTAAATAGCCATTTGTACCAGAGTATTATGAACTGTAAGCATTTGAATGACTGCTTAGATTCTTCGAAACTAGCTAATGATACCTCCACTGTCATTATTATAATTATAATAAAGAAGGTTATACAACATTATGCTATTATCATTATATGTTTAAAAAGCTAACATTTTCAAGTACTCAGTATATGTCAAGCACATTGCTAAATGTTTCATAGAGGTATTTTTGTTTTATTTTTTTAAATTACTGTGAGGCAGATACATTTTTAACCCTATTTTACAAATGGAAAATTATAGAAAATAATCTCAGAGCTTAGGTACTTTTAAGTTAGTAAGTTGTAGAGTAGACCTCAGATAATTTTATTCCAAAGCAATTAGTCCTAACTCCTGTATTATATCCCTACTTATAACCTCCTCCCATAATTTTTCATCTTCATATTGCTTTTCAAATCTGAGAACAAACCCATTCATTTATTCATCAAGTATTTATTGAGTACTTGTTAAATGCAAGGTACATTTTCTAGGTGTAGGTGCTGCAAATTTGTGTAACATCTAGCCTTAAAATATTTTTAGACTAATTAAGAGTAAGGACATGTAAACAAGTAGAGCAATTGCAAAATGGTGTAAGCACTATTAATATGTTTATGTAAGTTAGTACTTCTCAGATAATTGTGCATTGCAATCATCTTGAAGTCTTTTAGAAACTCCAGATGACAAGGCTACCAACCCAGAATGTCAAGTCAGTTTATCTGAGATTCACTCAAGTATTTGCATTTTTACCAAGGTCCCAAAGTGACTCTCACAATGGCCAAAGTATGAAAATATCTTGTATAATTTAGGTGATGAACAGAGAAGGTGGAGATCATTTGTATTAGGGGTTACTGGTGGTAGAGTCAGGGAAAACCTCATCAAAAGTCAAAAGAATTCCTTCTGGCAAATAAGAATTTAAAGATAGATATGAGAATGGCTTGGCATTTGAAGGGACCTCCTGGAATGCAGATAGATATAAGAGCATTTACTCTGGAGTCAGACTCAGGTTTCTATCTTGACGCTGCCATTTGATGGCCATGTGACACTCAGAAAATTTTTGAGGTTCCCTAAAAACCAAGTTATCTCACCCATAATACATAGTTCTAATTTGAAAGATTGCTTTATAATTAAATAAATAAAGTGCTTATTGCAGTGCCAGTTATATAGTAAACCCTTAATAAATGCTACCCTTTATAGCTGATGAGATAAACCCACATAGCTGGAGTAGTCAAATGGTATAGATTTAAAATGTGGCATAGGCTTTTTTCTTGGAGAAAGAGTAGCCTCATTGAAGGACTTGGATTTTTAGAGTAACAAAAGTTTTGAATTTTAAAGAGGACTTTTTATTTTGGAAAGTGAAGTATGCATTACATGGTGAGAATAAGCCCAAGGAAAGAAATTTAAGAGGAGGCTGTTGCATTGGTTCACAAGGGAAACTCTGAAGGCAGTAGTTGTGGTTGTGTAGATGAAATGGCAGCAGATTCAAGAGATATTAATAAGATATAATTGAAAAGCTTTATGGCCAATTAGATGTTGGGGATGAGAGAGAAAAAGGAGTAGAGGATGATTCTCAGGTTTCTGGTCTTCTGTTTTGTTTTTCACTTTAGATAATATCACTTCTTACATGATAACAGTTTTGCTTTAATTAATTGGAGAGCTGGCCTTTCAACTCCCTAGACTTTTTTGTTTTCAGCATCTAGGTATTGATTTAATTATATCAAGGTCAGCATAAGTGCTTTTATTTAACTGTAGTAATTGGATCTCATATGTTTCTGTGGAATCTAGGAACCAAAAGTATTTCCTAATTTCTAATGATAATGACAAGATAGATGTATTCTTCAAAGAGTAAAACTTGTATGGACGGTGAATATAGTGCTACTTGTAAAGTAAGAAAAAATTGTAATGTGATAGCACATTTATTATATACATATATTTTAAATATTTATAGTCATGCTGCTCAAACTATACTATTTTGGAGGTTATAGATATGCCACAAATAAATTGAATTGGTGCAGTTTTTCTAAGTTACAGACATACAAAGCAAGGTAATAAATATGAAGGGACTACAAAAGGTTTAGAGAAAAATTGAATTATAGAAAAATTGAATGTATATAAAAAGGGAATTAAAAATGGAATTAAAATATAAATTTAAAAATATGAACTCTATTTCTCAACAAAGCTCTATCAAGTTCAAGACACTTTTGTAAGCAATGATACCAGCCATTTTGTCCATCTCTAAGGAGGGTCCTGGGAATTTAACCATGTCAATGCCATCTTTTTTACATTATTAACTTAAGAAAAATGAGTGCCCTGTAAAGAGTTTTTTAAGATTACAAAAGAAAAGGAAGTCAAAAGGAGCCAAATCAGGACTATAAGGTGAATGCCTGGCTGGGTGTGGTGGCTCACACCTGTAATCCCAGCACTTTGGGAGGCCAAGGCGGGCAAATCACCTGAGGTCAGGAGGTTGAGACGAACCTGGCCAACATGGTGAAACCCTATCTCTACCAAAAATACAAAAATTAGCCAGGCATACTGTCATGCACTTGTAATCCCAACTACTCAGGAGGCTGAGGCAAGAGAATCCCTTGAACCCGGGAGGCAGAGGTTGCAGTGCGCCGAGATTGTGCCATTGCACTCCAGCCTGAGTGACAAGAGCAAAACTCCATTTCAAAACAACACAAAACAAAAAACCATGAATGCCTAATGATTTCCCACTGAAACTTTCAAATTTACCCTTGTTTGATGAGAGGAATGAGCAGGAGCATTGTTGCAGTAGAAAGGACTCTCTGGTGAAGCTTTCCTGCAAAAGCTTTGGTTAACTGTCTCAAAACCCTCTTATAATAAGCAGTATTTTCCTTGGTTTCTCCAGAAAGTCAACCAGCAGAATGCCTTGAACTTCCCAAAAAACTGTTGCCATGACCTTTGCTCTTGACCAGTCTGTTTTTGCTTTGACTGAACCACTTCCACCTTTTGGTAGCCATTGCTTTGGTTGTGCTTTGTCTTCAGGATTGTACTGGTAAAGCCATGTTTCATCTCCTGTTATAGTTCTTCAAAGAAATGCTTCAGGGTCTTGATCCTACTTGTTTAAAATTTCCATTGAAATTGAAAGCTTTGTTCTCGTCTGCAGCTGATCTGGGCACAAAAGTTTTGGCATCCCTTGAGTGGAATTGTGTAAGCTGAATCAGTTGAGATGTCTAGGCAATTAGCTATTGTTTCTTCTGTTAAACATTGATCCTCTTCAATTAGAGCACAAACGAGATGATATTTTTCCTCACAAATTGATGTGAATGGTGTGCTTTTGCAGGCTTCATCTTCTTCTCTCATTCCTTCTTAAAATGAGTTATCCATTTGTAAACTCCTGATTGTTTGGGTGCGTTGTTCCCATACACTTTTTGTAAAGCATCAATGAATTTCACCATTCTTCCACCCAAACCTCACCATAAGTTTGATGTTTGTTCTTCATGTAATTTTTGCAGAATTCATGTTGCTCTGATAGGGGAATTTTTTCAAACTAGTATTTTATCCTTCTTGGTGCATGAAAGTAGATTCTATTCAAACATGTTATAAGAAGATGGTAGAAGTCCATTTGGTAAAAAAAAAAAAAAAAAAAAAAAAGGAAATCTATGCGTAATTTTTTTTCATAATATACATTTTTACAAACTTTTTGAAGTCTCCTTGTATAAATTTCTCAATTTGTGTCTTCACCCTAATTGTTTTTTCTTAAACTTTGATGTCTTCTACTGATTTTGTGCTAACAAAAATTACCTAACATATAAATAAGTTTCAAATATTAATGGAAAGGTTGAGAAAAAGAGCCAATTTTGCTTTCTGTTAATAACAAAGGGGATTGAATATTGAAGAGGAAGGAGGCAGGCAGAATTCAAGAAAATCTATTTGCTTGGCAACTTTGGGAGACATAGGAAAATTAAGGCAAACATACCAGATATTGGTGGACACATTTCTCTCTATTCATTAGAGAGAAGTTTAAACATTATTTAGTGGAGGCTGATTACTATTTTGGTATTTTATGATATAGGCTATCATAAATCCAAATAAAGCTACATCATTACTTGTATTAGGAACATATATTGGTTACATAGTCTTGTGAACAAATGTAGCTGTGCTGAATTCATAGAATTTACCCCAAATTTTTCTCACATGAAGTATTCAAGTTTTCTTTTTCCTGATCCACATTAGCACTGGAATATGGGAATCAATTCTTAAACTGACAATTTTTGCTTTCTGGTGTGTTTGTTTTTTCAAATATATTTGCTCCTGTTTGTAATTTTATATCATGCATAATCATTTTTATTGCTAGGGAAAATGATCCTAGCTCATGGAATATCATTAAATATATTGATTGTTGGTAGGCTTCCACTAAGAGAACTTGTACTTTCCAGTTGTCCTGCCACTTGGATTTTAGTGAAGCCTCAGCATTAATAGTCTTGGATTAGACTCTTTGCCTGATTGTAATATGAATATGTCCTTTCCATCTCATTTCTTTAAATTTGTAGAGACACATGTTAAAATCTCACTAATGGCAAATCCTAGAGGGACCTTGCAGCATATGTAAATCAATGAGCAGAATTACATTTTGAACTTATAAAATATACATGTTTTTAAAAGAGAAGGCTGCATGAAGTAATGGTAGTTTCAAGGTCCTTTGAAGATCTTTAGAGGTCTTCAAAAATCTCAGGACGTAGTCCCTGAGGAAGGCAAAGGTACATGTTACCATAATGAATAGATTTTCTCTTCCCCTACACCTAAGAGCACTCATGATTATAATTTTCAGTAAAATCCTAGGAAAAACTGGAATATCTGAAAGCATCTTTCTATCCCTTGTAGTAGTTGTAAAAAGCATAAAATTAGTCTCAAAATAATAAATGCCCAGAAATGTATCCATTTGACTCTATCTTATAAATAGCAAAAGATTCAATTCAGCATAACTGTTATTATTTTTACTGCTTCCCATCCTCGAGCAATATGCTTAAGAGATAATGCATTAGTTCTTAATGAGTTTACTTTTATAATCACTAAAAATGGTCTTCTCCCTTGAGCTAATTATATAATTGATTATTTGGGAAAAACAGGGATTTTAAGATTAACTGTATTTTTACTTACACTAATTTTCTTGTTTTAACTAGTTTATGCACATCAACATTCATAAATGTAATAAATATTAATTGTAGAAATACCTCCTGCCCAAATTAAATTATTAGTATTTGTCATTTCTAATTTCAATTGCCATTAACTCAGAATACATTGCATGCAAATAAGTGTAATTGATCTTTATAAACACATTGCACTTCTTAACCCTATAAAGCCCTTACAGATTTATCACAGTTTGCTTCCTTTTATTTCCATCATATTTTATTTCCTGATTATCTCACTGATTTTTCACCCCTTTGTGATGATGACGTAGAGATAGTTTTAGCCTAATCTAGGTTTCTGAATTTTGTAAACATTGTGTTTTTGTCTTCATACATTTCTCTAGTTATATCATGAGCTAGGGACACTGGTCCTGGTACCCAGGGTTTTCTTGCAGTGAAGGTAATAATCTTTTAGCTGCATATAGAAGAAGCCTCTCATGTTGAGTCAGTTGAAAGACTCAGGATGCTTAAATTTGTGGTGCTTTATATAAATATTTATATATTTTTTGTATTAATACTACTAGAGCACACATGTGAAATCTCTTGATCTTAAACAGAAATATACCCTTCGTGACAAGAAGAAAAGTATACTTTTTATCTAAAATACAAATGGACATCCTCACTTCAGTGCCTGAAACACTTCAACAATAGTTAACATTTGTTAGGCACTTCCAATATTCCTGGCACTACTCTAAGTATTATGCATGCACTTCTTTAAGTATCATAATATGACTGTGAAGTCACTATTTACTCATCCCATTTTATAGGTGAGGAAACTGAGGCATAGAAAACATCTCAGACTTTAAAACAAACCAACCAGCATGCAACTAGAGGAGCCAGGATGCACACAAAAGGTTGTGGTCTTAACTCTGAATTCTCCCTGCATTAAACACAGAAAGTTCAAATACCTGTGTTGGTTAAGATTTCAGGACTGTTCACAGTCTATATTCTGCCTTCCATTTCAGCTTCATTTCTTGCTGCCTTCCACAGAACACTACAATGTGTTTTTGAGAAAAACACTTCCCTCCTTTCCAAAAAAGAAAGAAAAATCTCTAAGAACTCCATTCGTTTAATATGTTACTTTCTGTGTCAGAACACCATACACAACTACCCCTCAGGATAATGAATTGGTAAAATATATAATTTTTCAGTACTCATATGGGTTACTTCTATGGAGCAATTATCTAATTAAACAAAGGATGACCTTCATTTATTGCAATTGTTCCACCGCGCTCTAATCATCATCTGTCAAATCAAACTCCTCTCCTGTTCCGTCAAGAGTCTCTTTAGAGCATGGTTGCTTATGTTGCTGATTGATCTCTGCATTTCTGGAATGTAACATGATACAGAGCACGCAATAGGTACTCACCAACAGCTTATTGAATGAATGAATAATACCTACACGTCGTGATTCTATTTAACTTTTTGTTCATTTAACTTAGTATTATTCTATAGACTAAAATTTGATAAGTAGTGTGTATTACTGAGTATTCATTTACTTATACAGAGTAATTCTAAGTTAAATATCAGTTACAGTAAGCACAGATAAAGTAAATAAAGTATTAAGGATCAAGGTAAATGTTAATGTAGCCTGTGCTACATGTTCCCAAAGCATTGCTGCCCATCAGTGATGATAGTCAGAATTATTGCTTCCAAAAAAGTTTATCCACAAACATTCATGAAGTTACTTGTTACATGATTAGGTATTTGACAAAATATTTGTTTAGTAGATTAATCAATTGATTCTGAGGTACCTTAAGCCAGAAAAATATCTGCATGTTTACCAAAGCAGTTTTCTACAAGTCTTCAAACTATTAATAGTACACCAACTCATATTGGGTTCACCGTTTGATTACCACAAATGTCTACATTATTCTTGAACTCTTATCTTTATAATGATAGATGTGGAATGTGAAATGATAATTTTGGTATATCTTTTTAAAACCCTTAAAGGTAGTATCAACATAAACATAATAGTTGTCTTGTATCCACAATTTAGAGAAAAGATGAAAATCAAAGACATGCAACATATTTGGAATAAAAAGATCTTTACTATCACTAAATACCACCTTTAGTGCAAAGACACATGATTTAACTTTTGTTTCTTTCTCACATAAATGCAAAACCAATATTTTTGGTCTGCATTTTCAATAAATAGATACATAGGTTGTCATGTCAAATTTATGAATGAGTTTTTCCTTTAACAAAACAATGTTACTGGGTGTCTTAGCAGTAATTAAACATTTTCCCCTCCATGTCTTCGTATCTCAATGCGTTAATCACTCATTTGAAATCAATTTGGAATACTAGGACATATATATATATATATATATATATATATATATATATATATATATATATGTATGTGTATATATATACATACACACTTTTATTTACACACACACATTCAGAATTACCAACTATATATGATATGATTAACAACATTTCTGATACAGATTGATTGATTGCTTTGTGAACAGAATTGGAAATAATACGTTTTGATTATAAATAAATATTAGTAATGTGAAGCAGTAAGGATTTAATATTTTCAGCCAGGGTAACTGCCTGCAATCATTTGACAGCAGACAGACATAACTGTGTGCAATTTTTTGTATGGATTGGTCCCTGGATTCATTTCTGATTTTTCTTTTTTTTGGCTACAACAGCAGATTAATTGATCCAATCCCATTAAAAAATATTTAATCAGAGAGCAGCTTTGGTTGCCAACGGCATAATTTTACAAAATTTATACTCATGAACCTTAAAATGACTCAATGTTTTGATGTCTTTTGTTAAGCAGGAAACTAGCCTTGGTTAAGCAGAAGAGAAGCCTTTTCCACATTTCTACAAAAAAATTCTCTTATTGATTCCTACAAATAACTTATTGATTTTGTCACTTATAAAGAGGTGAAAAATAATTCCCAAAGATATTTTAGAGTTAATATTTAACCACTTGGAGATTTATTTGTGTAAATTTAAAAAATGGCTGCAAAATTCAAACTGTAGGACTTTCATGTATTTTTGTTTCATTTTCTTTACTGCACATGAAAAAGAAACTGCTGCAAAAAAATGAATGAAGCCATCAGCATATGACTTATCTGATTATATCATTATTTTCTTCCCTAACACAAATCAGTTGCTGATTGATCTCTTCAAATGAACTTAGCTAGCCCAATTCAATATCATCTAGAAAAATTGAAGGGAATATGTTCCTGTACTTCTAAATTTTCTGCTAGTACTAATTCATCTAGGTTATAAGTTATTTTATTATATACAAAAATAATTTATGTTATTATAGAAACTCTGGAGATGCAGGAAAATACAAGGAATGACATACAAATCACCAGTAATCTTATAATCAAGAATTACAACCACCATTTGGCATATTTACATTTGGTTATTTATCTCTGTGATTATATACATATAAGAATTTGTTTTAACTTACAAAATTGCTTTTACCTAGTTTATAGAGTTTTGTGTCATTTTTTAAAAAGTTAAAACACCTTCACAAACATTTTATTTTGTTTATGTATATTATGTAAAATCTTGTTTAAAAATGAGCATCTCAGTATTCAGCTACCTCACTAACATAGTTTTATTTATTCTCCTCTTGGAGAAGGAAACTGTCGCTACTGGATTTTGATAGTTTTTTATATATATGACCCTGAATAGAGTATTTGATTAGAAAGGAAGAGAAATGAATGTGTACAAAATTTGGCCTTCTCAGTGAGAATGATTGCAAGAATGTCCTTACTGGTGAAGAGTAATAAATTTACTGTTCAGGACTCCCAAGAAACTAAAATTGTACCAAAGGAAGGTGAAATTGTATAGACAAAGCATACATGTTTATATCATAGTTCACTATTTTTGTATTCGGTAGTTTCTGATGAAGACTCTATGAAATCAGATGAATTTGATGTGTGAGGCTTATCAACGGGTATTAAGTAAGATTAATACACAGGGAAGGCAATTTCTATCTCTTCTTAGATTCCAAAATCTAGTTGGAGAAGAAAGTTGTAAACCCTTAAACATTTAAAATTAGGTCACAATTTAATAGTAACCAAGTTTTCCTAGGTCCATAAATTCAATACTACAAAAAGGAATAGAACATGATGCATGCTTGGAGACCTAACTAATTAAGGCACTGGGCATTGGGATTGCAATGTACAGACTCTCCTTATCTAATTCAAGACTGCCTCAAATGTATTCCCAAATGACCACTTTACTCCTGATCTTTACTGCCTGACTTTCTAATCTAATCATAACTCTATCAAGTCACTGCTTTTATGGCATTTTCTATTGTTAAATGTCATCCAGTTTGGCATGATTTAAGCTACTCTAACCATTGTGTTATTAGATAGCTTTCCTTTGCATAATTAGGCATTAATATTTATTAAGAAATAATCTAGATATAGGGATACACTCTCTTTCTTATATTATTCATTCATTCACACAAGTAATGTTTACTGAGTGCCTCCTCAAGACACTGTTCTCTAACGGCCCTTCTGGAGCTTTCATTCTCAGATGGGAGATAAATATTGAACAATTAATTGCACAATTATTTATATATTATCAGATTGTGTTAAGTATCCAAAAAGAATGTAGAGGGTGGTGCTACAAGAATATCTATCAGAGAGAAATAATCTGGCACAGGAATGAAGGAATACATATAAAGCATTATCATTCTTTAGGGTTTAGTTTTCAATGCTTTTTAAAAATGAAATCCGTATGTATACAGTATAATGCTGCTGGAGTGGTGACCTCTTTTTCTAACCCATTTAAATATGCATTAGATTAGCCTGAAAATGTAATTACAACAAAATGAATAATAAACAATGGCTTTTAATGAAGATGAAAAGTTTTTAATAATAATAGTTGCATATTTGAAAAATGTTTTGGCAAAAAAGCAAACATTTTGTTAAGGCTTTCAATGAATCATTTTCAGAAAACCATTTACTTTTACTATGTTTTTAGTTTATTTTGAAAAATAAACTCTTTTTTAAAAAAACATAATTTTAACTTTTATTTTAGATTTAGGGGATATGTGGGTATGTTTATTACATAGGTTTACTGCATGATGCTGAGGTTTGGGGTATGAATAATCTCATCACCTCGGTAGTCAGCATAGCAATTGTATTAGTCTGGTTTCATGCTTCTGATAAAGACATACCAGAGACTGGGCAATTTACAAAGTAAGAGGTTTAACTGGACTTACAGTTCCACAGGGCTGGTGAAGCCTCACAATCATGGCAGAAGGCAAAGTACAGCAAGTCACGTCTTACATAGATGATAGCAGGCAAAGAGAGGGAACTTGTGCAGGGGAATTCCTCTTTTAAAGACCGTCAGATCTTGTGAGACTTATTCACTGTCACAAGAACAGCATGGGAAAGACTTGCTCCATGATTCAATTACCTGCCACTGGGTTCCTCCCACAATACATGGGAATTCAAGATGAGATGTGGGTGGGGACACAGCCAAACCATATCATTCCACCCCCGGCCTCTCCCAAATCCCACATCTTCACATTTCAAAACCAATCATGCCTTCCCAACAGTCCCCAAAAGTCTTAACTAATTTCAGCATTAACTCAGTAGTTCACAGTCCAAAGTCTAATTCAAGACAAGGCAAGTCCCTTCCATCTATGAGCCAGTAAAATCAAAAGCAGTTTACTTCCGAGATACAGTGGGGGTACAGGCATTGGGTAAATACAGCCATTCAAAATGGGAGAAATTGGCCAAAACAAAGGTGCTACAGGCCCCATGCAAGTTCAAAATCAAATGGGGCAGTCATATCTTAAAGTGCCAAAATGATCTCCTTTGACTCCATGTCTCACATCCAGGTCATCCTGATGTAAGAGGTAGGTTCCCTCTTAGGAAGCTCCACCCTCGTGGCTCTGCAGGGTACAGCCTCACTCCTGTCTGCTAACATTGAGTGTCTGCAGCTTTTGTAGGTGCATGATTCAAGCTGTCAGTGGATCAACCATTCTGGGGTCTGGAGGATGGTGGCCTTCTTTTCATAGCTCCACTAGGCAGTGCCCCAGTAGGGACTCTGTGTAGGGGCTCTAACCCCACATTTCCCTTCCACACTACCCTATCAGATGTTCTCCATGAGAGCCCTGCCTCTGCAGCAAACTTCTACCTGGAAATCCAGGCATTTCTATACATCTTCTGAAATCTAGGCAGAGGTTCCCAAACCTCAATTCTTGACTTCTGTGTACTCTCAGGCTCAACACCACGTGGAAGCTGCCAAGGCTTGAGGCTGGGATGAAGGTCATCAAGTCCCTAGGCTGCACACAGCATGGGGACCCTGGGCCTGGCCCATGAAACCACTTTTTCCTCCTAGGCCTCTAGGCCTGTGATGGGAGGGGCTGCCATGAAGACCTCTGACATGCCCTGGAAACATTTTCCCCATTGTCTTGGGGATTAACATTCGACTCCTCATTGCTTATGCAAATTTATGCAGCTGGCTTGAATTTCTCCTCAGAAAATGGGATTTTCTTTTCTATCACATTGTCAGACTGCACATTTTTCAAACTTTTATACTCTGCTTCCCTTATAAAACTGAATGCTTTTAACAGCACCCAATTCATGTCTTGAATGCTTTGCCCCTTAGAAATGTCTTCCTCCAGATAACCTAAATCATCTCTCTCAAGTTCAAAGTTCCACAAATCTCTAGGGCAGGGGCAAAATGCTGCCAGTCTCTTTGCTAAAACATAACAAGAGTCACCTTTGCTTCAGTTCCCAACAAGTTCCTCATCTCTGTCTGAGACCACCTCAGACTGGAACTTACCCTTCATATCACTATCAGCATTTTTGTCAAAGCCATGCAACAAGTCTCTAGGAAGTTCCAAACTTTCCCATCTTTTCCTGTCTTCTTCTGAGCCCTCCAAACTGTTCCAACTTCTGTCAGTTATCCAGTTCCAAAGTGGCTGCCACATTTTTGAGTATCTTTTCAGTAACACCCCACTCTACTGGTACCAATTTACGATATTAGTCAGTTTTCATGCTGCTGATAAAGACATACCTGAGACTGGGCAATTTACAAAAGAAAGAGGTTTAATTGGACTTGCAGTTCCACAGGGCTGGTGAAGCCTCATAATCATGGTGGAAGGCAAGGAAGAGCAAGTCCTGTCTTACATGGGTGACAGCAGTCAAAGAGAGAGAGCTCGTGCAGGGGAACTCCTCTTTTTAAAACCATCAGTACTCATGAAACTTATTCACTGTCATGAAAACAGCATGGAAGAGACTTTCACCCATGATTCAGTTACCTCCCACCAGGTTCCTCCCACAACACGTGGGAATTCAAGATGAGAATTCCCACGTGTTGTGGGAGGAGACACATGGGAAGTGGAATATGGAGGGGACACAGCCAAACCGAATCAGTACTCATAGATTTTCAACCCTTGCCCTCCTCTTTCTTTCCCCTACCAAGTAACCCCCAGTGTCTGTTGTTTCAATCTTCATCCACATGTCTACTTAATATTTAGCTCCCACTTATAAGTGACAATATGTGGTATTTGGTTTTTTATGCCTGCATTAATTCTCCTCAGATAATGGCCTCCAGCTGTATCCACATTCCTGCAAAGGACATGATTTCACTGTATTTTTATGGCTGCATATTATTTAATGGCTGCATATTATTTAATGATGGGCACCTAGGTTGATTTCATGTCTTTGCTACTGTGAATAGTGCTGTGATAAACATACGAGTGCATGTGTCTTTTGGTAGAATGATTTTTTTTCCTTTGATTCTACACCCAGTAATGAGATTGCTGGGTTAAATGGTAGTTCTAAGTTCCTTGAGAAATCTCCAAACTGTTTTCCACAGTGGCTGAACTAATTTACATTCCCACCAACAGTGTAAAAGCATTCCTTTTTCTCTGCAGCCTTGCCACCATCTGTTTTTCTCTGACTTTTACATCATAGCCATTGTGACTAGTGTGGGACGGTATCTTACTGTGGTTTTGATTTGCATTTCTTTGGTGATTACTGATATTGAGCATTTGTTCATGTTTGTTGGTCATTCATGTGTCTTCTGAGAAGTGTCTATTCATGACTTTTGTCCACTTTTTATTTTTTTATTTTTTATCTATTTATTTTTTTTGACAGACTCCAGCTCTGTCGCCCAGGCTGGAGTGCAGTGGCACAATCTCTGCTCACTGCAAGCTCCGCCTCCTGGGTTCATGCCGTTCTCCTGCCTCAGCCTCCCGAGTAGCTGGGACTACAGGCACCTGCCACCACGCCTGGCTAATTTTTTATATTTTTAGTAGAGACGGGGTTTCACCGTGTTAGCCAGGATGGTCTCAATCTCCTAACCTCGTGATGCACCTGCCTCAGACTTCCAAAGTTCTGGGATTACAGGCATGAGCCACCACGCACGGCCTTGCCCACTTTTTAATGGGGAATTTGTGTTTTGCTTGTTGACTTAAGTTCCTTATACATTCTGGATATTAGAGCTTTGTCAGATGCATAGCTTACGAACATTTTCTCCCATTATGAACATTTTCTCCCATTCTGTAGGTTGTTTGCTACTCCTTTAACAGTTTCTTTTGCTGTGCAGAAACTCTGTAGTTTAATTAGGTCTTACTTGTCAATTTTTGTTTTTGTTGCAATTGCTTTTGAGGATGTTGTCATAAATTCATTGCCAAGGCCAATGTCCAGAGTGGCATTTCCTAGATATTCTTCTAGAATTCCTGAAATTTGATGTCTTACATTTAAATATCTAATCCATCAAGAGTTAGTTTTTGTAAATGTGAGAGATAGGTGTCTATTTTCATTCTTCTGCATATGGCTAGCCAGTTATCCTAGCACCATTTATTAAATAGAGTTCTTTCCCCATGGCTTGTTTCTGTCAACTTTGATGAAAATCAAGTAGTTGTGGATGTGTGGATTTATTTCTTAGTTCTCTATTCCACTCCATCCATCGTTGTGTCTGTTTCTGTACCAGTACCATGCTGTTTTGGTTACCATAGCCTTGTAGTATAGTTTGAAGTAGGCTATGTGATGACTGTAGCTTTGTTCTTTTTTTGGTTTAGGATTACTTTGGCTATTTGGGCTTTACTTCAGTTCCATATGAATTTTAGCACAGTTTTTTTCTTAGTTCTGTGAAAAATGACGTTGGTAGTTTGATGGAAATAGCATTGAATCTGTAGATTGGTTTGGGAAATATGGTCATTTTAACAATATTGATTCTTCCAATTCATGAGCATGGAATGTTTTCCCATTGTTTTTGTCATCTATGATTTCTTTCAGAAGTGTTTTGTAGTTCTCCATGTAAAGATCTTTTACCTCCTTAATAAGATGTATTGCTACATGTTTTATTTGTTTTGCAGTTATTGTAAATGGGGTTGCATTCTTAATTTGACTGTCAGCCTGGATGTTGTTGGTGTATATAAATGCTACTAATTTTTGTGCATTGATTAAATATCCTGACACTTTATTGAAGTTGTTTATCAGTTCTATGAGCCTTTTGGCAGATTCTTTATGGTCTTCCAAGTATAAAATCATGTTGTCAGTGAAGAGAGATAATTTGACTTATTGTTTTTTCCTTTTTGGATACCTTTTATTTATTTCTATTGCCTGATTGCTCTGGCTAGGACTTCCAGAATTATGTTGAGTACAAGTGGTGAGAGTGAACATCCTTTTCTTGTTCCTCTTCTCAACATGAATTATCCCAGCTTTTGCCCACTCAGTATTATATTGTCTGTGGGTTTGTCATATATGGATCTTATTATTTTGAAATGTGTTACTTTAATGCATAGTTTCTTTAGGGTTTTTATCATTAAGTGATGTTGGATTTTATTGAAAGCTTTTTCTGCATCTATTGAAATGATCATATGGCTTTTATTTTTAATTCTATTTACATGGTGAATCACATGTATTAATTTGCATATGTTGAAACAACCTTGCATCCCAGGAAGAATCCTGTTTGATCATGGTGAATTAACTTTTTGATATGCTACTGGAGTTGGTTTGATAGTATTTTGCTGAGGATTTTACGAACTGTGTTCATCAGAAATATTGTCCTGTATTTTTCTTTTTTTGTTGTGTCTTTGCCGTGTTTTGGTATTAGGTTAATGGTGGCCTTTGTAGAACGAGTTAGGAAAGTCCCTTCTCATTGAATTTTTGTAAGTTTTGGTAAATTGGTATCAGCTTTGTATGTTTTGTAGAATTCAGCCATAAATCCATCTGGTCTGGGGCTTTGTTTTTATTCTTGGTAGGTTTTTTTCTTACTGATTTTATTTTAGAACTCAGTGGTCTGTTCAGGGTTTCAGTTTCTCACTGATACTATCTTGGGAGGTTGTGTGTTTGCAAGGATTTATTCATTGACTCTAGATAAAAAATTCTATCTTGGGAGGTTGCATGTTTCCAGGAACTTTTTCCTTTGCTCTAGATAAAAAATAAGTTCTTACCTAATAAAAATAATGAAAGTGTTTTGAATTACATTGTTATCTCCTTATCAGAAAAATACTGAATTCAAGTAGCACATAATACTTTTCAGGTCTCAATGAGACACCAGTTTTTCTCCTTTCTTTCCTTTTTTTTGAGATGAAGTCTCGCTCTGTCACCCAGGCTGGATTGCAATGGCAAGATCTCAGCTCACTGCAACCTCCGCCTCCTGGGTTCAAGCAATTCTCCTGCCTTAGCCTCCCAAGTAGCTGGGATTACAGCACCTGCCACCACACCTGGATAATTTTTGTATTTTTAGTAGAGACGGGGTTTGACCACGGTGGCCAGGCTGGTCTCAAACTCCTGACCACAGGTGATCCACCCACCTCAGCCCCCCAAAGTGCTGGGATTACAGGCATGAACCACCGCACTTGGCCTCTCCTTTTTGATTATAGTATCTTCAGAGAAAGAAAAGTTCTACTTACAACTATATTTTAAAAATTTTACATATAATAAGAAGTACATCAAAATGTACCTCATAAATTTAAAAGCCGATTCAGAATAAAAGAAGAAAGAGTTAAGCAAGGAAGACAAAATAGCAAATAATTTTTAAGTTTTTGCTAAGAATGTTTTTAAAGTATTATTTATTTCTATTATCATAATAAATTATTTTTAATTTTCATGTAGGAATTTTCTTTTCAGAAATTTTTACTTTTGTTTCACAGTAGAAAACAATTAAGCCTGGAGTTAAAACACAATTTAGGTATATTCACACAGCTAGCTTAATGACTGGTGCCATAAAAATTAAAATTGTATAGCTTTATAATGATGTTCAAATGTGCATTATTCTTGACATCTACAGTTAAATCTTGTTCACAGAACGTTCTCAACGTCTCAATATAGTATCTAGTTTGATGAGACACTGATATTCAATTTTAGCAACTTAATATGCATAACTTAAGCATTTATCACTTGAAAGTTACTTAAATTGTTATCATTAAATATTCTTAGCAATTGGTTTGGATTCCTGTCCTGAACCACAAACTCCTAGCAGTGGAATTAAAATTGGAGACAGATATATGGTTGGAGATGTAGTATCCTTTCAGTGTGATCAAGGATATTCTCTTCAGGTAAGTCTATTTTAAAGTTGTGGTTTTGATTTTCATGGCCCTTTCAGAATATTTTACAAATCAATGATTGATAAGCCACGGGTTTTACAACATTGATCCTGGTTTGTGTCTGAGGTCAAAAGGGTGCTCAATTTGATAATAAAATATGCACATGAGAAATATTGCTGGAATTGACTAAATTTGTTTTGTTTGGAAGTAAACAAAACTGATTTTGAGTCAAAATTAGGAAAGTTAGGGAAGTCCTTTCTCCTTGATTTTAATTAATTAGATTAAAGTCTTTTAAAGTAAAAATTAATCTTTACTTTTGTCTCTATTCACATAGGATTGTGACAACTGAATTCCTGGATTTTTAGAATTTGAAAATAAAGGGAAATGCCACTTAAAACACTGAATGAAACTTCCATAACAATACATTTCCCAAATTAGTGAAAATTTACTACAAGTATATTTTGCTAAGGAACTGGATTTGCAATGTATATTCTGATTTTATGTATTTATATTGATCTTTTTTGATTTTTTTTGTCGAGGGTCCCAGGTTTATAGTAACATAAAAATTTCCTTAAAGAATAAACTCATTAAGATAAAAAGTTAAGGAAAATACTGTTTCACATATTAGATAAATAAATTCTTCAGAGAAAGCAAAATTAAAAATTAATAATTTATAGTCTTTAAAGTTGTATCACAAAATTATAAATCTCAGAAGTGCAAACAGATCTTTCAGGACTTTATATTTCAATATAAAAGTTAATATACTTTGACTTGTTTTAATATTTTTGTGAAAAAATTTTAAAATTATTCTTTAACCTACTTCACCTTGTGTGTTATAGCAATTTATTATAAACCACCATGTATACTGCCCTTTCACTTATATAATCACTGCAATATCTTAGTAAAACATATTGTTATAGGAAAATATTAAAACCGCAATTCTAATATGATATGAAGTATTATTTTTTCTACCACTATCATGTAGCTATTTCTTACATTTTATCATAGGTGTATATAATCACCTTTCTTACTTTAATCATGCTAAGATTTTCATATAAGTAAATATGTGTATAAAAATAAAGCCATGTACTTAAGCTTGTTTTTATAATAATAATTGACTATGCTACAATAAATTTAAACTTTTTATGTATGTGTACTGAACCACATCATTTTGTTTATGTAGGGTCACTCTCACATTACATGTATGCCAGGACCTGTAAGAAGATGGAATTATCCAATCCCAATTTGTTTAGGTAAGTTAAAAGACTATAAAGTATTTACCCTAGAACTTAAAGTGTAAAAAAAAAGACTATAAAGTATTTGTAAGCTTCATCAGATTTTAAAGTTTCATTCTGTATATCATGATTTTCAAACATATAGTTTGCCTTTTACCAGATCTTATGGAAATGACTTTTTGAGGAAAATATTTCACATCTTCTTTTTTTTAATTTAAAATTTTTATTTTTATTTATCCTCAACTTCAGTATCAGTGGATGACTTAAGCTGTAGAAATTAAGAAAAGACTTAAAAAAATTCTTAGAGAGTTTTCTCAGTATATCTATTGAACAGAAAAATAAGTAAATATTCTATTGCTTACTATTGAGCGGGAATAGATAAAGAATCTAAAGTGTCTAGCAAAAGGAGTATGACACCTCATGAGATGTCTTTAGTGGTGTCAGGCAGTCAAGATATGGAATATATTAAAAGGAAACTTGGGTACTTTGAAAGTACAGGTGCACATTTTTGCTTTAACTCAATGCTGCTTCCAAATTACTTCTATTCATGCTTTTTTTTCTCTTCCTCATTTTTTTTTGTATTTGTGTGCAACTATTAATATACTGGGCTGTAAAGAGTAAGAGAAAGTAATGTGAGGTATGATCCCTACCTTTAAAACATTCAATTACTATTTGGAGTACTAGAAATAAAATAAATGAATTTGTTATCAAATAATTTAGAGTTAAATTTTATCATTAACTACATGATGGAATTTCAGAAAAGTGAGACTGGGGTTGACTAAAGTATTGGCAAACATATTCAGCCTGCAAGGTTTTCACAGAGTTTTGGATAATAAGTCTAATTAAGACACATGGAGGAAGAAGATATCTCTTTCTGAGTTGGAGAAAGAGCCCAAGTCAAAAAAAAAAAAAAAAAAAGTCCATGACTTGTGTGACTTAACTCTGCACAATGACCGTACCTGTATTACATTCCTCTGCTTGGGTTTCCATAGCAGAACACTCCAGATTGGGTAGTTTAAACAACAGAAATTTATTTTCTCAGAGTTCTGGAAGCTTGAAGTTACAAAACAAGGTGCTAGCAGATTGGTATCTTCTAAGGGCCTCTCTTGTTGGCTTGTAGATGGTATCTCTTGCATGATCTTTGGTTTGTGCACCCACGCTCCTGGTGTCTCTTCCTCTTCTTAAAGGACACCAGTCCTATTGGATTAAGACCCTCCTCTTATGACCTCATTTAACCTTAAGTACCTTCATTAAGGCCCTATCTCCAAATACAGTCACATTAGGGGTTAGGACTTCAAAATATAAATTTTGGGGGGACATAATTAAGTCCACAACATCTGCGTAAAATGCACACAATTCTTTTTGAAGAGTACTGAAAAATGTTTAAGAGTGATGATGTGTTTAATTGGCAAAGTACATTGAAAACACTCAGACTTTAAATTGGATGATTTTTTTAAGGGAAGTTTTTAAGGTACTATGATTAATTTGTAAATGCATATTATACCAATTTTAAAATTACCTCATATATATACATGTAATGCAATTCTGAACACTTACATATGTGCAGATAATGGTGATTGTAAATATATTGTGTGGTGTGTGTGTGTTTATGTGTATATCCAATTGAGTATAAAAGTTGAGAATATAAAAGAGCACAAAGAGTAAAATAAATATGTTTTTTTCTGCTAATATGAAAGCACAGAGTTTAGATCTTTCATCCATTACCATATTGCTAGTGCCTGAAAAGTTTCTCATCTTAAATAGGCATCCATTATATACTGTTTAGTGAACAAATTAATGTAAAGGCTTGGGATACTATATATATATAGTAATGTTTTTCTTTTTGATGTTAACGTGTAAGAATTTCTCATACCATATTGTTTTCAAAATTTGAAATGTCAAAAACTACAACTGAAACAAACAAAATTTGAATTTTGATTCTTGACACATAGCATTGTCTAATTTGTGCAATTACTTCTTTTTCGTTAAAAGTTTATTTCTCATCTTTTGATATTATAAATTACATATTTATTTTTTCACATTATGTACTTCATAATTTTATATTTATTATGAACACATCTCATATCATAATTAGAAAACAGCTCTAATAGCTTGTTTATAATTTTTCTTAAATAGATTAATTATGTCACTGAATAGAACTGCTTAAAACCTTTCATAAATATTATCAAATTGCTCCAGAAGGTTGTACCAATTTAAATACCACTCTATTATTACAGGACAGTTCCCATCTTGCTATATTGCTTACATCAATTATTATTCTTAAAAAATTATCAATTTTCTCAGCACCATAAGACAGGGCAAAAGAGAAATAAAATGTAACAAAACAATTTTTTAAAAAATTACTTTTTTAGTAGATAAAGTATCATTTTGATTAAGTTTACATTTATATTATAAACTAAATTAGAAAAATTGTTTTATTATATAATTTTGTATTTTTAGTAAAGTTGGGGTTTCACCATGTTGGTCATGCTGGTCTCGAACTCCTGACCTCAGGTGATCTGCCTGCCTCGGTATACCAGTGTGCTGAGATTACAGGCATGAACCACCGCACCTGACCCATTTTAAATTCCTTTTTACTCTTTTTTTTTGTATTTTATAAATTTTGAACAATAAGCTGGTACTACATGTGACAGAGTATTAAAATATTGGCAGTGATACAATAGCAATATTGTAAGGAGAAACTAGAAGCAAGAGGCTGATTCAGCGAATGTCTTAAAACACTAGTCATCAGATAACAAGGCTACAGCCTCGTGAACTGGAAAATAAGCAATCTGCCAGATATTTTGATGGAAAGAAGGAAAATTTATGTGAGATTTTAGATATTAGAGACAACTAAGATGAAAAAACAGAAGTTGATTTTATTTTGGAAGACTAAGGTATGGTTGTCCCTAACAAAAAGAGTGTAATGGGACACAAAAGAGTGTACATGAAGCTGCTGATGACACACACAAAATTGATATTCAAGGCATAGGAGTGTTGAGATTGCAGAGATACTGAGGAAATAGACATGAACAAATTGCTGAAGGCAGATGCATTCTTTGGTATCCTTCTTCATATGTCTCTAATGATTTGTCATTGTTTTTCTTCTGTTGTTGTTATCTCTTTACTCTATTCTGTTTTCTTTTTCTCTTTTGGTTTTGGTATTTTTCACCCTGAAAGGTGGGGCCATCAATGCAGAGGACAGGAATTCCAGTTCATATCTAAAGAGATAGAAAGTAACAGAATTAGAAGGACAATCAGCAGCTCAAAGACTTGAAATTGTGAAGGCAAGAAAATAAAAGATAGTCCTTGCCTTTTACTCAAATTTCAGAATAAAGCAAAACAAACCTACAAATGTATTGCCATAAACTTTAAAAATATTTTAATTGAGCAAACTATTGTTTTTACAACTCATTAATTATCAGATTTTGTGATGAATATGTGTGAACAATTGAATTTAGGAAAATGAATTGGTAAATACTAACTTCATTGAAAATTGATTTGGTTTAAGGGTGAATTAACGAGATTTCAGAAGCATAAAAAAGCATATGGGTATATCTTTAGAGCTTGATTATAATCACAAGTTTGATGAAAGGTTTATATGCAGGTTGACTCCAAGATTATATAAAATCAGATTGACACATAATTTATTTAGTTCACATAGCAAAAGATAGTTGTCAAACTTATTGAATATTGTATAAAACATTGTTAAAATTCCTACTGAATTTGCCTTTAAAATATATAACCTGAGATTTGAGTATCTGTGTGTTGCTACTCTTGGCACGAAATAAATGGATGCGATTGCAAATAAGTATTCTGTATAGGTAACTTTTGAACTTCATTTGTAGTCATGAAATTTGATTCTTCATCTAACAATAAAATGATAAAAATGTGCTTTAGACGGTCAAGAATAGGTTTCTAAAATGCAATTGCCTTTCATATATGCTCAAGGGTTCTATCTAATTATATTTAAAAACTTGAGTAAATTTCTGGTCTTAGAGCTTTTGCTTACCTTATTGATAGTAAACCGTATAATAGGGATTCCAAGACAAGCACATTTACGAACTCCCTACATTCTCAAATTTGTGTGCATCTTTTTACTTATTTTTACTTCTCTATTTTTTGTCTTGATTCTTTTAGGATAAAATAAGGCCATATCTAATGTGTAATATGTGAACTTCTCACATATGAATGGAAACCAATATTTTGCTTACAAATCTTTATTGAGCCTTCTCACAAAAAGAGGAAAAGGATAGGAGGCCTGGGCGGGCGGATCACGAGGTCAGGAGATCAAGACCATCCTGGCTAACACAATGAAACCCCCGTCTCTACTAAAAATACAAAAAATTAGCCGGGCGTGGTGGCAGGCGCCTGTAGTCCCAGCTACTCGGGTGGCTGAGGCAGGACAGTGGCGTGAACCCGGGAGGCGGAGCTTGCAGTGAGCCGAGATTGCGCCACTGCACTCCAGCCTGGGTGACAGAGAGACTCCTTCTCCAAAAAAAAAAAAAAAAAAAAAAAAAAAAGGAAAAGGAGGGAAGGCTGTGAAAATGATTTCCTCTTGAATACAGTACTTAGAGCTGAAGTGGTTGGCTTGATTTTACTCTAAATTATATCGTCTTTGGGATGATTCAAAACATTTCTAGGACTACTTGAGGAAGAGAAATAAAGTGCCCGCTGTGGCAAAGCACATGTCTTTGTTCGTTTATATTTACTGCACATGATCTGTTACTTTTATGCAATAATTGATTTACTTTCCACTTATTTCTGAGGAAGGAAGGATGTTGTCTTTTTATGCTGTTTTAGAAAATCTGTTGTTGATTATATTTAATTCCTAGTGTATAGTGAGTGAACAGACAATATTCAAATTTATATCAGTTTTAACTCAGAGCCTTGAAAACGTGAAATGATTTTAATATGTTTTTTAATACAGTAAATTATTCCTCTACTCTGGTTTACTTTGGATTTCTGTTATTTTGCAGCTCAGTGTGGTGGTGCTATGTCAGACTTCAGTGGTGTGATCCTCAGTCCTGGGTTTCCTGGAAACTATCCCAGCAGTTTAGATTGCACATGGACAATAAATCTACCCATAGGTTTTGGTATGTGTATTAAAAACACGTGAAAGAGCTTTCAATATTTATTAATGTAGCCTTAAAATAAATTTCAATGTCGAATAAGAATTTATAAAATCTTCACAAATTGCAGTTTAGTTTAGGAATACATACAACTATGTAAATTGAAGAGTGAAATTTAAATAATTGTTGCTTAAGTCAAATACATTTCACTTGGAGTACTTGGATAATTGAAGGTATATGGGCATATTTTTTTTTTACTCTGATTTATTATTTTTTAATTGACAAATAAAAATTGTACATATTTATCATGTACAACATGATGTTTTGAAATTTGTATACATTTTGGAAGAACTAAATAAAGTTAATTAATATATTATCTCTAATATTTTTTATGGTGAGAACACTTAAAACCCTCTTAGCAATTTTCAAGAGCGCAATATGTTGTTAATAACTATAGTTACCATGTTGTACAATGAATTTACTTCTTTTGTGTAACTGAAATTTTGTGCCCTTTAACCAACATTTTCTTAATCCTTCTCTCTTACACCCTGGTAACTACCCTTCTACTTTCTACTCCTGAGTTCAGTTTTTTCAGATTCCACATGTGAGATCATGTGATATGTCTTTCTGTGCCTGACTTAATTGCACTTAACATAATGCCCTCCAGGTTCATCCATTTTGTTGTATATGACAGAATTCCCTTGTTTTTTTTATGGCTGAATAGTGTTTCATTGTGTATGTATACTATATTTTCTTTATCCATTCATCAGATGATGGACACTTAGGTTGATTCCGTATCTTGTCCATTGTGAGTAATGCTGCAGAAATACAAGATTGAAGATATCTCTTCAAGATTCTGACTTCAATTCTTTTGCACATATACCCAGTGGTAGGATTGTTGGCACATGTGGTAGTTCTGTTTTAAATTTTTTTGTGGAACCTCCATATTGTTTCCTGTAATGTCTGTACTAATATTTATTCCCACCAACAGTGTGCCAGGTCATTTTATAATTATATATAGAGATGTATAGACTGATATAGCTAGACAGACTTATACTATTTTTCAGTCGCTATGTATGGATATACCCTGAATTAGATATGTATAATAATGATAAATTCAACCTAAATTTTATGTGCATTGTTTTTGTAACTCTTTTCTTATTGCTGTAATCAAGTAGTACAGTTATTATTTTCTAGTAATCTATTGAATTCATCCCATTTTCTTTGCAAGTAAATCAGATTTTATTTTTAAAAAGTAGTATGAATTTTAAAATATTAGGTTTAAATACAAATCACTATAATACCTTCCCAATTTTAATGTAATAATTCCCAATATTTTTGATACATTACATAATATATCATATTTAATAAATTCTCCTTACCCTTACATCACTAATATACTCTCTTACAGCTTTTGCAGATCCTATGAGTTTATAAATGCACTAAAAGAAGTGCTTGATTGAGGGTACACATGTTCATTAAATCACAGAAGACTAGGATGAATAGATACTCATTGAAGCACAAACCAGGTAGTTTTAGAGTTATTAGGAAATTCTGTACTATGTCACTTATTGAGGACTGAACTTGGGTATCTCACTACCCAGTAAGCATCTACAACCTCAGAGTATAAATGCATATTTAAATGTTTTACATAAATTAACAGATAACTCATAGTTTTGACAAATATTTACTGAGTGTATATTATACTCCAGATACTGCTAAGTGCTGGAGATAAAATGTATGGCAATGCAGACTTTGCATTTTTCTTTAAATAAGTTACAGTCATAATGAGGAGACAGTAAAATGTATTATTATGATACAGTGTAACTAGAGAGCACAGGATTGTACTTAGAATGGACATCAGCCTAGTATAGGAAATGCAGTAAAGTCTTGACAGAGGGAGTGATGCTTAAACTTTAGCTTTAAAGATAAGTAACCAGGCCAGGCATGGTGTCTCACACCTGTAATCCCAGCACTTTGGGAGGCTGATGCGGGCAGATCACAAGGTCAGGAGATTGAGACCATCCTGGCTAACATGGTGAAACCTCATCTCTATTAAAAATACAAAAAATTAGCCAGGCATGGTGGCACGCACCTGTAGTCGCAGCTACTCTGGAGGCTGAGGCAGCAGAATTGCTTGAACCCAGGAGGCGGAGGCTGCAGTGAGCGGAGATCTTGCCACTGCACTCCAGCCTGGGCAACAGAGCAAGACTCTATCTCAAAAAATAAATAAATAAATAATAAATAAATAATCAACCAGCCTGGGCAACATAGTGAGGCTCTGTCTGTACTATAAATAAAAAAAAACTAGCCACACATGGTGGAGCCCGCCTGTATGTCCCACCTAATCAGAAGGCTGAGGCAGAAGGACTGCTTGAGTACCGGAGTTTGAGTTTACAGTGAGCTGTGATCATGCCACTGAGCAGCTGGGCCACCCTGTCTTTAAAAAATAAATAAATGATTAAATGAAATGAAAAAACAAAAAGTTAAGTAAAAGTCAGTCCAGCAAAGAATGTCAGTCTGCTGCAGGACGTGTGAAAGAAATTCCAGGTAAACAAGGTAACAAGTAGAAAAATGCAGGTGAGAAAGCTAAAAAAAATTAAACATGCCTGAACACTGTGTGACTGGCCTGAGGTTTTGGGAAAGCAGAACGTTATTGAGAGAAGGTTGCTGGGGACTTTCTATTTAGAAATCCTATTTAGGATCATTTTGGCTAAAATGTGGAAACTCTAAATTCGAAGTTGTAGTGAACTTCTATGTCCATTGATAGAATACTGATGTAAATGAACAACAGATTTGAACCAGCATGGCTCTTCCACGTCTTTCACTAGCCACTGTAGCTTATGTAGCTAAATGAATTATTTTAAAATGAATTATTAAAAATAGTTTCAATAATCTCATTATAACATGATCTTCAATTTCTGGCTAATTCTTGATTTTGAAAACCAACTTTATTAAAACTTGAATATATAGCTCTAATTTATAAATGAAAACATAAGAGATTTAGATACTTGATTACATTTTAATAACCATACTCTTTTCTTTGAGTTTTGATTAAATCAAATATTAGGTCCAATGTATTTAAACTATATATATATATATAAATATATATATATATAAATATATATATATAAATATATATATATATAATACATTTCAAGAGGTAAAGAAACATATGTTCAAGAATATATGAAACAATTTTGGAAAATGTTTGTAATAAAAGTGCTCAGTTAAAAATAAAAACAAAAAGTGCATATCTTCGGTCTTCACATATTAAGGTTGCATGTCCAAAGTTCTAAAAAGTTAATCTAATTTTTTAGAAAGTTGTTTAATATTTTAAACCCTGTTTTAAATATTTCCAAAGCTTATTTGTCCAAGGGACTGTTTAAAAAATCATTTAGTAACATGATGCGCGTTTACTCAGAGCCCCAGTGTAGTTATTAATATCATAAGCTTAAGAGTCTGAATGCCTCGGTTTGCAGTTCAAGCCTACTGGGTCATTGTGTAAACTTTACATGTGTCTTACTTCTCTGCGACTCACTTTCCTTGTTCTCATGAAATGGTGAGAATTAAATAAGTTAGCATATATAAATCACTTAAGGCAGGTAATATATATAATGTGTAGCAAATATAAATAACTTAAAACTTTCACCAAATATCAGATTTTATTACAAATAATTTAGAGAGTGATAATAGTAAGAAAAACATCAAATTTACTAAAATTGAGTGTTAAATTAATTAAGCAAATATACTTTAATTAACATTTTTTATCCCAGAGACATTTCACTGTCTCGTATTTTAGTTATGCTTATAAAGATATTGAGATTACATTGCAATATGACCACATATAACAATGATCACCAGATTTTATTAAGGTTATTATATAAAAGCCTGCATTATCTTCTGATAAGCAAAACACTGAAAGAGCACCCTTTAAATTATATACGTTATATTTCTGAGAAGTTAATTTCTCTCCTGTGAATGAATAACTTCTAATGCAATTGTGGAATCTATGTTACAAATCTATATTACAAATTTGCAATTATTTTCAACCTTAGATTGACCTTTTCCATAACACAAATTAGGCCAAAAGCGGCCTTTTCCTCTAAAAATTAGTTTATGTAATTTAAAGCGTATTAAAGAATAAGAAAGCCACTTTTTTGGATCATTTTTCATACAGTGACATTATAATGAAATGAAATGTTTTTCCTTTTAACTAATAATGGACATGTGAGAGCAGTATTCTTTTACTTTGAACCTCAGCAAAGTTACCTGTCCTAGGCAGACAGCAAATCCATGACTCAGATCTTGAGATTATGCCTCTTGACTTAAATGCAAACTTATCTAAGTACATTGATGTGATTGTGTGTGTGTATATTTATGTTTAATTCGGTAAAGCAAATAAAGTAGCATTCTGTTTGTTTTCTTCTTCAGGTGTACATCTCCAGTTTGTAAATTTTTCTACAGAAACCATACATGATTATTTGGAAGTACGAAGTGGATCCTCAGAAACTAGTACTGTTATTGGCCGGCTTAGTGGTCCTCAAATACCATCTTCCTTATTCAGCACCACCCATGAAACCAGCTTATATTTTCACAGTGACTATTCACAAAACAAACAAGGGTTTCATATTGTATACCAAGGTAAGAGAAATAATAAAAAATGAAAATTTATATAACCCCAAATCAGCTATTAGAAATATTTAACTGAGTCTAATTATTTTCTGTATTCTGTTTTAGAAAGAAAAAAAAAAAAACTTAAGCCAAGGTGAGCTTCAATTAGGAAGATTTTTAGAACAATGCAACTCTCTGGGAACTACACAGGGAGAATGATGTCTCTCTGAGACCTTAGAAAATCCTAACCATGAAACTGGATTGAATTAGTCTTAAGTTAATACACAATTAAATTAAGCAAGGCATGGCAAATAAGCAAGGCCAGCTGCACAGCAAAGATGTATCTTTGCTTTTATATTAAAAGGAATATATTGAAAAGATATTTTGTATTATTCATGTGTTGTATTATGTAAAATGTTCTTTTACTTTATAGTGATAAGACTAATATGACATTCCTTCATTTTGTTCTATTGTCATGAGAATATAAATACTTTGATAATCATGTTATATTAGACCTATCTCTCAAACAGAACTACTGCATGACCTTGAGCAAGATTTTTATCTCTTTTGAGTAAAGGGTTTGGGCGTAAGTAGAGCTAGGCTCAAATGTTGATTCTTCCTATTCTATCTAATGTGGCCTCGGCCTTGCTCTCCATTTGCTCATGTGCATAATGGAGTTAATTATACTTTCAGATAAGTTGTATTGAACTTTTTATTAAAAAATGTATGTAAGGTGTATTCCATGATGTATATTTTTAGTAATTACTCAGTCCTTTTTAGCTATTGCTATTATATTATTTCATGTCTTATATGTGTATATTCTGTTAAAATTAAATATTAAAATGATATTTTACATAATAAAGTTTATTTCTAATGGCTGAAATTTTTAATCAAAATAAACTAAAATGTTATTACATCTCTGCCCTAATTATTGAAGGACTTTATGTAATGCTTTTGTATCTCAGCTCCTCAAGAACAGGCAATTGGGTTGTTCATTGGAGTATCATAAGCATCTAGAGCAGTAAGCACAATAAATATTTGCTAAAGTATCTACCAAAGAGGAAATTTGAAAGTAGTTAAGATAGAGATAGGTCTTAAACATCAAATTACATGGATCTGAAATAATTATAATTTGTATTATACTTGCGTGCATAATGTAAGAACACTACATTACACATAATCACTTTCATAAAATAGGAGTCATTTCAATCACCTCCCAGCACATTGAATTAACCATGCTTGCAAGGAAATTAATTATTTTTAAAACAATTGGGTAATTGGTTGAATTTCTCTTCTTTGCTGCTAGAAGACTCAGAACCATATTTGTGATATACTTTAGCAAGTGTACATGGCCTTATGCCAAGTTCTTTGCCATGCACCTTAAAACAGACTAAACCTGTTTTTTTCCTATTCTCATTTTCCCTCTCTCTCAAAATAATGTTCTTATTTGAATGATGTAAAACTAGAAATTGAGCTTTATTAACTCTGATATTTTCAGTTAATATATCCTTGAAAAACAATTCATTATTGACCTAATAAAAGTGTAAAATATATAAACTTTTTTCACTGTTACTGACGTATTATTAACAGGAGCCATAATGTATTACAATGATGAGGAGATGTTGTGAATCACACTGAGTTTTAAAATGGTTTCTTTTTGTGCTACATTTATGTAACTAACCTAGTGCATTTTAAAGAAATAGTTAACATATATATTCACAGAGTCAATATTATTTTTGGATTGATTTTGTGGTTAAATTTTAAGAACCTTCTGAATTTGGAAAAGTTATACTGTACAATTTAGAGTACCCATCTACTGAAGGAATCAGTTTGAAAATTAATGTTATTACTGACAAGATTATTAGGTTTGGTAAGTCCTGTTGTCACCGGTACAAGATTGTGACTGCAAGTTGTCCGGATTCTTGGCTTTTTGAACAAAGAATTGGACAAAACGCCCAGCAAAGCAAAGAAAGAATGAAGCAACAAAAGAACGAAAGCAGAGATTTATTGAAAACAAAAGTACACTCCCAGTGTGGGAGCAGGCCGATCAGTGGCTCAAGGGCCCAGATACAGAATCTTTTTGGGTCCAGATGCCCCCTAGAAGTTTCCCATTGGCCACTTCATGCTCACCCCATGTAGATGAAGTGGTAGCCCGCAATCAGTCTGATCTGAAAGCAGCCAACCAGAAGCTGAAGTGAAGTTACAAAGATCACACTCCTGTGCAAATATCTGATTGGTTGCAAAAAGCAACCAATTGCTTTTTGCAACCAATCAGAGGCTAAGGTGAAGTTACAAAGTTATACTTCTGTGCAAACGAGGACTCGGCCTGCAATCAGTCTGATTGGTTGCAGACAGCCAATTTCTCATCTGCTGGGCCAAAAAGGTGAGGGGTTTGCAGATGGAGTTGCCTCTGGTCCTCTTATTACTAAGTTGTGGAAAGTTAGGGTTTTCCTTTCAATTTAGTTTGAGGAAGTTGGTGTTAGACAGCCTTAGGTTCCCTGCCTCCAGACCCAATTCTCCCACCTCACTGTATTGTATATAACATTAGAATGGGAACTTTCTCCTACACACTTAAAATCTATTTTCTATACTTATTAAACTAAAAAACTTGGAGTAGAAATTGAAAGGGTATATTTAATAGAATAATATATTCCAACTCCTAATGATCAATTCCTAATACACATTTGTCTTAAGTTGGAATAAGAACTCTTTCTAATATATTTTTGTGTAGAATATTTTTTGTGTAGAATATCAATTAAAATGAAAAGGACACATTAAGAATGAAAGCACTTAACATTTTAAAGAATTTGTTCATTAATTCTGAAATCTTTAGTCCTAAAAATTTGAGTTATATTGTAATAAACAACAGGATAGTTTATTTAACTTCGAATGTGATTTTTTATTTGAGGAATATAAAATTTTAACGGTTTGGTAGAGAAGTAGTCTTTGATTTTCAGAAATTTAAATTTTACTAATTAGAATACAATTTTGAACTTCTTAATTAAAAAGTTCCAAATATTGATATTTTATGAGAATAGGCCCTGTTCATAGGTCTAACATTTATTTAGTAATGTTTATTTAACACTACTCTGTGAAAGGCAATAGCCAAGGCTTTGAGATATGATAATAATACAAACAGGAACTTTGATCTCATACAAAATGTAGAGCAAGAGAAGTATGAACAAATAAATAGGCAATTATACTGCATTGCCCAAATTATCCCATAACTGAAGTACAAAGTTCATTTTATATTAAAATAAAATTTTTTTCCAGTGCTTTATTTTACAAACTAACTTCTTTGAAATTAACTCAACAGAAGTATATTGTGATCTGTAGAAAAACAATTAGTAAAACAAACTGTAAAAAGGCTCAGAATTAGGCTTATACATATTCTTATTGCATTCTGTGTGCTTGTAACATAATCAAGAAGCAATTGCATTCTCTGGAAGAGAATCAGAATGCATTGGATTAAAATTGTAGCTTTAAGAAGAGTTTACATTTTCATTAAAACATAATTTAGTTGGGTTGCACAAGTAGGTGAAGAAAGCATGCGTTTTTATTAATTGTACTAACATTTTAAATATGAAAATTGTAGACATGAGAAGAAATTTATGTCACAGGTCATTGACAGCATTTATCATAAACCTGAATTGCTATTTATAATCAACTGCAAGTAGCATCACATCTATTTTTAAGTTGCAAAATTGCTGTAGTACCCTATCTGTGGCCTCTGAAATTTGGAAAGAAAAAATGTCTTTCTTTTTCCTCTTTCCAGCCTATCAGTTGCAAAGCTGTCCTGATCCACGCCCGTTTCGAAATGGTTTTGTAATTGGTAATGATTTTACTGTGGGTCAAACCATTTCATTTGAATGTTTCCCAGGATACACATTAATTGGAAATTCAGCTCTCACATGCCTTCACGGAGTCAGTCGTAATTGGAATCATCCACTTCCAAGGTGTGAAGGTATGCTTCTAACTTGAAGCTATCTTTTAGGTGATGTCATCTGTTTTTAATATTGTTTTGGCACTTTTTACTTGTCTTCCTCTTCCAATAGCATGCTAAATATATAGTCTCTCAGCTGAAGATATTTTTTAAACCCCTAAGGCTCTATAATGAATAACGATTTTATCATTATTGGCAGGAGTCCTAACCTTTCCTATTGGGAGTGAAAAAATAGTTGATTCACACTTTAGAGCTTTTCTTATGTGTGTGGGGAAGGGAAGGGGGTGCATGTGGGTTTGTATGCATTTAAGTCATTCTTACATAAACCACTAACCCAGATACTGCTACTGAGTTCCTTTCCTCTAGAAAATCCTTTGAAATAAAAGGCTTTGAACCTCTTATAAGGCCTTATATGTACACATAGTAAGAGGCAAATGAAAGTTAAAGTCTTTGCATTGATATAAAATATTTAAATAATAGAGAAGACAATGTAATTTACTAATCTAGTGATCATTAATAACAATTATTTAGTATACCTCATGTGGAAAAATAAATAAAAGTTGACTCTATTTTGTGCACTGTTGCCAACTTCATTATACATACCTCAACTGAAGTAAAAACAAGGCATAAATGTGTTTCATAATGCTTAAGATATGTGAAATGTTTGCCTTTTTCTCCACAGTCAGTTTATTGTTATTTTAAAATATTATTTTGTTTTGTGACTTTTTCCGTAGCTCTTTGTGGTGGGAATATAACTGCAATGAATGGCACCATTTATTCTCCTGGGTATCCTGATGAATATCCAAACTTTCAAGATTGTTTTTGGCTTGTAAGAGTACCCCCTGGGAATGGCATCTACATCAATTTTACTGTCCTTCAAACAGAACCAATATATGATTTCATTACTGTATGGTAAGTCAGGACTATTGTTATTGATTTATTCAATTATATACACAGTAAAACAAGGTTGGAATAAAAATATATCACAATCCTCTGTTACAAATTGTCATCTGATATTTGAATTGATGTGAGTAACTGAGGGTGACAGTATGTGTCTTGTAGAATTACATACACAAGAGAAATAGGTTTTGGCTTATTTGCCCCATGAACTAGGTAAGCATTGTGGAACAAAGACTTCATAGGTGAAAACAAGATTAAAAAATATTATTAAATTAATGTGCTAAAACAGGAAGTTAACAGACTTAAGTTTAAGGTATGGAAGTTCTCTACTTACAAAAGCCAGTGGAATTTAAGAAATTATAATTATTTAATATAACTAGTGGATTTCTGCCATAAAAATTTAATTGTATTAAAGTCTTGTCAATTGAAACATCTTTATTTAAAAATATATTAAGGCCAGGTGCAGTGGCTAACATCTGCAATCCCAGCACTTTGGGAGGCCACAGTGGGAGCATCACTTCATCCCAAGAATTCAATACCAGCCTGGGCAACATAGTGAGACTCTCTCTAGAAAAAATAAAAAATTAGCCAGACATGGTGGCATGCGCCTGTGGTCCCAGCTATTCAGGAGGCTGAGATGAGAGGATCCCTTGAGCCTGGGAGGTCAAAGGTGCAGTGAGCTGTGATCATCCTACTGCACTCCAGCATGGGCAACGGAGTGAGGCCCTGGCTCTAAATAAATAAATAAATAAAAATGTATTAAAGAAAGTATCTGAATTAATAATTAACTACTGATAATTTATCTGAGTTCTAAGAGTTGTAACTTTAACAGTCTGTGATTCTCAAGACTGTTGCTGAAGAAAATAAAAGAGGGGCAAACCTCAAGCATTTAAAAGCATCAGAGTTTTGGTAAAAAAAAAAAAAAACAAAGACAATGTATTGATTATAACTAATATGAGTACATTCCATTTAGTAAAAATGTAATCTATTTTTATACTTGACATTTAAAAATATGTGGTCACCTACATAGATATAGAATATATAATTTGTACTCATTGGTTAGCTTCCTGCATCTTTATTATTGATACGTTAGAATATAAATATATGCAATACTTTTATTAAATACGGTTCAAAACTACTTCCACAATCAATCTTGATCTCTCCTCCTTTCCCAATCCTTGTCTCATAGGGATGGACCAGACCAAAATTCACCTCAGATCGGTCAGTTCAGTGGCAATACCGCTTTGGAATCAGTCTACAGTACTTCAAATCAGATTCTAATCAAATTCCACAGTGATTTCACAACAAGTGGCTTTTTTGTGCTCAGTTATCACGGTTGGTATTATCTGAGAGTTCCTATTTCATTTGCTACTGTTTAATTTGTCCTGGAAAAAAGTGAATGTAATATATATTTAACCAATGATTGAAAAGGTATTAAAATTTAGAAATTTTATAATCACAGTAACTTTAGCATTTCAAACACATTTCCTTGCAAAAGATGACCTCTTCTAAGTATTCAGGGACATTAAAATGTGAGCAAATGGATATAGGAAATAAATCAGTCAGTAATTACCCACTGGAAAATAATCATTTCTGCATGAAAACCAATAAAGGAGAACCAGCTGTTCATACTCTAGTGCATGTAATTTTGAGACGTCAATAGATTTTTTTCCTATACAAAATGTTTAATCTATTCAACCTGCTGTGACTCTTTCTAAAATTGGCATTCAGTATCTTCACGCTTTGGATCACATTACTCATTCATTTATACTGTTGTTTCAAAACTGTGTCTATTCTAGAATCTTACAGTTTTAAGTGACTATTCCAGATCATTAAGTTCATAGCTTTTACTGCTGTGGAATAATTTATGTATAGTCTCAATTTGATTTCATTGTATAGGATCCTTTGTTCTGGGCTCTGTATTCATAAACTTAACTTTTTGAAAGGACATTCAGAAGGTTTCACAGAGGTGTTTCTCTTCTTTATTTTTGTTTTAATCCTCAATTGGTTGTATTCCATTATTAATAAGAAAATGGCTATTTATCTATAATGATTACATCCTTTTATCTGCTATGACTACAGTCTCATTATAACACATTCTGCCTCATATAACTTTGTCAGACTAATTCCATGAGTATTTCACAAGACCAATAATCTACTAAATTAAGTTTGCAAAAATTATATGAAAATGTGAGGCTGGACATGTGCTTTGCCCATTACATAATGTATGACTTAGCATTTCACCTTTTTAATATACAAGTAGCTAAATATTTGATACTTAAAGCTTATATTCCATGAAAAATATAGTATATAGTAAATCAACTGTGATTGTGTTCAAAGACATTTAAAGCACATGGGATCTAGTCAGAAATTTATCATAAAATGTTTGAGTTGCTTAATTTGAGCACTTATCAGCCAATTAGATGGTATCTAATTAGTTTCTCCATAGTGATCCACTGCCATCCAGAACTGATACGCAATCCAACATAACCAGTTGAAAAGTCAGGGGTTCAGTCTATGGCCATACCACCATGAACACGCTGATCTCTTCTGGAAAGTTGGATATTCAGTCAGACAACTTTTATTCCGGCTGTTTTTTTTAAAAAAATAATTTATTTGCCTTTCCTACTGAGTTGATCATTAATGCTGGCAGTTTGCAGATATAGCCTAAGGCTGAAACAATAGAATTATTACTTTGATAGAAAATCATAATTCGGGAACTAATACATAATCATTAAGATAAAAAAATGAATTAGTTGCCAAACTATATTATGTACATTTTATCTCCACATGGATTTCTGCCTCAATATTTTTTATCATTTTATGTACTGCTTGAAATCATAAAGAAAGGACTATTCATTGATGAACTATAAATATCCACAAGATAACCCTATAGGAAGTATAAAATTTTTATAAATTTAGGAGACATTTCAAGGGAAAAATATTATCAAAGGAAAGGATGTCAGTGTTGTGTGTGTGTGTGTGTGTGTGTGTATGAGACAGAATTTGAACATTCATATAAAAATATGTGGATAATAGATATACATAAACACAAAATCTTAGTGTGGATTTAAATATACACATATATGAATATATAAACATATATCCTCATTTCAAAATGTTTCACTTGACTTTTGCAAGTGGGCTTTGAGACATGTGTGATAGAAATAGAATTGCTTAAGAATAAAGCAGATCAAGGCCAGGCGCAGTGGCTCATGCCTATAATCCCAGCACTATGGGAGGCCAAGGCAGGTGGATTACCTGAGGTCGGGAGTTCGAGACTAGCCTGACCCACATGGCGAAACCCCGTCTCTACTAAAAATACAAAATTAGCCAGGCGTGGTGGTTCATGCCTGTAATCCCAGCTACTCAGGTGGCTGAGGCAGGAGAATCACTTGAACCCCGGAGGCAGAGGTTGCAGTGAGCCGAGATGGCGCCATTGCACTCCAGCGTGGGCAACAAGAGTGAAGCTCTGTCTCAAAATCAATCAATCAATCAATCAATAAAAATAAAACAGATCAGATATTCATTTAACCCTTGATTTTCTATTTGACCTTGGACAAGTTACACTTTGATCTCTACTTTCCTCAGCTGTAAAGCAATGTGATAGAATTGCTGAGAGGATTAAATGTCATATTATATATGTATAATTTATTCCAATTACTGGCATATATTAGGTTGAACCATATAAAATCATTGGTCAAAAAATCCTATGGGCAATTTTACATAGCTCAACTGTAGAAATATTGTAATTGTTACTATTATCAGCTTTAAGCTGAGGAGACGTTTTGAGAATTGGAGATAATTGATAATATACAGGTAGCATAATGCCTGGCAGAGCAGATGTTCAGTAAATATCTGTTTCCATACCATATCTTACCTCACATTTTAGATTTTTCAAATAGGACATTTATTCATTAGATTTTATAATAAGGTGCAAAAAAATTGCCAGAGCCTAATGAAGCCTACTGTTTGAATCAACAGCTATGGAGATTCTACCCAAATTTTAAAATAAACTTGAAGTTTGGGAGCATAGCCAGAGTTCATGTTAAAAATTGACTGATACTTTAAATTTCTCTAGCCTAATAGGATAATTTTTCTAAAGCACTGCTTTCATTCCTACCTGCCTTTTCAAGAATGCATGAGGCCTACATTAAATCTAATTTAAAGCTACCCTATAATCCAGTTCACTGATTGTTACTCTGCAGTCCCTACACAACTTCAGTCAGGTTGGTTTTCTCACTGCCTCCTGAACTTCCATTCTTAAATCTCATCTTCATCTCCATCATAAATACTCTTGGTTTCTTAACTCATCTTCAGTTATTTAAGTCTTTTTATGTTAAGTCCCATTTCCTCCACTTCTTGATAATTTGAACTCATGGTGATCACTGCCATCACTTCTATGATTACACTTACTCTTTTTACCAAACTTTTGAAAACTTAATTACAATATGGTGTATTATTTTATAAGCCTTAGGAGTTTATTGACTGTTTTTTGAGGATACAAATTTCTTGTTCTTATCCTCTTTATATTTTTGTTATTGACTGATTGTATTTTAGTGTTACAGTGGGAAGTGTGCATTCAGACTCTTTAAAAAGTTGTTTGCATTTATTTGAGCAGTGTTAGTAACAACTTTTACAAAGATCATTTTAGAATTACTAAATGTGTAATTTCTAAATTACATCCTCCTTAACAAGAACAAGAAGATATGCCTGTTAATACTAATTTGAGCTATAAGCTCAATGTCATAAGGAAATCTCATAATAGTAAAAAATTGGTCAAATTATTTGGAATTTTTGATAAATAAACCAAGTATATAATTCATTATAAGCTTAACACTTATTTTAAGCTGGCTGAGTATGCCTAATCTTTGAATGGTTTACTACCCCACCCAGTTTTCTTTATATCCTCTTAGACTTGATAGTTACTTCTGATATACCTTGCTTTATAATTCAGAAGTGATTTTCTCAAGACTTGTATATTTATTTTATAAGGTTGACAGTTCAATATTTTTGTGTATTTTCTTAAGGTCACATTGATCATTGAAGTTTTATTTGTTGATATATTTTGAATGTGCTGGAAAAGAGAGGGAAAAAAATGTATGTTTTTTTCTCTAACCTAACTTCCTTTATAAGATCCAGGCAGCCATCTGTCTTTTATAAAACATCACCTTCGTAAAGCCTTTTATGATCAAAAATAACATTTATAAAAAAGCTTTGCAAAATGAAAGCTCTCTGCAATGAAAAAATAGGACAAGCGTAAATGTTGAGGCAGTTTACCTCAGATATCATATTTTTTTCTCATTTGAGGAAATGTTTTTGTATCTCTTTGTGTTGCTATAATTATGATTTCCTAAAATAAGAACCGCATTTTCTTCATATCTGCTGTAGAGTCAAGATGAGGTTGGTTTATAATTAATAATAATATTCAGTCCTAATTAATGACCCCCTGAAAGATAAATTACTCAAAATAAATTTTAACTGAGTGTTCTTTTTGCAGTGACTTTGTATAGCCATCACTATATTAGTGGTAACAACCATTTATTGAAAATTTAATATGCTGAGCCTTGTGCTAGGTGCTTTCCATGTATTATTGCTAATTTTCATAGTAACCCTATAAGGTAAGTATTATTATCTTCATTTTAATAATGAACAAACTGAGTAAAAAACCGGATAACCTACATAAAGCCAGAGAACTAATAAGTAGAAGGGCTGGCTGGAGTTCAAAATAGGTCTGCCTGACTTCAAAGAATGATCCCTTTTTGAAAAATCAAAACAACAATAACAACAGCTAAAATTCATTGTATTCTTATTAAGTGCCAGACAATGTTCTAAGCTGGTATTATCTCATGAATAGATTATATTTAATGGTATATAAACCTAATTGTTCTTTAAAAATTTAGTCAAAGTGATTTTCATTTTTAGCAATGTGATGGGTCATCTCATTTTCTCAAATACGCCTCCTAATTATAACTTGAAGCTTTAAGCTTCTTATTGCTTCATTTACCCAAGATCTACAAAGTAGTGACAGTACATTATAGATTTATCACAGCTCAATGTATTCTTTATAGTTTCTAAAATGTGCCTGTGGGCACTGTGCCAAGAGAAAAAATTTTATTGAGATCTGGCTTATGTCACTCAAAATAACCAGGCGACTAGAGTATAGCCAAAATATGTATTTACTAATTTAATACCGAAATTATTTTATGGTGTTTAAGCCAATTATCCAGGTCACTTGATTTTCTAATATCAATGTACTAGGGAAATTCACTTTGTAAGTGGAAGATTTTCTTAGCATAATATGATTTAATAATTATGTTATTATTTTCTGTTATTGGCACATTTTCTATTGAAGAATGAGTTGATTACATAATGACTCATTATTGTAAAGAAATGTATTTAAAAGGCCTGTAATGTGTTTCAGGTCATCTTTTACGGTTATGCTACTTTTACAATAAATGCTGTGTTTGGAAACAAGTATATTTAACTTCACAAAGTCTCATCCTAAAAGAGATTGCTGCAGATGTAAGGACATGCTTTATATAAACCATAAGTCACGATTGCCTTTAACTGTGTGACCCCTTTGCCTCACATAACCTAAAGACCTGACCTCCTTTTGTATTGTAATAGCTAGAGCACAGAACCCGTAAAGTGTTTTATTATTTGATGTCCAGAGAGAACGGGGGTATGGACATCGTGTAATAATGTATGTGTGTGTATGTATGTGTGTGTGTGTTTGTGTGTATATGTGTGTATAAAATGAAACAATGGAGCTAAAACCCAAACTGCTAGAACTGTTAGGAGGAAAGGAAAATACCATTTACTGTTAGTTAAATGACTTAAATGACTACTTAATTATTACTCAAAACTAAAAGTCATGTCAAAATTACTATCTTTTGACACTTCACTGTATGTATATGCCCAGTTGATAAGGTATGGTATTTATTTTCTTAAATATCTTACTTTCTGTTGCCTCCAGCCAAAGACTATCAGGAACACAACTTCTGTTAAACAAAGTTAGATTTATTAGCTCATGATAATGAGTGAGACAACATATGATGAGGGACTCTGTGATCTCAGCAAAAGTGTGTCAGGAGAGGCTTGATAAAGGAATTTGACTGTATGAGATGGTTTTGAGAAGGGTTCAAGGAAACATAATTTTCTTCTGGATTGGGTGCTGTTAGAAAATTTGAGCAGTTTTATGATTGGATATCTTAGTATTTTTTCTAGAAGGTGGGGGGGAATGGAATATACCTATATAATTAGTGTGGAAATACTATTCACTAATGTTGGCTGAGGTGGAAGACTGTCATTTTGATTATTTGAACAGTGTTCTTGTTTTCTGATTATGCCTATGGAAAGGTCTTATTTCTCGCTTGTTTCAACAAGGTCAAAGAATTACCTTGTCTTCTGGGAAACTGTTTATGTTTAACAGGAGACAATGCCTATCAATTAGAGCCAGGTCTATATGCCAGGGAACTCAACAATGTAGAGAAGAGGTCTTTGGCACATTATTTTTCAGATTTTAATGGGCTCAGCACTAAGGCAGCATACCTTAAATTAGCTGTCTGCATGCGGAGAAGACAATTCATGCAACAGATATTGAAATGTTCTTACAATAATGCAGCAGATATCCCAGTAGTTTTGTTTCACAATAGTTTCTGTTATTTCTTTTCTAGGTAAATAGTAAGAGTGACTTCTTGTTGACTGTATTAGTCCATTCTCACACTGCTATAAAGAACTGCCCAAGACTTGGTAATTTATAAAGGAAAGAAGTTTAATTGACGCACAGTTCCATATGACTGGGAAGGCCTCAGGAAACTTACAGTCATGGCAGAAGGGGAAGCAGGCACGTTTTAAATGTTGGCAGGAGAGACAGTGAGTGTGTAAAGGAGGAACTGTCAAACACCATCAGATTTCATGAGCACTCACTCACTCTCATGAGAACAGTATCGGGGAAACCACCCCCATGATCCAATCCCCTCTCACTAGATCCCTCTCTCAACACATGGGGCTTATGGGGATTATGATTTGAGATAAGATTTGGGTCAGGACACAGAACCAAATCAGATCATTGATTCATTTTCATTCCTCATGATAGAAACTTTCTTTCTCGCATCTCTAAATCCAAATAAGCATTCACTCTTGATTTCTAATATTCTCCCTTATAGAGGCAGAGAAACAAACTGAATATAAAATATTAGTGATGTAAAAGGGATATTTGTAAAGTAATTTAAACCCTGCTGGAACACACTTCTATCTTCATGTCAACTCACTGGCAGATTTTCTGCAAAATGGAAAACAAATTTATTGTTTTCTTCTCTTCAATTAAAACTAAGGTAGCATTAATTTCAATACACTTAGTTCTGCTTTCAAGTGAAATAGCTTAAGCTTATTTCAGATAAGTTTAAAAATAACACTGCCCAAACTGCATAACAGAACATAAAATTTATCAATGGTTGTTCTCCCCCAAATCATGAGATTATCATACTTGAACTAATCTGGATGAGCACTGAAGTACACTGGGGCTTATATAGAGCTTAGAGTTTATAAGGGAATATGCAACGTTATTTCTGTCCTCTGTAAGGAATACTGTGTCCTTACTTGGCAGAAAGGTTATGTGCTTGTGCTTTTTTTGGTTTGGAGAAGGAATGGCAATTTGCCAGTGTTCTGTTTTGTCTTTTTTGAAGAAGGCTTTAATAGCGCATTGAATAGAAGTAGATACATGCAGCATTATTTTCTGGAATTGGGTTGGATGTTTCATTGAAAAGAAAATAGAAAATTAAAAATAACGAAAAACTATTGCCAGAATCAAATCTTAAACCAATTTCAAAAAGCATATTTGTTGGACGAGGAACCAGATATCTATGCACATTTGGACAAAAACAGAGAACTATTTAAATAATAGCCATCCTCAGAAGATACAGACATGTGGAATACGATGCTCTCATGTAGTTGTTAGTAGTTGTTAGATAGCAAATGGTGTTTAAAAGTTGGTGGGGCATGTCAGATAACATGATTCTTCTAAAAAGAACACATACTTAGTTCCAATGTGTATTTTTAAAGTGTGAATATCTATTTTGTGCAGCTTTTCTGTTAATGGTCATGGCTGCAAACTGTTTCTAAATAGAACAATCCATGAAAAGCATGGACTAACATATATGTACATATGATTTAAAGTTTAGATGACATAATTTATATGATTTAATCATTTCAGTTCCACCAGTGGCTGAATGTGTGACCTTGTCCACCTCATTTCACTTATTTAGGTCATCTTCCTACTACCCCTTAAAGAGTCTAGGAGAAATGATTTCTAAGATTATTTCCAGTTTGTCTATGATCCTAACCTGTACAATATTGGATATATTTGTACCAGACCTGTTTATTTTCTTCCTGAGTAACCAAAGCATATATTTTATACAGAATGAGGTATTTTCTAACTTTGATTTGTTATTAATTAGTATTTCTTAAGTGATTTCCAGAGCACTGTGCTAATAGTTTTGAGACCACAGACACTTACATATTATATAGGATGATACAGTGTGTTGCTAAACTCATGGATTTTATACTACAGTATAAGGTACATCAATGTAAAACAAGGATATCCAATTTATTTATTTATTTACTTATTTATTTATTTTTGAGACAGGGTCTCACTCTGTCGCCCAGGCTGGAGTGCAGCGGCACAAGCTCAGCTGACTGCAACCTCTGTCTCCTGAGTTCAAGTGATTCTTCTGCCTCAGCCTCCCAAGTAGCTGGGATTACAGGCATGCACCGCCACACCTGTCTAATTTTTGTATTTTTAGTAGAGGCAGGGTTTCACCTGTCTCTGCAGGTGGCTAGCTGGTTTCAAACTCCTGACCTCAAGTGGTCTGCTCTCCTCACATCCCATAGTGCTGGGATTGCAGGCATGAGCTACTGTGCCTGGCCAAGAATATCCAATTTAAATCAGAAAAGAAACAAACAAATGGTTAGATACGTTCTGGGAAGTCACGTGGGTGCTTTGAATGACCCATTGTGAGGAAGGTCACGTCAGATTGAAGTTACATGAGTATGGGGCACAAACATCATCACAGCAGAAATGCTGATGCCAATATTTGTCAAGCGGAATGTACCCTCCCTCTTAACTGGTAATATGTTCAGGCCTTATTCTAAGCACTTTATAATATTTTAACTCAATCTTGGCTTTATGTCTATTTTACAGATGAGATAGCTGAAGCAGATTCTTAGCAGTTTGCCTAAGGTGATGGAAATAGCCAACAGCAGACCGAGATTTGAACCATCAGTCTGGTTACAGAGTAAATATTTGATCAGCCTGCTTTGTGCACAAATGTAGTTATCAATACAAACTGGATTATGTATTTTTTTATGATGTTGATTGGTTTGATAGAAACATCTTCAGAAAGAGAAGCAGAGCTGCACAATGTTTAATTCCCCTTTGTTGCCTTCAATTACAAAACATCTGCTGCATCACACCTCACAATCATTACACCCTTTTCTTTGACCAACAAAGACAACATGCCTCAATTTTATTCATAATTCTGTAAATAATTGCCAAATCAAAATGTCCTTTATACATAAGAAGTGAAAGTTAAGAAAAGCAGAAAATATTAATATTTATGTTATTTATTTGTGAATGTCAAATATCTTGAAGAAATAGAAACCCAATTTGATGTCATAGTGGTTTATTCTTATTGAAAGATAAGCTTAAAATGTGCCAGACAGTATTCCAAATGCTTTGCATGTGTAAACCCATTTGATTCTCATAACTGCCCTTTGGGATGGCATAAAATTATTACTATTATCATTATTATTTTATAAATGAGGAAAGCAAAGCAGAAAGATAAATAACTTGCCCAAGTTTTGCCAGTTTTTCAGTGTTCAAAATAAGATTCGAACCCAAAGAGCCAAAGAGTCTAGACTATGTCCTTACTCAATACCATAAGAATGTGTTATATATCATACGTATATACTCATTCATATATATACTTATATGTAATATATATGTATATACACTAATTCGGCATCCATTCTTTCATTTCTCTAGCAGTCAGTCATTCAGCAAATATTTATTGGATGCTGCTACGTGCTGAACACTGGATTATGCCCTAAAGAGTTAGTAGTTAATAAGAAAAGCAAAAATGCCTGCTTTCATGGAATTTACATTCTAGTATAAGAAAATAGATAGTAAACAAATGCATAATTCTTACAGATTGTGAAAATTGCCAGACTGTGAAACAAAGTTAACTGCAAAGGATCAACTTTAGGTAGCATTATCAGTGAAGACATCTCTGTTTTGGTCATGTTCAAAGTTATAAAAGAGCTAGGAAGATAGATTTCAAGAAAATGAAAGACAAAAGAAAATTATACAGAACATAAAATTTTAGCTATGTTATCAAATGTTAAGCTCTCAACCATTTAAGAGCTCTGTTGATGCAGTAATTAAAAAGACTACAGTAAGAGGTTGTAGACAGGTTTGATTTTTTGAAATTTAGTATTAAAAATGAAGAGATGTGGTTTAACATTTTTTTAAGAAGTAAGAATGATAGGCCACATGCCTATCAGTGGTACTTGAATTTTAAGTAGAGGAGATAAACTATTTTTTGATTATTTATAGCTAAAAATATAAGCTGGTTAATAGGTGGGGATGAAGTTAATCAGACAAAGTTAGAAACCCTTGGAGGTCATAATCAAGACTTTTAATTTAATGCGTAAGTCATTTGGGGACACTAAGAAGTTATGTAGACTCTATCAGCAATTGTTTATTTAACACCCACTGCAATATAGACTCTAGTAGTCTCTTGCTATCCACTCTTGTTCTCTTCCAATTGTGTGTGTGCTTTTTAAAAATTTCTGACTACAGCCAGAGTGATCTTTTAAAGGATAAATCTGACCACATTCCCCTCCAACTTAAATCTCTTTAAAGGCCTCCCATTGGTCTCAGCTTAAAATAAATGAAATCCTGAGTATAACTTGTACAATCCTGTCTGATTTAGCCCCTGATTTTTGCTCTTTTCGATCCCTCCTCTCTCTCACTAGGGCTATCATTCATCTCCAGAAAACACACACACACACACACACCCACACACACACCCCTTGCTTCAACTAGTTAAATTCTACTAATTAATATCTTTCTCACCAACTATTAGCATATACAGAGCAGGCTTCTGTCTGCTTTGCTTACCTTTGCATTTCCAGCACCTATTATGGTTTCTGGCATCTGGCAGATCATAGGAGCTCAATAATAACTTATTTAATAAACAACTAAATTAAATGTGTTAGGTATTGTAGGAAATGCAAATACAATACAAAATACATAAGCTATACGCGGAACGTGAACCAATACATAAAACAATTCAACACAATGAAACACTAAATGCTAAATATTATGGTGCCAATTTCTAGGCTGGCAAGCTTGCCAGAAATGAAGATGTGGGATAGGAAATGAACATGGCAAATACAAAGCACCCAGGAAAGTTCAGCTGTATATAGCAGACATCTTGTGTGAGAGACTGATGAGAATTAGGGTAATGATCTTGCTTTATCTAAGATGATAAATTCAATCTGTAGGCCATAAAAAAACACTGTAAATTGAAAATAGGGAAATGGCAGCAACAAAATGATATTCAAAATGAGGTTTATTTATCTATAAATCGGGGAGACAATGTGTCTTAATTTTATATTGGAACTTGGTTCAAATTCTGGCTGTGTGAGTAGGGCAAATAATTCAACCACTATGAAATTTAGTGTCCCTTTTGGTAACATGAGTATATTTACACATATTTTGATGTGGCATTTTAGTGATTAATGAAAGAGGCATGTAAAGGACTTTTCAGAGTCCTTTGTACAAAGTGGATTCCAGGTAAATACTTCCTTGATTCTCTTCTATCACTTCACTGTATGTAAGAAGGGTAGTATCAGGGAGACACTGAAGGTAAGGAACACACTATAGGCCAATTTAATAACACAGGTGTATTAGTTTACTAGGGCTGCTGAAACAAAGTACCACAAACTGGTGGCTTAAAAGCAATCTTTGGCATTCCTTAGCTTATAGATGAATCACTACAGTTTGAACCTTCATCATCACATGACCATCTTACCTGTGTGATCATCTCTGTGTCTCTTTTTATTTTATAGGGACACTAGTCATATTGAATTAAGGGTACCCCCATAATTTTATACAACCTTAAGTTAACCAATTACGTCTGCAACAACCCTATTTCAAATAACATTTTTAGGTTCCAGGAAAGGCATGAATTTTAGGTGAAACTATTCAACCCAGTACAGCGGGAATTAAATGGCAGGAATCTAGACTGAGATATTGGCAGCAAGATTGGAGAGACATTGGACAAATCATAGAGTTATGTTAAAGAACATACTAGTAGAGATTGATGAAGATTGAAAACAAAATTGTTGCAAGCTACTTATGATTAAGCCTTTTGTAGTGCTTGGTCTTCAAAAGTCAAAAGAGAAACAGATGAAAAGAGGTTTGTTTGTTTGTTTGTTTGTTTGTTTTTCATTACTCCTTTCCCCTTTACTTTTTTATTCAAAATTACATAGTTCAACCCTGAAAAGCATTTTAACCAGATCTTGCCTATATTTCAATGTTTAGCATTGTCTGACACTCAATTGTTTCTATTTCATCCCCACTGGCAATTTTAAAGTTGGGAGTCATCTTAGGGAAGACTGTTGAGAGACTGCTTCCCTCTTGAAGAAACCTACATTCTGTCAGTTATTAGCAAATATTAGTTGAATTATAAGTATAGTGACAAGAACTAATTCCTGGATAGTGAAAAAGGTAGATAAACAAATAGCCTCTGTCATGTAACTTAAAGTCTACATAGGGACCCAATGAACAAGCATGCAAATAAATGGAAAATAACACACTTTGAACAAGTCGTGTTTACATGTGCCACAAAAGGGGTTCTGTGATTAGAAAATAACAGTGAGGAGTGGGAAAGGGAGGCATGAAGAGGTCAGAAGAGATGTTTAGCCTGGCAATATAGAATTGGGAATTGAGACACAGAGTCAGAATTGTAGCCAAAAGAATCAAGGGAATCACTTAGGTAAGAATGTAGAATGTTTATTCAAAGGAAAGTTTGTTCAGAATTCAAATTTATACAATTGATAAGAATAGAGTTGTTCTTATTGAAGTAGAGTTGGAAGTTAAGGACATTACACCTCAGACCCTCCATGGGCTCACAGTGATCTCTTAGCTTCTAGGGACACATTTTATAAAACTGACAGTGATAGGAAAGAACAGAGAATAAGACATTAGCTCACAGCACCCATGTTGTCTTGGAAAAATAACATAATAACTCTGAGCATCATAGTCTTCTTTAGTAAAAAATTACAACCTTTGATCTTTTAAATCCTGTGACTGAGTTATCTAGGTCATTCTCAGAATATTCCACAGATGATAATAGTCATGGATTCCACATAAAAAAGTGTTTCTTGTTTACAATAATCAAACAATTTAGGATTAGCATGAAGATTAAAATAACTTCACAGAAAAACACAAGTAAAATAATACAGGTATGAGCATCTCTACATTTCTGTAATTTCTGAGTTGATCTCTATTCTCTGGTAAGATCAGACAAAGCCTTCTCTAAAGCATAGTCTCAGAAAGATTTCTCTGTTTAGGCTCCCCCTATCTTCTCCATTTTCTCTTACATTTTAGGCATTTCTTACAATTACCTTTTTTCTTTATCACTGTACCCCCTTTAAAGTATAAGTTCAGGAAAACAATTGTCAAAATTCCTAATTACTATCCACCAAACATTTTATCAAAAATCTGGATTATACTTTCTGCCATGGGGTTCTTTCCCAGCAAGTCTTTCTTCTCTAGCAGTAACCCTTCTGTACAGTGGTGTTTTACTTGCAAGTTAACATCCACGCACAGCAAGTGCTTTTATAAACAGGTTAAACTACTGGAAGGAAGATGTTTGAAGGGACAGAAAACAATTTGCAGAAGAAAATTAAAACACGATTTTTTTGGTTGTTTCATCACTGTAGATCTACATTTTGAAAAGTCTTTCTTTTCTTTGTCCTTAGTAACCTGAATGTTTATTAGCCAATTAATCTCTTATAAATAGCTTTTTGTTAGATGATGATGAATCAATGATTTTATGCTTTGCACAAGTTTTTGTTCAAGTTTTCTCCTCCACCTGAAATGCTCTTCTCCCCAGGATCACTCTTCAGAACTGGAAAAATTTTACTCCTTCTTTCAAGTATATCTCATTCTTTTCCTACTATAGGAGTCTTCCTGAGCTGGTCTAGTTGATGCTTTTCAATACTCCCATAATACTTTTTTGCAATAGAAGCAGTGTTGAATGGGCTTTGAAATTAGAGGATATACACTTCAGTTTTTGGCTATGTCCTGTACTAATTGTGTGCTCTTGTATAAGCTACTGTGTATTTTGAGTCTCATTCTCTTTATCAGCACGTTGAGTACATAAAGAACTTCTAAGTTTAAGTAGTAAAAATAGGCATATAAAACAATTTGCCTCAGATGTTATAATAGTATAAAACATGTTTCCTGAATGAATATGAGTATAGTACATTTTTAGAAGACTTTAAGGGAAAAAAAAAGACTTCAATCAAGCAAATGATTTTGTTGTAGATTTTAGATGTCATGTGAGGATAGTAGGCATGAAGCTTGGATTCATAGAGACTTTGTCGTGGTGGCCTTTCAATTATGCCAAATGCCAATCTAATCCAATGAGATGAACTGTTCAAGTGATATCATAATTAGAAACATGACATTTGATAAACAGATATCTCATAATTATATTAAAGTAGCATGGCAAGACAAGGCTCTGGAGCCAGGCTATCTAGGTTCAAATCTCAGCTCTGTCACGTTATAGCTTCTTGATTTGGGCAAATTTTTAACTCTCTTTAACAGTTTTCTTTTTTAAAGAATGGGGGCAATTCACTCATAGGTGGGAATTGAACAATGAGAACACTTGAACACACGAAGGGGAACATCACACACCCACCGGGGCCTGTCGTGGGGTGGAGGGGAGGGGGGAGGGATAGCATTCGGAGATATACCTAATGTAAATGACGAGTTAATGGGTGCAGCACACCAACATGGCACATGTATACATATGTAACAAACCTGCACGTTGTGCACATGTACCCTGTAACTTAAAGTATAAAAAAAAAGAATGGGGGCAATTATAGAAATAGTAACATAAATTAAATAAGAAAATTTTTTTTGTGAGGATTGAGTTAAGTATTTATAATACTGTCTGGAATAAAGTAAACACTGAGCATTTGTTTGCAATTATTGCTGTATGCCATGCACTTTGCTAAGTGCAGGGCATTCAGTGATGAGTATTGGGAAAGATAGGCACAGAGCAAGTAAGCAAACATGAATACGTAATTCCAAATTGTGATCATGCAAAGGAGGAAAAAAACAAGGTGTTTTGAACCACATAACAAGAAGGACTAGAATAAGGGTAAGAAATAAAGAATAAAAAGTAAGCATTGTTACCATGGGAAAATATTTTGTAATGTTGTAGTATATTTTTAAAAATAAAGATGTAATTGACACTTGATAAATTATGTAATTTATTTTTATTTTTTTAAACAACTTTCCATAATTTTCTTGTTTTTTTGCATATGTGAATACATGTAGCTGCACAGAAAAGGAATAAACACTTTGTTTATTTTTGTAGCCTATCAACTAAGGGTGTGCCAACCTCCACCACCTGTGCCCAATGCTGAAATTTTGACGGAAGATGATGAATTTGAAATAGGTAAAGCTGTTAAATTATTTTCAAGGAAAACATACTGCTGGCAGAACTATTTGCTTAAAAATAAGCCAAAATACAGAATAGTAATAGCCTGTCTTGAGACCCTCATTCCCTGTGTTGATAGAGATTATTTAGAATTTTTAAGAAGGGAGAAGGAGTGAAAAGAGGAAAGGGATTATTAGAGAAGAAAAATTAATTTTGTTTTTCTGGAATGTACAATAAGAAAACGTGTTAAAATTTGAAGCCGTTAACTGTATTCTGATGGTTCTTTCCAAACTATTATTTTGCTGCCTTCTGACACTATAGTTCTAACCTTTGTTCTTTGAATTCAGGCCTATGCCTGACTTGGCAGAATGAATGGTTTGTAGGCCATATTAGAAGACATATTTCATTTCCATATCTTGGAAAATGCTTAGTTGATTCTACTCAATTTAATCATAAAGTTGCTTTAAAACTGAGTTGGAAATTCAACCCAAATAATGCCACACAGTTTGAAAAAAAATTATATACGAAGACATCTTAATGTTGCTGTAATAAACTTTTATTATTCATTATTATTATTATATTGATTTTGGTTGAGACACACAAAGAAACTATCAGTGACCGATGTAACTTCAATAAATAGAAAGCCTTCTAACTACTTGTTGTATTTTTATTGAATATCTCACCTATATCAACTAAATTATTTCCTTATGACTATTGCTTATATCCAGCCAGCATGCACCAGTACAGAGGGAATGGCAGTTCACTTTTGCCTTCAGTCCTGATGGGTCAATGAGTATTATATACTGGTTTTTCAATATTTTGAATATAACTCCTACTTATACCTAATAACATTTTTATACTGATTGAAAATAACTAAAGGAGAAAATATTCTCCTACAATTGAAATATTTGTTTATTTTTATCATCACCTTGTTGCTTATATGAAACCTCCCCTCTTTTGTTTAATAGGTGATATTATTAGGTATCAGTGTCTTCCAGGATTTACTTTAGTTGGTAATGCAATTCTGACGTGCAGATTAGGAGAACGACTGCAGATGGATGGAGCACCTCCAGTTTGTCAAGGTATTCAATGGTTCCTATGATTATTTATTTCTTAAATATTTGCTTTATGTTTAACTTAATATAGGTATGATTGAGAAAAATCTATATAAATATGAAATGTTTAACTGGAAACAATGCTATACATTTTATAACTCATATGTGCTATTTCATTTAGAAATAGTCCACTGTTTATCAGATTTAACTTTAAACATCTTTGATTCTTTCAAGGGTAAATTTTTCTGGTTTAGCATGAAGTCCGTTCAACTTACTTCAATTATTTTGCTCTTAGGGATGGGAATGGAGGTGGAGAGAAAGGGAAATCACTTTAAATAAAGGTTTCAATGTTAATTGCTTTTACTTAGATAGAGCTTCTTATCTAACCACTAGACTCATTAAACTTTGTTGAGTACCTGTTACACAATGAGGATCTAAGGAAAAAACAAACAAGCAGAGTAACAAAAAATAAATTTTAAGTGGCCCTCGCTGTGGAAGCATCATGGAAAAGGGATATGGCAGTCATACAGGGGATAGCTGTACAGTGTTTAGGGAAAGAGACCAGGAAGCTGTAGATTCATATAATTTTTAACCGGTTGTGGGGTAGGGAAAGCTTGATGGAAGCATTGTTTCCTGAGTCATGAAACACAATTCCAAATGACAATGAGTCTTATTCTGGTAGAACAGAGCTAGAGAGAGGGTGGTCTAAGTGGCAGATATATATGCAAAGATAGAGAAGTGAAAAACAACAGGGCATGGACTTCAAGGATTCGCTATGTTACAAGAGCAAGGCAAAGATAGACCTTGAATGATGTGCTAAGCTGTGATGTTCAAAAAACATTTATTGTTCATTTGTGTAGCCCCTAGGCCCAGAACAGTGCCTAACACACAATTATCATAAATGTTGATTAAGTTGAATACAATTGAGTTGTATTTTATTATTCTTTCTAGCTTTTTTGGATTAATTCCTTCTTTAGGTTTCGTTTGGAAATCTGTTTCTTGTGCAGTATCTTAGCTGCTATAACAAGTCTAAAGTAACTTCTGATTATTATGGGGTTTTAAGCATACTATAAAATTGAAAGCCTTTCAAGAAGATAAAAAGATTGCAGGAGGCTTTGATGGTAGCAAAAAGAAAAGCAGGAAAGTGGGTGTGGGGGTATAAATTGGAGCCAATGTGAGAATTTCTCATGGTCTTACTGCTATTAGGACATCTTGAAGTTGGTTGAGAATTCTGAAGTCTATCACTTACATATTCCAGACATTTAGATGTCATTCATTCAGCTTTTTCCTTCATGTAAGGCTACTCTCTAGACCTTTAGGATTATGTCGGTTTCATGTTCAGATATTTAGATATGCAAATAGAGAAGACAGAGGCTCAACCTTTGAGGGGTTATACATGGGAAAAAAAGTTGAGCAGACACAGGATATGTCAATGAGCCAATTACATAACAGCATTTCTGTCTTGACTCCAATAAAAACTATATTGTGAGCTCTTGGAGAGCAAGCTTCTTGTTTTTATATCTGAATCCCAATTCAAAAAATTTTTTACGAATTAAAGTAAATATAACATTCAGATAAGCTAGATATTTTACAGTTTTTTGTCTCTCAGACTTTCAATGTCTTATTCCCCAAATCAGAATTTCCTGTAGATTAGTAATTGAACTTATTCTGTCTGCTGTGGAGAATACAGAAAACATAGAAAATTTTTGTCTCCTGATAACACTTCAGATACTAGCTAATAAAGTTAATAAATCATCCTTTAGAATGAGTTTATGTAGAGTTTCTATATTAATTATTTCACCAGGCATTTAAGCCAAAAAACTAACTTTACATTTTTGTTTAATTGAGTTTATTACACAAGCTTGCTAAGACAGTCATTTGTTTGGAATCGGCTAGAATTAACCTACATCGTTTTTAGTCCATTTAAAAAATTTTTTGACTTTTCCTAAAAAAGTAGTAGTATCATTTTTCTTCTCTCTTCTTCTCTAGATGCTCTGTAGCTCTATGTGTCTCACTTAAAATGTGGAAAATAATTCCAGATATGGTTTTCTGTAAAGAGTTTGTTGTAAATGAAATTTAATGGATGCTTACATTTTCTGGTTTAAAAACATTGGCTGCAACTGAATCTAGGAGATTTTGAGCACTTTAAACTTTCTGGCCATCAGTTTTCTCATATGTACAATGGGGATAAAAAGTATACACAGTTTTTAAAGTTGTGATAACGGAGATAATGTACCAATGGTGTTTAACAGTGCCTAACATAAAGTTACAATCAACAAATATTTACTGTTATTCTTGGTGGCTGTCAGGCTTCTTGCTATATGTTAGATAATGTGAGAATAGATTAATTTGTGTATTGTAGTAAAGTATATTGGATCATACCAGTCATTTCAATATGTCGTAGCCACATACTTACTTTTTTTTGGCCTTTGACTCATATATTCCATATCATTTCCAATCTTCAGGTTTATCTATTTCTTTTTTATGTATTTTTAAATTTTTTGAAAATCAATGTCAGAGTTCTCTTTTTAGGTGGAGAAAGAATGACCTGATACCATTTATGCAATATTTTTAATCTCAAAATTATATCCATGAAGGAAAATCCCAGGTTGAAGTAGAAGAAACTGAAATAATATCCAAAAAAAGTAGAAAACAGCTCTTAGCTTTAGCTATACTATATTTTAAACTCTATTATATAGTCAGTTTTCAAAAAGCCATGTGTTAGTTCTGGCCGGTTTTCAAGTTTTCAAGAAGTCTTTTCAAGTTATTAACATGTTTATAGAGAAATCATATGCTGCCATAATCCACTATGTTAGTTACTCTTTTCTACTCCTATACTTGTTGGAGACTTTATAACTCAAAAATATTTAATTGTCTTTGTACCCTGAACACTATGAATATATAAGTTCTTCATCTATTTATTATATTCCAGCAACTACATTAGTAGTTTTCAATCCCAACTCATTCAAATAAACATTGAAAAACAGGAATTCTTCTTAAAGTGCTGCTCTAATTATTTTGAGAAACAATGCTATTTAACTCCAAAATGAAAGCTAAGGTATAGTAGATGAATTAGGAAATTGCATGGGATATATTTCTAATTAACCAAATCATCAAAATTATCTAGTTCACCCATTCATTCAGTTGCCTAAATGTTCTCAGTAAGAACACCCAAAAGATAGTCCAGTCTAAGTTTAAAACTGGTTAGCAATTATGTTCGTAAGACATTTTACTATGGCCATTATACTATTCTGACAAATAGAAAGTTCTTCCTTATATTGAAGCAAATCCTGTTTGGTGCATATTGGTTTACTTCTGCACAATGGACCATACTAAATAATTCCAATACTCTTTCCACATCACAGAACTTCAAAAAAATTTTGTAAGAGATTAAAATGGCATAATTTGAGTAAAAAGGGATTGATCAACTTAGTCATATTCTTCATTCTAAATCCAAATTTAAGTAGATGTTCATAATTTTGGTCTGATACAGAATGCAATTGATGCCAACAACTAAAATTTGCTATATGTTGCAGGCTGTTAGACCATAATTATGTTTTTTGTCAATGTATAACACATTTTATGTGTTTTTATAGTGTGTTGATATATATACATATATTATATTAAAGCAGAGGTATATTATTAAATAAAAAGAGTTTGTGCTTTGGGCTACATTTATGGGCTGGAGATAGTGTAGAGCTGAAAGGCAACTGGTGACTCAGAACTGTGTTAAATCCTCATGGTAAACATATACCTGATATCAGAAATGATTTTACTTGAAATGAATACTTTGAGAGAGGACAGTTTTCTATCTGACCCCACACACCTGAGTGAGTAGAAGGTTTAAGAGAGAAGAGAGTGAGTTAAAAAGTAAGGAAAGAAAGAGGTAAAGCAAGGACATAGATAAGACAGGCAGAGGTGGGAGAACAAAAGATTAGGAGAGGTTGGGAAAAATGTGAAGAAAGAGGAGGCATTAAATGGCTTATATTTTATTTATGTATTTATTTATGTCCAGAAAGTGGTGCATCTTCCATGTAATAAAAAATAAATCAATACTATAAATTTTTAGGTCATTCCTCCAGCTTTTGAATCATAAGTTTAATACAACTTGTCTCTTCTAACAAATAATTCAACGTATCATCCTTATAGCTATTGAACATGAAAGCAGAATACTCAGTATCTAAAATACAGTTTTCACTGAGGCTCTAAAAGACTGGCATTATTTAATGACATTTTTCTTTGACAGTGCTCTGTCCTGCCAATGAATTACGGCTAGATTCTACTGGAGTCATATTGAGCCCTGGATATCCTGACAGTTACCCAAATCTTCAAATGTGTGCATGGAGCATTTCAGTGGAAAAGGGTTATAATATCACCATGTTTGTAGAATTCTTCCAGACAGAAAAGGAATTTGATGTTCTTCAGGTGTATGATGGTAACCAAGGGTTATATTTATTGGATATTCATCAATTAAGTACAAATGTTCTAATTATACATGTAAACTTTGAGTATAAACAGCTGCTTATGTGAGTTTATCTTACAGATATTTTTAGAAGTACCAACATTAAATTCACTCCTATACCATATGAAAATTATAGTTAGCTCCACTATTATTTTACAAATTATACATCATTTAGCTATAGAATTAAAATGCTTAAAACAAACATTTTATGTTTTCAATTATTGTTAATGAGGTAGATTGGTGGTGAAGCAATTTAACCATATTTAATACTATTCTAAAGATATAAAATACTAAAGACAAATGAGAATATAATTAGCTTTATCTAAATTGTTTTATTTTCTTCCCAAAGGACCAAATATTCAAAGTCCAGTGCTTATTTCCCTCAGTGGGGATTATTCATCTGCTTTTAATATAACAAGCAATGGTCATGAAGTATTTCTTCAGTGGTCAGCAGATCATGGCAATAACAAAAAAGGCTTCCGGATAAGATATATAGGTATGTAAAACTTATAACTTCAGGACAGATCTCACTATCATCTTCGGTATGATTATGATTAAGGAGCAGAGACACTATTCAGTTAGACATGAATTCAAATCACAGCTCCTCCATTGATGGTTCCTGGACAATTTATGTAACCTCTCTATTTCCTATTGTAATGATAATAATTCTACATCCCTCATATGATTTTGTAAAATATCCTAAAAAAGCATTTAGGATATTTATGACTTATATGTCAGTTATAAATTATCCTATATGTCCTAAAAGCATTTTAGGATATTTATGACTAAAAAATCCTAAAAAAGCATTTAGGATATTTATGACTTATATGTCAGTTATAAATTAAACTGTGATTTTTAATACTTTAAAAAATAGATTTGTTTTCTTTGAACTGACAAAAAATATTAATAGTGTTGCTCAGCTGTGTGTTATCTGACCTATTTAAGAACTCCTTTAAATGACAAGTTAAAACAAAGGATAAACATACAGAGGTCAAAATCTTTGTTTTAATTTTTATCCATCTATTTGTGATACTTGCTAAAATATCTTAAATGTCGAAAGAGAGAGTAACACATCATTTACAAACCTTCCGTTTTTAAAAACGGAAGCGTTTTGTCGCTACTGCTTTTCCTTGCGTGATGCTTAGAAAGATGTAGGCTGGAAATTCTTGTTAATAGCAAGATGACATAGATTTTTCTATTATGTCTTCCTGTTTATAGGGTCTACTGATACTGAACCAATAATTTTCTTGTTGAGTAAATGTACATAAATAGTCCTCTATTATGTGAAGGTTATGTTCCTTTTCTTTACTGCCCTTCTAAATCATGTCAGAGACCATTCTAAATCACGTCAGAGACCATTCTAAATCATGTCAGAGGCCATGGATATGTGCTCAATAGCAGAATCCCTCAGAATCAGCCAGCTGTCTCTTTCTATACAGTGTTCACACCATGCTTCCCAAATCATGTGTCATTGGTAATCAATTCAACCGAAAATTCCTTTTATAAATGTTTTATAAACTCTGACACTATGATTCCGGGCATAGACAGATACATTTTGAATTTCAGTTCTAAAAAGTATACTCTTGAATTTTACTCATTTATACAAATTTACAACTACATATAAAATGTATGAATAGAATAATTCTGTTTAATTCCCTTGATTTTAAAACTCTGAGATGATAGTTTGATTTTAACTAATTAATAATTTGTATTTTACATATTAGAATAACTTGTGACTGACAGCATATTACTACTATGTACATAATTGTATCCTACAATGTTTCTATTAAATCAAAAATAATTTATTATGCAATCAAAGTAGACGTGTTTTAAAAAACTGAAACATGGCCAGGCGCGGTGGCTCACACCTGTAATCCCAGCACTTTGGGAGGCTGAGGCGAGTGGATTGCCTGAGGTCAGGAGTTCGAGACCAGCCTAGCCAACATAGTGACACCCCCTCTCTACTAAAAATACAAAAACTTAGCTGGGCATGGTGGTGGGCACCTGTAATCCTACCTACTCGGGAGGCTGGGGCAGGAGAATCACTTGAACCCGGGAGGTGGGCGTTGCAATGAGCCAAGGTAGCGCCATTGGACTCCAGCCTGGGCAACAAGAGCGAAACTTCTTCTCAAAAAAAACCAAAAAACTGAACTATATGATACACCCAGTCATCTTGAAGAATTTTCATACTTGAGCTTATGTTTCTATAATATAAACAATGTAAATATCTTTTTATTAAAGTGTTGCCCAAATAGGGCATTTAAAAGTCAGCACATTAAATTCATGATACATGATAACATAAAAGGAAACTATTCAAATTAAACAATTGTAAGTATTAGATTGACTGTATTATAGACCAATCCTTGTTCTTATTATTTATGACAAAGTTGGATATTAATATAATGAAAATACCACTTTTAGCCCTCAAGAACAGCTTGACATATTAAATATGTATTTTTGCCTTTAGAAATGACAGGTTATGACATATATATCCTAAGTCCAATTTGTTTCTTACTATTTACCCCCAAAGCCCCATTTTTCTCAGATGAATTCATTAAAGTTTCAGAAGGTAAATGGGACCTGCCATGCTGAATATTCTCAAAAGTACATATGAAAAAGCTATTTGACAGTATCTGTTGGCATTTCAAACATCAGGAGATGAAAAAACTTTTTTATTTTATTGGCAATTTGTATCATAATATGTAAACGCTCTTGACAGAATGGGCACACTTTAATAGACTGGGAAAGAGGATTATGGAATGTGGGGGCTTATTTTAGACATCAACCAAAATGAAATGTATGACCTAACATGGTAGAGGTGTCTGGATATAACTTCAAAGTGACATGTAAACGACATGCTCTAAAATATTGCTACCAAGGCTGTGGCATATAGGTCCCTCAAATGACAGGAAATGCGGTTTCCAAAATTCAGTTAGATATTTGTTGGGCTTCTGAACCTCCAGGGTGTTAAGAAAATACATTTCAATTCAGAAGACATTTTCGGTGACAATATAAATTGGAAGAAAGCTCAGAGTTAGTTATGTCTCCCAAAAGTTGTGTCAGTAGATCATTTTCAAAAGAGGAAAGAGCACAATATGTTGTTCATATGAAGTAAAATTTACATAGATGACCACTGACCTACTTTTAAGCACTAGTCGCTGTATAGGTGTTTATCACTTTGGGTAATAACTTCTGATTCATTAATTAAACAGCATTTTTTTTTTCTTTTGAAAAGCTTTCTACTGTAGTACACCAGAATCCCCACCTCATGGATATATTATCAGTCAGACAGGTGGGCAGCTTAACAGTGTGGTCCGTTGGGCCTGTGATCGAGGATTCCGACTTGTTGGAAAAAGCAGTGCTGTGTGCAGAAAGTCTTCCTATGGGTATCATGCATGGGATGCGCCAGTCCCTGCCTGTCAAGGTGAAGTATATTATGCCAAAATGAACAAAAACATGAATGTGAGATTAGCACCATTTAACGTTTTTATTTGGATCACTAACTTTTCTGAGAATGGAAATATTCGGAAGCATATTGTGAACTCTTTTCATAAAAACAAGGCATAACATTGCAGAATGATAAATTCCAGGGGAAAGAAACATACTGTTTTATAATTATTCATTATTGTTATGCAACTTATATGCCTTGACTTTTTCCCCTTGTATACATACTTTATTCATACATCCTCCATTCCAGTTACTTTGTTTTAAGACAATTATTGAAAGAGAGGAAGACTGAGTTAGTATGAAGTCTGCAGAGAGGTAATAGAGAATAAGAATGGGCAAGTACACTGAAGACTGAGTTTCACTCTTAGCATCCAAAATTTGCACTCACAGCAACAAATTTAAGAGAAAAATGTAACCCACCACCTGGATATTTTTTTTCTTCAGTGGTACAGATAACACAACAGAGATATCAAAGATATGTTTTTTATTTTTCTTTGTATTTTGTCAAAAGTCGAGGCACTGAGCATTATATCATGCTGCAAAAAGAATAACAAGCTTGTTAATCAAAAAATTGCATGTTTTAGAGTTTTTGATTAAGACTTGTTTTTATGGGAGGCTGAGGCCGGAGAATGACTTGAACCCGGGAGGCGGAGGTTGCAGTGAGCTGAGATTGCAACACTGCACTCCAGCTTGGGCAACAATAACGAAACTCCATCTCAAAAAACAAAACAAAACAAAACAAAACAAAAAGACTTGTTTTAAATAGTAGTTGAGTCTCTTACGTAAGTGTAGTCATAGTCATAAAGACAAGCTCAACATCAGCTACGCAGAAAAGCTAATGTCATTGGACTTTGAAAATTTTAAAATACTTAATTCATTATATTATTTTATCAAGATGAAAATTAATTTTGTATTTTGTTTAACTCTACTCAGCATGTAAAGATGCAGATAGCAACTTTGAATTCTCACATGAAAAAATGCAGGATACTCTAGGTTAATAAACAAGAAGTCTTACTTATTACCTATTTTTTGGTGGGCATTTATAAAAAACAAAATGTAAGATAGGTAATTAAAATTTAAAATCAACCAATAATAAGTTAAAATTAGCTAAAGAATAGGTATTACCAGGCACTTGAAATGGCTTCTTTTACCTATTAGAGTGCAATTTATAATTCATAAAAGGATAGCTTTCAAAGGCATATGTAAACAAATGCAAAATGAAAGAATTATTGTTTCTTGTTGTATTGATGCAAGGAAACATTAATCACTTATTAGGATTCTGGGAAGCACCATTACCTTAATGGGTTATCAACACTGAAGGCATTTACTTCATGCAGAATAGATACATTTTAATAAAGTATTAAAACAGCTGCTTTCCTTCGACCAATGAATAGCAGGAGTATTTACAGTTCTTAGTATTAACTGATTTCCCAGAATTAATTTGGGAAAGAATCTTTGATGTCAAATTTCATAATAGAATTAAAAGATATAAAATAAGCTTATAATATATATATTTTAAATAACCATTAACATGCTCTGAATTTTAATTGTTTTTAATTTTAAACTTTTGTATTTTAGTTACATAATGATTGCTTTTATTTATATTTATATACACACATACACATACACACTCCTATATGGTATACATATATAATCCTTAAGAAACATTTTGTGAGAATAATTGACTATCATGTAAAATAAAAATACCGCATGCTTTCTGAAATTTTGAAATTGCTTTGTAGAATTAGTGCTACAATTTCATTGAATATATTCCATGTAATTTACATATGGAGTCATTTTTTCAATGTCCTTAATTTAAAATTGTTTTAAATTCAAATAAGAAAGTTGAAATATAGTTTAAAAATGAGATATTTGGTGAAGTAAAATGATAAAATATATGTAAATCATGTAGCCATTTCCAAAAATTGATCTTTTCTAATTGTTAAAAAAGATTAAGAAAAAATGCTTACAGGATATGACCTCTATTTGGACATTACTAATTGAAATGAAATGTTTGTATGTCATTTGGAAGAGCTATTTGCATAATGCACCTTTTATTTCAACTTGTTTTGCATTTTTCAGTCATTTTTCTTTCTCTTACCTCTTAGGTCTTCTTATACATCCTGACATACATTTACTTGAGCTATAAAGTTACACAACATGAGGATAAACATAGAAAATTAGTCAGCTATATCTATTTGGGTTTGGTCAGGTGTTTTATTTATTTTTGTTCTCATCACATAACTATTGATCCCCCCCTCAAAAATTGAACAATCCTCATGAATATAATTAAATATTATGTAGTGTTACGTGGAAACTCACTTTGTATTCCGTCTCACTTTTAATTTGTGATTTCCTGAGAGTTGTATAGACAAGCCTCTTTTACAACCACTCAATTATGATGACTTTTCTTCTGAACTGGATTTATTTTCTTTCTTTTCTTCTTTTTAAAAAAATTAGCGGAGAAGTTAAATTGTTAACTATCCATAGGCACAGGAATTGTCCCATTATTCTGGTACGTTGTCTCTTTTTAGTTCTAAAATAGAACCACATTTTACTAAACATATATGTGGAATCTATACTATTTAACTACATCTCTTTTTACTTTGACCTAGATTCAATCTATACTACACCAACAATGAATAGTTAATTTTTAAAAATCAGTAAATACATGATCTTTGGGAGGGAGATGGCATATAACAACTTGAAATTCCCAAAAGTTCTAAGTGAAAATATAAACATTGCTTTATCAGACATCAGGGAACCATTTACTTTTCAACACTATTTTAGAGGTTCTGTAATTAGAAAGCAGGGATAATAACATAATTATGTGAGATTGCATATGTATTTTAAGTCAGTGTTACAGCTTTTCTGTTCATAATTTACAGGTTACCAAATTACAGAAGATCAATTATTCAGCAGTAGGGATTCTGCCATTCAGTTTTGACAGTTTTGTAAAGATTTCACTAAGGTTTTTCATTTTATATTTAATTTACGTGGGTTAATGAAAATTAAGCAGCAAATGGTAGATTTTATAAGAGAAGTGGAAACAATTTTTGGTCGAAATGGAAGATGGGTGAATAGTACATAGCATTTATAATATTTAAACTAAACTCATCTTTCTGTAGTTTATTTCTTCTGTTATGAGAGAAAATATAAATCTGTAATTCTTTGTATGAAACGTGTAAGCTAGATATCTTTCATAATACAGAAGCTTTCTCATTTTATAACAATAATGCACTACATATATCTATCAGTTATTACATAACTCCAGTTGGTTCTGGAATGACACTCATATTCAAATACGTTAGTCCTTATGTGGAGATATGTATAAATATTTACTCTGAGAGTGATATATAAAGATACACATAGGGCCAGATGCAGTGGTTCACGCCTGTAATCCCAGTACTTTGGAAGGTAGAGGCCACTGGACTGCTTGAGCCTAGGAGTTTGAGACCAGCCTGGCCAACATGACGAAAACCCGTGTCTACAAAAAAATACAAATATTAGCCGGACCTGGTGATGCGTGCCTGTAGTCCCAGATACTCAGGAGGCTGAAGGTAGGAGGACTGCTTGAGCCCAGGAGGTAGAGGCTGCAGTGAGCCAAGATCCTGCCACTGACTCCAGCCTGGGAAAAAGAGTAGTACTGTGTCTCAAACAAACAATTGGCCAAGTATGGTGGTACGCACCTGTAGTCCCAGCTACTAGGGTGCTGAGGTGTGAGGATCACTTGAGCCTAGAAGGTAGAGGTTGCAGTGATCCCAGATAGTGCCACCGCACTCCAGCCAGGCGGCAGATTGAGACTCCTGTCTCAAAAAAAAACAAAAAACAAAAAACCTGACTTTAATTGAGTATTGCTACCAAATATATACTTTGAAAGATTATGTACATGTTATTTGAAAGATTATGTGTTTTTTTTTTTCTGTTTCTAAGTGCCAATTGTGTACTTAATAGGGCAAAAATGGTAAAAAATCAATTTTAGGGGATTTTTCTGTAGCCTTTTAAAATTGTAAAGTATAAAATATATACAACAAACTAGGCAAATATAACATTTTACATTATTATCACATCATAGTAAAACTAATTTTCACCTAAATCAAATGTATTGTAGATAAAAATCAAGACATCTAAGACACATCAGTGAAATTCAGGAAGATCCTAACTAGGTTTTTAAGACAGTAAGTCCTGGCCTTGTATTTATTAAACATATCCAATATACACAATACTTTGTGGATGGTGCCCCAGCTCATACATTGTGGCTTCTGCTAAGACAGAAATAGCCAGCTTTCAGGTAAAATAAATCTATTTGATTTATTCCTGACCAAAATTATGATTCATATTGGTTGCCACTCTCTTTAAAATATTTAATATTTATCTGTCAAATTGAATTAATCAAACTTGCTATATGATGGTCCAGTCATGGGCTTGCATTAGAGATACTCTTTACCTAACTTGCATTCTCATATAATCCATACAAATGCTGATAACCATGCACATGATCACCAGAAATTAAGTAAGAAACCAAGAAATAAAGCATTAACAATGTATAGATTCATCAATTTATAAACATTGCTAAATAAGGGTTTGGAATAAATTATTCAAAATTTATGGTTCGGAAAGTATTTCTGTGATTCTGAGATTGTTTCAGAGGAATTGATAAAAATCCCCGTTAGTTTTGCATGTTTTACAGTTCAGCAGAGTTACCTAATAAATTAAACATTTTTCTGTTTATACGATTTTGCTTGTGTGTATGTTTTTCTAGCAATTTCCTGTGGGATTCCTAAAGCTCCAACAAATGGAGGAATACTAACAACAGACTATTTGGTAGGAACGCGAGTTACCTATTTTTGTAATGATGGATATCGATTGTCATCCAAAGAACTCACTACAGCTGTATGCCAATCAGATGGAACATGGAGCAATCATAACAAGACCCCTCGCTGTGTTGGTATGTGTGTCAAGGGAATTTCATCACTTGTTTTTCTCTTGGTATTTTATATACCTGAAATTTTATGTATTTTAGAATTATAAAAACCAATCCCTAAACTGAAATGTGATGTCTAAGTCAGAAATAAAAGTTAAGTAAGCTATCTTGTACAATGAAGTACTAGAAGACAGTACAAGGTCTTTTCCATCATTTTTGAAAACCTCAGAATATTTATGTCAAAAAAGGCACTTTTATTTTATACAATGATGTTTTATTTTGTAAAAAGTCATCCTTTAGTCAACATGTGTTTTCAGTACATGGCCCCTTGAGAAAATTTTTAAAGACTGTGTTAATAAAATTATATTTTGACATATTTCACTCTGATTTTATAAGGATAAATAATGTTGCAAAAATTATCCATAACTTTAAACTTTTGTTGATATTCTTCTGTTTACTTACACTTAGAAGAGTTCCTATTGCTGTCACTATTACTTCACTAGGTAAATAAGTTTACATAATGATAAGACATTAATTCTGGTAAAGATTTGGTAGCAAAAAATAGAAAATATTGATGTGAATAAACTCTTGAATTTTCTCTATATTTCGATTATTTTTTCCCATTTAGTACTAGCATTTCCACTTAGTTGTGATTTCATTTAAAATGAAGATTGTTAAGTTGTTCGCACTCTCAGCATAGGTTTCTAATAAGGCTTCTACTTACCTTGAAAAAGTTTTGAATTAGCTAAAGTTGATATCACTACTCCTGCACAAAAAGGCCATTCACATCAAAAAAATTTCCTCAAAATATAGTCTTTTCTAAACTTATAAAGAAATAAGGGAGTAGAGGTAAGCCAACAACTGGGATTCTAAGTAGGTAGAATAATAAGTACAAGATTGAATTGTGAAACCATTGAGTGTGTTCCAGACTGCCAGCAATACCATATAGCTAGGGGAATGGAAAATATCAACATGCAAAAGAAATAAAGAACAAATGCTAAAGGACCTTGTATAGTGCAAGAGTAAGTGAATTAGGTCAGTGGAGATGTAAAGAATGGAATAGACGTTGAGATATAGTGATTTGTTAGCAATTACACCCTTTGGTTTTTGTATAGTTGTTACATGTCCAAGCATCAATTCCTTTATCTTGGAACATGGAAGATGGCGAATTGTGAATGGCTCCCATTATGAATACAAAACCAAAGTAGTTTTCAGCTGTGACCCTGGTTATCATGGACTAGGTCCTGCCTCCATCGAATGTCTTCCTAATGGTACTTGGAGTTGGAGAAATGAAAGACCATATTGCCAAAGTAAGTATACACTCTGCTAAACTTATTTCATAAGCTATGTTTGGTTATCGAATTGTTTGAATCAGTTCCTTTCATAAACACATTAGATCAATAATTGGATGACATTACTAATATGGTCATTTATTCTCGTTACGTTTTTAAATTTTCTAACTATGTTTCTATGTATTAGTAAATGCTTTTCTAGCAAATAGAAAAACATGGGCTTTGGATTAAGAAATCTAGTGTTTGAATTGTTGATCTATTACCTACTTTAACAATGAAGTAATGATTACTTACTACTTGACAGACACTGCTTTTAGTCCTTTATATGTTTTATACTCATTTGGTTAAAAAAAAAAAAAAACCTTTGCCCCAGATGTAATCATTCTATTAAAGTCAGAGAGCCTATAAATGATAGAGAAATGATATTTGACCAAGTAGCCTGACTAAAACCCTTGACTTTTTATCATGTTATATCATGTTTATTCTCTCTGATTCCAAATTCTAAAACTAGAAAATCTTAAAACTAGAAAATTATAACACCTGTCATGTAGAGTTACTGCAAACATTTAATGGTATGACACAATTGAAATACCAGCTATAACCACATCCTCAATAAATATTATTGAACCAAATTGAGCAGTTAAGGCGTTTTATTTCCATACATTTTTATAATATAAATGGCCAGTATCTAATATACATAAGCTAACAGAACATAGGATATTCAGGTGAAATATCTTGAACTCCCTTTCTTACATTCATTTATTGTCTGTTTTGTTTCAGGAAATATGCTAGGCGAAAATTCAGTCTTTTAATTAGCGTCCAACACAACTCTATGGTATATATTGCATAGAGACCCATGATTTATAGACAAACTAATAAAGAGATCAAAGGTCTACCTAGGGTTATTATGATTAAGAAGTTTAACGTAGCAGACAACTATCTTATGTGTAATAAGTACACAAGTATCTGATATTATTTTATTTATGAATATTCACTGATTTGAAATTTATTTTTTGAATCTCTATATCAGTATAGAATTTTTCGGTTGCCCTGTGTTCCAAGATAATCACATTAATGAATTAAAGTATTAAAAATATATTTCTAAATTATATTTAATATTGTAAAAATGTGCCATCATCTGTATTTTTTTTTGTTGTTTTTGTTTGTTTGTTTGTTTGTTTTTTGAGAAAGAGTCTTGCTCTGTCTGCCAGGCTGGAGTGCAGTGGCGCGATCTCAGCTCACTGCAACCTCTGCCTCCCAGGTTCAAACAATTCTGTCAGTCTCTGCAGTAGCTGTGATTGCAGGTGCCTGCCACCACGCCTGGCTAATTTTTTTCTGTATTTTAGGTAGAGTTGGGGTTTCACCATGTTGGCCAGGCTGGTCTGGAACTCCTGACCTTAAGTGATCTGCCCTCCTCAACCTCCCAAAGTGGTGAGATTATAGGCATGAGCCACTGCGCACAGCCTGTATTTCTAAATTTTTGTACTAGTCCTCCAAGTTTTTTTCCCAGGATTTTTCTCTGACTGCAGACTCCTTGTTTTTTCCAAATTATTGTTTAAAAAGAATAATTTGTTTTTAAAGGGCACATGGATAGGAATATTTCAAAGAGCTAGGTAATTATTATCTACAACAGAAACACTCATTTAATCAGGTTTTCAACAAATGTTTGATTCCATTGTGTTAGATTCTTTACTATGTAGAATTGTTTAAAGGATGAATAAGGTTGGGTTACTGCCTACAGGTAAGAATGAGGGAATGGCAAGGAATTTAGGAATTGCAATTAATTGAGAAAAAGAAAAAAATAGTATTTTTTTTCTGGTCCTCCATTTAATCATCTTTTAAATGAAAATAATATAAATATTAGAATTAATAATAATATTAGTATATCAATAATATTAATAGCGACCTCAAATGATTTTTTTTGGGGGGATGAGCTCAAAATCATCAGTACATTTTAAATTTGATATGCAACTCTTGCAAGTTTGAAAGTTTTCTATTTCTCTACCTGACAGCTATCTAAAACTTAAGACTGAAAACCTAGAGAGTTGTTTTGAGCATTACATAAATGAAAACACTATAGCACCTAGTACATAATACAAGCCCAATGAACATGATCTGTTATTGTTTTTATGCTAGAATGACAGTTCATTTGTGGTCTTCAAATATGAAGAAGTCATAAGAGATGCTATATGACCCAGCAAGCCAGTTAAATTTATTTTCTTCAATTTTTTAAAACTTAGAAAAAACAGATGAATTATATCTAATGGATCTCATGAAAATCAAATATTTTACATGTAAAACTCAAACGATAGAGTTCTTGACAAAAATTATATTGTAATTATTATTTTAATGTTGGTTTAGATATGAAGAAACTTTGGCTCAGGTAAGTCAAAGGGCTTGCCCAAAGTTACTTGATAAAGCAGAGAAAGATTTTGGATTAATGAATTATCATCTCTTTAAACTTGTGATGTTTTTCATCCACTATAGCCAGGTTGACTAAGCGAAAAATGCAAAAAAAAAAAAAATGAAAAAAAAAGAACTTTATGTCTCTGTTACTTAGAAGGTTCTATGGGGACTTAAAGAGGGTACATTTTACGTTATGTCATCTCTTTTCTCCCTACTTTCACACTCATTCAAACATGTTTTACAAATGCCAATTTCCTTTGTAAATACATCAAATCATAGGAAGCTCAAAATGTTCAAAGCACAGTTTTGTTACAAGTGCAGCTTGACTATATCTTTAAGGATTTTTATTTATTTATCATTTTAAAGTTATTTCCTGTGGAGAACTACCTACACCTCCAAATGGAAATAAGATTGGAACTCAAACTTCATATGGCTCAACAGCTATCTTTACCTGCGACTTGGGATTCATGCTTGTGGGCTCTGCTGTAAGGGAATGCCTTTCCTCAGGTCTTTGGAGTGAATCTGAAACCAGATGCCTAGGTACAGATTTTTAATTTGTTTTTGTCAAACTTCCCCCTGCCCCTCACCCTTGAAAAGAGGCATCTCTTTTTCCCTAATATGAGATACTAATTTATATTCATTCAGTAAGTATGTTAAAAACCAGAAAATACTTATCTTTAAAAATGGCTCATGATAGAAAAGCTACTAAACGGAATAATCAAATAGCATTCCTAGTGAAATCTAAGGAGAGACACATTTTCTTCCAGGCATGGTGAAAATATAATGGTGAAAACTAATTGCTGAAAACTGTATGCCTGCTTACTCAGCTGGATTAATCGCTGTAGCTATTAAGTCATTCTAAACCATAGTCAATTCTCTTTTCACCTATTTGCTTAAGGTAATGACTGAAGAAGATAAACAATGTAATGTGTGTATTTAAGTACCTTTCTTCCGTTTTATTTCATAAGATTTCAACATGCATAAAACTAATTTCTATTAAAATTAAAAAAAAATTTTTTGAACCTGATTTTAGGCAATTAGGATGTTTTCCCCTTAGAGTATTTATTATAAAAAATCTTCAGTTAAAGAAACTGAACTAGTTCGTTCTTCTTACCCTGCCTCTTTTATTATGAAAATATTATATTTTATGCTTTATCTCCTTTTTCAAAGATTTCAATAATTTATTTAATATTAAGAAAATAGTATGATTTATGCTATTTATGCTTTGTTTTCTCTAAAATGATTTCAAGATCTGACAGCAAGTATTGAGTTAGGTAATAATGAAAATTTTTCTAATGATTATTCACTTATCTGTTGGAAGTAAGGCAAGATCTTTTTGTTTACGAATTTAAAAATTGCTGATTATCATGAATAGAGTACGGCAAAATTTGTACAGTGTTTTTGTCTTTAAAATATTACTGTTTAAGAATATGACACATGGCAGAAAAGTTTATACTTATATATTGTGTGGCTAATAAGCTTGAAAATATTCATAGAAATACAATCATTATTTGAAATTTCAAATGGTATAGTTAGAAGTTTTGGTTAAAATGTCTTTTTTCTCCTTCTCAGGCACATTTGTTAATAGTTATGCTTGGAAGCCCAGCAACAATTTCTTTATAAGAGCACACATATTTGAATATACACAGGGAACTCCTGAGTCTCTGGGGTCATTAATGGACCAGGCTCTGGCTAGGGATGGAGTTCCTCTCAGACTAGTGTCTTTCCTCTTCCTCTTTAAGTCTCACCTAGACAGAGCAGAGTGGTGAGGATAGGAGTCATGATGTCTCCCATTGGATAAGGTTGGGCATATGGATGAGGCCACTTCAATGATTATTGAAGAAAACAGAAAATAGTTAATGAGTTAAATGATTATGTATTAATATGTGATTATATAATCAAATAAAAACTCAAAAAAATAAAAAATCTTAATAGTTTGTAAACTGATTTTGGTTGTACTAATTTCAATTACAGATTACTTAGTTTACTTATGCATTTTTAAGTAAACTTAGTTTACATATAAATTTTTAAATTTATATATAATTATATAGAAATATATATTTATACATACTCAAGTATTTAAATTATATATTACATGTATCTTTAAATATGTATACATTTATAAATAAATATATATTTAAAATACTATATTTAAATGATATATAATTTAAATACAATATTTAAAATATTTAAATATATATTAAAATATTATATTTAAAATGAACCATATTTAAAATATAGTTAAAATAAAACTAAATTTTAAAAGCATTTTAAATATACATATAAATTTGAAAATACTATATTTTATGGCCATGTGCTCTCATGAATTGTTATTGTGTATTATATATTATTTAATATTGTATATAGTATGTGGTTTTATTCACCTACTTAGAATCTTGATTCTGTTCTCTGGAAAGACAGGGCATAACAGGAATATTTATAAGAAAATATTGCCTCTTAGTCTAAGGAGACAAGATCATCCATTGTAGAGAATACAGTGTTTATATACAATGAAATGCAAAAGGATGTTGGTAGGAGGAAAGTACAGTTACCAAACAAGCAAATCCCAGAATATTACACTGTGAATTGACCTTAAGGTTTCATTCTTCTCAACTAGTTTGTGTAACCTCAGACACTTTTAGCTTAGAACGGCCATGAGAATGTGCTTATAATTGTTTCTCTAAGTATGGTGCATTTATTCCTGCCTTCCTAGTATTTTATTATGAATTTTTCAATTAAAGGAATTGACAGTGAACACCCATATGCCTACCACCTAATTCTACAATTAGCATTTTTTTCATATTTGCTTATCACATATCTATCCATGTTTCCAGGCCTCCATCAATCCATTAATTTATTTTTTTGATGCATTTTGAAATAAGTTGTAAACATCAGTATACTTTGTTGCCAAATATTAAGCATGCATACCATTAGCTAGAGTTCAGTATTTGTTCAAAGTTTTTTTTAAACTCGGCAAAATTTGTATGTAGTGAAGTACATAGATCATAAGTTCAGTTAGATCAGTTTTGACAAATGTATACATCAGTGTAACTAAACCACTATAAAGACATAGAATATTGCCATTACCTCAGAAAGTTTTCTTATGCCCCTTCACGGTCACTGTGCAACTCTCCTCCTCCATAACCTGAGGCAGTAACTATTTCGATATTTTCACCATATATTCATTTCCCCTGTTCTAGAAATTCATTAAATGGAATTGAAAATTGTGCACTCTTTTGTATAAGGCTTCTTTTATTCTCTTTTATCTATGCTGTTGTGCATATCTGTAATTTGTTCCTTTTATTGCTCAATAGGATTCTATTGTACAAATATGCCACATTTCAGCCATTCTCTTTTTGATGGATACATGGGCTATGTCCAGTTTTAGGCTATTATGAATAAAGCTGCTATGCATGCTCATGTAAAAGTCTTTTTGTGGACATACGCATTCATTTCTCTTGAATACTCACAACAGAATACATGTGGGAGAGTTCTAGTTGTCTCCCATTCTCTCCAGCATGTGGTATAGCCAACTTTCTTTTTCTCTCCATTCTGTTGGATGCATAAAGGTATCCTATGATATTTTAATATTTTTTGTCTTAATGAATACTAATGTTAAGCACAGTTTTTCATAGGCTTATTGGCTATTTGTAAATTTTCCTTTGTGAAGTGGTAAAGTATATTGACTTGCCTTTTTGTTATGAATTGTAGGAGTTCTTTACATATTCTTGTTACAAGGCCTTCATCATTATGTGTTTTATAAGTATTTTCTCTTATTCTATGACTTGCCTACTCATTTTTTAATAACATCTTTTGACAACGAGGAATTTTCAAGTTTGGTAAAGTCTATCATTTTTGTTTGTTTTACTTTCTACTAGAAGCTTTATAGTTTTAGCTTTAACTTTTATATCTCCAATGTTATTTTTAATTCCTATGTGTTACATAGTAGCATTGAGGAGCTTTTTTACTTGCACTTTGTATCTTGCACTATTTATTGAAAAAACTTCATAATAATTATTGAAATCATGTATGTAAATCCTCTAAATTTGTTCATAATTTTCAAAATCACTTTGGATACCATAACACTTTGCGGTTTCATATAAATCTTATATTAGTTTATGAAACTCTACAAAGAGATTCTGGTGGGATTGAATCCTTTCATCAGTTTGGGGAAAATTGGCTTCTAAAAACATTGAGTCTTGTGATCCATGAACAGAGTACATTTGTTTGGGTCTTTACTTATTTTTTTTTTTTTTTTTTTTTTTTGTGCAATGGCAACATTTTGTATTTTTAGCATAGAATGTGCTATTGCTAAATTTATTCCCCAGAATGTTTTACTATTGTAAGTAAAAAGTAAAATTGTTCTTTTTTTATTTTTTAGATAGGGTCTTGCTATGTTGCCCAGGCTGGTCTTGAAATTGTGGCCTCAAAAGATCCTCCTGCTTTAGCTTCCCAAAGTGCTGGAATTATAGGCATAAGCCACTGTGCCCAACTAAAGTTGTTTATCTAAATTACATTCTCCAATTGTTTGCTGTCAGTATATAAAATACAATTATTCAAAATATTTACCTAATATTCTACAACCTTTCTAAATTCACTTACTAGTTTAAGATGTTTTAAAAATATAATTTTCTACGTACGTATTACCTGAGTATAGAACAGTTTCACTATTTTGTTTCCCAACATTGTGCTGTTTTTCTTCTTTGTATTAATGTATTGCACTGGAGGTTTTTTTAACAATGTCTTTGTTGGGTTGAGAATGTTCCCTATATTCCTAATTTGTTGTCAGTTTTTAATCGTGAATAGGCACTGCATTTTGCTACATACTTTTTCTGCATAGATTGAAATAATTACATAGAATTTTTTCTCTTTTATTATGTCAAAATTACAGTAATTTTTCATATTTAGCCAAACTTCATTTCTGGATAAATCCCAGATAATCATGATGTATTATCATTTATATGTCACTAGACTGATTTTCTAAAATTTTATTAAGGAGGTTTGTATCTCTGTTTATGAAGTACTTTGGTCCTTTATAATCATTTAAGGACTTTGGTACTTTTTAATTTTTTTTTTTTTTTTTGAGGCTTTACTATTGGGGTTAATGATTACTTCATAAAATAATTTCAAAGGTGATTTTTTCTTTTCTATTTTCTAAAAGAGTTTGCATAAGAATTATTTTCCCCATTAAAAGCTTGAATTTCCCAGCCAAAAAAAAAAATCCGTGGGAAGGTTTTTGTTTAAGAATTCACATATTTTAATAGATAAAAACTATTAATATTTTTATATTTTTACCTTGTGTTAGTTTTGGGGCGAGTTATAATTTTCACAGAATTTTTTTTCTTTTCTTCTGAAGTGTTAAAATGTATTGGCATAAAGCTGTTTTTAGCATTCCCTTATTCTTTTAATTTCTTAAGGCTTTATAGTGATATCACTTCATTCCTGTTATTGACAATTTTATTCTCTCCTTTTTGGTGTTAATAGGGTTAGCTAAGAGTTTAATAATTTTGTTGCTATTTTTAGAGAAAGAATTTTTAACTTAATGTTCTCTATTATTCGTAATCTTAAATATTTCCTTCTGTCTACTTACTTTGGCTTTATTTTTACATCATTTTGCTCCTTGCTTCTTCTTAACATGGAGTTTTAGGTCATTGCTTTTATATCTCTATTTCTTCTACTAAAAGCACTGAAACTTATTAATTTCTTTAATAAGTAATGCTTTATCTGTACCTCTAAATTTTGATATATTTTCTTTCTTTTATTTATTTATTTATTTTTTTTTTGAGGTGGAGTCTTGCTCTGTTGCCCAGGCTGGAGTGCGGTGGCGCGATCTGCGCTCACTGCAAGCTCCACCTTCCGGTTCACGCCATTAACCTGCCTCAGCCTCCCGAGAAGCTGGGACTACAGGCGCCTGCCACCATGCCTGGCTAATTTTTTGTATTTTTAGTAGAGACGGGGTTTCATCGTGTTAGCCAGGATGGTCTCAATCTCCTGACCTCGTGATCTGCCACCTCGGCCTCCCAAAGTGCTGGGATTACAGGCGTGAACCACCGTGCCCAGCCTATATTTTCATTTTTACACATTGAGATATTTTATAATTTCTTCAAGACCCAAGTGTCACTAGACACGTGTCTTCTTTTAATTTCCATATATTTGTTGTTTTGCTAAATATTTCATAGTTACCTTTATGTCATATAGTTATAATTGAATTATTTGTTGCTTGCTTTTAAGACAACTTTAAAGGTTTGCTCATGTTCCACATGTATATAAATATACAAATAAAACAAATCACAGTATTAAAAATATTACTTTATAACGTATTTCAGCGGGTCATTGTGGAATTCCAGAACTGATTGTGAATGGTCAAGTCATTGGAGAAAATTATGGATATAGAGACACAGTTGTATATCAATGTAATCCTGGTTTTCGATTGATTGGTTCTTCAGTGAGGATATGTCAACAGGATCACAATTGGTCTGGTCAGCTCCCATCCTGTGTGCGTAAGTAAGCATGGCAAAAGCAATTAGAGACCTCTGATCTTTGGAATAATTCTAGTTTTTGTTAGGCAAGATGAATATATATATTATGTTGTTATATATATCAATATAAAGTAAATTTCCACAATCCAATTTGATACTGCTATGCAAAAGTCTTTAAAGTGGAATATGTTCAAGAGAATTTCAGTTATATTTTATCATGAAGATAATAAATTAAATTTAGCTCTTCTCATATTTAATATAAATATATAATATTGATAAATTAATATTCTTATATGGAAGACACATTATCAACACATTTGTAATTATAAGGGTTTAAATTTCTAGAGACCACTGTGTAGCTGTATCAAGGTTTGTTACTATGTGATATTACAGAGCTTTTTATAGTGGAAAATATTTTGGATAAATATTATCTAACAATTATGATACTACTGTCATGACATCAAGATTATATACTGATGAAGCACAGTGGGGAATATATTATCATTAGGCATGACATGAAGAACCTTTGCTCTCATTTCAGGTCCTCTGATGATTATGTGAGCTAATGCAGTGTTTAATCTCTCTGGGCCGTAATTCCCTTATATAGAGAGTGTGTGGTTGAAGATGTTTATCATTATGTCATCTTTTAACCTCAAAATGCATTGCATTTTTAAATATATCAAGATTACACATATGTAACGTAGCTATATTTTGTCTGAAAAAAATTAAAAATTATTTATGAGGTTGCGAAGGCATATGAATGATATCATGAACTCTGGGGACTAGGGAGAAAGAGTAGCAGAGGAGTGATAGATGAGAGATTACACATTGGGTACAGTGTATACTCCTCAGGTGATGGGTACACCAAAATCTCAGAAATCACCACTAAAGAACTTATCCATGCAACTAAACACCACCCGTTCCTCAAAAACTATTGAAATAATTTTTTAAAAAGCAGATAAAAAGAAAATAAATAAAAGTTTATTTTAAAGCACTGTTTACACTATTTTAAAATTCATACAAAACATATGAATATATGTAATTTTAGAAATATTTTAAAAAGATCTCACCAGTTCGACATATATCCATGTGATCTTTTAGGTTGATTAGATATGAATTCACAGATGAAGAATAAAGTGTATTTTGAAATATCTTTTCATTATTTCTTAAATATACCTGCTGTGCTTTGTGGTTTTAATGGATCTCTTCCTATATGTATGTTGTGGATTTGGCCATTGTGCACTTATTATGACTGCTATATTATGAAAATAAAAATAGAGCTGAATAATGATAAACTCTAGTACATCTCAGAATCCCCGTAAGTATTTAGTGTTTCAGATCACAATCTATCCTACTTTGGATCTTAAAGTCAACTACATTTTTCTTATATTTTTCACCTAATAATATCCATCTCCAGATAACGGACATTTATATTAAAATTATTATTAGTAAATAAGTACTGTAAATATGTTGTAATTATAATAGGATCATAGGATAAAGATTTTGGAAGTGTCAGATAAACAATACATGGGACTTTTAGTATGCGTTCACAGGAAATATTTCATTTAATCTGTGACCAATTGCATGTATACTTATAAATTCGGTCATAATACTGTTTTGATCCAATCCACAGAAACGTATAGAAATTCTAGTTTCATGGTAATGATAATAGGATAATAGAACATCTAGTTTCATGGTTATGATAATAGGATAATAGAATATCTAGCTGACAATGAAAATCACTTTCCACCCCTACACCCCCCCCAAGCAAATTGATTGTCTGATGATTTAAAGACAACAATATCCTGCTTGTGTCTGCCCTGGATATGTTCTTTTTCATTTATATTCAAGCATAGCCAATTAATACCACTGTTTTTCTTGTTGAATAATTGAGACTATAAATGAGAATTGGCCCTTAGGGTAAAACTGGTTTCTTTATTGATAATTTTAAACCAGAATAAGATGCAGTTAAATTCCCAAATGGGTAGGTTGACATTAACAATACAGCTGAAAAATAATTGCTCTTGGGTCATTTCCTAAGTACTGAAAGTGACTGTGGTCGTTTCCTGTGCCCAATTAGGAAGCACTATTACTGAAGTTGCTCTGATTAATAGAGTGAGATAATGCAATAAAACAGTTCATAGAAATAGTGTTTGGGGAAAGCCAGCACTATGTAAAATTTATAGTGGGACACAGCATTAAAAGAACCTAATTAAGAATATTATTTCCAAGAAAAATTATATTATCAAATATCAGTGATGAAGAAACCAGTAAGATTGATTTAGAGAATATTTTGAGACTATCTCAAAATATTAATGAATATCCTAATGCAGCCTTTGTGTATCATTTTCTATTTTCTACATTATGTAGTCACATTAATTTACTTCACAAGCACACATTTGCTTATCAATCTATTATTCATAAAAATTGGTTGTTCAAATAATATTGAAAGCACTATTTCAAAATTAAATGCAAAAAACTGCCTTTAAATATCCTCAATTATTAACTAGACAAGGAAAACTGGTGCAGTTTTGTTCTTTTCTACTTTTTAACTTTGTTTTTTAAAGCACAAGATCTCATTCTGTCATCTAGTCTGGAGTGCAGTGGCAAGATCATAGCTCACTATGATATATATGCATAGCTATGATCATGCTCACTACAGCCTTAACTCTTCTCCTCAAGCAATCCTCCCACCCCGGCCTCCCAAAGCACTGAGATTATAGGCATGAGTCACCACACCTGGCTAGTTTTGTTCTTTTCTGCTATTAGGTATGGACATGAACTTTAATTATTCCCCAGATTTCTTTGCATTTCAATACTCTGCTCTTTGCCTCCCCAATAAAGTAGAGAGAAAGGATGAAATAGGTACCGTGAAACTTTAAATATCTATGTACCACTTGCATAAAATTATCACAATTTTAAATAATTTTCTATTTACTAATATAATCATGCTGTTAGACTATTTTGACATTCTACTTTGTTCATCTACATTAGTAAATGTACTTTCCGTATATTTCCAGATAAAAAGTAGTCTTCTTTCTACTTTGTTTGAAATGATTAAGTATAATCAATAATGCAATAACTGATAACTAAATATTTTTTTTCTGTGTTTCCTTCCCTGTCCTCCTGCCACATCTTATTAGCTGTTAGCTGTGGTCACCCTGGTAGTCCAATTTATGGAAGAACAAGTGGAAATGGGTTCAACTTTAATGATGTGGTAACATTCTCATGCAATATTGGGTATCTTATGCAAGGGCCAACAAAGGCACAGTGCCAGGCCAACAGACAGTGGAGCCATCCTCCACCTATGTGCAAAGGTAAATGTCTAAGTATATTCCCATTTGGTGGCATGATAATAATATTCACATAAACATCAGTGACACACTTAAAACAGCTTGAGCAGAATAGTAAAAAGTTTTTATCTAATAAAACAAAAAGCTTTAATACTGATGTCATCTCATTAACAATGCTTTCCTTTTTCTAAATTTGTAACATATTTTTAAAAGTTAAAAGTGGTAGAGTTAATTTCTAACTTTCTTTTGTAACTTATATTTTTAAAAGTTAAAAGTGGTAGAGTTAATTTCTAACTCTCTTATTTGTATCTGTTTTGTGACTGCATATAAAAAGTAATTGAGATTATTTTTACTTGCAATTTGCTTTGGCATTTATTTTCTTTTTATTTTTCTGAAAACTATATGTGGGCCTGGCTTGCCAGTACACCTGTATTGAGGCTTTATTCATTTTTTTAATCTATAGAAACAGATTAAGGAGAACTCTTCGATGTTTTTCCAGTTTGCAAAGAAGTATATTTCATATTGTATGACAAAATACAACCTAATTATCATTCTCCTGCATGTTGTTTTCTTACAGTTCAGCTATAGCTTAAAATATGTCATTTTTAAAATTCGTACTTAGCGCAATACTTACAAAGTTGCTATTTTCCTAATTGTTGCCAAATTTTTTTCTTTCTTCTGTATTTTCTACCACATAGATGTCAGTCCATTTTCTAGATAATCCATGGGATTAATTTTATTATTGGAATCTGGTTGTTTGAATAAATTTACTTTTGAAACTAAGTATGTACATTTCTAATATAAATCTATATAGGTATATGTATATTATTCCAAACATATGTTTCAAAATTTGTCATTTGTTTAGTGGTCAACTGTTCTGATCCTGGAATTCCAGCCAATTCTAAAAGAGAAAGTAAAATAGAACATGGAAATTTTACTTACGGCACTGTGGTATTCTATGACTGCAATCCTGGATATTTTTTATTTGGATCTTCAGTTTTGATATGTCAACCAAATGGACAATGGGACAAACCTTTACCAGAATGTATCAGTAAGTAGATAATGTGAATTGTTTCTTGAGAACATGTCATGGAAACCATAGGAATGTTTATCATCTTTATAAAATGACCTAAAGATATATATCACAGAGAAGCATATTGATTTTATTGTTTTACTGTTTTGAAATTATACTTTTCTATATTTTGCAAATTCAATGTCCAAATGTAATTTTCTTAAAATTAATGTGATAAATATTTATCTATCATTCTTTGATTTTGCACTTTGGAGCATATAAAATATGAAAAGTAGTCATATTTCCTACTTTACAATATTATCGTCTGTAAGAGGCAACTACACTTTTATTCTGTACTAATATTTAATATTTCATTTAAGGCAAAATTAGTCTTAAACATCCATCATGGATTCAGAATACATGAAGATTTACACAAAGGTGTGACTTAAAACTTATTGACCTTAAATATTTGTCATATAGAGACACATATACTTGTTAATGCAATAAATGTTAATATACATCATCTTTCTAGTCAGTGAATATCTAATAAGTGCATTTTGTTATATGTTATGATAGGAGTTGTAGAATGTACATAAAATAGATTACAGCCAAGATGCTTAAAGTAACACACGTAGTGAGAAAAATAATTTAGCAGTTATAAATCAAACTTCTGTGAAGGCATAGAGGAGTGAACATAAATTCTAGCAATTCAGTCAATTGATAGGCCTCAAATTGAACTAGATCTCAAACAGTTGGTGAGTCTTGGACTTGACAGGGAAGAGAAGAACAATTTCATAGACTGAATGAATAGCGTGTGAAGAAATCGTTCATTTTTGGCAAATAATTTTTGGTTTTATTAAATTGCTAAATAAAATTATTTTATGATTATGCTTCATTTAGAGGATTTTTTTATGTTCATGAGGTGTACTTTTATGAACATTTTGTGACAACATTCATGTACTAATGAAGAAACAACACTTTTTGCTGTGTCTGTAAAATTTGATTCTATGCATATAGTTCAGTAATTTGGCCTGCTGATTAAAATTCATTTGACTTATTTGTGTTGACTGGTCTAATTATTTGAATAATTTACTTACTTATTCTTATGTAGCTACCACATTAAAGTTAAAAATCTCTTCATAGGACTTGTAAACCTGAAGTTCTTCAGGTGTTCTGAGCTCTCATATGTTTTTTGACTTATCATTTCCTATAGCTCTCCCTGGTAGAGTATTATATACTGAAAGGTTTTATTAAGTTTTTGTGTCCTCATGTGCTGTATGATACTCTAGAGATATGTGACACTCAGTATTTCTCTGAGTACAACTAACAGGGGACACATGTTAAATTCTGAAACTACCTATCACTCATAAAGAATATTCTACAATGTATTGACTTTTGATTCTGCTATGAGTAGCAGTTTTAGTTTATAAGCCACTGAGTATTGTCTTTTTACAGCATAATTTATTCATTACTGACTTGAAATGTAATGATTCTAGACTATATATTAAATTGTGAATCACAGATCAATCTTCATTGAATCTCTTGAACCCTCAAGTTCTTTTCATGTAATTTCTGTATTGCTTCACTTTAAATCCACATGGTGTCCTATGTCCTTACTTAGCAAATCCACATTAATCTTCTCCTTAACTTTCACAGATTTTACCAGGAACAGATACAGTTCGAACTCATACACATATATATGTGGACACACACTCATCACTCTCACACGTACAGATTTATCATAATCACTTAATTATTTTTAATGCTTACTTAGCTTACAATGTTGCTGTTAAACTCATCCTCGGAATGAGTAAGTTAACAGAACAGCTGCTATAGCTGCAAACTCCACTTTGTTTTTAAAAAGACACCTTCAACATAGATGTTTGATTTCTGGAGGCTTTAGATGTTTCAGCAGAACATTTACTTCTGGTATGTTCTATAAACATGCTGGTATAGGTTGTTCGATAGGAGATATAAAAAAATTTTATATTTAATAATTATGTATTGTAGTGATTGACTGTGGACACCCTGGCGTTCCTCCTAATGCAGTCCTGTCTGGCGAGAAGTATACTTTTGGGTCTACTGTTCACTATTCCTGCACAGGAAAGCGTTCCCTTTTAGGCCAGTCATCAAGAACCTGCCAATTGAATGGCCATTGGAGTGGATCACAACCTCATTGTTCAGGTACCACTTGGAAAATTGGACAATATGTGTTGGAAATTACATTATTGTTAGTAGTAGTAGTAGCAACGTATACACAAAACAATCTAAAGACTTAAAATATATTTCTCTCTGAAAAATCTCATAAGAAAAGCTGAAACACTGCTTACACATTACTGGAATATGTGTAAGGCTATAGAAATGCAGGGTACTGATGTTGTAGATGATAAATTACAAGTTTGTGTTTTGAACTGTGTTGCTAATTTAAAGAATTTATGGTTTTAGGATGCTACACTGTATGAAGTGCTTTTGTTCGTTAAAATGGTGAAACTATTCAAGCTAAAGTATCTATCCCATTTTAGCAGATACCACATATAATTTTCCCCAGAAGGCAATATTGTATCAGTGGTTTTCTGTCAGAGTTCAGTTCTGTTTAACTTTCTAAGCAATTGATTACTTTAATGGTATAATTTTAAAATAAAGTCCAAAATGTTGTAAATTGAACTAATCTAATTCATTTTATTAAAGATATTTATCTATCCTAATATTAATAAGTGACATATTGCTTAGAGTTATCTTTGCATAAATCAGTATTAAAGATATTTTAATTAATAATTTGTTCACAGAGTAAGTATTTGGTAAATCTTTTCTGAGATAAACGTTTAAGTTACCACTTTTTTTCAAAAACACCATTTACGTTTTAGATCTATGATGGCTCCCTAGTTGATACTATTTATTTTTACCCATCAACCAGATATTGTGCTTATTTTTCTGCTTTTTCTTTATATTTATATATTGTCCATTGTCTTTACACTACTTTATCTCTGTGGATACCATTCTGATGACTTACTAGGAGTTGTTTTACATTATTTTCACTTTAGAGTTAAAAGCAGTGAAATGGTAAATTAACCCCAAATCTTTTAACTAGTGATTAATCCCTATGAAGTGACTGCCTGGGACTTTGAATGTAATCTACAGATTTAGAAAAACTATCATTTTTAATGTAACTATAAAATTGATTTTATGAGAATTAAAGTCTTATCTTGGAGTGACTCATAGTAAATTAACTCTCAGATAACTGCTTATACATGCGAACACACAGACTCACCCCCCGCCCCCACCCCACAATGTATTAGGAAATTAGGAAACTGCTACTAAATTGAGTAATAAAATGGTACACAGATATTTAAAAGTGAAATACTAATCTTAAAATTTTGTGTGGTTATTAATTTTACATCACATGAAAATAAGGACATATAATGAAGTATTCCAAATACACAAGGCATATAAAAAGGACAAATGGAAAGAACATTTTCAATGCTTATATTTTCAACCCTTCTCTCTCTCTCTCTCTCTTTCTCTCTAGCTCGCTCACTCTCTCTCTCAATGTATATTAACACTATGGCAATTTTGATTAGGATTATTTAAGAAATGATAAAACGACTAGGTAAAGACTGAGTAAATCTTTAACACTAAAATCAAAAGATGAACGCCTAGTTATGAGCAATATTCTTATCAGAAACTTAAGTCAGAGTTTCTAAATTTTGGTCTTTTACATTTTATTTTTATGTTTTCATATACGAGGAATATGCAGTTCATTCATCTTTGATCATTGGTCATTGGTAGAGAAAATAAGAGAGAGAAACCTAGGCTATCAGAACTGTATTATAATATTTACATGTCCTAGCACACCACAGTTCTACTTTAACAAAAACAATAAAAATATTATCAGTAATCAGGAAATTCAGAAAAGGAAACATGCAAATTGCAGAATTCAGTTTTTTTTAAATTTTGGTTTTATGAGTCTGTTGTCATTTGAGTTCATAGTACTGTCAGTTACACATTTTCCATTAGCTTGGTTATTAACTAGGTTTGGAAAAACTTATGAAATATCCTTAACCTATTTAACGTCTCCAAATTCACTGATAAAAAAGTAACACTGTACTCTGCAACTATTTTCTTTTTCATTTACACTTTTTTTTAATGACTGGAGTCAGATAAGAAATATGAATTACAATTTTACTCCATCTGTGCTAAAACACCGCATGCACAAAAACAAATGCCTACCAGGCCCTTGGACTAACTGGTAAACTTAATAAATGTTTATGGGAATTGGTTAACTTGAACTGTACTGCATTGCAGGTGATGCTACTGGGACATGTGGCGATCCAGGTACTCCCGGCCATGGCTCTAGACAGGAAAGCAATTTCAGAACTAAAAGTACTGTACGTTATGCTTGTGATACTGGTTACATCCTTCATGGCTCAGAAGAAAGAACATGTTTAGCTAATGGCAGTTGGACCGGAAGGCAGCCAGAGTGCAAAGGTAATCTCAAGCAGAAATTAAATATATTGCAACTACTGGATTTTAGTGTGTATCTAAATCCAGATGAGTACTACTAGGAAAATTACTCTTACTAGTTTATTCTGCCTGCAACTATGAAATAAAACAGTCGTATTCCCATTATACTGTAACCATCTCCTAAGATAACTATAACCGATAATTTTTTTAAAAAACCCTCATTGGTCATATATATGCAAACATTGTTCACAACATAGCAAATGTTTAGATTTAAAAAGTAATATATATTTGTTAAAAATATTTATTCTTTCCTCTTTACAGTAGTCCCTCCTTTATCCATGGAGAATACATTCCAAGACTTTTAGTGGGAGCCTGAAAACGCAGATACTACCTAACCCTTTATTTCTATGATTTTTTCACACATACCTGTAATAAAGTTTTATTTATAAATTATGCACAGTAGGAGATTAAAACTATAATAGTAAAATAGAACAATTATAGCAATATACTAGAATAAAAGTTATGTGAATATGGTCTCTCACTCAAAATATCTTGTTGACTGTACTCACCCTTCTTCTTGTGATCTTTTGATCTGATAACTAAGGCAGATATTAGGTGACTGACGAGTGGATATCATATACAGGGTAGGTACCCTGGACAAGGGATGATTCACTTTCCATGTGGGACGACATGATATTTCATCATGCTACTCAGAACTTAAAATATATGGATTGGCTATTTCTGGAATTTTCCATATATTATTTTTAGACCATGATTGACCATGGCTAAGTGAAACTGTGGAAAGAATAGTAGATAAGGGGAGACTAGTGTACCTATATTGTAGAGACAAGAGAAAATGATAGGTTATTCTTACCCTAACATAACCTCAATGTCTGTCTTAGCTTCTAGTTTGTAGAAATGGAAAAATATAGAAACATACAGAAGTATTATTAAGATTTTTAATTGTAGAGTACAACTGTTAGTTACTAGAATTCACAACATCTAGGGTGTTTGAGTAAAATTTTAATTGTTCTGACTCAGAGTTAACATAATTAAATCTTTACAAGAGTGCCAGTTGTGGCTGAAGCCTGTAAACCCCACAATTTGGGACACTGAGGCAGGAGGATCACTTGAGGCCAGGAGTTTGAACCAGCCTGAGTAGGACCCAGCCTGAGACCACATCTCTACAAAAATCTTAAAAATTAGCCAGGTGTGGTGGCATATGCCTGTAGTCCTAGCGACTCCGGATGCTAAGGCAGGAGGATCACTGAGTCCAGGAGGCAGAGGCTGCAGTGAACCATGATTATGCCACTGCACTCTAGCCTAGGTGACAGAGCGAGACTCTGTTTAAAAAAAAAGAAAGATAAAAAGGAAAAAGAAAAATATTTTACAAAATTGACTAGTAAATAAAATGTTGCTAGAAAATTATTGTATTGACCTTAATTGTTCTTTTTGTGATTATTTTATTGGAAAAACTAAACTTGCAAAATATTTTTAAACTTACTTGACGTTGTACCAAACATATTGGTTTTGTAAATAGAAGATAATTCCCAATCAAACTTTCCTGAGGGTTTTTTGATTGACTATGTTATAGAAATATTTGATTATGTTTAATATTTATATTCTAGAAAAGATAGTTATCTTTTTGTAACTGGGTCAGTTTTAATAATCTTAAGAAGGAGTTGCAACTTAGTTGATATAGGGAAAAGACTTGGAAAACATAGTGCTGAGTAAAATACAGTAAGAGAGACTAAACTCTTTATTTCTCAAACTTATTTTCCAAAGTCAAGGTCTTTTTAATGATGCTGTGGGCATCATTATACATGCAACATTGTGTAGGTGACATCTAAGTCAGTCCTTTGTTCAGCTGACCTACAAAATATTTTATAGATGAAATGCAGACTTGTGCTGATATTGCTTTGTTAGCATGCATATTATGGATAAAAGGAGAACTATTAGTTGTAGCAAATACAATAGAATTAATATTTTTCTCATAAATGAAGCTGATACCAATCACTTACACAAACAGATTTTAGTAGACGAATGGATAAAGGATATGAACAGAAAGCAGAAATAAAAAAAAACTGTAACCTATAGAAAAAATTCAACAGAACTACTAATAAAAAATTATGATTAAATATTAAGGTATCATTTTCACCTATTTTAAACACGGTAATATAAAATTATTGTGTGCGGGAGCAGCAAAACTAGAACTTTAAAATATTTCAAGATGATTTTTATTGTTATATTTTGAGAGCAATTTGACAAAAATTGCTCTCAAACTGATAATGAATAGAATGATAAATATTCATGGGATATATCTATTGCTTCAGTTTATTACTCCACTTTTGTGGAATGTTTTCCAAGGAAAATAGAAATATTAAAGAGAACACACAATTATGAAAATGTAATTTTTATTTCTGTTTATAACTAGCAATAATTTGGAACAATCTTACACTAGGAAAAGTATTGCTTAAGCAATTTTATGTTTACATGATCTAATAGAGTATAGTCAATAAAATATTACGATATAGGCCATGAAGCAATATGAGAAAATGTACATTATATAAAACTTAGAAATAAGATTTAAAATTATGTGCTATATTAGAACCATGAGAAATGATATTCATTTAAGTGAAAGTATGAAAGGAAATACACAAAAAAATAATACTAGGACAGAGTTGTGAAATTATTGGTATTTTTACTCTTTATTCCAAATGTTTTCTATTGCTGTCATATTACTTTAATAATTTATAATAAAACATGAAAGGTATTTTCAGAATGTGAAGGATAAAGCACATGTAAAAATAAAAATATTAAATAATGTGTTTAAGTGACTTCATTTAATCAATAGAGAAATGCAAATTTGAAGAATGTAACATTTTTGACAAACTGAGATTCTTTTAAATGATGGCAAATGGTGTTACATAGGAGGTGTGAACACAAGCAAAGTTTTATGCTATCAATACAAGTGTGTATTGTTATAATATCTTTAGTGGTTCTGTGGCAATATATTTCAAACAAGTTAAATTTTTAATGTTTTAGGTATTTTTTATTGATACATAATTTTACATATTAATGGGGCACATGTGATATTTTGTTACATGCATAAATGTGTAATGATCCAGTCAGAATATTTATGATATCCATCACCACAAGCATTTATTATTTCTATGTGTTGATAATATTTCAGGTCCTCACTTCTAGCTATTTTGAAATGTACAATACACTGTTGTTAATTACAGTCACCCTACTAAAATATGATCCAGAAATTATTTTAGATATTTATCTTAAACATAGAACTAATGTACAGAGTTGTAAATATAAGTTCTAGTATGTTATATCTAAAAATCATAGAAAAATAAAACCAAGCCTAACTAAATGTTTTTCAACAGGGAATTGGTTAGGTAAATTATTAACTGTATGGAAAACCATACAGTTACTAAACTTTATGATAGAAAGATACCTTAATTGTAATTTTATGTAAGAAAAATAGAAATAAAAAAGAGTAAATTAATATTTCACTGTTGTATACTCTATACCTAACACAAAGCATAGAATATTGAAATAATTATATTCATATTAATACATAATCATATACACATATGCATATATAAATATCAATTTCTATTTTTCAGTGGTGGAATTTTAAGCAATCTTTACTTTCTTCCTTATACTTCTTTTTGTCATTTTAGAAATGACTACTTATTACTTTGATACAAGGAAACAAATGGTACCATGATTTTTAAAATAAGAGTTCTCTCTAGCAACAAAAGAAAGGCAAACATATAAAATATACTTCCTATAAAGATGCATCACAAAAAAAAATTCAATTTACAAACATGTATTATGTTTCAGCTTATTTCCTACCCTGAATATGATTCAATGCTTTTATTGTATGCTATCAGCATCATTCCTAGGAATTTGTACTAGATGAACAATCTGCTATTAACTAGCTTTGTGAGATTGGGCAAGTTACTTAATCTTTCTGTGCCTCACTTTCCTATTAAGAAATGGTGGTGATGTTAATACTAACTCAGAACATTTTTGTGAGAAGTAAATAATTTTGGAAAAGTTGTGGCTGTGACATATTAAGTGCTTAATGAATCTAAAAAAATAGTAACTCTCATTTTTATTAGATTATGTCTGTTGACTGCTGGGAAATGACTCTTGTGAGAAGAGATGGTTTGGTTGACTAGTACTAAATGTAAATGCAGGTTTATTCACAGGCAACAATAAATCATTTTTCTCCTAAATGTCAATATTGCAGAGGCAAAGTAGTTGCTGTTTCCTTTCATTGTATCCAGCAAGCTTTAAGCCTTCACTCATGATAGATGACGCACTTACCTTGTTTCATTTTAAGTTAATTTTACTTGTGCTTAGTTCAAATAAAATGTCTGGATAGGAGAAATTTGTGTATTAGGTGTGGAGGAATTAAAGTCAAGAGAACAGAAACAACAGTACGATTTGGCCATATCTTGAAACCACCCTGACTAAAGAAATTCTTGATTTTTATTGTGCAGAAATTTGACTCTGCCTAGGTCTCTATTTCAAAATAAAAATTACATGACATTTTAAAAGATGACATTATCTCAAATCCTTCTTGCATTACGTCAAGCTATGGATCATGATATATAACAAGTAAACATGGCCAAAATTTTATTTCAGGCAGGCACTAATGCATTTAGAAGAAAGTAATCATGCTTAACAACAAAGTAAAAATGTCTGTTTTATCATAGGTTCTGCTTAAAATATTATCTAGAGTTTGATTTTTATGTATATATGTAAAATGGATAAGGTTCTTGCCTACACATGCATACACACACATACGCGCATGCACACACACACACACACACGGCAGTTATACAAATGATAGGCAAAAAGAAATATTTAAGATGCAGCAAGAGATGCAGATGGTATTTTCTGAAATTATAATCATATTTCATATCCATAAAAGCCTTCACTTCTGTAAGGTACTAAAATGCCTTCTGATATTACAAGAAAATTAAGTATTACGTTTGATATATTATAGCTTTTAAGTCAGATAGTTTAAAAATTAACATATTGTTGACAAATAGTTAAACACATATATAAAATAGTTAATCATAAAAAGACATTCGTGTTTGTAACTTTTATTTAGAATATATTGAAACTTAATGAAAACGATTACTAATATTTAATTACTTTGTTTTTACTCGGTTTAGTTTTGGTACTCTGGTCTAGAAATAGAATTTATACATTTTAATGCAAAACAGTTATGTACTTATACAAACAAAAATATACATAGATGCTTACAATATTAAAATTGTGTATCTGTCTTTTCTGAAATATAAATGTAATAAATCTCTGTTGCATCTCATCACTCATTGTTACATGTCTTCCAATTTTACATGAGTTGCTTTTTAGACAGAGATTCTTATAATCCTTCTCTAAAAGATTTTGTGGTACCTGAAGCCAATACAGTACTCTTTGAATAATTATTTTACTCTGTAGAGTTTTTACTGAAGCTGCTAAAAAAAGTCTTAAGAAAATGTTATAATTTGCATCCCAGTAATTAAGCGAATAAAATCAACATACATTCATCTTGAATTTCAACTACCTAGATACTTTACTACTTATTTTAGAAGTTTTTATTGCTTCTTTGAATAATTTGAAAGAATCGTTTAGTCATTAACTTTTTTGGGAAGAATTTCTGATTGCATTTTTTATATATACTCTTAAACACTTTGTTTTATAGCTGTGCAGTGTGGTAACCCAGGAACCACAGCCAATGGGAAAGTCTTCCGAATTGATGGCACAACATTTTCTAGTTCAGTCATTTATTCCTGCATGGAGGGATACATCCTTTCTGGACCTTCAGTTAGACAGTGCACAGCCAATGGAACATGGTCTGGAACTTTACCTAACTGTACAAGTAAGTATATTCTCAATATTTAAAAATCAGTAATTATATGAAAGTATTGATGAGTATATAAGTATTTTTGTGTGTTTTGTAATTAATAAAACCATGTAAGGTTTTAACTGTTTGTACTGCCTTTCAGATTAAAGGATTATAGTAGTTACCATGGCTGAGTGTATACTAATGACTTTAGGATAAGTTGGCTTATCAAGGTACTACATTAACTGGCAGCAGAAAGAGAGGTCAGAGGAAGTCAGCACTAATAAATGTAATTTAACAGAATTTTAAGAACAATGATGATTTATAGCTGCAATTAAAATTAAAAATAGAATGGATGCAATTTTATTTTGTCAATATAACACATATTAATAACAAAATTGATTTTTAAAAGGCATACTGATTCTTTATGGGTTCTTGCACTGTCGTAGTGAGTCTCGATAACTGATTTGCTCTCTTGTTATGTTAAAAATAGATGGCACTTTGGAGATTCTGCATTATAATAAAATTACTCCCTTGAAGAAATTTTTGAAAAATGTGTTTAAAAGTCTTAAAATTATACACATTATTGCTTATTTATAAAATAAATAGTATTTAACCAACAATAATACACAACCATTGGAAATTATGGTTATTTTCATTAAGAAGAATTAGCACTTTTGGAGGCTGAGATGTGTAGATCGCTTGAGCCCAGGAGTTTGAGATCACCCTGGGAAACATGGCAAAAACCCTGTCTCTACAAAAAATACAAAACTTAGTCAAGTGTGGTGGTGCATGCCTGGAGTCCCAGGTACTCAGGAGGCTGAGATGAGAGGATCACCTGAGCCCAGGAGGTCAAGGATGTAGTGAACTCCGAATGTAACACTGCACTACAGCTTGGGTGACAGAGTGAGACCCTGTCTCAAAAGAAAATTGTTTAGACTGTGTGTTCATGGATTCTAAGTATCATGAGAGGATGTTGCTGAAGCCTCTGTAGCAAAGGAGACTTGGGGATACTAGTGGGAGGGCCTTTTGTATTGCAGTTTGGACAGAGTATATATACTTTTGCTGACCAAATAATTATCAGAAAATTAACTGAGAAGGCATGGCCTTGTATTGTGTGGGTGAGATAATCCCCTTTTATTTCTGGGCTCCTTTTTGTTTGCATTTTCTGGATGAATGGGTCAAATGAATTTGTTGCCCTCAAAATAATGGCATACATGCATTCCTGGAGAAAATCAGTTGTAGTTAATATATTGCATGCAAAGTTTGTGTGCAATGTCACACAAGGGCTGTTGAGATACCCACGTATATTTTGTCTCTTCAAAAGTGAAAACAAACTATGCTTGGGAAGCTGTTGAAATAAGTACTGAATAGAACATATTCACTAAACCTATAATAGCAAAATATTTTCCAGTTATTGATAGGAACCAACAACTTCAGTAATATTGATATGGAGGTCTTAATCAGGGGCATCAGGGTATTTAGGCTGTGGTAATCAACTTTCCCATGCCAATTATTTTTTATCAGGTTTAAACACTGAACAAATTGGACTATTTAAAGGGAAGGCAGTAGGAACAATAGTTGTTTCCTTCAGTAGGTGTTATATGATGGTTCTTAATTACTGTAGACCTTGTTTTAATCTAAGTTGGGCTGTATTAACTATTGTAATTAGAAGGACAGGTCCAAGGGGCTCCATTTTACCAAGCTGATTGTAAATGCCAGATAATTAATATTAATTTATTACTAATTGGTTCAAAATGTCCGTATCAGGTGCTATAGGTCAATGGGCACTCTGACCACAAGGAATTTAGGCAAAGCAACAGTTTCAATGTTTAAGGTGAGACATACATGTTTGCCTTCTGTTTTGTGTTTGGTAACTCCTCTAAAGTACAGGATATACCTTGTACATTCAGTGGTATCTCCTCATATAACTGTAATTTGAGGCCCAGTATCTATGAAGACCACAAAGATTTTTCAAGTACTACATATCAGAATCTGTTCATTTAAAACCCATATTGTGGAGATGTGAAATCCAATTCTGTTATTTTATCTTTCTGTTGAATAACTATTTTAGAAAAATTTGTATTTTCAATTGAGTCCAGTTGTGGATCTTTATTTCAATTTTTGTTTCTTCTCCCTGTATCCTAGTGTTTTGTTGTTGTTGTTGTTGTTGTTGTTGTTGTTGTTGTTGTTGTTTTTTGGGGGTGGAGTTACAGGATACGCTTCAGGAAGAAGGGCAATCTTCTCTACTCTGTCCTTATTTATATGTATCTTCCTCCAGAGAGTTCCAAATCATTATTTTAAATGTTGGGGGTCTCCCACAGGGCAGTTGTTATTGGGTTTAGGGACTCCAGGCTTAAGTCAGGTTTGAATTAAGCCCACAGCTGTGCTATGAGATGATATGGGTGTTCTTCCCTGAGAACCAGAATCTTTTTGATGACAGACACATAGACAGTAGCAACAACAACGAAGGTTGTTTTAGATACCTAAAGCCATCTGAGTTTAGGTATGGACTGGAGGACACCACATGGTGACCACTCCTTGTCAGATAGGCAAGCATTGGATAAGCATACTTATTGCACAGTGTGCCAGCCTTTCCCCTGAGCACTCTATAGAATGGGAGTCAACACCTGCTTGAGACACATAACCAATAGTCATAGAGTAAGACATTCATCTGAGCCTAGCATCATTCATGGCTTGCACTAAATTTGAGACATATGATTAAATCTAAGACACACAGATAAGTCTAAGCTGAGAGGCACAGAACTCAGAATCACTTTGGGAAGGACCACAAGCCAATACTCCTGTCTCTGAATGTCAATTTTCAATACTTCTGACTTAGATCTATCATTTAAATCTTGGCAGAGGCCAGAAAAGCTCAGAAAATGCATCAAAATCAGCACATCTCAAAGTGTAAGTACACTAGCACAGCACCAAGCACTCTCTAGCCAGGTGGCAGCAGAGCCAGTTATCAAGTCACAAACAACAACAAAAAAGTCCCTCAGGTAATGATAGTCATCCCTTGGGCCACCCTACTCACTGCCAGTTGCTCTGTGGTTGCCTAAGAAAGAGCATGATCAACTGCCCCCTCCCCAGAATTGGTTCCATATTGACTGATTATGCCACAAGGCTGAAGATGTCCCAAGAAGGTATGAAAGATTACCCACATGGTAAGACTCTCTTTGGTCAGAAATGGTTTGAGAGAAGGGATGGATGAATAGTGATATGGGTTGGCTGTGTCCCCACCCAAATCTCATCTTAGATTGTAGCTCCCATAATTCCCATGTGTTGTGGGAGGGACCCAGTGGGAGATAATTTAATCATGGGGCAGTTTCCCCCATACTGTTCTCGTGGTAGTGCTAAGTCTCATAAGATCTGATGATTTTATAAGGGGTGTCCCCTTTCACTTGGTTCTCATTCTCTCTTGACTGTCACCATGTAAGATGTGCCTTTCTCCTTCTGCTATAATTGTGAGGCCTCCCCAGCCACTTGGAACTGTGAGTCCATTAAATCTCTTTTTCTTTATAAATTACCCAGTCTTGGGTATGTCTTTTTCAGCAGTGTGAAAGCAGACTAATACAGTAAATTGGTACTGGCAGTTGGGTGCTGCTGTAAAGATACCCCAAAATGTAGAAGTGGCTTTGGAACTGAGTAATAGGCAGAGGTTGGAACAGTTTGGAGGGCTCAGGAGAAGACAGAAAAATGTGGGAAAGTTTGGAACTTCCTAGAGACTTGTTGAATGGCTTTGAGCAAAATGCTGATAATGATATGGACAATGAAATCCAGGCTGAGATAGTTTCAGATGGAGATGAGGAACTTGTTGGAAACTGGAGTAAAGGTGACTCTTGCTACGTTTTAGTAAAGAGACTGGCAGCATTTTGCCCTTGCCCTAGAGATTTGTGGAACTTTGAACTTGAGGGAGATGATTTACGGTATCTGGTGGAAGAAATGTCTAAGCAGCAAAGCATTCAGGAGGTGATTCAGGTGCTGTTAAAAAGCATTCAGTTTTAAAAGGGAAATAGAATATAAAAGTTCAGAAAATTTGCAGCCTGGCAATGCAATAGTAAAGAAAAACCCATTTTCTGAGAAGAAATACAAGCTGGCTGTAGAAATTTGTGAAAGTAATGAGGAGCCAAATGTTAATTGCCAAAACAATAGGAAAAATGTCTCCAGAGCACAAGAGAGAAGTCTGTGGCAGCTCCTCCCATCACAGGCCTGGAGGTCTAGGAGGAAAAAATGGTTTTGTGAGTCAAACCCAGGGCCTTCCTGCTGTGTGCAGTCTAGGAACTTGGTGCCCTGCATCCCACCCATGGCTAAAGGGACCAAGGTATGGCTCAGGCTGTGGCTTTGGAGTGTGCAAGCCCCAAGCCTTGGCAGCTTCCATGTGGTGTTGAGGCTGCAGGTGCACAGAAGTCAAGAATTGAGGTTTTGGAACATCTACCTAGATTTCAAATGATGTATGGACATGCCTGTACGTCCAGGCAGAAGTTTGCTGCAGGAGTGGGGTCTTCAAGGACTTGTACACTCTGAAGTCATGGCCTGAGCTGTACCTTGACCCCTTTAGCCATGGCTAGAGTGGCTTGGATGCAGGGCACCAAATTCCTAGACTGCACACAGTAGGAAGGCCCTGGGTCTGACCCATGAAACCGTTTTTTCCTCCTAGACTTCCAGGCCTGTGATGGGAGGAGCTGTCACAGAGTTCTGTTATGCCCTGGGGACATTTTCCCCATTATCTTGGTGAAGAGAAACATGGGGTTGGAGCCCCTACACAGAGTCTGCACTGAGGCACTGCCTAGTGGAGCTGTGAGAAGAGGGTCACTGTCCTTCATACTCCAGAAAGGGAGATACATCGACAACTTGTAACATGTGCCTGGAAAAGTCACAGTTACTCAATGCCAGCCTGTGAAAGCAGGTGAGAGGGAGGCTGTACCTGCAAAGCCACAGGGGTGGAGCTGCCCAAGATGATGGGAACCCATCTCTTGCATCAGTGACCTGGATGTGAGACATGTAGTCACAGAAGATTATTTTGGAGCTTTAAGGTTTGACTGCCTTGCTGGATTTTGGACTTGTGTGGGGCCTGTAGCCCCTTCATTTTGGCCAATTTCTCCCATTTGGAACAGCTATTATCCAATGCCTGTACCCCCATTGTATCTAGGAAGTAACTAACTTCCTTCTGATTTTATAGGTTCATAGGTGGAAGTACTTGTCTTGTGTCAGATGAGGTTTGGGACTATGGACTTTTGAGTTAATACTGAAATGAGTTAAGACTTTTGGGAACTATTGGGAAGGCATGATTTGTTTTGAAGTGTGAGGATATGAGATTTGTGAGGGGCCACGCTTGGAATAATATGGTTTGGCTGTAGCCCCAACCAAATCTCATCTTTAATTGTAACTCCCATAATTTCGACATTTTGTGGGAGGGACCCAGTGAGAGATAATTGAATCATGGAGGTGGTTTCTCCCATACTTGTCTCATGTAGTGAATAAGTCTCACAAGATCTGATGATTTTATAAGAGGTTTCCACTTTTGCTTGGTTCTCATTCTTTCTTGCCTGCCACCATGTAAGATGTGCCTTCCACCTTCTGCCATGATTGTGAGACCTCCCTAGCCACTTGGAACTGTGAGTCCATTAAACCTCTTTTTCTTTTTTTTATTCTTTTTGAGATGGAGTTTCGCTCTTGTTGCCCAGGCTGGAGTGCAATGGTGCAATTTTGGCTCACTGCAACCTCTGCCTCCTGGGTTCAAGTGATTCTCCTGCCTCAGCTTCCTGAGTAGTTGGGATTACAGACACCCACCACCATGCCTGGCTAATTTTGTATTTTTAGTAGAGACAGGGTTTCGCCATGTTGATCAGGCTGGTCTTGAACTCCTGACATCAGGTGATCCGTCTGCCTCGGCCTCCCAAAGTGCTGGGGTTACAGGCGAGAGCCACCGTGCCCAGCCTAAACCTCTTTTTCTTTATAAATTATCCAGTCTCAGGTACGTCTTTATCAGCAGTGTGAAAAATGTACTTATACATATAGTTTTGCTTTTTTTTTTATTGTGGTTAGTGGTTGGGAACTTGGGAAAAGTTCTAGTGAGTGTGCCAGGGTTTGCATGGTTTGAACTTCCCTGCTGATGCCAAATGAGGAAGCAAGCCGACTTTCTTGTTGGCTTGCCCAGATGTGGAGTAGAAGGGGAATGGGGAGGTAGAACTTGAAGCATCAAAAGGTTCTTTATGCAAATGCTCTTGTAGTCAAACATTTTACTTAGTCAATGTTACAAACACCAAAACACCACGCAGCGTAGTTAAACAACTTTAATTAGTCAACTATTTCTTCAAGAGATTTAAATAGTAAGACAAATCTTATTTATGTACGTCATTACTACTTCAAGTGTTGTAATATTTTTGTGTAGATACATACTTGCATGAGGTATTATTTTTCTTCCACTGGAAGGACTTCTTTAAATTTGTCTTGTGGTCCATTTCTACTTATGATAATGTTTTCAGCTTTTCTTTGTGTGCATATGTTTCATTTCACCTTTTAAAATACATATTTTTGCTGGGTATAGAATTCTGTATGACAAGTGGCATTCCTGGCCCCATGTCAGCTCCAGATATTGTTACATCTCATCTTTTGGGGTAGTTTTTTCTCAAACCATGGGCAGTTTCCTCAGGAGCTGATCAGAAATCTGCTGACTGTTTAAGGAGTTTCCTTCCTATATCTCTAGAGACATTTCTCTGTCAATGTCGACTCTGGTACCATGTCCCATAAACTCTACCTGCATAGTTTTCTCTTGACTCTCAGATCCATCTTCTCAACTCAAGGAGTCTGCTGGGCTATGCATAGCTTCCTCTTCCCTGTGCCACAGACTTGAAACTCTCTTAATGTAGTAAGATGAGGCAATCAGGGGATTCAACTAATTTGTTTCCTGTCACTCAAGAATCACTGTGCTTTGTTGCCTAATGTCCATTGTTTTGAAATATTTCTTTTTTTTAAATATACTCTTTCCTTTTTTTTTTTCTTTTGGTTCTTTCAGATGGAAGGTAAATTCTTCCTTGTTACTCCACGTTGAAGGAAAGCTGAATTCCTCTTACTTACTTAGAAAATATCTCATTTTTGCAATAGTGAACAACTTAACACTATCCCACCGTAGCCTTTAAAACTCTTATCCACCTTTTAAGTATCAGTTCATGTGAAACATTTGGCAAAACACCTCAAGACATTTTCTCCTCATATCCTTTTTAGCTAAAAGTAATCTCTCCATACTGTATAGCTTTTTTTTTTTTTTTGTATGTTACCTATACCACTAAACTGTAAACTTTATAGAGCAGTAATGACTGGGTCTGTTTATCTCACTGGCCCTTTATGGTGGAGCATAGCACCTGATGAATAAGAGCAACTCAGTAAATTGTTGGTGACAGACTTCAATAGACAAATTTTATTTTAGTTATCAGTATACATGATTTACCATTCCAACTCAATTTTTTTTTTTTTTTTTTGAGACAGAGTCTCACTCTGTCACCCAGGCTGGAGTGCAGTGGCATGATCTCGGCTCACTGCAAACTCCACCTACCGGGTTCACGCCATTCTCCTGCCTCAGCCTCCCAAGTAGCTGGGACTACAGGCGCCTGCCACCAAGCCTGGCTATTTTTTTTGTATTTTTAGTAGAGACGGGGTTTCACCGTGTTATCCAGGATGGTCTCGATCTCCTGACCTTGTGATCCACCCGCCTCGGCCTCCCAAAGTGCTGGGATTACAGGTGTGAGCCACCGTCCAACTCAATTTTAAACTACTTGCAGATAGGGCCTACAACTGTATGGCTAACATAGCACATAGGTTCTGGCATATAGTAAGTTTTCAATAATAGTCATTGAAGAGATTGAAATAATGAAAATAGTTCAGAGTAACAGAAATATGCTGAGGAACACTTTCATTTTTTTTTTACAATGAATAACAATTTTGTTTATTTATGGATAAATAACTCAATCTTTTATTTACAGCTGTCTTCCAATTTTAGTGAAATAAAAATAAATAAACATTCCTATTTTTGTGATTGAAAATTACATTGACATTTTTATTGAATTGTCTTCATTTTTCCTCAGGAATGTTAAATTATAAGTCATTTGATTCAAGACAGATTGATTATGAATAACATAGGAAAAGTATAAGGAAAGTTTGTTTCTGTCAGTTCTTCAAAGAGAAATATCGTATTGCATAAAATAATTTAAGTGTTAGCTTTTCAACAATGAATTGCTATTAAACTAAAAGCTGATAATTTGTAAGTTTATGTACTTCATAGGCAAAAAGTTACTAACACCCCATTAACAATCCAAACCAAAAGCGTAAATAAAAACCCCCAAAAAGAAACAAAGAGAGAGGTTTCAGTGGAAATTAAAACAGCCTAAACTTCTGTAATTAAAGAATCTAGCATAGTGATAGTGTTTATATGTGGTAATCAAATTAAATTAGAATCAGTGCTTCAGATTCCTTCTCATTCATTTGCAATGAACATAAATTTAAATATATGATTGGTAGAATCATATTATTTTGGGAATTGTCCTAGACTCACATTGTCTAGATCAAGAAACTCAGGCATCACGTATTTAGAGGGCTTCCTGACTACGGGCAGAGCTCAACACTAAACAATAATTTCATCTATATTTCACATATATAGATGAAATTTTCCATTCATGTTATTCTCTATACCCACTAGAAGGCTAATTTCAAGTGTAAATATGTTTTTAATAAATTTTGATGTGTTATAATTGCCTCTGTAGACACAATTTTTATGGTTACTATATGCCCAGACTATATAAATTTTATGGTTACTATAGGCCAGTTACTATATGAATTTGAAATAAATTATTTGATGTATGCCAGTTACTATATGAATTTGAATTAAATTAATGAGGTATGCAAAAAATTTGAAGTAGCTGAACTTTCCAAACCAACATCCTGATATCAATTTTTAGAAAACCCGAATGTCTTAGTCTATTTGTGCTGCTATAATAAAATTCCTGAGACAGGGTTAAATACTAAAGAACAAACATTTATTTCTCAAAATTCTGGAGGCTGAGAAGTCCAAGATCAAGGTGCTAGCAGATCCTGTGTCTGGTGAGGGCTACTTGTTGCTTCTAAGATGGCACCTTGCTTCTGTGTCCTCACATGACAAAAGGGGTGCATGTTACGCCCTGACTGGCAGAAGGTGAAAGAGCAAAAAGGGGCCTAGCTATTAATAGTTCCCTCCCACACTTTTAGAAGGCACTAACCTCATTCATGGGGAGAGGGCCCTCATGACTTAATAACTTCCCAAAGCCCCTACCTTTTAATACTATGGAATTGGGGATTAAATTAGCACATGAATTTTGAAGAGATATTAAAACCATAGCACTAAAGAAACAAAGCCTTTATTCTTTTCATGCTAATTATTACTATTTCTTCTCATAAATAATAGTATCTGTTATTGAGTGTTTACCATTTGTTCGGATTTGTGCTGATTTACATAATTATCTCAATTATTACAACAAATCTATGAGATATATACTGTTATCCTTTTTATTTCACATTCAAATAAATGGTTTCTTAGAGAGGAAACAACTTTCTTTTCCATGGTAACATAGCTAGTAACTGTAGAATGTAAGATTTAAACCCTAGTCTATTTCACTCAAGAATCCATGTTCTTTAGTATACTTTTATCTCTTCTTCTGTACTTTTCTCCATTTAGTTTTCTTGCTTTATTCTCTGTCTTCACTACAATGGTCAAATGTATATGACATACTATAATAAGTAGAACATTGGTGATAAGGCATATGAAAATGTCTCATTAATTTATGACCTATTTCTCTAAAAAATTTTTAATTTCTGTTTTCTCTGCATTTACCAATTTGAATTCTGCAAAATTATATCATTTCTTAATGAAACGACCATTTGTAAAATTTGTTTTTGCTAAACAATACTTCCAGTTTAACATTACAATTTCCTATTTATTTGTTATCAATGATATTTTTGTCAGATGTACAAAGCAAATATAATGTAAGTCAATAAATAAGTCTGCAGGTTTCACAAGAGATGAGATATTTTAATGTGATGAGTCAAAGCAAGTGAACAAGAGTGCTCGTTGAATCTTGTACATAATCATTGACAAAGAGGATCTAGTAGATTTATGACAATGTCAGTTCAAAGAAAGAAAATCAGCAAGATTGATTATATGATAGATATTTCAATGTAGGGTGATTTGAGAATGAAAGAATGAATAGAGGCCCTTGAGAAAATTAATAATACCCTTAAAATATAGTTAAACTATGTGGTAAAGACAAAATATAAAGACTTCAATTTTATTTGGATTTCTTTTTACTTTTTAATTATAAGATTTTGGTCACTTTAAGAGGTTTTTGTTTTTTACCTTGGCTAGTTATCTTTGGGCACTTAGTTCCTCCTGAGTAATGACAAATCAGAGGAATAATCCAATTTTTAGCTTTTCAAAAATCTTTAACTTATATTAGAGCATGTTTTCTTACAAAAACCTTTAAAAACAAAGTAGAAACATAACTGTGAGTATACAATGGAACTGGATTTTTTATAGATTCAGTTAATAAAAAATCATTTAAACAAAACCTACTATCATTGGGCACTTTGCTAGGAACTGAGAAGACAGAGTTCAGTCGGTAAGGTATCTGCTCCCTAATATTTCACAGATCAGTGAAGTAACTTTGGAATTCCAAGCATTTTTGACCTTTGAGAATTTCCTTTGAGAATTTTACCTTTGAGAATTTCCCACTGGAGTTATTTGCAACTATACCTTTTCATTTGCTCTATTGTCCAGCAGTAACACACACACACACACACACACACACACACACACACACACACACACACACACACTCACCCCTCTGTTTTTTAGAAATTCTAGTTCAATTATATGTGGAAATGTGTCAGCTGTGATTTGCCTTGTTCATTTCAATGATTTTAGAAACATCTTTGGAATAAATGTGATTTAATAATAATGGTAAGGTCTCCAATCCCCTATGCTTGGCCATAGTAGAGATGTTGGTAAAAGCATAAACTTTTACTCATCTAAATTCTACCTGCTGTTATTCAACCGGCTTCAGACTATACGTGAGTTGGAAAATTGCAAGTCTAATTAATCTATCTCTAAAAGTATGCCTCATAAGCAAAATCTTTTCCCTTTTCCCAACACTCATTGTTTCTAACTCCAGACATGTCCTCATTAAGCCCACTACCAGTGGTGGAAGGAGAAGTTTCCTCAGAATAACTAGTTGCCTCCTGGGTGGGTAAAATATTGTATCTTGAAATCAAGATCATGCATTAAAATGTTATGCACACTTTGACAGAGGGATTATAAGTGTGAAGAAACATGCACAGAGCTAACCAAACTAGAAGAAAAAGATATTTGGCATAATACCAGATCGCTCAAATCAATTCCTTGATTTAAAATGTAGTGAAGTTATTTTCTATGATGTTCAGACAGAGAGAGAAGATATAATAAGTACATGTAATTACTCTTTCAAAATTACATTTTTTTGTCAGTACAAAATGTTTTGGGATATTAATTATAAGGGGATCCTTAGCTTTCAATGTCTAACAGGCAGTACCACCTCTGTTACCTAGAGCCCATCATACACAGAGTGCATATGGTGTTTTGGGAAGAAGACACAAACAGTGCTGAGACAGGGCTTGCCAAGTAGAGTAAGAATTAGCTTTCTGGTCTGAAAAGACATGTGCTTATTCATTTTCTTGGATGATATTTTTAGAAAACTGACTGGACTTCTGCGTCCAAAAGGACCAACCCCCAACATCCTGCATCTGGGAAGTCTTGTTCCTTTGGGCTAAGGACACCATCTTTAATCAGGTCCAGGTGATAAATGAATCTAAGGCTTCCTTTTCCAAATAGCCACCTATCGAAATGCCCCTGACTGAATTTTTGTCACAAATCTGAAAATTCTCAAAGATGTTTTTCTAACAGAGGACAGATCAGGAAGATGGGGTTAGTCTTACAAAAGAGAGGGCTGGGGATATCCCAGCATAAAACTGAGCGCAGATAAAAAATAATCTAAATCTCCTCAAGGAGTGAGAGCTATTCCTCAGCACAGTGGTTCTCAACTAGAGAGGATTTTGCTTCCCAGGGGACATTTGGAAATGTTTGAAGATACTTTTTGATTGTCACAGTGCAGGGGCAGGGGGTGCTTTTGGATCTAGCAGGCAGATGCCAGAGATATATTGCAGAACATTCTACAATGCACAGAGCAGCCCCTCACAACGAAGAATTGTTTGACTGAAAATGTCAATAGGGTCAAGCTTAAGGTAGAGAAACCCTGCCTTTTGAGATCTAAAGAAGAAACCAACTTTTTGAATGTGGAGATTGTGTAAAATCAGAAGCATTATGAGAGGAATGGTTTAGCCATTCTTTCTGGAACTTCATTTTGCTACAGTAGAACTCTGTTCTGGGCTTGAAGCTAGAAGTATGGCAGAGCACATACATATGTAATGATGCTCAAGCAAGCATTTTCGTTGCTGCATTGTCTGTAACAGAAAAGCAGTGGAATAACTCAAACACCAGTCCATAGGTCTTTGGTTGCATAAATTATATTGCATGGGATTAATATGCCATTAAAAATGTTATGCATGTCTATGTATATTAATAGTTACATGCAAAAATATCCATTAGATATTGAATAAAAAAGTGAATCCTGTGAAAAAAGTAATGTGACTTTATTTTATTTTAAAATGCACATTTACAATGCTTGTATAAGAAGTTAAAAGAGAAAGTAGTTTTAAAGCGGCATAGATTGACTAGAATTACCACAATTATGTTTTATTTGTAGCATAGAGGTTATTTACTTAGATTTATCATAAATGATGCCAGATGGGCATCAATTACATATTGAGAAGCCTCCCACAAAACAAATTCAGACCTTTCAAATAATTTATGTGTTTTTGAGAATTTGAGCTGACAACTTAATGATTCCTTTATGTACTCATTCATTTATTTATCCTTCAAACAAATATTTAATCTCTTATGATGAGTCATACACTAGATGAGACTCTTAAGAAAATAGCATACAAGAGTCAAAGTATCTGCCTTTATGGAGTTTATTGGTGTGTTTGTGTGAGAGAGATGGGTATTTAAGAAGGTCAATGATCTTCTTATTATGCAATGGTATTTCTGAATTTGTTGTCATACAATGATATCGCTGAATTTTAGGGTGAAGCACTAAAGAGCTACTATTCTAAGGTTTTTTTCCTGAAAAAACCAAAAGCCTTTTTTTTTTTGGTTGTCTCTGAAAACAAGCTGGTAGTGAATGAATTGACTTGCAGAGCAGGTGCTGTTTACAAAGACTGTTGCTCTTGGAAACTGCCTCTTTGACTAGCCTTTGCTTCATTAGGAAGTCACCAAACAAACCCTTCTAAAGCTTTTGTTGTCACGCATTTCATTCATGGTGGTGCCATGATGTGCAGAACTCTTTCTTCGTGCATCTGTAAAATAAACGCTCTGTCCTCTCTTTTGGTGGCCGCATCTCAGCTCATGTGCCCTGTGACCAGGCTGGCTATTTCTCCTTGCCAAGATTCTAATGCAGTCTGGAAAGCACTGCCCAGAAAACAACAACACTTTATAGGTGTTCTCTTTAATTTCCTCTTCCTAATTAAAAATCTTGGTTATAAATATAAAATAAAATAAAATAATAAATTGAAGGCTTATACTCATTTTTACATTCTTGTAAATTTTTAAACTATAAAAAGAGATGACGTATTGTCGGTACATGAGTAGAATTATTTGATTTTCTATCCAACTCAGTTGTATCATTAAAAAAAATCTTTTTACTCCCCAATAATCATAGGAAGGAAAGCAGTCCTGAATATAAAACTCTATTATTATTGAGAAAGAAACACTCAAACAGTTTAATTTCATCGAACTGTTTTAAGGGCTCCAAAAGTTATGAGGTTGAATGCTCTGAATGATGTTGTTTAATTTAAATGCCATTATTCATAATCCTAAAACTTCTTAGAATCAACAGAATAGAATATGAAAGGAATCTTGACATTAATCATTCTTAATGATAACATAATAAATACAATGTAACTAAGGTGTTCTTAAGGTCTTCCATGCCTTAATTCATTCTTAATCTTTAATCCTGAATCTCCAAAATATTGGGAAAAGTGAATTTAAAAAAGACAGAAAGAGGAGTAGACAGAGAGAGAGAGAAAAAAAATAACCCAGATTTACCTGGAGAAATTACCCTTTTATGAACCAAAAGATTTAGCAGACTAAAAGGCATGTTAAGTATACTACATGTTTTTTATCTCCAGAAAATAAAGTGTAACTTGTAGTTTTCGTTTTCTTAGCTGGTAGAAAGTTTTTTAGCCAATTCGCTGCCCAAATTAAGCTTAAATCCTGTGCCTCAAAACAGTTATCACTTGTGTGACATATATAATCTTTGTAGTGTTTGAATCTTATGTTTGTATTTAATCAAAATACATTTTTAATGAAATTGTTATTTGTGTTTCTAAGCTGTCTCAAGTCTTTCTGAAACATTTTGGCTGGCATTATAAAGAAACGATAATATTATGTGTGCACTTACACTCATGGGCATGAGATCAGTGCAACTCATAGGATCTCATGCTCAGAAGAGTCTTGTGCTTAGAGTTTAATGCTCTGTGATAGCCATCTCAAAATTCTTAATAATTTTATCTTCAAATTAACATTTTGTAATTGAAGTCCACTGGAACAGTGCAGCATATTCTGAGGGCTTGGAGCTTCTGCTCATGTGCAGTCTGCCTTGTTGCCTTCTTTCTTGTGTCCTTGGGATGGGTCTAGACCTTTTGCTCCTGACAACCTGTTGCCCCTGGCCCTGCATGGCCTCCCCATTTCCATCCCTGCTCTGCAAAACGTGACACCCTCCACCCAGCTCATCCATTGTGTCATCAGTAAAGAGAGGTTCACATTGCACTATTGTCCTACCTCCTTTTAGGGGTTGGATGCAAACGTGAGGATCGTCAGAGTTGGATATATTAATGGAGTCTTGGGGCAGAACAGAGCAGTGACAGTCCCTATTTTGGGCTGGAAACATCATCATGTATTGGTCAAGGACTTGGATGGGATGGCCCCTCATACATCTGCATTTCTTATAACAAGCACATTCCAGAGTGAAGGTTGCAATTTCTTGGGGGTTGTCTTTCTGAGTGACACTGCAGAAAATATGCTCTCCATCCAGCATGCCTGATAAATTAGATACTTCAGTAGCCATATATAGGAATATGAATTTCAAATATTATGTTAGAAATCTGATTCTGCAGATTGTTTTCTCTGTGGTCTTATAGTGAAGGTTAGAAGAGGTTACTGCATCAAATTCACTACAACATAATGGCATATTAACCTAGCCTTTTCAGGGGCTAAGTGACAGTTTCTGAGCCATATGTGTAGAATCTGTAATAAGCATACCTGATCATAATCAGGAATTGCCAGTATGTGGTTTAAATATGTTTATGTTTTATGATTAAAAATGAACACGATAACTAATTTTCCTGCTTATATATTAAGTATGCCATATGCTTACTACTCCTCTCCATTAAATACATGCCTCATTAACCATCTGCTCTTCTAATCCAATACTGACAGTAATCAGTTGTGGAGACCCAGGTATACCAGCCAATGGACTGAGATATGGAGATGATTATGTGGTTGGACAAAATGTTTCTTACATGTGCCAGCCAGGCTACACGATGGAATTGAATGGCTCCAGAATCAGGACTTGTACAATTAATGGCACATGGAGTGGAGTAATGCCAACTTGTAGAGGTATGATAATGATTTCTTCAACATTTAAAAATGGTAACCAGTACATATTTTCTTATTTTTATATACAAATTTAAAGTATACTTAAATAAAATTTTTTAGTTCCAGGTTGCATTTATTTTTCTAGTACTAAAAATGGCTGTTTCTTAAAAATTTTATTTTAATATATAGAATTTAAAATAATATTTTGACAAAAACATTATATCTTATTGTGAGTAATGACAATAAGCTTTAATGTAACAAAAATAAGTAAAATATTATGTCCATATTCACCATTGTTATTTATATAAATTGATGAATATTTTCAAAAGAATATAACCTTGATGAATTATAACTGTAATTTGCTGATCCACTTGGGTCAAGTAATTCAAGGGTGGGGAAAAATTCTTTCTATAATTTGGGAAGAGCCGGCCTGAATTATAGAACCGTAATTTTTCTTAAATAATGGGAAAAACTTGTTTTTCATATAATACAATCTAGAATTAACCTGTTAGTCAATACAGCCATAAATTTGCTACTTTATGCTGTTTGTTTTTCCACTGGAAATATTTTTATAAATTTTTTGGCCAATTTTTATGATTACTTGTAGAATACTGTACATGCAATGTCAGACAAATTGTTTTATAATAATTAGATTTTTAATATTTAAGATTTTTCGTTTACGTTTCTATTTAAATGTGAATTAATAGTTTAATATCTTACTGACTTATAATCTAACAAAATTAATAATTTCAATGTGTTTGTCTTTCCTTCTTGATTATTAAGCTTCTGTATCAGATCACTATAAATATACAGTTAGTAAATGAAAATACATGAGCAGACATTTTATGTTTTAGATGTTATTCTATACACTTATTAATTCATACTGATATGAATTAGATATTACTCAACTGTAAAAAGCTATTCAGATATGTTTTTAGTTCTCATAATACAGTCATTCCTCATGTTTAGATTTTGAAGTTGATACCCTTCCTCATCCTTTCATCTCTATCTTATCCAACCTGTCTTTGCTTAAAGATAACTGAAAACAATTTAAACAAAATACATTTTTTAAAAAAATTAAAAATGCATTTATAAACCCTATAATAATAAGGTTTAACATATGAATCTAAGTGGTTAAGGGAACTAACTTGGATATTATACTCAGACATATGACCTGTGTTTTCAAAAATGTCACAGAACTACTTTCAAATTCCATGATTAAGATGCTGATACTATATATAGTTAAACAACCCAAGTCTTGTCTGTCTAAAGGTCATTGGAAAATAATTTTATATAAAACCAATAATTTATCACTTACAGTATACTAGATTGAAGGTCACCCTCTGTTTGCCTTCTCTGAGATGTCAGGCAGCTTGCTATTTTGTAAGAGAATCTCTGACAACCAGTAGCCATTATGTTGCCAAGAAAAAGTTGCATCCTGCAGGGATTAATTCCAGGAATGACTCAGGAACACTACCAGGAGAATAAGATATGTCACAACATATTGTCCTCGAAAAGGTTAAATTAGCACATGTGCTTCTTCTAATGATATTTATTTATATCTTTAAGGCTCAGGATATTTCAACAGCTGTGTCTAATCACTTTTAATGTAATTGCAGCTGTTACCTGCCCAACTCCTCCCCAGATCTCTAATGGAAGGCTGGAAGGAACAAATTTCGACTGGGGCTTTAGTATTAGCTACATCTGTTCTCCAGGCTATGAGCTATCCTTCCCTGCTGTTTTGACCTGTGTAGGGAATGGTACCTGGAGTGGTGAAGTACCGCAGTGCTTACGTAAGTATGATTTCTACTAACAACTGTTACTTAAAATTTTCAAATTTTTCTAGACCAAATATGAGATTGTTAAGCTTCCTTCAATGCCTAATTAGGGTTCAAAGAAAAATCAGTATTTACCAATGTAGCTACTTTTCATGTAATTAAGTCATTATGTTTCTCCTTCTCTGATTCAAAATTTTACACTAAACGGTTTTAGTTTATAAACTTTTCTAATTTTTCAAAATTATTTCTCAAATTAGAGACAGCCTTAAATTTATTCTACTGCTGGAAAATTATTTTTATTTATGTCCTTTTTGTCTTAGCCGAATACTCTGAAATTTGTTCCCAAATCTTTTTCGGCAATAAATCCATGTCACTTCTACATGTTTATTCAAATAAAGTTCTTATGATGGCATTTGTCATGATAATGATTGGGATTTTACATCTAAAATTACCAGGGTAAGCATAGAGATAAAAGGGTTTCTTGTTTGTTTGTTTTGCCTTTTTTTTTTTTTTTTTACAGAGGTTGCTGTATACTATATACCTAGCAAGTGTTACTTCAAGATTAATTTGGAAGAACACAAAACAAAACAAACTCCTCTTGCAGTTTTACATAAATGATTCTAGAACATTATCTGGACAGTATAGTCATTCAGAGAGTTGTCTAGCATTATCCTGTTCCTAGTTCTTTTTCCTTTCCCAGCATGGGATAGAGGAGGACTCTACCTGTCTCATGACCTTGACATTATGCAGAGCTAACTGTCTCAGTTGCTTAGGACCCTCCAGGGTTTTCTCACCTCATTCAAAGTGGAAACTAAATCCCCTACATGCTCATAGGACTTTTTTTCTTGTATTCCTCTGATTTCATCATATCTTACTACTCACCCCTTCATCCACTCTGCTCCAGAAACACAGGCCTTCTTACTTTTCTTTGAGCACTCAGCTGTGCTTTTGCAAGAGGGCTTTTATGTTCACTATTCACTTTACCTGGAAATTTCCTTTTATTCCTTCAGCTTTTTACAAAAAATTTCTTTTTTCAGTATTGCCTTCTCTGGTCACCTTATTTGAATTTCATCACTGACATATAACACTTCCCTTCCAGGCTTTATTTATTCTCCTTAACACTTCCCTTTCACTTCTGATTTTTTCCTAAGACATACTATACATTTTACTTATCTTGTTTATTTGAACTATGTCCTCTACTCAAATGTATACTCCCTGAAAGCAGAGAATTTTTTTTGTTTTATTCACTGCTCTGTCCCTGGAATATAGCATAGTCCTTGGCAGATATAAAAACTATATTGCTATAGTAATTAAAACAGTATGGTATTGATGTAGGTATAGAAAGTAAAACAATGTTATGGAGAACACAGAACCATTTATACATATGTGATATATTATAGAACAAGTCAGTAGGGAAAGAATGGACATTTTAATTAAGTCTGCAAGGCAATTAGTTCACACACATACACACACCCACAACAAATAAATCAGTGCTAGATTTATCAGAGATTTAAATATAAAAGTTTTAAACATTTAGAATCTATCTAAATGACCTCAGGTTTAGAAGGAATTTCTTAAGCAAGATTCAAATGGTATAACCCACAAATGAAAAAGTGAAAAAATATCAGCTATGTTAAAATATGAAAATTTCTCATTATCAGAGACCAATCACAGACTTGTACAATGTAATCAATATGTGTGAAAACAATGACAATATTTAGAATATATATATGTATTTTTTTTTCTAAAATAAAAAAGGCAATACAAGAAAAATGGTCAAAATACCTGGACAGCTATTTCCTCTCAGGAGATTGAAAAAAATATTACACAATATCAAGTATTAGTGAGGATATGGAGTACCATAAACTTCTATAGACTCATGATGGGTGGGTAAATTGACACAGCCACTTGCAAAACTAGTTGGTATTATTTAGTAAAGTTAAAGACTTGCAGAGTCTATTGCCAAGAAATTTTATTTTTAAGTATATGCCCTACTGGAATTTTCATATATGTGCACGAGGAGACATGTTCAAGAATATTGTTGTCAGCATTCTTTTTAGCAGTAAAATAATAGTGCCTATATTTACACACACACACATACATATATGCCATATGCACACACACACACACATGCATACACGTGAATGTAAATTACCAATAAATGTATAGAAATGAGAAACCCAGAATTTAGGATGACACAAAGTATGCTACCCTGGGCCTAAGAAAAGGGATGCTTTCTGGGTGATGCCTACAAAGATTTGCAACAGTATTGGCAATTATCAATTGTTAAAGTTGAGTGTTAGGTTCATGGATAGTCATTTTATAATTTAATGCAAGTTATGTATTTTATAGACCTATTTTAAAAATGAAACAGATATATGTTAGTATAAAATAAATATATATTTTATAGACATAGAATTATGATGACTAACTGAAGACAAACTATTAGGTGCACTTTGGCATTATTTACTTGAGAAGCTTCCTATTAAGTGATGGCAAATACTGGGCATGCATATGGCTATTTTGCTTGCTCATCAGGTCACTAATAGTACATTTGCTTCAGAGAGATATTAACAAGTTAGATTGAGCATGAGAGATAAAACTAACTTATTATTACAGTAGTGGTCTAGACTGCAGTTCATATAACATCCAAAGGAGCTCCTTCTAGGTACTGTAATATGATTTTTAAAAATAACTTTATAAATTTAAGGGGTACAAGTGTAGTTTTATTCCATAGATATATTGAGTAGTGGAGAAGTCCAGGCTTTTAGTGTAACTATCACCCAAATAGTATATACTGTTCTCATTAAGTAATTTCTCATCCCTCACTACTCCTCCCACCCTTCTACCTGAGTCTCTAATTTTGGAGGAAGTCTGTTCCAGTGCCTCAATGTTTTTGTCACGTAATTCGCCCTTAAAATTCTGACTCATGGAGGAGGTCATCTTAGCAAACATCACTATGTTCTGAATAGTACTAGATACTCCAGGTCTTCTCCAGGACAGATAGGGTCAAGTAGGTTTTACAAAGATGAGTATATGGCAGGTTTGCTTGTTTGTTTGATATAACTGAAAAAAAAATTACAATCAAGAAGTTATCTTGATATGGTGTTTTGTTTTTGGTTCTATTGAAATACAAATAGTAATAAAATATGTATTTACATTTCAAATGTAATAACGCTATCTTTGTCTCAGTTGCTTTACGTATATCATTTCTACTACACATAATAGAGCTCCTGGGTACGTAGGATTAGTCATGACATTTTAATAGACAATGACACTTAAACTCAGAAGGGAAAATCAAATTGCAAGGGCACAGTGTTACTCTGCCATCATTTAGGGAAGCAGCTACATTGTCATAAGGCCTAAGGTCATACCGCTAGAAAATGGCAGAGTATGGATTGAAGTTCAGAGAAGGTATACTTAAGAAATGATGGCCTTATCCATTGGGTATGCAAATCCATTAATGTTAGGGACTTTATAAAGAGGAATGCTTTTTTCTCTTTAATTTTGCTTAAAGTATGTTTTCTCATCTTAAAAGTTTATGTCTTTATGAATTAAAGCCATTTGACAAGAAATTCTGTGTCTTAAGTCTCTAAACCTGATATCAATAGGTTGTTTGGTTTATACATGAAAATTCACGGATAGAAATAGATGGAATGACACACAGAGAGGGTACTGGGGGATTGAGGAGTTTAGGTGGTTAAGTCTCCCTCCTTTATTTGAATATGCATAAGAGGAACACTTCAGAAGTAGGTTAGGCAATAAGTTAGTTATAGAAACAATTGCTTCAGCTGAAGTGCCCATTGATGATGTTCACTGGGAAGCATGTATTAATTCAAAATGTACTGAATATACAAAGATTAATAAGACAGTGTCCCTGGCTTTTGGGTTTGATATTATACAGCATTGCCAGAAGGACTTGAATGTCAACTAGCCCAAAGTTTTACAATATCCAAGAGATAGTGAAAATTTAAACACAGTAAACCAATGTTTTTTGTGCTATTATTATACTTGTGTTACTTTACTCTGGTTTCCGATTTCATTTTAATATTTATTTATTTATTATTATACTTTAAGTTCTGGGGTACAGGTGAAGAACGTGCAGTTTTGTTACATAGGTATACACATGCCATGGTGGTTTGCTGCACTCATCAACCTGTCACCTACGTTAGGTATTTTTCCTAATGCTGTGCCTCCCCTAGACCCTCACCCCCTGACAGGCCCCAGTGTGTGATGTTCCCCTCCCTGTGTCCCTGTGTTCTCATTGTTCTACTCCCACTTATGAGTGAGAATATGCTGTGTTTGGTTTTCTGTTCTTGTGTTAGTTTGCTGAGAATGGTGGTTTCCAACTTCATCCATGTCCCTGCAAAGGACAATAACTCATCCTTTTTTATGGCTGCATAGTATTCCATGGTGTATATATGCCACATTTTCTTAATCCAGTCTATCATTGATAGACATTTGGGTTGGTTCCAAGTCTTTACTGTTGTGAATAGTGCTATTCACATCCGTCTGCCTGTGTCTTTATAGTAGAATGATTTATAATCCTTTGGGTATATACCCAGTAATGGGATTGCTGGGTCAAATGATATTTCTTTTTTTCTTTTTTTTTTGGGAGATAGATTCTCGCTCTGTAGCCCAGGCTGGAGTGCAGTGGCACGATCTCGGCTCACTGCAAGCTCCGCCTCCCGGGTTCTCGCCATTCTCCTGCCTCGGCCTTCTGAGTAGCTGGGACTACAGGCACCCGCCACCACACCCAGCTAAGTTTTTGTATTTTTAGTAGAGATGGGGTTTCACCGTGTCAGCCAGGATGGTCTCGATCTCCTGACGTTGTGATCCGCCCGCCTTGGCCTCCCAAAGTGCTGGGATTACAGGCGTGAGCCACTGTGCCAGGCCATCAAATGGTATTTCTAGTTCTAGATGCTTGAGGAATCGCCACACTGTCTTCCACAGTGGTTGAACTAATTTACATTCCCACCAACAGTGTAAAAGCGTTCCTATTTCTCCACATCCTCTCCGGCATCTATTGTTTCCTGACTTTTTAATGATCACCATTCTAACTGGCATGAGATGGTATCTCATTGTGGTTTTGAGTTGCATTTCTCTAATGACCAGTGATGATGAGCTTTTCTCCGTGTGTTTGTTGGCTGCATAAATGTCTTCTTTGGAAAAGTATATGTTCATATCCTTTGTCCACTTTTTGATGGGGTTGGTTTTTTCTTGTAAATTTGTTTAAGTTATTTGTAGATTCTGGATATTAGCCCTTTGTCATATGAATAGATTGCAAAAATTTTCTCCCATTCTCTAGGTTGTCTGTTCACTCTGATGATAGTTTATTTTACTGTGCAGAAGCTTTTCAGTTTAATTAGATCCCATTTGTCAAATTTGGCTTTTGTTGCCATTGCTTTTGGTGTTTTAGACATGAAGTCTTTGCCGATGCCTATGTCCTGATTGGTATTGTCTAGGTTTTCTTGTAGGATTTTTATGTTTTAGGTCTTACATTTAAATCTTTAATGTATCTCAAGTTAATTTTTGTATAAGGTATAAGGAAGGGGTACAGTTTCAGTTTTCTGCGTATGGCTCACCAGTTTTCCCAACACCGTTTATTAAATAGCGAATCCTTTCCCTATTGCTTGTTTTTGTCAGGTTTGTCAAAGATTGGATGGTTGTAGATGTGTGGTGTTATTTCTGAGGCCTCTGTTCTGTTCCATTGGTCTATATATCTGTTTTGGTAGCAGTAACATGCTGTTTTGGTTACTGTAGCCTTGTAGTATAGTTTGAAGTCAGGTAGCGTGATGCCTCCAGTTTTGTTCTTCTTGCTTAGGATTATCTTGGCTATGCAGGCTCTTTTCTAATTTCATTTGAAGTTTAAAGTAGTTTTTCCAATTCTGTGAAGAAAGTCAGTGGTAGCTTGATGGGGATAGCATTGAATCTGTAAATTACTTTGGGAAGTATGGCCATTTTTACAATATTAATTCTTCCTATCCATGAGCATGAAATGTTTTTCCATTTATTTGTGTCCTCTCTGATTTCCTTGAGCAGTGGTTTGTAGTTCTTCTTGAAGAGGTCCTTCACATCCCTTGTAAGTTCTATTCCTAGGTATTATGTTGTCTTTGTAGCAATTGTGAATGGGAGTTCACTCATTATTTGACTCTCTGTTTGTCTATCATTGGTGTATAGGAATCCTTGTGATTCTTACACATTGATTTTGTATCCTGAGACTTTGCTGAAGTTGCTTATCAGCTTAAGGAGATTTTGGGCTGAGATGGTGGGGTTTTCTAAATATACAATCACATCATCTGCAAACAGAGACAATTTGACTTCCTGTCTTCCTATTTGAATACCCTTATTTATTTATCTTGCCTGATCACTCTGGACAGAACTTCCAATACTTGTTTTTATATTTAGCCAGCATTTGGTTGAATGGGAGTGGTGAGAGAGAGCATCCTTGTCTTGTGCCAGTTTTCAAAGGGAATGCTTCCAGTTTTTGCCCATTCAGTATGATATTGGCTGTGGGTTTGTTATAAATAGCTGTTAATGATTACTTTTCATTTTAATTATTTTTTAAAAGTTTTAAATGCTACTAAAAGGAGGTTTAAAAATCCAAGTTTATCGTGTAGTCTTGAATTTCAGGGAAGGTTTTATTTGGACATTAAGGCCAAGATTATGGTAGTCTATAATTAAGGTATACATGCGTTCCAGATGGCTCGGGCATGCCAAGTTTATTCCCATTGTTGTGGTCGATCTCTTGTACATTTAGGATCCCCTTTCACTCTCAAAAGTTTCTCAGTTTGGATGATGCATTTTATGGACACCCAACCTATAATCCTCCTAAGGCAACATTTATACTTAAAACCATTTTGTTGTTGCTGTTTGTTTGCTTCAGAGGGAAGTAAGCTTTCAGGTGCTTAATCTGAACATTTGAAAATCGAGTACATTTGAAAATCGTTAAATTTATAAATTATATGTTATGTATTTTCTTTGCCACAATAAAAACATTGAAAGCATTTGATAAAGGTGCATTTGCCTGTGTTGTCTGATATATTTGAAATCATTTGCTTTCATTCCCCATTACACTTCTTCATGCTCACTCTGCTCCAGCCACACAGGCCTCCTAATCTTCCTCTAGAAAGCTAGCCATGCCCCAGCAGAAGGCTTTGGCAGTGCTGTTTACTCTACCTAGAATGCCCTTCCTTAGGACTTCATCATGGCTAAGTATTTTGTTTCCCTGAATCTTTTCTCAGTGAGAGACACCTTTGCCACCTTATTTAAGATCTTCTCCCACCTCCTAACACACACCACCACACATACATACAGGCTTGATCTCTTTTGTCTGAATGATTTTTTTTTTCCCACGGGACTTACCACTTTTTCACATACTACCTTTTCTTAAACTTGCTAATTATGTTTATTGTTTGTTCACTTCCCTCACAAATGCATAAACCCTATAAAAGCAGATTTCCTACAGTATTTGTTTACTGACATGTTCAAGTGCCCCAAACCACCTAGAATAATGTTTTTCTTTAGTAATTAATAAATGTAAGTTGAATGGAATAATCTAATCAAAATTTTTAGAAAGCCTGTCACGTTGATCTTTCCAGTGCTTGTTGTAGAACATTGACATTCCATAGTTTTGCGTAGATTTAGATTCTGATGGCCTTCTTTTCTTTTAAAAAATGCTTTAAAAATACCGACAGTATTTTGGAGAGGAAGGCAATAAGTTTCTGGGATATGTGCTTCGAGTATTCAAAGTATACAGGGTACAATAAAACAAATAACCAGAGCTTTTTATATACATGTAAAAGGGCACTGCAATCTGTAGCGTGCAGCCTGGAACATTATGGGTTGCTTCTTTTTGACAGGGACACCTATGAGTCACCTACTTTTTCAAGGCTATACTCCACCTTGGCAGCCAACAAGTCCAAATATGTGGTTTGATTTTGGTCAATACAAAACGACAAAAGTACAAAAATTCTTTCTTTATTAAGGTAGCTTACTAAGTGGAAAACATCGAAATCGAGCTAATTTTTAAATATTATACTGAGTTTTCAATTCAGTATTTATCTGCACATAAGCTAAAAAATAAATTTTTTCATTGGGATAGCTTTATCATGAATAATATATCTCTTTAGTACAATATTCAAATTGATTGTCACCATTTTTCCAAACTGTGTACTCTGCTGTATACTAAATCTTTGATATAAGCGTCTTTCTTTTCATTTCCAGCAAAGTTTTGTGGTGACCCTGGTATACCTGCCCAAGGAAAAAGAGAAGGCAAAAGCTTTATATACCAGTCAGAGGTTTCATTCAGCTGCAATTTTCCTTTCATATTAGTGGGATCAAGCACCAGAATATGTCAAGCAGATGGCACTTGGAGTGGTTCATCACCTCACTGCATAGGTAATATTAATTAAAGGCTGATTATGCACAGTAACTGTGTAATTAATAGGGGTGACATTTAATGGTTTTCTTTATCCTATAACCTATAGTTGGCTTAATATAAAAACAAGTGTAAAATATAGAAGCAATTAGAAGGCACTGGAAATGAATATTGGTAGAAAATACAACATTAATTTTAGCACTTTAAACTTCCAGAAGAAACACTTGAAAGAATTTTGTTGTATATCAGTAAAATGAAAAATAAAAATACTTTCAGGTAGTGACATTATTAAGTACTAACATTTTACTTAGATTTTTATAGTTAATAAAGAATCTTCATATGAAATTAGATTTGCTCCAAAAATATCTAAAAGTTATATTGATTTCAAAATGATTGTAACTATATTTCTGTAATCCTAAAATTAATGCCATATTTGGTAAACTAACCAAATAATCTGTCATTCAAATAAACCGACACATCTACCTACCATTATTATGCCTGAATATCCTATGGGTGTCAGTAAAATCCAAATTATCAAGTCCTGTTTCTGGGAAAAAACTGTTATTTCTTCAAAGAAATATTACCCTACCCCAAATCATAGTTTAGCAAGGTCTTTGGACAAATGTTATATGCATGTACACTGCTTTCATATCCTTTATCTTTCCTTAATTTTACATCCACAGAGCTAGTTGAATGTCAAGTGCTTTTATATCGGAAGGGTTCAAAGTTCAAGAATTTCATAATTCATATCAAATGGAGTCTACCTGACTTTCTTGCTTCAAGATTAACAGGCTTCTGTCCATGGAGAGATGTTATTACATTTACATTATTTATTATTTCCTAGATCCTTTGTACCAAACCCCAGATTATTTAAAATTGTTTTCTGTGAGAGAACTATATCTATTGTAAATTTTAAAGGACTAATATCTTTTTAATCTTCATTTTAGAGCCTACCCAAACCTCTTGTGAAAACCCAGGTGTGCCTCGGCATGGATCTCAGAACAATACATTCGGATTTCAAGTGGGTACTTTAGCTATGTCCATTTAGCATCATACTAGGTCAGAATGCGTCTTTGGTTCATATGCATATAATCTTGTTGACATAACAAAAAGTCATGTTCTATCTGCATTTATAAACACATAAAAAGGGTAACAGACAGCAAAAGAGTGGAAGTAAAGGAAATTAGAAAAAAAAATTTTTTTAATAAAATTTCCTAACTGGAACATAAAAATAAATTAAAACAAAAAGCAAAAAATAGCAGTGAGCATAGGAAAAATCCATAAGCATTAGAGAGTTATATATAAGACAGTAAGAGTGAGGGAGTAAATGAGTAAACTCTACAGGAAGATATGGGGACAGTGAAGAAAAGTAAAGATAAAAGAGTTTAAAGGAGAGACTTCTGAGACAAACAGCAAATATATAAAAATGCGGGTTATTCAATAAAGCACTAATTGTATATATGACCTTGCTGTCAGTGTTTAAAATGGTGGGAAATTGCTGAAAAATAACCAGAACCTGTTGCTATACAACACATAGTTGAATTGTTACATTAGAATTCTTTGGCATGCCCAGTCATGTGTGGCTGACTTTCTTGTTCTCTCTTTTTCCAATTTAGATTTTAGGTAGAGATTCAGCAACTTTTCAGTTACAAAAGATCCAAGGGGAGCCAAAGTGCATACTGATTCCAAACAGAAGTAGCCAATTTACACATTACCCAATTGCCCTGTGTTGCCGGGTTTTGTAAATTGTGCTATTCTGTGTGAAATTCAGCGTGAACCTGAAGACCATCCATTTCTAAAGGAAGGGCTCATCTAAAGGGCCATATTTTGTTATTAAAAATAGTTTCCATTTATCTACAGTTCAGGCACAGTATGAACATTGATTTGATAGCATTTCCAATTCTTCTGATTTCCTTCAGTCCTGTTCCAGATAATACAAAAGTGTAAAAATGAGTCTGTCTCCATTATATTGGTGTTTTTAGAGAACTTTAGATTAATATCTCCATAAAAGGTTTTATCAATTGATCTAAATCCTGAAAAATGGGCAACTAGCTGCACAGCACTAGTCCTCATCATATGTACAAAGAAACTGAAACAGAATGTGACTTGCTTTGTTCGCAGATCAAGTTGGTGACATATTCTAACAGAATACAAAATTGTGATGTTAGTGTCGGTGTACTAAATCAGGCTGATTTTCTAAAGAATATGAGTTTTTTTAGTAAATATTATTTGAGATATTGGAAATGAGAATGATTAACGTGGAGTTTAAAACAGTCATCCAACAAAATGAAGAGAATCACTAACTCTGCTTTCTAAGGATTCTATTATAATCATTGAAAAATGCTGTAACAAAGTTAACCTAACCCTGAATTTATGTTATTTGGGGTAATAAACAGGTATTAAATCATTATATTCTATATGAATAAATATAAATAGACTAGATTCCAAATATGGTAAAGTCTACTTATATACAATTATATAACTATCTATTAAAATTAAATGTATTTTGTGTCTTACATTAGGGAGATTGGCTTTCTTACATGCATATGGCAGGTATGAATGTGTATATATATATATATATATATATATATATACACACACACATACTAAATCTGTTAACTAAATCTGTATAGATCTAACACAATAAATAGTTATATAATTCTAATTAATACTAATTTATTGATGAATTCCAAATGAATATGGTTTTATATGCAAAAGGCATCTTGAGCCATTGAGAAAAACGATTGCTTGCAAGTAACAAAAAAACTGTTTGGAGCTACTTAAAGCCTAAAGGCATTACTGTGCAGGTATGTCCAGACTCCCAAAGAAAGAATCCATGTGAGACTCATCAAACCCAGAGTGTAGGTACTGGCTTCAAGTACTCAGTTTTTTATACTACTTTCTGTTTATCTACTTCATATTTTCTCTCCGCAGATTGGCCATATGGCCAAGAGTGAATCATTTCTATTTACATCTCAGCTACATACAGAAAGTGATCATCTCAATCTCAATTCCAGATTTCCAAGGAGAATCAGAATGTCCCAACTTTCGTATTTATGTTGGTTTCATTAGGTGGCCGGTAGTGAGTTATGACGCAAAATCACAGCTGTTAGGAAGCCCATTTTTGGGAAGAGCAAGAGAAAGTTATGAACTACAGAGGCACTCAGATCATTTTCTTAATTTTCTCTTTAATGTGTTCATTTGTTCACTCTCTTTTTCTTTATAGATTTATATAGTAGATTTTGGGACATCAATAATTATTAACATACAAAATATATTACTCATTGCTAGAGATGATGAAAACTCTATCATTGAAAAAAGTATTCAACATAATTTGTCTTTGTATTAAAATATTGTAAATTGGAATAATTTTACTAAAAATTGATAGTGAAGAGAATAGCTGTCAAAATAATTGATGCAACATCAGGATTAACCATGGAGTAAATGACAAGCACACATACACACTGCTGTATCACTTGTTAAACTGAGCTCTGGGCAATGGAAAGTACATTATTTGGATTTAGGGCTTGTTACATAAAGTTATTATAAATATGAAAAGTTTTTAATCCGGCTCTTTAGATATTTAGCCTCAAGATATTTAACCATAAAATATTTAACCCTACCAAACTAACCATAGTGATTATATATGATTTTCAGTTTGTAATTGAAATTAGTATCTTAGTATATTGAATGAGGTAAATATATGTTTCATAGTGTTTTATTACCTTAAATGATAAATACAGTGGCATGAATTCTGAAAGTAAAAAAAAATTACTTTCAATTAAAATCTTCTTGTTTTGAATATAAATAATAATAATTAAACTTTTCTTGAACCAGGAAGCCTAGGACCAAAGTTAATGCTCAGTCAGCATAAATTACTTGCATCTGAAGCACATCTGTTATACCTTCATTTTTTATGATCTTGCCTTTCTGTGTCAATTTTATTTATTTTAATTTACATATATCTTTTATTAGAAGCTACCTCAATTTTTCTTGAGTAAAATGTTTTGTATAAATACATAATGAAAAACGTAAATTTATTTTTAAAAATATATATTGCAAAAGAAGCATATACGTTTTTGAGACCTTAATAATAAATAAATTTTGAAAGTTCTTAAGACCCATGCTGGATACTCCAGTTAAACAAACATGTGATATTAGAAGTCAGATTCAAATAAATGCATTGATGAAAATTCTAGCATGCCAAGTGTTATTTGCCATGAAATCTCATGGAAGGGAAAATAGAGCTTACTGAGAATGTTCAAAATGTATACAAAATGTCTATTATATTATTTGCTATATAAATTTTATGATTTAGGAACTAAGATATAACATTTAAAATAGGAGAATAAGGTGTTAAAGAACATAAGTGATGTTTACTGATTAAACATGTCTTAAAATTCTATAATGCATTTATACACAACATGGTACTTTAAATCAATTTAAAGTGATTTTTATTTAAACATTGGTTGCAATTAAAATTTGATATGGATTGTTTTTAATTCTTGTTATAAAAACTTTCAATATTAATTATTGCAATGTTTGATATACAAATAATACTTTTTATTCGTAAATATTGGTGAAAAAATTGTACATAAGTTATTTTTCCAAGAATTTTTTGAATTTGATAATATAAATTTTTAGAATGTTGTTGCCTATTTTTCTACAAATAAGCAAATTATACTATGCATGTTGGAAGTTGTTCAGTCAGAAGGATATATCAAATTGGGAAAGGATAAAGAACTATTTAAAATACACTATTAAGTGGGTTCATCACTGACAAAATTATTTATTAATGCACTGATATTTAGAGAAAATTTTGTTGATTTGACTATAACAAGTTCTGGATAAACAATTTAACCAATTATTAAATCTATAAATATTTATTAGATATTAGGTATAAGTATTTGTGAATTTGACAAAAATCTTATTAGATGTGTTGGTGATACACAGAAAAATATTAAAACAGATTTTATTTTAATTCTATAATATTTGGTTAATATTTAAAGCAGTTGTTATAATGATTTTGAAAAGCTTACAGGATTGAAGAAAAATGTCTTACAAGTAAAAACAAAGTGTATGTAGTCCAACATATTTCTTATACCTGACCAATATAAAGGTTTGATGAAATAACCCAAATATACCCTTCAAAGAAAAAAACAGAATGATCTAACCTTACATTATCTAAAGTATAGAGATGATATCACTGCATTTTAAGAACTGATAGACGTTAAATATTCTAAAGTTAAGTAATCAAGTAATTTTATATTATTTTGTCCCCATTCCTTCCATTGCTCCAACATTTTCAAATCACATTTTTAAGCTCAAGGTGCACAAGGATGAGTACACACAGTCTCCGGCCTAGAAAGGCTAACATTTCTAACAGAGATGGTTTTTCTAATTTCTTGCTGCAGGGAAGGGTTTCTACAGATGATGGCTGAGCTAATTCTTTTAGTGTAAGAGCTAGGAAAGGAAAGTTGGGAGAGGCATTCCATGCAGTAGGAATAGCATGAAAATATGCATGCATTTCAGGATACAAAAGTTCAATGTTAATTGAACAGAATTTGAGTAAAGTAAGCTGTTAATGATGATGCTAGATAGATTCTCAGTTATGGAGGCCTTTGTCATGTTAGCTCAATGTAACTTTATCCTAATGGGTGAATAATAAGGTCAAACTTTCGTGTTGCATAGATCACTCTGACTTTAAGGCAGAAAATAAATATAGTGGATCATGAAGTGAGAAATGGAGACAAATTAGAAGATTATTATAATTGTCTATTGTGTAGTTCTCAAAGTGTAGCGCCTAACCGGCAGCAGCAGTTTCACCTGGGAACTTGTTGGAAATATAGATTCATGGACCTACCCCAGATCCACTGAGTACGAAACTCTGGAGGGGGGTACTCAGCTATCACTGTTTTCATAAAGTCCTTTTGGTGATTGTGATGTCTGCTAAAGTGAGAACCAAAGCCTATGGAAAAGATATTGGGGAGTAAAACTGGATGTAAACTGGAGAAAAAAGGAAGACGATACTTTGAAAAGGATTTAGAAGGTAAAATTGCCAGTTTTGGTGGTGAAGTGAATGAAGGGAAAATTTATTAGTGACAAGTGACACTATTAACTGGGTTCTAACCTTAAGAAGGATTGCTGGATTGATAGAGATGATGGATTTTGTAGAACTGGTTTGACTGAAGAATAGAACTGCAAACTGTATATAACATAATCTAGCCCATACTGAAAAATCAAAACCTGTACCACCATTTTGCACAACTTCAGAAAGAATGTGAAAGGCGTGCTCTGGAGCACAAGTCAGGGGACTCTGGTTTTAAGGAATAAAATGCAAATGGTGCTTCTTGGAATCAATCCATGTAACAGCCTAGAGAAAATGGGGCATCCAGGGATAAGAGATCTTCTAGAGGCAAAGGTGAGGGTTCATGGAAGACACAGCATGAGATAACATAAAGAAAAAAGGTTGTTGTCAGATAAAGAATTTTGGAATTTAGTATTTCTGGCCTAGTATAGTTCTGGGTAATAATAACAATATGAAAAATGGTGGAATTCAGAGTCTGAAGTTTCAAATGGAATCTTGGTATCAAATTATATCATCTTAAGCTTAGCTTCTTATTGTCCGCTCAAGAGGGGGTAGGAATTAAGGGGAAGGCAGAAAAAAGGATCTGAGTGATAAGTCCTAAAACTGTGATTGAGCCTTCTCAGACTGCAATTGCTGGAGAAGTACAAAGTGGCAGACCCTAAATATCCCTTATCTCATCCTCCACCTCTAATCATCCAATAAATCTTGTTGATTTTTTTCTTGTGATTGTTTTGAGGAAATGACTTTTTTCCCCAGGCTTACTGCCACAAGTTAGTACAGTTTTTATCCACTCAAATGTAAAATGGCAGTGCCAGCCTCATAATTAGAATTACTACTATTCTTCTAAATACCATATCCTGCCATTTGAGACCCTTCGGAAACTAATTCTTACTTATGTCTCCAATTTAGTCATCATGCCTATAATTTATTTAAAACTTGAGTGTCATCCTGGGGTGGAGTGGAGTATAAATTCTATTTCATTTAATCCTTAAAACAGATTTCAATACAAATAATATTATCATCATTATTTATAAATGATAAATTAGGTCTCAAAGAGGAGATAGGAGATATGACTTATTCAAGTAAAGTGAGATCCAGAATTAAAACTACATGTACATTACTCTGGTGATTTGTTTTCTTGTTTACTATATACCCCTGCTTCCCACTTATCCCAAACCTCTACCTACCCTGCTCACTTTGTAAACAATAAATGCCAATCAATCTAATATACTGTTTTCCCCTAAAGCAAATGATATATATTGTAACCAACATACATTTCTCATCATGTTATTATCTTTTCCATTTTTCTGTAAGTCTTTTGCAAACTTTAGTGTTTATTACCACCACCCAAAGGGCTTGTTAAAACAGATTATTGGTTTTTCTAACCTAACAGTTTCTGATTCAGTGTGTCTGGGGTAAGGCCTCAGAACTGACATTTTTAACAAATTCCTAGGAGACATTGATATTACTGGCCTAGAGACTACACTTTGAAAGCCATTGTCCTAGATATTCTCCTAATTACTATACCCTTAAAAGCTAGTACAAACAGTATATCTTCCATTGTATATTTCCGTTATCACCACCACCTTCAGTAACCACCTTTGTCTCTAATCTCATATTGCATTTTTCACCTTCAATATTTATTTGTTTCTTATGTGGTTAGCTATATTTATTTCCATATATATTTTTATCAAGCTTCATTTATTTATCTTTATCTAACTATCTATCTCTCTATCTTGTATTCATATGTAGCTTGTTGGATTTTTTGGTGTCTTAAATATTTTCTTCAAATTCCCATGGCAAAAAAGCTTGGTTTCTATGTATGTACTAAGGACCCAACTATTTGATGATGATATGTAAACAAATAAAGCCAGGATTTTATTTTTTAGTTTTGAATTTTTCCCATTTTATTTTAAATCAGATTTCAATTATTTTTTTCTTCCAACTTTACCATACGGAATTTCACTTGATAACATTTTCTCACTCAAGCTCTGTTTGTTGCCATATTTGAAGTTGTAGGGGAATATTTTTTTCCTCTCTTTAATTTGCTATAGGTAGGAAGTGTTGTACAGTTCCATTGCAAAAAAGGACACCTTCTCCAAGGGTCTACAACACGCACCTGCCTCCCTGATCTTACGTGGAGTGGGATTCAGCCTGAATGCATACGTAAGTATTATGGATAAGAAATAATGCTATCATGGGTAAGAATTTATATGCATTTTTTCTCCCAAGTATTCAAATACATTTACATCTATATGTGTATCAAATTGACTTTTAGATTATAAAACATATTATATGCATATAATTTTATTACTGTATCATAAACCCATGGCCATTGGGAAGCACTCTCTAAGTAAGTCAGAAAGCACAAGGCACAATTTTGTTCTTTTTGTAAAGACCTTATGTTTAGTTTTGCCACCTGGTAATTTTAGGTAATGATTAGGTTTTAGTTTATAGATCTGCATCTATCAGTCTGAAGTAATCTAAAATACCCGAGGAACCAATCTAACAGCTTCTAATTTTTAAAAATCGCTTGTGAAAATATTATCTGAGAATCTGGGGAAACTAACAACATCTATGAAAGGAAATATTCATGGGCACTTGGCCAAAAATTTGAGAACAATTTTAGAATTTCCTTTATATGTTCTCTGATCCTCAGTGGAGAGCACTTGCTATACAGATTAAATAAGAACAAAGCCTGGGGCCACTAAATAACTTTTTCTGACATACAATTAGAAATGAATTCTAGCTGGTCAGCTATTTGGCTTTTCTTTCTCTCCAGTTGCCTTTTAAAAAAATCTCTTCCCTTATCTTTTCAATTGTGTTTCTTGGTGAAAAATGGAAAAAAGTAAGCTGGAGTGGAAACACTTATTAGGATGGTATCTAGCTTTTAGGATTTGCTGAAGCATACACAAGCCCTGTGAATTTACTCTATCCCTGTTCAGAACCATCCAAATGATTGTGGGGGCACCTAGGGACCAGCAGCTTACTTTAAAGCAGGAGAACACTCCACAGAGATGCCATGTTATGTGCCTTGTTGGCTTATATTTAAATATGGAAAATTCCTTAAAGGAGAATTCCTCAGAATGTGTACTTTAAAACAGCTGTGCGGGCTGTAACTAGGTATTTCACAGTAAACCATTGTTCTTTGATGTCCTCTAGTTGGGATATGATAGTTTAAATAAAGTTAAACAGCGTCTGTCACTGTGAAGCATCTCAAAGTTTCTAATGTGTCCATAACATAGGGCTTAAGATGGCAGTAGAGACAGACTGTAGTTTTCCTTATCAATACTTACTGCATGAGGATTACATTTCACTAACTGCAATATATTAAATATAAACCATTTAGGCCAGGCACGGTGGCTCACGCCTATAATCCTAGCACTTTGGGAGGCCGAGGTGGGCAGATCACTTGAGGTCAGGAGTTCGAGACCAGCCTGGTCACCATGGCGAAACCCATCTCTATTAAAAATATAAAAAATTAGCTGGGTGTGGTGGCAGGTGCCTGTAGTCCCAGCTCCTCAGGAGTCTGAGGCAGGAGAATCGCTTGAACCCCGGAGGTGGAGGCTGCAGTGAACTGAGATTATGACACTGTGCTCCAGCCTGGGCAGCGGAGTGAAACTCTTATCTCAAAAACAACAAAATCAAAAACAAAAAACCATTTAACACAATGTTTAGCACACGGAGTAAAAAAATGTTAGCTATTATTTATACTGTTATGGACCTCCATTAAGAAACAAATGAAAAATATTGTTTTTTTTTATTTATCCACAGAACACTTTTTTCAGAGATCACTTTTATGGATGTATATCTATGAACAAATAATTAAAAAATGCTATCTGTTTCAGGGGAAAAATTTCTTGTAGCATTTATCTCTGACGGAGAAAGGAATGGTCTTTATAAGACATAAAACCGATGAAATAAGGGGAAGATATGGTGTAATCAAGGTAGAGAATTAGGAGTGGAAGGAAACATGGAGAAAAGGAGAGAGAGTTAGGTGAACAAAATGATACTTCTAGCATATGGATCCAAATATGGCCTGAAAATTCCATATGTAAAAAAATTATTAAAATGTACTTTTATTGGGAAGTATTAATACCAGAGCAATATAATTAGCTGTGGTTTTATTTAACAATAGAAAATAGATTTTTAATTTAAAATAAATATAATACATTTAAAATTTATAAAATAATATTTTCTAAACTCATATAGAAAACCTGAGCTTGACAAACATTAAAAGGTATCTTACCACAGAACTTCACAGATCCTTTAAAATGCTGGTTTTTGTGACTCTCTGGAATGTGTGACTCTCTAAAATGGTAAAGCATACATTTCTGAGCTTAGTTGTTGACAATGTCTTTTTTTTTCTCAATTTATTTAACATCTATTAACATCTACTAGTGTTCCACAAATGGTGGATTAGGAAATGCTAAAGTATGAAATCAATAAGTATATTTGCATTGAAACATTTTTGTGATTTATTAGAATAATTATTCTAAGATATATGTATATAAAGGCATTGAAGTATATCTGAAATATATTGTGACTCCTGTCTCAAATTTTTCTTAACATATCTATAGAAAATTTACATTGTTCTCTTTTCTTAATATAGCCCACAGCTGTAAACAGCCAGAAACTCCTGCTCATGCAAATGTCGTAGGGATGGACCTTCCATCTCATGGGTATACACTGATTTATACCTGTCAGCCTGGCTTCTTCTTAGCAGGTGGAACAGAACATAGAGTGTGTAGATCCGATAACACCTGGACTGGAAAAGTTCCCATTTGTGAAGGTAAGTTTTCTCTATAGAATCTTTTTAACACAAGAGATTGCACTATTGCTTTCCTTTGCTCCAGACAAAAACTCAACTCAAATTAGCATAGGAACAAGGGAAATTTGTTGGCTAACTCCAAGTCTAGGAGTAATGTAAACACTTCTGGATCCAGAGGCATATAAATTTTATGAGTCTATTCATAGCTTTTTTCCCATGAGAATGTTACTTCTTGCCTTAATTCTATCTTCAAATTCTCTCTTCAGGTAGGTATATTATTTTTCTAGGGCTTTTATAACAAAGTACCATAGGCTGGGCGGCTTAACATAATAGGAATTTATTCCTTCACAATTCTGAAGTCCAGAAGTCCAAAATTAAGGTGTCAGCAGGACCTTGTGCCCTCTGTAAGCTCTAAGCAGAAACCATTCTTTGCCTCTTCCTATCTTCTCATAGCTTCTGACAACCCTGGGTATTCATTGGCTCCTAGCCTTACTCCAATTTCTACCCCATTTCAATATGGCCTTCTTTTCTGTGTATCTTTGTGTGGCCTCTCCTCTTCTTATGAGGATACCAGTCCTTGTATTTGGGGTTCAGCCTAAAATCAGGATTGTTTTATCCCAAGATCTCTAGTTAATTACATTTGCAAAGACCTTCTTTCCAAATAAGGTCATAGAGGTACCAGGTGAACATAAATTATGTGGGTACACTATTCATTAGAGTACGGAGAATTGCTACCCTAATGCCTAGATTACTCTGCCAGAGTAACCCTAGTAGAAAGAGTCCTTCCCAAAGTTTTGGTCAGGAAAGCACTATCTGGGATTCTATTTGCCACAATTTTGAATGGATCCCATCTCCAAATCCATTACTCAGCCAGGGTGATATGGTATTAATATTTGGACCAGATCTGGGTGAAGTGTCCACCGATTGCTGCTCGGTCAGGACAATTTCCATTTGGAAAAGGGTTATAATGCCAGAAGAAGGAGTAAAGGAACTTTTTCTAGTGTTTTTGGTAAGGTCATCAACAAAATCCATTTCCTTATATCCAAAAAACCTATTTGTAAGACCTAATGTTTTATCTAATGCAGCTGTCATAAATGACAATTACTTTCTTTTACTTGAAATGTTTTCATTTTCTTTATCAGAACATTCCTCTGCTATTTTTCTTTCTATTTTTTTTTTATGATTGAAATCGCTGTAGTATGAGAAGATCTTATTCTTTGGTTTGTTTGCTTGTAATTATCTGCTTCCACTCTCCTGTCCTCCTATCTACCCCTCTTCAACTAGAATATAATCTCATGAGAGACTTCACTCAAAGTGTTTACAACTGTAATTTTAACACAAATCAGTACCTTACATGTGAAAAGCATTCAATAAATATTTGTTGAATGAGTAAATGTTTTACTCCCTCCTAATTCTAAGTATCCATTCTCCATTTCCTTTATACACTGATTGTTTTCTACTTATGATTTTCTAAAGATGCAGTACTTAGCCATCTCTTGTTTTCATCTCGTATTCACTTTTAGGTGATGTCATTCAAACCAGTGGCTTCAACAGCTGTCCTTATGTAGATTACTTACAAACTAATATTTCTGGCTTATTTATCTTATTTTAGCTTCACACTTACATATTCAATTGTTTGCTTGATATCTCTAGTGAAATTCTTCAGTGGCATTTCAGTACTCAATACATGCAAAACTAAACTCATACATTTCTTTTATCTATATAGTTTCCCTTTGGTATTCCCTATCTCAGTGATATTACCATCCTATAGTTACACATGAGATCTAGTAATCTCCTTAGATATTTTCCTATCCCTCCAAGTCACCACAATTTCAATAGCTTTTTCGTCTGTTCCCCTTTTTGGTTTATTGTCACTGCTATCATACTCTAACTCAGTATTATCTCTACTGGGACTACTGCAGTGTCTCTCAACTTCTCTAGCCATATCCGTACTTGCTGCTTTCCAAAGTTTTCTTGGTTTTGCAGCCAGAGCAACATTTGCCGAAATCACATCCCTTTACAGTCTTTTAAGACATTACATTGTTCTTAGGATACATAGTTTACAAGGCATTCATGTCATAGCTCCTATAATATTCCAGTCACTTCTACATCCTACATGATTTATTTGGTTTTGGACTACCTTTGGTTTTGGTTTAAAACCTGGAAGATTTCACCTTTAAGTCTATCCAATTTCTGGTGACATCTTTAATTATCTCAACAAACTTTGATTTTTAAATGTAAACCCTACCCAAATAGTTTTTGCTTTCTGTCAACAAAAACAACTCTCAGCTCTCAGCTTCCATGTTGGAGGCAACTGTCTCCACTTTGGCTTATGCCTCTAAAATAAGAAATGACATCCCAAGATGATAAAGCAACACAAATCTGCCCCTTGTGCCAATAGACTGTAATGGGAATAATTATTGAAATCATTAGTTGCATAACGAGTGCTGAGTAGGGGACTGAGATGTTGTGATGAACGGAACATTTTAGAGAAAACTATCTATGTGAAATGTCAGAGAATAAAATGGACAGTGCATCACACTGTGTGTGTGTGTGCGTGTGTGTGTGTGCGCATGTGTATGTAATTAATTGCATCAACTTTTGTAAACACCTTTATTTCTTTTCATAGCTGGTTCTAAAATATTGGTGAAAGATCCTAGACCTGCACTGGGAACACCCAGCCCAAAGCTAAGTGGTTAGTAATGTCATTTGTTTTTCTAGAGTTCATTATTTCTAAAAATGGTCTACTATTTTCTTGGCATAGTAACTGTGTATTTAAAAAATATATTTAAGTATAAAAAACTATGACTGTCTTGAATTTGATAATTCACAAGATGTTGAATTTAAAGCAATGTAATACAGTGACATGTTAGTATTCCAAAAGTATTGTTCATAGTTCCGTCTGCTAAAAATATTAAAATTTCCCTTGAAGAGTATCTGTAAATGACTATAGCATAATGGCAATACTGTCATTTAAAATATTAAAATAAAAATGAGGTCTTATTTAACATTTTTAAATGTATATGTTTTTAAAAGGATCCAAATACACTTGGTATGAGAATAAAGATCGGTAACTTCTAGAAATTGACTAGTTTATTTTCAGTTATTTGATTTAAAAAGCAAATTAGAAAACCTAGCACAATCAATAAAAACATAAACTTTAAAGCCCTACAACCTTGATGTATCTCATTTTATATACTCTCTGACTTGTGACCTTGGAAAAATTATTTTATATATCTGAATCTCCATATCTTTTTCTATCCAAAAGAAATAATAATTAAATAATTATATAATAAGCTTCATGCAAATGAAGTGCAGAGTGCGTAGCCCATAGTAAGGGCTCAATATATGAATTGCTTTGTATTAGTTCGTTTTCACACTCCTGATAAAGATATACCCAAGACTAGGCAATTTAAAAAGAAAGAGGTTTAAGTGGACTTACAGTTCCACATGGCTGGGGAAGCCTCACTATCATGGAGGAAGACAAGTAGGAGCAAGTCCTGTCTTACATGGATGCGAGCGGGCAAAGAGATAATGAGGAAGATGCAAAAGCAGAAGCCCCTGATAAAACCACCAGATCTTGTGAGACTTATTTACTACCAAGAGAACAGTATCCATGATTCAATTATCTCCCACCAGATTCCTCCTACAACATGTGGGAATTATGGGAGTACAATTCAAGTTGAGATTTGGGTGGGGACACAGAGCCAAACCATATCATGCTTATTCAGTATTAGTATTTTGTTTATGTGATACTATTTAAAAGCTGCCAATAAGAGCATAATATCTGATCTTCACCTTGGAAACAGATTTCTCTCAGTTGTATTGGGCCAAGAACTACATTAGGATCTAATTTTAGTGAGGTTTAGAAGTGCTCCATGTACATGCTATAAAAGTGGAGGGACCACCAAGCTCTGTGACTTATACTGATACATTCAACACTTGTCGAAAACATGCTGAATGCCATTGAGGCAATCAAAGAATACATAAAAGTAAGGCAGAGTTTGTTTGCAATGGAGTCAGAAAACCATAATTGTCCATCAATGCCCCAAATTTTCCAAGGGAAATGCTTGATTTGGGACCAGGTGGAAACTCTGAATAATAGCTCCAGCACATCAAATCTGTAAAAAAATTGCTCATATATTAAATAATAAATTAAATTAAACAAATTTTAAAACGCAAAGTTAGTCTTCATAGCTCATATCTGACTAGGATGTGATTAAAGTTCAATGAGGAAATATGTAATTTAAAACATTCCTGTATGTTTGGAAATTCAGAGCAAAATTAGTAATAATAAATAACTCATGAATTAAAGAAGACATCAACACAGAAATATATTAGAATGTAGTTATTTTGAAAAATTGAAATATCAAAGCTTGAGGGCTATAAGAAAAGGAAAGTTAAGAGGGAAATTTGTAGCCTTAAATCCTTACATTATTGAAAAGAAAAGCCTCAGAATTAATTAGTTGTGTCCCTATTAAGAGAATATTAAGACTGTAACAGAGTAGCAGGGCAGAAATCAATGTAATAATAAAAACAGGCAACCGCCCAAAACAGTAGAAGAATCTCAACAGAACCAAATGTCGTTCTTTTCAGAAACAAAGTAGAAAAATTTCTGGTAAAAATAAGATAACAAAGAAAATGTGAGCATAACTACATAGAGAGTAGATTAATGAAATTCAAAATATGTTAAGGGAAAACTATCAATAATTATCAACATTTAAAAACATTTACACAGAGCAGACAAATTACTAGAACACTACATCTTACTAGAACTAATAAAAGAAAATGTGAATAATTTTATAGCAAATAAAGAACTGGTTAAAATTATTTCCACAAAGAAAATGAGGTCTATGTGGCCCTACTGGTAAGTTCCACCACATTTTAAAGGAACAGAATGGATCTTTCAAGTTTTATAAAAACTCTTCTGGACAATAAAATTCATTCTCTAGGCTCAACATAGCTCTAATAACTCGGATAAAGATATTATAAAGGGAGAAAAATTTCAGGCCCATTTGACTCAGGATTATAAATGAGAAAATCTTACATAAAATCTTAGCAAATCAAATTCAACATTGTAGTAAAGATAACCCATGCGAAAAGGAAAAGTTTAGCTGAATTAAATTTAAAGGAGTTTAATTGAACAATGAACAATTTGTGAATCAAGCAGACCCCAGAATCACAGCAGATTCAGAGAGACTCCAGGGATGCCTCATGGTCAGAACAAATTTATACACAAAGAAAGGGAAGTGACGTACAGAAATCAGAAGGGAGAGACAGAAACAACTAGATTGGTTACAGTTCTGTGTTTGCCTTATTTGAACACATTTTGAACACTCAGCAGTGTACGAGTAGTAGAAGTACAGCTGCTGGGATTGGCCAAGGCTCAGCTATTGTTACAGGTGCATACTCCTGAATTAGGTTTTCAATCTTGTCTACCTATTAAGTTAGATTGAAGTTCATTACAAGGACTCAAATATAGAACTATGGAGTCCTTCTCAGGCCATATTTAGTTTGCTTTAACACCCATCAGAACCAATCTGGATTCTTCATAGCTATGCAGGGATGTTTTAGTTTTAAATAATCCTTAAAAGTAATGTATCACATTAAGAGATTAAAGTGCAAAAAATTATGATAATTGCAATATTTGCAAAGAAAGTATTTGATCAAATTCAACACTTATAATTTTTAAATTATAAATTTAAAAATTTATAATTTTTAAAAATTCTTAACAAACTCTAAATTTTAGTAAAATTATTTATAAAAATTATATGGCAAATAGCATGTTATATGAGAAAACATTCAGCAGTATTTCATTTAAAATCATGAATGAGACACAGTGATTACATTACTCCAAAGTGATAAGAATGGAAGTTGGCAGTGGTATCAAAGTAAGGAGCTATATTGCTTATAAATTATCATGGAAATAGAAATTTTAGTTGTTACTGAAATATTCAGTAAAAACTCAACTCTTAGGGTATTTTTATGCTGATCTGCCACAGTGGTTTTGCTTTCTTGGTTTAATAGAATTCAGGGAATACACAGCTTGTCATGGCAATCCCTGTGATCTGACTGGTAAGAAGTGTGATACATGCATATATCAGATGAAAAATCATCAATAACTTGTTAGACAAATTAAAAAAAAGGACTTTTTCCTAAATCCACTTCATTCAGTCATTCATCCAAAGAGGGTTGGGTACCTTGAATAGCTGATTTCTAGGGATGTGCTGTGCTGTGAGGTATAGGATTAATCCTATACCTCAGCTTCTCTCAGCTGCTGCCCAGGAGCTGTGTAGACTTTGACATAACCAATTTATATAACTTTAAATTACATAAATAATTTATATAAATACAATAAGTCTTTTTGGCTAGTATCTAAAATAGTGTTTTTTCTTTAGATGAAAATTTTATAAGCTTTAGAATGTTCTTTGATTCTACCACAATTCATCTCTCATCCTTGAGAGTCCAACAATACTAGTGACAATTTCTAAAAATACCTGTATACCTCAAAGCTATCAATATGGTGCAGCCCTGTTCTTCTTCAGGAGCACCTGTTATTAGAAGAACTAAACTCAGTATTCTGTAAGGGGGAACACAGAAGCACTGTCTCATGATAATTTTGCAGGACCTTTCTCTTTGCTATTCCTCTTAAAAATCTATTCCCACTGCTGGAAAAAAAGCAGGCCTCTTGGGACTTGGGTATAGTTTTACTGCCATGGTGCTGTGAAATCATTTTATTTTCCTTCAGAAAGAAATATATTGCATAAAAGACCAAAGATAAGTGAAGTTTATATTTACCTGGGTTCTAAAAATAAACCTAATATCTTTAACTGGTGTTTTCTATTTCTCTCTTCTCGATAACATATGAACAAATCTAGATTATTACAATGTGGATTTATTCTAAAAAATGGAAACATTTTTATATGAAGAATTAATTTTGTAACACACATTCAACATTATTGTGTATTAGCAATACATCATTATTCAATAAACTAATACTCTATTTAATGCTTATATTTATATGGCATTGTAAAATTAATGTGTGGTATATTTAATCTATTCACAGTTCCTGATGATGTATTTGCCCAAAATTATATATGGAAAGGCTCTTACAATTTCAAAGGAAGGAAACAACCCATGACCTTAACAGTTACTAGTTTCAATGCTTCCACTGGGAGAGTTAACGCAACACTGAGCAATAGCAACATGGAGCTGCTACTTTCAGGTATCGCAATAAAAACAGCAGCGAAATATACCTTCATGACTTTATTTCTATTATGATTTCATCATTTTTAGTAATGCTTTTTATATGGTGAAATGTTTATTTTGATACATTTGCTTTTGATGACATTCATATTCACTCAGAACCAAGGTTTTCTGGTTTTTGGATTGATGAATGAATATTACTACAGAAATATAAAACTAGTTTTAAAATAAGTTATTTAAATAATTTTTGGTAGCTAGAATTAGATGTCATATATTAGATCATAACATTTAATTTAGGTATGAATACAACTAAATCTTTCTCTATTCTCATAAAACCACGGAGACCAAATCATTGATTTCTCAACTATTCTGTGGCCACAAAGCTATTTCTTCAAATGACCATGTTTATAGATGGACATCCAATATTTAAGACAAATAAAGATAGAGCTACACTTGTTTAAATAGGCATAAGGGAACCAAAACCTGGTCAATCTTCTTAAGTTTCTGTTTTCTGTGTCCAGTACACACATCTCTCATTATCTTTGATTGCACTGGTTTTCCTAACACTCAGATATTCTCTCACAAGTCACCTCCTCAAGCAATACTCCCAATGACCTGACCTAAAGGAAACTTTGTATTACAAATGCTGTCAGACATATTCTTAGTTTTAGGCAGCCTTACCCTGTTTTTTTCTTTACAATATTTGAAATTATATTTGTTATATTTATTATTCATTATGTGTCTATATTCTAACAATATAAAATAAATTCTAAGAAAGCTCTTTGCCTTCCAACTTAATATTGTATTCCCAGAGGCTAGCAGAACATCTGAAACAAAATAGGCCTCAATAAATATTTTCAAATTAATGCATTTGAATTATAATTGCTCTCATTTTTTAAAATGAGACACTATGATATTTGATATTGCAAATATGAAATATAAACTGTAAAATTCTTGTCTGTATAGATATAACCCATATAAATATTAATAATGAAATAATTTGTGCTGTAAAAAATTGAAAATAAAATTATATTCATTGATTTTATAAATTTTAGAATGAATTTTGAGTGTCATTCTTATTATTGAATGATCCTCCGTTAAACACAAAGTAAAAATATTAGAAGTTAATATGTAGTATAATTTTAAAAATACATATAATTACCTTATATTAATCGAAAGAAACTTTAAATGAATGAGACAAATACATTTAAATTGTGACTAATGCTTTATTTAACTTTGATGTGTTAACAAAGTTTTTCTTTATTTTCTATAAAAGAGCCCAAAATAAATGTATACTTATTCTAATCTAGATAAACTCAAGAGTTTTCTATATATATGGAAAGACAAAGAATTAGATTAATTCGCTTTCACTTACTGTCTCCATATAAACCAATTGTAGCAATTTTTCAGCAATATTATCGATTACTTTTATATCTTCCTCCTATTGATTATAATTTACCTTAGCACCTATGTCTCATTATCTTTTCATTTCCTGCATATTATGGTGCCCTATTACATAGGTGAACAATTAAGTTAGAATGAATGAATACAGTCAAGTTTTAAACAACAGTTAATCAGATTTTTTCTTAGATCCTATTTTCTGTTATTTCCCTAAACAATTTTTTCCCTCCAGCTTACAGCTACCCTTAGAACACTTACCATGTAAAAATCATTGTATATATTTTTGCTTCTCTTCCTTATGTCATTGCTTGTATTTACCTTCCCAAACTAAAAATTCTACTTTATTTTTAAGAACCAGTTCAAATGCTGTTTTTTGTTGTTGTTGTTGTTGTTTTGTTTTTGTTTTTTGTTTTTTGTTTTTTTTGAGGCAGAGTCTTGCTCTGTCACCCAGTCTGGAGTGCAGTGGTGCCATCTCGGCTCACTGCAACCTCCGGCTCCTGGGCTCAAGCCATCCTCCCACCTCAGCCTCCTGAGCAGCTGGGACTACAGGTGCGTGCCACCATGGCTGGCTAATTTTTTAAAGTATTTTTTGTAAAGATGGGGTTTTGCCATGTTGCTTAGGCTGGTCTGGAACTCCTAAACTCATACTTTTGGATTCAGACCATCTGTCCGCCTTGGCTTCCCAAAGTGCTGGGATTACAGGTATGAGCCACCATGCTTGGCCCTCCAGTGCTTTTCCTTGATAACTATTCCTTGATCATTCTAGTGTGAAATGATCTCTCTCTGGCTTTTAATTTATCACATTCTCTCATGTGTTTGATTTAGCTGTGTACCTTACTTATACCTCCTACTTTGTTGGAAATTATTAAAAACAGGAACAATATATATTCATCTTTGTGGCTCAAGCAGCACCTAGAATACTGTTTTTCACTGAGTTGGCAACTAATTTGTTATTAAGGAAAATATCAGGAATTTTAACACTGGATTTGTATGCTTGAAAATTTTAGAATCTGATTGTGGGAAGAAATCATTTTGTTTTCAATATCATGGAATGATGTTATTAAGAACACTAGTGCTTAATTGTGATAGCATAGGTAATTTAAACCCCACAACTAAGAAATAAGTTGAGGATTTCAGAAGACAGATAAATCAATGTATATTACAGGATTTGCAAAGAGCATTATAGGTTAAGCCATCCTTGACTTGCCCTTGTTTTATTTCTTTTTTTAATTACATATCTTACATAATCTATTTAAGGAATGATAGATAATAAAATGAAGTATAACTATTTACAAAGTTAAGTAGACTAAAATGTCCTTGCATTTTACAGGGGTATATAAAAGCCAGGAAGCTCGCCTAATGTTACGCATATATCTTATTAAAGTACCTGCTCATGCTTCTGTGAAGAAAATGAAGGAAGAAAATTGGGCAATGGATGGCTTTGTAAGTATAGTTATTTTAACATCTGCTGCTGATTTTAATGATAAATTTGTAGCTTGTCCAGGAAAGGAGAGTTTTCTAAATTTAGCTAATTATGAATACATACACATACATATATATTAGTAAATATAAATATTTAGTATTCTAAAGTACAAGCCTAGGAATACTGGATTCTGATGTGTTTTGCTTACTTTTGTCGTGTGTGTGTGTGTGTGGTGGTGGGGTGTACGTGTGTGTGGGGGAGGGTATGGGTGGATGTGGGTGTGTGTATGTGTGTGTGTGTGTGCTGATCTGCATTTAGTTTTTCACTGATTTCATCAAATATATTCCATCTACAATCAGCACTATGATAAATAAATCTGGATAAAATATAATTCAATCTTTGGAACCACTACTACTTAAGGAATATGCAACATATTTACAAAGTACATCAGAAAATTAAATACTCCCATTATATTGAAGCATGAATTTAGACTATTTTATATATAAAGTCCATGAAAAGGAACTTATGTGAGCTGCTTCCTATGGGGAGATAGTTACTGTAGCTTCACCATGGAGTCACTCCTATTAAGTGATTTATGTGAGTGGAGTGTTAAGACTGACAGTGGAAAACACAAGGGCCAGGAGTCTTTGCTGAAGAGTCAGCATGAGAGATCTGACTGTATCCTCTCAAGTACCAAGCCTTTTTTTCATAAGGAAAACTTAATGGGAAAGAAGATACTGTAGTGGATCATAGGCTGCTATGTAGTAGCCTTCGATAAGTTTCAATAAGCCTTCAATAAGTTCAAGAAGCCTACCATCTAGTAGGCTTCAATAAGTTTGGTTCCTGAGGAAAAAAAGTGTTTATCCTATTTCTGCATTCTGTATTCATGGAGTTGGGAACTGAGTCAAATCTTCAATGCACTCAGATTGTTTAATTGTATTATTTTATGTAGGAAACAAAGTGAATTGATTCATTAAAATGATGGAGTTTGAGCTTCTTCTTAGAAGTACTTTATTTTTTAGGGTGGCCATACCCAGAGTATAATGTCTGATAATAAAGAATAAATCAGTTGTTGTGAAATGTCAGACTTGCATGGGTGGTTTGGTATCCTTTGCTTTTTAGAGTGAGGACTCAAGATTCTTACAACTTTTATGATAATGTTCATGACTTAGGTAACTAATTGCCATTAATTAACACAAACTTCAGGATATATCACTTTACTACTTAGTAGTAGGAATTGCTGAAATGTAACATTTCCTATTTTACTTATAAGATCAAATTACATTATGCATATAAAGTATTTTTTAAATATAATATTGTATACAAATGTAAGGTGCATGTAGTATTTAGCATTGGCAACATTAGACATAGCCATGAAGCCTCTGGGTCAAACAATAATAAGTATTTAGTTATTTCTCATTTGTAATGGGTTAGCTGTGGAGGCACTACTTGAGGCTGTGGTATTAAGTCCAGGTCTTCATGTCTCATCATCTCATTTTGGGGCAGAGTCTGAAAGGGCACTTGCTGCCTAGAGCATGTACTTCTCTTGTCAGAAGTCCAAAACTCTCAGAGGGGCAAGTGGTTCTGAAATAAGCTGTGATTCTCAAATAAGCTCAAATCCATTGACCTATGCCTTTTTCTTGCAGCTCAATGTAGATACAAGTCACGTATCCTACAATTCACCCATTTAAAAATGTCCAATTCAGTGGTTTTTAATATATGTGCACATATATGTAACCCTCATCATAGCTGATTATAAAATACTTTCATTTTTTTTGAGCAGAGTCTCACTCTGTTGCCCAGGCTGGAGTGCAGTGGCATGATCTCAGCTCACTACAACCTCTACCTCCCAGGTTCAAGCGATTCTCCTGCCTCAGCCTCCTGAATAGCTGGGATTACAGCTACATGCCACCACCCCTGGCTAATTTTTGTAATTTTAGTAGAGACGGGGGTTTTACCATGTTGGCTAGGCTGGTCTCATATTCCTGACCTCAAGTGATTTGCCCTCCTTGGCCTTCCAAAGTGTTGGAATTACAGGCGTGAGCCACCTCACCTAGACTACAATACTTTCTTCATGTTGTAAAGAAACTCCACAGCCTTTAGCTATCAACCCCTGCCTTACATTCTCAAATCAGCTCTGAGTAACCACTAACCTATTTTCTGTCTGTATAGATTTCCCTGTTCTGACTTTCATATGAATGGAATCATATAGTATGTGGCCTTTTGTGGCTGGCTTCTTCCACTTGGTGTGATGGGAAGTATGGCTCTTAAGGCCTAGGCTTGCAACTTAACTATTGTCAATCCCAATCCCCACACTCCATAGGCCCAAGCAAGTCACAGGACCAAGCCCAACTAAATGAGATAGGGAGTAAACTCTTCTCATGAAGGTTGGGAGAGTGGGGATGTGGAACAGTAATAGAATTTACTAAGTACAGTATTTTTATGTTTTAATTTTTAATTGATCACTGTATTTCCTCATGTCATTGCTTTTTATTGACAGCAGATGTCTATATCATACATTAATAACCAATCTCTGTTTTGTATATCATAATTATTTCAAATTAGAAAATTTACTTTTGCTTTTAATGATGGAAAATTTTCACAATGTGCTATATTTTGCAAAGGAGAAAAATATAGAAGAAAGGAACTTGTGATAATATTTCTTTCAGAATAAAATTGTGTATTTATTAAGGCTGGGAAAATATAGCTATGGCCAGTATTCAAGTATATTTGGCTGTTTAAATATTTTTAGGTTTCTGCTGAGCCTGATGGAGCTACTTATGTATTTCAAGGATTTATTCAAGGCAAAGATTATGGACAATTTGGCCTACAAAGACTGGGTAATGTATTCATTTTGATTTTCACGAACTTCTGTTATTATCCCAGACATCATAAAAAAAAGACTGTGGATTCTGTACATTAGGTACACTTACTGCATTATAAATTCTGTACTGCCAGAACTATGCATTGATACCTTTGATAGCCCTTTTAAATAATCACATTCTTCAAAATACTGGATCTTTATGTACCAACTCTGTACAGTGTTTAGATTTTCATGGTATTTCTAATAAATATGACAAACTGGCTTGCCTTTAAGCACATAAAAAGGAGAAAAAGTGATATAGATAAAAAAGAAAATATTAAACTGTAAATTAGTTTATTGTATCTCATGAGAACTGTACTACTTTTCTTCAGTTTGAATATTGTCGCAGTTTTCATTCTTCTGAAAATGTAGTGACACTCTGAGAAACTCACAGAGTCTGGAAAGAGAAAATAACTTTGAGGAATGGGCCCCTTTTGGGGACTTGGTTCTCTTCAAATATGTAAATTTTCTGCAGTGGGAAGCAAAGAATTTTGTCATTTTTATTTCCAACTCTTCTATATGTATATAAACCTTTAATGGTCTGGCAAGAATGTGTTTATACACATAGCTTTTGGTGTATAATTCTCCTATGATCCACTGTCTCCCATTATTATACTGTGACAGGGATACACAAAGAATAAATTCAGGCTCTAAAAATTATTATTTGACATTTATCTTTTAAGAAATGAACTTTTTTTTTTTCTTTTTTGAGACAGAGTCATGCTCTTGTCACCCAGGCTGGAGTGCAATGGCACAGTCTTGGCTCACTGCAAACTCCTCCTCCCAGGTTCAAGGGATTCTCCTGTCTCAGCCTCCCGAGTAGCTGGGATTACAGACCACCATGCACACTACCATGGTAGCTGGAATTAGCTACCATGCCTGGCTATGTATTTCTAGTAGAGACAGGGCTTCACCATGTTGGCCAGGTGGGTCCCAAACTCCTGACCTCAGGTGATCCGCCCGCCTTGGCCTCCCCAAGTGCTGGGATTACAGGTGTGAGCCACCATGCCCAGCCAAAAATGAACTTTTTAAAAAATTTTGAACTTTTACATAGCAGTACTAAGTCACAGGAAAAATAAGGTAAAAAATAAGATACTAATTTTCTTTAACCTGGACAAAGATGAGGTTTAGTTAAATGTAACTGTTTGTCAAAAAGAGAAATTAGCTTTCTCTACATGAAAAGTAATAAGATGCCATTTACATCACATCCTACCTGTGTTTGTCTTAAAAACAGGTAAAAACACTCATTAACATAGTGCATTTACACAGTTGTATAATTTAGTGCTGAATATTTTCATGTAATATTCTCCAAAGTGTCTCAAACACTACAAGTCTGAAGCAGAACCCACAAAAAAGGAACTATTTCCTTTTAAGAAAGAACTGGTATTTCTTTTTCCCTCATTCCTGTGCAAATGTGTCGACAAGCTTGGCTTTTCTTATTTCCTAACTCTGCGAATGCCATCGGCATTTACTGAGCTTCAAGTAGAATACTTGTAATCCTGTGTCTTCTTGCCTCTTACATCCACATAAACAAGTTCTGCTAATTTTCATTATGAAATCTTCCTCAAATCTATTGTCCCATGCACTTCCTATTTCTCTAGTTTAAATTTTAATTCCTTTTTTTTTTTTTTTAATCTCGGCTGTCACTACAATCTTCTAACTACACCTGATTCCAGTCTGTATTCCCTGAAGTCCATCCTACTACCGCTATGTTCTAAATCTCATGTCATATCACTGGGTCTTTTATTTCTAAACACCTTCAGTTGTTCCTCACTGAGGTGGATAGTAACTCTGGCTGGGTGCCATCACTCATGCCTGTAATCCCAGCATTTTGGGAAGCTTAGGCATGTGGATCACGTGAGTTCAGGAGTTCAAGACCAGCATGGGCAACATGGTGAAACCCTGTCTCCACAAAAAATACAAAAGTTAGCCAGGTGTGGTTGCATGTGCCTGCAGTCCCAGCTACTTGGGAGGCTGAGGCAGGAAGATCGCTTGAGCCGGGGAGGTGGAGGCTGCAGTCAGCCACGACCACTCCACTGCACTGCAGCCTGGGTGACAAAGTGAGACCCTGTCTCAAGAAAAAAGAAAAAAAGAAAAGAAAAAGAAAAAAAAAAGTTTGAGTTCGTCAGAATGATATTTATTCCCTTTTAGAGTCTAGCCATAGTTTATTCTTTTAACCTCCCACTCCTATTTCATGTCAGTGCTTGTCACATCCACTACCTAAGCCACTTACCTTCCCATTTCTAGCCTCATGATGATTTTTCAAGCCAAGCCTATGTTGTATATCCTCCAGAATTACTCCTTTCCTTTCTAAAGCACATTGACCATTTATTCATGCTTGATATACACACTTATTATATACTCCATATGTCTTCCCACTATTGTATAAACTCCTTAGTTCGGGGCTCTGCCTATTTTTTTGTCTGTACCCTTTCCTGGAAAAATATCTTCTAAGAGGCACTGTGCAAACATATGTGAAATGAGTTGAAGGAGTTTCATGAATTATTTTTGTTTACTATGTGATTTCCAGGTAGATATCTTGAGAATAGAAGAAATTAATTGATTCATGGGAGTAGAAATTAATTATGATAAAAGAGTTGTGTATTTATAATTTATTTTTTATTTTGTAGGACTGAATATGTCAGAAGGTTCAAATTCTTCAAATCAACCTCATGGTACAAATAGTAGTTCTGTAGCCATTGCTATTCTTGTGCCTTTTTTTGCACTTATATTTGCAGGATTTGGATTTTATCTTTATAAACAAAGGTAAGCTCATTGATTTTTAACTACAAAATGTTTCCCAAATCTGTTTTTCATGTTATTTCTACTGCTCTAGCTCAAATCTTAATTTCAAATTTTCTTCTGAGTTGTTGAAATGTCTGTGTGCTAACTATTGTCATAGACACTGAAAAATTTATTTCCCCTAACCACCCCTGCAACATTACATACAACATAACAAAAGTGCTCTGTTAAATTGCACAAGCATTCAGTTTAACCTTTCTTTTGCCTGTCAATTTCCTGGCATGGACCTAATTGTAAAAGTTATTTCTACATTATCTATAATGAGACTTTAGAGATAGAAAATCTAGGTTAAAGTTTAAATTGGAGAGGTAATATCTGCTGCCAGATATGTTTAGAAAACTAAGAAGGAGCTTGTGTCCAAACCTCTTAGTTCACACAAAAATACTAACTGATTTTACCCAGGCAGACAGATGGCAAAATCCTCTAATCTTCTCATTCATCTTCTGTTGCTTTTTGATGAATTGCAATTAATATATTTGTGATAGATCTAATATATAGCTGTACATATTATTAGTAGATCCTGTTCTCTCAGTCCATTACAAATCCTGGTGAGTGCTTTACTATATCCCACTATTTGGGACAATCCCTTATCAAGAAAAAATATGTGGGTAGCCAGATAATTAAATGACTATAACCTAAATGCCTTTCCTCCAAAATTGATATATATATATATTTTTTGAGACGGAGTCTTGCTCTGTCGCTCAGGATGGAGTGCAGTGGCACAATCTCGGCTCACTGTAACATCTGCCTCCCAGGTTCACGCCACTCTCCTGCTTCAGCCTCCCAAGTAGATGGGACTACAGGTACCCGCCATCATGCCCGGCTAATTTTTTGTATTTTTAGTAGAGACGGGGTTTCACCGTGTTAGCCAGGATGGTCTCGATCTCCTGACCTCGTGATCCGCCCGCCTCGGCGTCCCAAAGTGCTGGGATTACAGGTGTGAGCCACCGCAAAATTGATATTTTCATTTGGGGTCAATCTGCAACATCTAAGAATGATTTATTTAATATTATATAAATGTGTACTGAGTGTGAATTACCAGCTACTTAGGTCTAGTCAATATCAGATTTTATTAATAGATAAAGAATAATCATCACTAAATTTATTTATAGGACAACCTAAGTCAACTTTTTAAAAATTGTGGTAAAATAGATATGATATAAACCTTATCATTTTAACCATTTTAAAGACTACGATTCAGTGGCATTTAGTACATTCAGAGTGCCATGCAACCATCACTACTGTATATTTCCAAAATATTTTGGAACCCCAAAAATGCCAAAGGGAAACTGTACTTATTAAGTTGTCACTCCTCACTCCCCTCATCCAGCTGCAGGTAACTGCAAATCTGTTTGCTTATTCTGCATATTTTTTACGTAAATGGAATCATACAATATGTGACATTTTGTATCTGGCTTCTTAAACTTAGCAAAATGTTTTCAAATTTTATCCATGTTATAGCATGCATCAGTACTTCATTCTCTTATATGGCTAAATAATATTCCATTGTATGGATGAATGTGTCCATTCATCAATTGATGGACATTTGAGTTGTTTCTACCTTTTAACTACTGTGAATAGTGCTACTGTACACATTTGTGTATAAGTTTTTGTTTGAACACTCATTTTCAGTTCTTTTCAGTATATACCCAGGAATGAAATTACTGGAATATGTGGCAATTCTATGTTTAATTTACTGAGTAACCATCAAGGTGTTCTGTACAGCAGCAGCAGCATTTTCCATTCCTATCGGCAATGGATAAAGGTTCTGCTTTGTCCAAAGCCTAACCAACACTTGTTATTTTCCAGGTTTGGGGGGCTTTGTCTTTTGTTTTTTATTAAAGCCATCCTAGTGCATGTGAAGCTGTATCTCACTGTGGTTTTGATTTCCATTTTCATAATTATAGGTGATGTTAAGCATCCTTTTATGTGCTTGTTGGCCCTTTGTCCATTTTTGTTGAAATGCCTATTCAAATACTTTGTTCATATCTAAATTAGGTTGTTTGTCTTATTTGGTTGTAAGAGTTCTCTATATATTTTAGACACTAGGCCCTTATTAGATATATGTTTTGCAAATATTTTCTCCCTTTCCGTGGGTTGTATTTTCACTGTCTTGAGAGTGTTCTTTGATGTACAAAAGTTTCCATTTGATGAAGTTAAATTTATTTTTTTTCCTCTTACTTGTACTTTTGATGTCAAATCCAAGAAACCATTGCCAAATTCAAGGCCATGTGTTTTTCCTAAGAGTTTTATGAATTTGGCTCTTGTGTTTAGGGCTATGATTCATTTTGAGTTAAATTTTATTCATGGTGTGAATTTTTAAAACTTGGTAATATTTTCCTTCAAGTTGTTGAATATTAAGAAGGGGCAATTATTTTGTATCTTCATGATTATTACCTAATTAGAAGGCAATGATGTTGCTTTGGTTTTTATTTTAAATCTAGTTTGGAAAAAAAATATGATCCAGTAGAGTTATAGTATTAGACACACTTAGTAAGAGCAAGTTATTAGCTTTCTCCCAATAAACCTAAGATAGTTTCTTTTACAATTATTATCGTAGAAATCACCTAATATTTTTGAAATATAGATAAATTCAGAAAAATGCATTAGTGATAATAAAATAATATAATGGCAATTACAAATTATAATAAAATTAATAGTTGAAATTCGATTGTTCAGTATAAACAATAGAGTTGAGAAACAAATTTATTTTAAGATATATCCCTTTTAGGAATTAGGCCCCAGAAACAGATAGCAGCAAGTCTGCCTTTTTTCCATTACAAATGTGAGCAAGTTATACATGCTTCGTGGGAAAGATAAACTAGATTAGCATTAGTCAAAGGTGGAAGAAATAAACAAATGAATCAGAATTTCAAGACCAGCATCCTCTACCAGCCAACCCAGAATTCATGTGTCTGGTTAACTAATTGTTAGTAGTCCTTTAGAAATTATTTTCATGACTTGAGTATGAGAGTAGCCATTTCTTCTTTGAATTTTTGAATTTGCATGCTTTAATGTATACCATTTAAAAAATAAAATTGAGCATTCATGTTTTGGGATACTCCAAAGTACCTTTCCAAATTAGGCCTCAGCATTAATTGTGTACTCTTCAGGGAATCTCCTTCTCTTTTTGTGCGGAACCGACTTATAATTCAGGTTTCAGATTAAATGTTACCTCCTAAAAGATGCTTTGTTCTATTACCTCTCCTAAAGTGGCTTCCAGTTACTTTTCATATTAACCATTTTCCTTTTCATCATAACAATTCTCATTACCTACTATTTTTGGTTTTATTTATTTTAATTTATTCTTGTTTTCTATCACTACAATGTGAACTCCCTGAAAGTAAAGACTAGTCTTTTTTTAAAAAAATGATATACCCAATGCCTAGAATCATGACTGGCGCATAATAGATGTTCAGTAAATATTTGGTGAACAAATAAATAGTGATGAGACTTAAATCCATCATCATTATTATTTATACTATAAATGATAAGTCATAATAATTTCTAATTTTGTAAGAAAATTTATTATAGCCATCATATAATTTATTTATATTTATGTTACTAATATTGATGCTGTACATAAATATGTAATATATGTAAAATTAAAAGTCACTCAGGTTTTTAAAGTAACAAGGAAATTGTTCAAGTTGACTTAGTGTGTTTATGATGTCTCAATTAATATTTTTAAGTTACATTATCTGCTAACGATGTACATTATGTTTGAGCTGTAGTCTGCTGTTTCTGGAAGAAAGTTAACACATAGCTAATCAATGTTCTCATCAACAGGACTGCACCTAAAACACAGTATACAGGATGTTCAGTTCATGAAAATAACAATGGCCAAGCAGCTTTTGAAAATCCCATGTATGACACCAACGCAAAGTCAGTGGAAGGGAAGGCGGTACGATTTGATCCCAACTTGAACACGGTTTGCACAATGGTATAACGAGGCAACCTTTGCCTTCTTCAGAAGCTTGGAAATCGACACACAAAACAGTGCACATTTAGTTCACTGCTAAACAAATTAAAGCACACTTTTCAGGACTTGCTGGGTCACCTTTTCCTGAGGAATGATACAGAAGAGTGTTTTTTCATAAACTGGACCATAATTCTTCATGTTTACCATGGAGAGTTTTACAGAAATTTGGCTGCACTCTGAGAGTGCTTACTCACAGTTTATTTGCTTTTTTTAAAAAGGAGATTATTCTAAAATATAAACTTATTTGCATATATTGGAGGAGCATCCACTATCAGTATTTCTGTGCTTTATAAACTATATTAGAGGGACTGGGTTTAAAAAAAAAGATATAGGGTAGAAATAAGAGCTATACTTACAAGAGTCAATAGATCACTGACTTCTCTTTAACTGTCCTGAGCTACATCACGCCCACAAATCTGTCTTTCATACCACTCTATCTGCCATTCATTCTTGTTAAATGAGGCATTGTTTTCTTTATTTAAGATTGAGTTATGACTTTAAATGTTTATGAGCTAGTTTATGCCTCGGAAGACATAAGGTTTCCCATTCCAATTTGAATCTTTCTATTTCTTTAGCATCATATTGCTCTTCTTCTTTTAGACTGGTTGTCATAGTTTCTGCAAAGGGCAAGTTCATTGTGCTACCCTCCCAATTCCCCCATTATGGAGTAACCAGTATTATTCAGTGAGCTATGGGGTAGTGTTTCACTCCTTGCTTCAATATGGTTTTTTCCTATTTATTTTTATTATTTTTTAATCCCAAATGTGATAGTAGCTTCAGTATGTTTCCTCACCCAAAAACCATTTGGCTGGCAGAAATTATCTAGAAAAATTATTATTTTGCAGTTATCTGAGACACCAAACTTACCATCCTTTATTTTACAATATTTTTGATCGACCAAATAAAATGTCCTAATAATCTACTCTATTTATATCTACATTTCCTTCCAGCTGAGTCTTCAAATTTAGCATTATTTTGACACTTTTAATTTTCATTTAACAATGGATTAGAAAAATATTTTGGTCTAGCCACTAAACATAATGACTGAAAAAAATTATTATTATAAATCACCAATATAAATTTATTGCCTACAATTGTGGACTTATCATATTTTTATATATTTTTAAATTTCTGTACCTTTATTGTTAAACACCAAGTTTCACATACAAGAGGTTTCTTTCATTGTCAAATTAAGATATGTATTTGTAAGTTATTGGTGGCTCATTTAAACTGTATCATACAGTAATGCCAGCATTTTTATTTAATAGGTCATCGTCTTCCTTTTATAGCTGTTTTACTTCATTGAATACGATCATGTACCCAGTGTTAACTCTTTGTTGTTGTCCCTTTCAAATATGGATAACTCTGTGAACAGTCTTGACTTTTTGTATCATGAGACAGAGTGCCTAAGAGAAACCCTTGCACCTGGGAGCGCTGCTTGGCTCTATCTCTACAACATTTAATGAATTTCTTGTAAACCACTTTGAGATACATTGTTTTGGAAATTCATACAATTTTCTCAACATGGTACTCTACTGGCAGGATGCAGTTTTAAATTTTATGCCATCAGTTATTTATTCTTGTTTATTCAAATGACTGCAATAACAATGATTCATTCATTAATGTTAAGGCTAATACATTTAAGATCTTGTTTAAACAATGTTTCTTCTGCAACTGGCTACTCCTCTTATATTAATGCATACACTTTTGTAAAGAAGTATATTTTTATGAAAAGAAACTTTGTAAAAGTATGATGTAAATTTTCAGTGCAATGTAAACAAAATAAAAATGGATAATTGCTTTTGTAAAATGTGTTTTTTTTTCCAAAAATAAACTGCAACTGTTCAGGTTAGTAAAAGGAATGAACAACGCACATTTATTTGTTGTTTTTAAAAGTTCCCAAACTGCATATTCTATACATTTAGTTAGCAACATAATAATGAAATATGAGTGTTTTTCTTCTTTAAATTCCGTAATTCCTCAACTATGACACTTTTGGGAAAATTGATTCCAAGTAAATATAGTAGTAACATAAGAACTTCATCTTATGTTGAGTGAATGGTTTTCTAGAAAAAGAACAAGAACCTCATCTTAGAAGTTTCCTTAAATGCTAATATTTAACAGTACTGTCTAAATTTAGTTACATCTGATGATTTCTAATATTTCTGTAGTATATTTTCATAGAGGTACATTAGCATGCTCTATAGACATGAACTCAAAACTTTTTGAATAGATTAAACTAATACTCAAAAACAAATACATTTTTGTCAGGACGGAGGATTTCCACAAATAAATGGAATGTGTAAAAATCTGTATTCAAGAAACTTACTAAGTTTCTATAAATTCAATTTACAAGTTACTAAGTTCAATTTTATTAGATAACTCTTTTTTACAAAACACAGTGTCTTTATATTTTCAGAACCTCAAACTCCAGCATGTATAGTCTATCTCTGTTTATTACACTTTAGCTTTAGAAATGTATGGTTCTTGATATAATTGTAGCTCTTTGTTAACTTTGTTACCTCCACCTTTCACTCATTTCCCATCTATATTTCACTTGTTGTTCTTCATCTTTTTTTAATTCTTCTTTGTGTTTTTACTTTTCCTTTTTCTTCCACTTTTTAATTTCTCTCTTCTGCTGTTTTTCTTTTTTTTATTATTATTATACTTAAGTTCTGGGATACCCAACCCTGTACAGGTCCCAGTGTGTGATGTTCCCCTCCCTATGCCCATATGTTCTCATTGTTCAACTCCCACTTATGAGTGAGAACATGCGGTGTTTGGTTTTCTGTTCCTGTGTGTTAGTTTGCTGAGAATGGTGGTTTCCAGCTTCATCTATGTCCCTGCAAAGGACATGAACTCATTCCTTTTCTGGCTGCATAGTATATGGTGAATATGTGCCACATTTTCTTTATCCAGTCTATCACTGATGGGCATTTAGGTTGGTTCTAAGTCTCTGCTATTGTGAATAGTGCTGCAATAAATATAACAGTGCATGTGTCTTTATAGTAGAATGATTTATAACCCTTTGGGTATATACACAGTAATGGGATTGTTGGGTCAAATGGTATTTCTAGTTCTAGATCCTTGAGGAATCAAGGATCACACTGTCTTCCACAAAGGTTGAACTAATTTACACTCCCACCAACAGTGTAAAAGCATTCCTATTTCTCCACATCCATTCCAGCATTTGTTGTTTCCTGACTTTTTTTTTTTTTTTTTGAGACAGAGTCTTGCTCTGTCACCCAGGCTGGAGTGCAGTGGCGCGATCTCGGCTCACTACAAGCTCCGCCTCCCGGGTTCATGCCATTCTCCTGCCTCAGCCACCTGAGTAGCTGGGACTACAGGCGCCCACCACCACGCCCGGCTAATTTTTTGTATTTTTAGTAGAGACAGGGTTTCACCATGTTAGCCAGGATGGTCTCGATCTCCTGAACTCGTGATCTGCCTGCCTCAGCCTCCCAAAGTGCTGGGATTACAGGCATGAGCCACTGCGTTTACTGACTTTTTAATGATCTCCATTCTAACTGGTGTAAGATGGTATCTCATTGTGGTTTTGATTTGCATTTCTCTAATGACCAGTGATGATGAGCTTCTTTTCATATGTGTGTTGGCCACATAAATATCTTCTTTTGAAAGTCCCTGTTCATGTCCTTTGTCCACTTTTTGATGGGGTTGTTTGTTTTTTCTTGTATATTTGTTTAAGTTCTTTGTAGATTCTGGATATTACTCATTTGTCAGATGGATAGATTGCAAAAATTTTCTCCCATTCTCTAGGTTGCCTGTTCACTCTGATGATAGTTTCTTTTACTATGCAGAGGCTCTTTAGTTTAATTAGATCTCATTTGTCAATTGTGGCTTTTGTTGCCATTGCTTTTGGTGTTTTAGTTATGAAGTCTTTGCCCATGCCTATATCCTGAATGGTATTGCTTAGGTTTTCTTCCAGGGTTTTTATGGTGTTAGGTTTTAAGTTTAAATCTTTAATCCATCTTGAGTTAATTTTTGTATAAGATGTAAGGAATGGGTCCAGTTTCAGTTTCCTGCATAAGGCTAGCCTGTTTTGTCAACACCATTTATAAAATAGGGAATCTTTTCCCCATTGCTTGTTTTTGTCAGGTTTGTCAAAGATCAGATGGTTGTATATGTGTGGTGTTATTTCTGAGGCCTCTGTTCTGTTCCATTGGTCTATATATCTGTTTTGGTACCAGTACCGTGCTGTTTTGGTTGCTCTAGCTTTGTAGTATAGTTTGAAGATAGGTAGCATGATGCCTCCAGCTATGTTCTTTTTGCTTAGGATTGTCTTGGGTATACAGGCTCTTTTTTGTTTCCATATGAAATTTCAAGTAGTTTTTTCTAATTCTGTGAAGAAAGTCAGTGGTAGCTTGATGGGGATAGCATTGAATCTATAAATTACTTTGGGTAGTATGGCCATTTTCACGATATTGATTCTTTGTATCCATCAGCATGGAATGTTTTTCCATTTGTGTCCTCTCTTATTTCCTTGAGCAGTGGTTTGTAGTTCTCCTTGAAGAGGTCCTTCACTTTCCTTGTAAGTTGTATTCCTATGTAGTTTATTCTCTTTGTGGTAGTTTTTAATGGGAGCTTGCTCATGATTTGGCTCTCTGTTTGACTATTATTGGTGTATAGAAATGCTTGTGATTTTTGCACATTGATTTTGTATCCTGAGACTTTGCCGAAGTTGCCTATCAGCTTAAGGAGTTTTGGGGCTGAGACAACGGGGTTTTCTAAATATACAATCCTGTCTTCTGCAAACACAGATAATTTGACTTCCTCTCTTCCTATTTGAATACCCGTTATTTCTTTCTCTTGCCTGATTGCCCTGGCCAGAACTTCCAATACTATGTTGAATAGGAGTGGTGCAAGAGGGCATCCTTGTCTCGTTCCAGTTTTCAAAGGGAATGCTTGCAGCTTTTGCCCATTCAGTATGATATTGGCTGTGGGTTTGTCATAAATAGCTCTTATTATTTTGAGATATGTTCCATCAATACCTAGTTTATTGAGTGTTTTTAGCATGAAGGGGTGTTAAATTTTATCAAAGGCCTTTCCTGCATCTATTGAGAGAATCATGTGGTTTTTGTCATTGGTTCTGTTTATGTGATGAATTACATTTATTGGTTTGTGTATGTTGAACCAGCCTTGCATCTCAGCGATGAAGCCAACTTGATTGTGGTGGATAAGTTTTTTGACGTGCTGCTGAATTCAGTTTGCCAGTATTTTATTGAGGATTTTTGCATGGATGTTCATCAGGGATATTGGCCTGAAATTTTCCTTTTTTTGTTGTGTCTCTGCCTAGTTTTGGTATCAGGATGATTCTGGCCTCATAAAATGAGTTTGGGAGGTCCCTGTTTTTCTATTGTTTGAAATAGTTTCAGAGGAATGGTACCAGCTCCTGTGGTATAATTTAGCTGTGAATCCATCTGGTCCTGGGCTTTTTTTGGTTGGGAGATTAGTAATTACTGCAGAACTTGTTATTGGTCTATTGAGGGATTCGACTTCTTCCTGGTTTAGTCTTGGGAGGATGTATGTGTCCAGGACTTTGTCCATTTCTTCTAGATTTTCTAGTATATTCGTGTAGAGGTGTTTATAGTATTCTCTGATGGTAATTTGTATTTCTGTAGGATCAGTGGTGATCTCCTCTTTATTATTTTTTATTGTGTTTATTTTATTCTTCTCTTCCTTCTAACAGCCAAGCCCCTCTGCTGCAGGTCTGCTGGAGTTTGCTGGGGTCCATTCCAGACCCTGTTTCCCTGGGTATCACCAGTGGAGGCTTCAGAACAGCAAAGATTTCTCCTTCCTCTGGAAGCTTTGTCCCAGAGGGAGACCCTCCAGATGCCAGCCAGAGCTCTCCTGTATGAGGTGTCTGTCGACCCTTGCTGGGAGATGTCTCTTTGTCAGCAGGCATGGGGGTCAGGGAGTCACTTGAGGAGGCAGTCTGTCCCTTAGCAGAGCTCGAGCACTGTGCTGGGAGAACCGCTGCTCTATTCAGAGCTGGCAGGCAGGAACGATTAAGCCTGCTGAATCTGCACCCATAGCCGCCCCTTCCCCAAGGTGCTCTCCAGGGAGATGGGAGTTTTATCTATAAACCCCTGACTGGGGCTGCTGCCTTTCATTCAGAGATCCCCTGCCCAGAGAGGAGGAATCTAGAGAGGCAGTCTGGCCTACAGCCGCTTTGCTGTGCTGCGGTGGACTCTGCCCACTCTGAACTTCCTGGCAGCTTTGTTTACACTGTGAGGGGAAAACCGCCTACTCAAGCGTCAGTAATGGCAGATGCCCCTCCCCCCACCAAGCTTGAGAGTTCCAGGTCGACTTCAGACTGCTGTGCTGGCAGCGAGAATTTGAAGCCATTGGATATTAGCTTGCTGGGCTCCATGGGGGTGGGATCTGCTGAGCAACACCACTTGGCTCTCTGGCTTCAGCCCCCTTTCCAGGGAGCTAAATGGTCTGTTTCACTGGCATTCCAGGAGCCACTAGGGTATGAACAAAAACTCCTGCAGCTAGCTTGGTGTCTTACAAAACAGCCGCCCAGTTTTTTGCTTGAAACCCGGGACCCTTGTGGTGTAGGCACCCTAGGGAATCTCCTGGTCTGCGGGTTGTGAAGACCGTGGGAAAAGCATAGTATGTGGGCTGGATAGCACCGTCCCTCACGGCACAGTCCCTCACAGCTTCCCTTGGCTAGGGGAGGGAGTTCCCCGACCCCTAGTGCTTTCTGTGTAAGGCGATACCCACCCTGGTTCTGTTCACCCTCCATGGGCTGCACCCACCGTCTAACCAGTCCCAATGACATGAACTGGGTACCTCAGTTGGAAATGCAGAAATCACCTGCCTTCTGCATTGGTCTCGCTGGGAGCTGTAGACCTGAACTGTTCCTATTCAGCCACCTTGCCTGGGAATCTCAAATATTTTTGTTAATTAAATAATGTCTTTGAACTTAAAGCTTTTGGATACATCTTCTGCCCTGTCCCTTGGAGATCATTTAATTTTTCAACACTTCACATTTAAGAGTTGTAGTTTGCTGAAGATAGTCGTGTTGTATTTTAACCACTTTCACACATTTTACTGTGTTCTCTTCTCCGTAACCCTCTCATCACTGCTTTTCTTAATAGTCTTTCTTTTATATGTTGTCTGCTTTTTAGTCTTTTATTCTTATTTTTTATTTTGCTATTTTTCTTTTCCTTTTATCCTTAGTCTTCTCAAAAGTGAGGAGCAATTTTAATGAAAGTAATTTTAAAGAGCCTTAAAAGGCTCGTTGCACTTCCCATGCGTTTAAGAATGTTAAGGAGAAGATGTAGCTTCCCCCCACTGTCTCTTGATACTGGAGCCTGATGAGTGATTGTGGAAATAGACCAATAGGCAAGATTTATCTTATTTGTCCTTTTCACTTACAAGTGAGGGGGGGTGGGGAATGGGCAAAACATTGTCTAAAAGAGCCAGTAAAATAACCAGATAATACTCTCTTTTAAAAGGAAATGAGAATGTATCGCCTGTCAAAGTATTAATCTGTGAATATCTATAAATTAAAAGCAGGCATAGTTGAAGCGAGGTTTTAAAAAGCTCTTCTATAGAATTATAGAAGCACATGAGGCTAAGAAAGAATGTATAATGTGTAGTTTGAATTTTGGCTGAAAGAAATATTGACTTGCTTCCTTTTTTTAGGATGACTTTGGAGATAAGGGAATATTGATCTGAGAAGATATACATGTTGTAAAATCTAAGAAATATCTTTCTGTCATCACCTTCATGAACTTGGTGTTCTAAAGTAATTTCAGAACAGATTTAGAAGTTACTGGGGAACAGAAATAGCCACTGGACATTAGATTTCATTCTTCAGTATACAGAACAATGGAACTAGTGAACACCTGCCAGATACTTTTCCAACTTTTAATAAGTCCCCATGTGTAATAATTTTATTAGTCTTGAAAAAAGTATATATCCTCTACATTCAAATTCATAGCTACGAATTGTATTGTAAAATACAAAACAAGAAACCTGTGTTTAAACTCTCATCAGATCCAAACGTTTGTTGTCACTATTAGCATACCTGTCATAATAGCAATGAACCTCTGTGCTCTGGCAAGACCAGTGAGATATATGTAGATAAATATATAAAAACAATTACATAGAATAATATGGTATAAATTAAAGGGAACCCTAAAGTTTTTCTATTCTGCAAGTGTCTTCCTCACCACCTTGAGTTAAGATTTTGTATCTCCAGAAAGAATTTATTAGAATGAGATATGTTATCTGGGGAATATAACAACTTTGTAATCCCAATTAGCAAATTAACACTAAGCTAATTAAAGAGAAAGTCAGTAGAGAAATCCAGGACTTCTTTGAAGTCTATGGCCTCTTTTTCAGAGATGGTTTTAAATGTATAAAATGAAGCACACAGAAACTTAATTGTAATAAAATAATTACAAAATATTTTAAAATATTTTATATAATAATATACATATATGTACATTAATATACACTAATACATATATACACATTACTGAATAATTAAGTAAGCAGGGGGCTAATTAATTCTGGTAATTTTGAAAAGGAGTGATTATAAGCAATATTATGAGATATTCATAACGTTTAAACATGACCTTAAAATATATGTGATTTTTATTAATGACAAAATCAGAAATTATTTATGCCTATCTTTATGGTTGAAAAAAGTACTATATTTTATTTAGTAGATCAGTGAAGATAAAGGTGTAATTTCTTTTTTTATTTCAAGATCACAAACTGAATTATATCTGTGTACCAGAATAGGAACCCTGCCTTGTAGGTTGAAATTTACAAGTACATAGCAAACGGGCAGGGAAGAAGATGTAGTCTGCTCCCTTATGCTACTGGACAGCAAAATGGAGGGCTTAATTTGAAGCTTGGTTATTTTATTAGGCCATTCCTGCATTGCTATCAAGAAATACCTGAGACTGGGTAATTTTTAAGAAAAGAGGTTTAATTGGCTCATGGTTCTTCAGGATGTACAGGAAGCTTGATGCTGGCATCTGCTTGGCTTCTGGGGAGGCCTGAGGAAACTCCAATTAAGGCAGCAGGTGAACAGGAAGTGGGCATGTTACATGGCCAGAGCAGGAGCAAGAGAGAGAGAAAGGAAGAGTGGGGTGCCACACACTTTTAAACAATCAGATCTCTTGAGAACTCACTGATTATTGCAAGGACGATACAAAGAGGATGGTGCTAAATCATTCATGAGAAATCCACCCCCATGATTTAATTTCTCCCCCCAGGCCCCAACTCCAACACTGGGGATTACATTTCAACATGAAATTTGTGTGGGGAACTATATCAGTTACCAAATACCAGCATGAAGGCAATGAACTCTAAGATTAAATTCCAAATGGGAAGGAGTGGGTATAAATAGCAAAATGTCATTAGTCAATTAATTTATTGACAATAACAAATATCTTCTCATTTTAAATGTGTACTATAAGGTGTAATGGATACTGAAAAAATAAAAATAAAAAAAACATGGCCAGGCTTGGTGGATCACACCTGTAATCCCAGCACTTTGGGAGGCCAAGGCAGGAGGATCACCTGAGGTCAGGAGTTTGAGACCAGCCTGGCCAACAAAGTAAAACCCCATCTGTACTAAAAATACAATAATTAGCCAGGTGTTGTGGCATATTCCTGTAGTCCCAGCAACTCCAGAGTCTGAGGCAGGAGAATCACTTGAACCTTGGAGTTGGAGGTTGCAGTGAGCTGAGATCACGCCATTGCACTCCAGCCTGGGTGACAGAGCAAGACTCCGTCTCAAAAAATAAATAGAAATAAAAATAAAAATAAAACACATAGATCTTATCCTTCAACTTGTAACTTGATGTCTTTTTAAGGTACAAAAATTATTAAAGTATATTAAGGTGCCGCACAATAGCTATGTGATGTCTATGTATGTCTATGTGTGCTTTCACTACTTTCTATAAATTAAAATTAACTTTTATGAATTATAGAGAAACTTGACAAATTTTGATCTGTTGAATGAGGCACTACCTTATTTTAGCCTAATAATTAAGGGGCATAAAAATGGTTTGGGCTATGTGGCATCAATACATATTTTCAGAATATTCAGAATTTGATGGAATGAATTACTATGAAAACTGCATGTTAGATGACTCTAATATCATGAAAAACTTGGATATTTCTTGACAAAATAATCATAGGGTGTTCACAATTTTAATGGGAAATGTATACTTTATCCTTTCATTTCATATGTATATATTCCCTTAGGAATCTTTATTAGTTGATATCTGCTCTATAAAACATCGTTTGCACTTAAACTGAAAAAAAATGCACCTACAATTTCAATAAAAATCAATGAGATAAGACAGTGAGACAAAGGCCAAATTTATATTTAGTGATATGCCATCTATTGAATAAGGGAAATCAGTATTCCTTTTGGCTTTGTAATTCTACTTAACATGCTACCCAAAGGAAATAATCACAGATGAGTATTTAACTTGGCTTTTCAAATTATGCGTTGTTTGCATATCGTGAAAAATACATCACTAGACACCAATGTGTGAGCAACATAGATATTCACTGATCTCGGATTGCATTATAAATCACCATGAATGAATCACTAATTATTGAAAATTAGGTTCAAAGTTTAACAGTGTGGAGACTTCAATGTTCAAACCAAAAACCCCAGTGTATCTATACATCTCTCTGTCTTTGTCTCTCTTTTTTGTATCTCCCAAATACACACGCATACAAACATAAGTATCTTCAATCAAAAAATAAAGTGTGGCCGGGCGCGGTGGCTCACGCCTGTAATCCCAGCACTTTGGGAGGCCGAGGCGGGTGGATCATGAGGTCAGGAGATCGAGACCATCCTGGCTAACAAGGTGAAACCCCGTCTCTACTAAAAATACAAAAAAATTAGCCGGGCGCGGTGGCGGGCGCCTGTAGTCCCAGCTACTCGGGAGGCTGAGGCAGGAGAATGGCGTGAACCCGGGAAGCGGAGCTTGCAGTGAGCCGAGATTGCGCCACTGCAGTCCGCAGTCCGACCTGGGCGACAGAGCGAGACTCCGTCTCAAAAAAAAAAAAAAAAAAAAAAAAAAAAAAAAAAAAAAAAAAAAAATAAAGTGTAAGTAGTAGTTAGATATTATCAGAAGTGTGATTTTAATTTTTCATTCCCCCCCTCAGAGTGTATATCTGTTAATTTCATTATAAAAACAATAGTTTAAAAAATCAAATAGTGTTAAATTTAAAAATTAAGATGTTACTATGATGATAACTTTGCTTGGAAGAATATACAGCCCTGCAGGTCATAGTTAAAGAGCCTGAGTTCAGGAGACACCTATATGAACTGTATCTTTGTAGATAATCAATATGATAACAATCAAAATAGTTTTTAAACGTTTCAAGACTTTTACACAGGAAAACCCCTAAGATTAAAAGAGGTAATACCTCTATACAGTAAATTGTCTAAACAATTAAAAAATTGAGAAAAAATGATGAATTCATTGACTAATCCATGATTTTTGTCAAATATCAGTATAGTTTCATTTTACTTTTGTTGCGTGCATTACATCAAAATTGCCTAGAATAAGAATATTGGCCAAGCAGATCATATTCCCTTGCAAATGAAACTTCCTCTAAAAATGTAACTAAAGTACCAAGAAGAATTTAGTCAATATTTATATGTTTATTCTATATGTCTTAGAAAATAATTTTCTTTCCAAATAACTGTAATGGTAGATGTTTTACTTTATAGAACATGTTTTAAAACCTTAAAAAAATCTGACCAGAAGTTTGCTTTTTTATTATTATTGCTTTGAGCTTATGGAGTTAATCGATTTCTTTTTCCTCAAAGCAATTACATTATCCAATCTATTTTTTTTTTTACATTTCATTTTCTCTTATTAAGATGTAGTTCAAGAACTTTTACCTTGGATAGTGCCATGTAACTAATTACAAGCATCATTATTAAGTGACAGTTTTAAGTATTTCTTAGAACTATAAAAAAGTAGAAACCATAACATTGACCCAGTAACATAGTAACTTAATAAGTGGTTTCTTTATTTAAAGTCTTTTTTGGTGTTCATGTGTCCCTCCATCCCTATCCACTGTTCCATGTAGGTAATGGCAAATTCTAGTAGCAATTGTTTTGGGAAAGTACACCTCAAATTTCATGTATAAAGGATTTGGTACACTATTCTAGTAATGGAATCCAGCCATACCTTATTGTTTATATTGCAATTTCATTTCCAACTCTCAGAACACAATTGACACTGTGTAGGTAACAATGATATACACAAATATTTAGAGAGTGAAAGTCAAATTCATGTGTAACGAGTTTAAAGTGTGAAACGTTAATGCTAATTTTAAGAATCTTTATGAATCAACAGAGTAAAATTTTTTCACAAGTTTAATATGTGAAAAAAATTACATGGCGAAAATTAATAGCTCTTCAATAACACTTGTTTTGAAAACTTGAATTCGTTCCAATGTGATTGACATTTCAAGGCAACAGTTTGAGTGTAGTGGAATTTTGCCTTTGTTTATACCCGACTCTCCCAACCATAGACAATGTGAACTCAGACAACTGTACTCTGTTGAATCTAGCTGAATAGAAGTATGCAAAAATACTCACATGCAAATATCCTACCAGCTACCTCAGTTCACCATGCATGTCAGGGGACACACCCATTGACATCTACTGTGACAACTGTCCATCAGATTTCAGATCCTCCTTGTTCCTCCTCTACACAATAACTCACAAGCCGCAACCCTTCTGATATACACTTCCAAAAGCACACTTGAGGTTTTTCTCAAGATAAAGTTCCATAATCATTGTGATATTTATGCATTCCTTAAGTGTTTAACATGTGCAAAACTGTACTATCATTTTTGTTAGATTTTGTTCTTTTTGTTTCATGTGCCACTGACAATTTTTTTTTTTTTTTTTTTTTTTTTTGAGATAGAGTTTTGCTCTTGTTGCCCAGGCTGGAGTGTAATGGCACGATCTCGGCTCACCGCAACCTCCGCCTCCCGGGTTCAAGCGATTCTCCTGCCTCAGCCTCCCGAGTAGCTGGGATTACAGGCATGTACCACCATGCCCGGCTAATTTTTTTGTACTTTTAGTAGAGAAAGGGTTTCTCCATGTTGGTTTGGCTGGTCTCAAACTCTCGACCTTAGGTGATCTACCCGCCTCAGCCTCCCAAAGTGCTGAGATTACAGGCGTGAGTCACCGCACCCAGCCAGTGACAAAATTCTTAACTGTTATGCCCCTAACTTTATTTTTCCCTACAAACGTCGTAGTTCCTTATAGCATGATATTATTGCATGGTCCTGCCAACAGTGATTTTTTTTTTAGTAACACACATACCATATTAGAGCAGAACTGAATGTAATTATTTAAGTTTTTCCATTTTAATGCATTCACATTTTTCAAATATTAGAAAGATTAAAAAGATATAGTACAAATTCTTCCTCTATTTCTGTCCCCATATTCATTAATTTTCATAAACCTGTCCTATTAATTCGTTTTTTATTCTTGGAGAGATAGTTTTGTGTGTACAGAAGGGAGTATTTCCTTTCATGTGTTTACCAACATTACCTTTCTCTTCTCACATACTTTTCTGCATCTCATTTTTTTTATTGAATGTATCTTGAAGATTTTTTAAAACACAGAAAGCTTTCTCATGCTATTGAATGTTTATATAGTATAATATATATAAACAGTTTCCTGTCAATGAAGATTTCCATTAGCAATTCAATCTCAAGTTATTACAAACAATAATGTAATAAATGACTTTGAACTTCTGTATGTTGTACATGTGCCAATATATACATGGGTTAAATTTCTAGAACTAAAATTGCTAGGGCAAAGCGTGTGATGTATTAGAAAGTTTGATAGGACTGCAGGATCTCCCTACAAAATAGGTTTGTGACATTTTAAACTCCCACTTGTAATGAATGACACTGGATGTTTTCTCACAGCTTTTAATGTTACCATTTTGCAATATGCTTTTCAATACACATTAGATAAATATGATTTCTTCAATACTTTAAGAGGTTATATGCACTGTATTGTTAATCCTCTATGCTAGCACTTCCCACATAATGTTTCACAGGATACCAATATGGATCAAAATACTCAACAGATGTTTTTCTGAAACAAAAAAACATTACTGGACCAAAAATAGTTTTAAAAACCTTGAATAGAGCATTTTTCCCCAAGAAATTGTCAAAACATTTAACATAATAATGTGACTCTCAAAGATAAAAATAAAAATGAAATATTTTCTAAAACATTTAACTATGGAAAGCATAGTAGCATTACATAGACTGCTAACATTTCTTAGAATTTAATGTAGAATAAAAGAAAAGGTGTATATCACCTTTGGCATGTTGGGAAGATATATATATAAGCATATAATTATTTGGGGTTATAATTTGTCCACATGTTAGCTTTTCTCTAAGTTAACCAAATATTTCAACTAAGCAAATATTTCACACAAATTATTAATCTTGATTGATATATCATGTTTAATATATGCAGTCATAGAGAATAACACATTATAAGTCAAATAATACTTTTTCACAAATACCAATTTTTTTTGGTACAGTATGTGGGCATTAGTTACAGGACAAGAATTCTGCCACCCTAGTCACTGTAGTTCACAAAGGTGACTGGGTGAAAATATACAACGTATCAGTAAATAAGTAGCCATCTTTCAGAGGACAGTCAGGAAATAATATTTTACTTTAAGTGCATATTATTGGCAAAGAATCATATGTAAGAGAAACTGCTCAGAAACATATTTTCTTTTTACATTTCTTTCGTACTATTTCATCCTCTTCACCAACTAGCCTTACTTAGTAGCTTTCAATCTTCTAAGCAAAGCAAGTTTGTTTATCCTCTATGGTCTCATAATCCTTCTTATCTACATTAATTATAGCTAATATATTAATGTATTTATGTGATGCAATCTCTGATTGTTGTTTAAATTGTGTGGACCCTTCCAAGTTTAAACCATTTTTTTTTTTTTTTGAGACGGAGTCTCCCTCTGTCACCCAAGCTAGAGTGCAGTGGCGTGATCTCGGCTCAGCAAGCTCCGCCTCCCGGGTTCATGCCATTCTCCTGCCTCAGCCTCCCGACTAGCTGGGACTACAGGTGCCCGCCACCACGCCCGGCTAATTTTTTTGTGTGTTTTTAGTAGAGACGGGGTTTCACCGTGTTAGCCAGGATGGTCTCGATTTCCTGACTTCGTGATCCGCCCGCCTCAGCCTCCCAAAGTGCTGGGATTACAAGCGTGAAGCCACCGCGCCCGGCCAGGTTTAATCTTAATTTATGTTTGTGTCTCACTCCAGTGAAGGAGGCTGGAATTGAAGCAGAAGAAAAGATGAATATTTATTTATATCCATCATTTACCTGGGAAGATGTGAAGTAAACATGTATTCAGTATTCTATATAAAATTAAAATATAAATTTAACATTTTTGTAGGAATTCTGTAAAAGAGGTATTTATATCTTTTTCTATAGTAACTAGCATAAAATATAGGCTACATAAATGTTCTTTGAATTAATAAAGTACCTCTCTTTACTCAAGGATTCAGTTTATAAAATTATTCTGCTTTATTTGTGTTAATGATATACAATATTCAGGAAGGATACATAGTAACCATTCTTGAAAATATTTTCTGGGAAATATAAACTAAGGTAGAAATCACATTAATAATAATGATATTGATATAAATTACATAAGAATTCAAACGCTTTGTGTTTTTTAAATAATTGGGCTATTTTAAAAAATTTGCTCAACTAAGAATAATTCTTTAATTGAAATCTTATGCAAAGGTTTTTGATGTGAGAAACTTATAGATTTCTAGATGTAATTTAGAATCCTAGGTGAAATTTCCCTATTCTTCATCAAGAATACCTATTGTATTTATCTATTATTATTGATATCCATTATATCAACTTTGTATAGGGAGAAGTTTTTGGAAATATCCTAACAATGAAATGATAAGTGACTCTAAGATGAATATCCCATCAGTGTTCTCTAGGCAATTTTCTTCATCAATTTCTACATTTATTCTGGAAAGCACGTTAGTAACTAACCAATGTCAACTTTTTAGTGAATTAAAAATTACTTAAAACTTATTTTATTTCTTTGTACTGATATGTACTTTAATACTGAGTATAATTTTTCTCATCTCACACAAACTATTTTCATTTACTTGACATTAAATGTGCCAGCATCAATGTCCTTCAGCTAAAGAACACCATGGAAAACAATTAACACTGGCCAAAATAAAGTACAAGAGAAAACATTCAAGTTGATTCACATAGGAGAGGAGGTTTTACGTTCAGTTGTAATTGAGTTTCTGGGATTCACTTCTATCTCAAATAGGTAGTTATATATCTGGATCATGGATTTAAAGCATGGGATTGGGAGAGCAATTTTGATTTGGAATTCACTTTTAAATGGTATTGCAGGAGCTAAATGTGGCGGTTGGGTTGTCCATTAGAATACGCAAAATATGAAAAGAAGATGGTAAGACAGGTGAACACTAAAGACAACTTCTCTTCAGAAGCAACTAGTCTGGAATGTTTTCACACTGTTACATTTGCACTTTATATTGTTCTTCTATTTTCCCTTGATATTTTTTTAACATTTGATTTTTTTTTGAGATTTTGTTTTTGTTAATATCAACCTATTTCAACTTTGCTCAAGGAAAAAGAGACAGATCACACTGTGTAACAGAGCATTAGAAGCTGTATCCAACTATAGCCCCAAGAGCCTGAAAGTTTGTGGAAACTAGAATCAAAGCTCAAGAATCCTGAGGAGCAAATTTTAAATTCACTGGACAAAGTTAAGGTCATTTTGTCAGTTTTTTGTTTTTGTTTTTGTTTTTGTTTTTGCCTCCTGTCTGGTAAGATTCTTCTACCAGGGTCATAAACATTCACAAGTAGGCAGAAACACTTTAAATTATTCATCTACTTTTATCAGGTAAATTCTTAAAGGTCATTGACAACTTTTGTTCTAAAAAACAGCCACAATACAATGCAACAGTTATAAGCAAGCTTACCAATTGCTATTCAACTGGTCTTGTTTGCACATATAGATTTAAAAAGCCCTCAAGGAAAGATTACCTGTAATACATACACACACATACACACATATGTATAATTACTATATATTTCCTAGAGATCCAAGTATAGTGGAAAGCATGCAGTAATCACACAATAAACATTGCACAATCACCTGTTTGGTTATTAATTAATTTTAGCCCATCAACTTCATATTTGAGGAAAGAAAAAAGGCAGGAACTATAAGAATAAAAATATAGCTCAGGTAAGTGTTTTCATTTTTGTGTTTGACTCATAATTTTATTATTTTATTCTTTTTTTTTAGCTCTTCTAAACAAATATTTGAAGTATTACATAGTATTTGAAGTATTACATAGTATTTGGTCAACCACTTGTGGATGACCATTGTATTAATTTTAAATTGTTTAGTTTGTTGAAAATATATGAAAATTATCCATTTTAACAATGTTCTGAAGATGTTTGAGCTAAGTGCAGAAATGGGACAAACAATAGCTGTAAATAACTATAAAATCTCACTTTAGTTTGAGTCAATATCTGAGAAAAAAAGAATGGAGTAAAAGCACAGAAAGCAAAACTTAGCTTAGAAAATATTTCCTAATTCAAAAAATGAACAAGTCAGATTCTGTAAAGATATCCAGTGAAATCTTGAAGAAATATTGTATTGATTATTAATTAATCTGATTGGAAAGTGATCTTGGGTTCACAATGAGGTTGTTGAACAAGTAGCATTTTCATACAATTGCAAACCAATTCAATGTTTTTGCATACACTGTTTACATTTCTTTTCAAAATTTGATTTCTTCTTCGTGATCCTAGTCAAATTCTGCCTTCTCAGTAAATCTTTATCAAGTTTGCAGACACCTCCACTGAGGCAAAATAACTACTTTTCAGTGGGTCTGTAAAATTTTATATGATTAACTACTATAAATGCATTCCATCAGTTGATTATTAACTATCTTTAGACAAGATTGAAATTTCACAGGGTCAGAATAATGTGTTATTCATCTTCGCTTTCCCAGTGATTAACGTGTGGTTGTTTAATTACTGAATGAAGTTTTAAAATTCAGTAATTAAAATATTTTTAAATTTTATTGTAATTTGACAAACTATAATTGCATATATTTATGGGGTAAAAAGTGATATTATGATACATGTATACAATTTGGAACAATTAAAGCAAGACAATATATCAAATACCTCAAATACCGTTTTTTGTTGTGAGAACACTTGAAATTTACTCTCAGTGATTTTGAAATGTATTAATTCAATACATTATTATTAACTATAGTCATTATGCTGGGCAATAAATCTCAAAAGCTTATTCCTTTATCTAACTGAAGCTTTGCACCCTTTGACCATCATCTCCCCATTCCTTCCACACCCAGCTTCTGGTAACCACCATTCTACTCTCTACATATATCAGTTTCATTGTTTTAGGTTCCACATTAAGTGAAATCATGTGGTATTTTTCCTTTGGTGCCTGGTTTACAAAGAAACTGTTGAAGAGCAGTTTCATTTATTTCACTTAGCATAATGTTTTCCAGGTTCTTTCATGTCGTTGCAAATGTCAGAATTTTCTTCTCTTGTAATAACGACTAGTATTTCACTGCGTATGTGTACCACATTTTCTTTCCCCACTCATCTGTTGATGGACAATTAGGTTGATTCCATAACTTGGCTATTGTAAATAATGCTGCAATAAACACAGGAGTACAGACACCACTTCAACATGTGGATTTCAAATCCTTTTGATATATACCCATGAATGAGATTTCTGGATGGAAAATAAAACTAGAAAGGCAAAAATAGAAAGGTAATTCTATTTTTATTTTTTTAAGGAATCTCCATAATGTTTTCTATAATGCTTATACTAATTTATATTACCAATAGTACACAAAGATCTAATTTCTTCACATCCTTGCCAACACTTGTTATCATTTGACTTTGTGATAATCATTCTAACAGGTGTAAGATAATATCTCATTTTCGTTTTAATTTCTATTTCTCTAATGACTAGTGTTGTTGAGCATTTTGTCATATACCTGTTGGCCATTAGTATGTGTTCTTTTGAGTATGTCTATTCAGATATTTTGCCTGTTTTTAATTATTTGTTTTGTTACTACTGAATTGTTGGAGTTTCTTATACATTTTGGATATTTACCCTCCATCAGATGTATGTTTTACCAATATTTTCTATAAATCTGTATGTTGTGCCTTTACTCTTACTTGTTTCCTTTGCTGTGCAGAAGCTTTTTTGATTGATGTAATTTCATGTATTTATTTTTGCTTTTATTATCTCTGATTTTAGGTTTATATATAAAAAATCATTTTTTAAGCTCAATGACATCAAATGACAGTGATTGATGTCATTGAGCTTTCCCCCCTGTTTTATTCCTATTTTTATAGTTTCAGGTTTTACATTTAAGTTTTTAAACCACTTTGAGTTGATTTTTGTAGCTGGTGTGAGGTAAGGTCTAATTTGTTTCTTCTGTTTGTGGATATCTGGTTGTCCCAATACCATCTATTGAAGAGACTGTCCTTTTACTATTACGTGTTCTTGGCACTTTTGTCAAAAATCAATTGACTGTAAATGTGTGGATTTATTTCTGGGCTCTCTGTCCTATTCCATTGTTTTTATGTTTGTTTTTATCCTAATACCATGATGTTTTGATTACTATAGCTTTGTTGTATATTTTGAGATCAGGTTGTGTGATGTCTCTAGCTTTGTTCAAGACTACTTTGGCTATTCAGGATCTTTTGTGAGTCTATGCAAATTTTCAGATTTTTTCTATTTCTATGAAGATTGTCATTGGAATTTTGATAAGTTTTGCATTAAATCTGTAGATTGCTTCAGATAGAAGGGGCATTTTAGCTGTTGAATGCCCTTAAGCTATACATATGTGGTCTGAGCAGGTTTAGAAACCTGTACACATATTGCTTTTGTTAAGATAAGCTCTGTGTCCTTAGGGAGCATCCAAGCATCCTTTTTCCTTGAGAAACAGCTGGTCATCTAGGAAGGTCCAACATGATGGAGGGCCAAGGGAGAGATATGGGGCTTTGGTGACTTTCCATTAAGGACTGAACCAAGACATGACAAAACAAGGAAAGACAAAACAAGGTAAGGCAAGACAAGAAAAACAAGCTTGGCAATTTCCTAAGAAAGCCTTCCAGCTTGGGAGTTTGGTTTTATCCAACAAAGATACAATCAACCACTTGCGAGCTCCCGAAATATTTCTAATTCCTTCTCATCTGTAAAGAATAGTTTAAGAATTGCAGAGTCAAAAACTTATTTTGGAATGGAAATGCATCTATGAGAGTCACTGTAAACTATAACCGACAGCAAGATGCAAGGTCACTCTCTATTGCTTTAGTCCAATACCATGTTCCATTTTTCCTTTTCAAAAATGTATAAATCTCACTTATAAACAACCTGTCATTTGTCAAATAAAACAAACTGCCTTAAAAGTCAAGGAAAAAATTAGGTGATTTATTCAGGCAAAAACTAACCAAAATATAAAATTCAGAAAAAATAAAAATGTAAAACTTTAATAGTTTTCATATTTTATGAAAACAAGAAAAGTTAAATCTCTTGAAGTTATTAGGGGCATTATATAAAAAGGCAACTTATTGCAACTATCTCTTTAGACAAAGGAGGGAGAGATTATTAATGAAACCATTTTTATAATCTAGTTTTTCGTAATGGAAAGAATTCGGCAGAGAAAGATTATTGTGTTTCAGCTCCTTAATATTGCATCCCGTTTTAACTTTCCTTGAATAGCAAATAGCTAAAGCGGTATACAGATGTGTTACCTTTGGCTTCATGGGAAATGCATATTTCAAGAACTTTAATCATCTAGAGAAGAAGTTTACCAAACTCAAAACAGCAGTTTTTGCTGTTTAATTTTTCTTACGAATAAGAAAGAATCTGAAAATAAAAAAGAAAAGAATTGCACAATAATTTAGGGTATTGTCCAAACCAACCCAATTATGATTCTGTCCGGGATATCGAAAACATAACTTTTTTGCTTAGTTAAAAAATGTGGTCTTTGTACCTTAACATTTTTTTTCTTTGACCCTCTACTATACTTGACCTTCTACTTTACTTAGTCCATGTAATCCTCATCAGCTTTCTCCCTCATTCTTTCCAACTAGGCACTATTCATTATTGTTAAATAAATTAAAGAAATAATATTGCCTGAGTTATTTACAAATATATATTACATCATCTCAATGTTTCTGGTTGTTAGTCAACATTTTGTTTTACCTTGTATTGCTTCCATTTTTATCAGACACCTTTTGTCCAATTAAGCTACTATATTGTTAACTATTTCAGAAGACTCCTTCACTTTACTGAGTGCTTTCATCTTTTCCTCTGTATTTCTAAATTTCCTATCTTTTGGCCTTTCTAGTCTGTCCTCAGTTTGCTTTAATTATTGCTGTAATTTTGATGTTCACTTCTTTGTAAATGATTCCTAAATATCAAGTTTTTTTTTTTTTTTTTTTTTTTGAGATGGAGTCTCATGCCATCGTGCAGGCTGGAGTGCAATGGAGGCTCACTGAAACCTCTGCCTCCCGGGTTCAAACGATTCTCCTGCCTCAGCCTCCCAGGTAGCTGGGATTACAGGCACCTGCCGCCACGCCCAGCTATTTTTTGTATTTTTAGTAGAGATGAGGTTTCGCCATGTTGGCCAGGCTGGTCTTGAACTCCTGACCTAGTGATCCGCCCTCCTCAGCCTCCCAAAGTGCTGGGATTACAGGCATGAGCCACCATACCCAGTTGCTCAAGCTCTTATCAGTCAACAGCTTTTATCTCATCAACTCTCACCATTTTGAGAAATATCTTGAAAACTATCTTCTGCATATTTCTGACTATAGGTGTTCTAGCTTTTCAAATTCAGTATTTTTTAAACTGAAATTTATCATACATTATGATGAAACTCTTAGTTATTCTAATTATGTTAATAGCATCACCAGATCAACCCAAGCTAGAAAGTTGAGATCTAGCTTGTCTAATTACTCCTTTCAACAATATTATCATATTGAATTGATCTCTTTAATCCCTAACTTATTGCAAGAATTTTCTGATATTCTCATGCTCAACATATTAGTTTAATTATTCTTGGACTATTGCAATAGACTTGACTCAAATTTGCCAACCTCAAATATATTTTATGCAGAATTGTAAGATTAATTTTTAAGACACAACCTTGTTAAAATCACCCCCTAGTCTAAATACATATCATGCCTTTCTGTGTCAATTAAATTCCCACTTTCTCTGCTGGAATTTGAATTATTCTGAAATCTTTTTGAAACATTCCCACTCTTTAGTGCACACTGTTGTTTACCTACCTGTTATGCGCATGCCTAATTGAAGAGACTACCCAAACAGGCTAAGTGTGAGCAATAAGGCTGTTTATTCACTCAGGTGCAAGTGGGCTGAGTCCGGAAAGGCAGTCAGTAAAGGGTGGTGGGAGTGGAACTGGTTTTATAGGTTTGGGGTAGGTAGTGGAAAGTTACAGTTAGGGGCAGCTTTTCGGGCAGGGGAAGAAAGTCACAAGGTGCATAGTCACCAGGTGGGGGGAGGCCACAAGGCACGATATCACAAGGTAGATTGATTAGTTAGGGTAGGGCAGGAACATATCACAATGGTGGAACGTTTCAAGGTCGGTTAATCCGTTATGGCAGGAACTAGCTGTTTCTTCTGTAGTGGTTCTCCTGTTGCTCCAGGCTTTGTGACTCCAGGAGACCTGTATGTGTGGGTCACAGGGGTCACAATGACTCGACCATGGTGGACCTTACGCTACCTACAGCCATTCCCCCATTCTTCCTTGCTAACAGATCCCCTATTTCAATTCTATCTCCAAAGACACCGGGAAAACCCTGATTAATTTAATCCAGAAAGTGTATAAGTTTCGACTATCCCCTTTACCAATGATTTGCTTGTAAATCAGTCCTATCCCAAGAGGGAAAGCCTGCTGTCATTATTGGGAAAGTTTTCCTAGCTAATCAAAAAAAGTCACACAGAAAAACACACCAACAAAAAACAACAATAAAAAACACAGCAACAATCTTATGTCTGCTGGACATTTTTATGTCTAATTATGACATCTAATATATGGCAGCCCTTTTACAACTGGGTGGGGTAGGGAGGGAGCTTGCCTGAGAAAATGAAATACTCTGAAAGTTGGAAAATAATCTCAAAAATCAAAAATATTTGGAATGTTAAGCCAATGGAATACCTTTCACTCGCGTCTGTTTGAAGAGACCACCAAACAGGCTTTGTGTGAGCAATAAAGCTGTTTATTTCACCTGGGTGCAGGTGGGCTGAGTCCGAAAAGAGTCAGCGAAGGGAGATAGGGGTGGAACCATTTTATAGGATTTGGGTAGGTAAAGGAAAAAGGGGGGTTGTTCTCTGACAAGCAGGAGTGGGGGTCACAAGGTGCTCAGTAGGGGAGCTTTTGAGCCAGGATGAGCCAGGAGAAGGAATTTCACAAGATAATATCATCAGTTAAAGCAGGAACCGGCCATCTGGATGTGTACGTGCAGGTCACAGGGGATATGATAGCTTAGCTTGGGCTCAGAGGCCTGACATTCCTGTCTTCTTATATTAATAAGAAAAATAAAATGAAATAGTGGTAAAGTGTTGAGATGGTGAAAATTTTTGGGGGTGGTATGGAGAGAGAATGGGCAATGTTTCTCAGGGCTGCTTTGAGCGGGATTAGGGGTGGCGTGGGAACGTAGAGTGGGAGAGATTAAGCTGAAGGAAGATTTTGTGGTAAGGGGTGATATTGTGGGACTGTTAGAAGAAACATTTGTCATTTAGAATTATTGGTGATGGCCTGGATACAGTTTTATATGAATTGAAAAACTAAATGGAATAAGAGAAGGAGAAAAACAGGTATTAAAAGTCTAAGAATTGGGAGGACCCAGGACATCTAATTAGAGTGCCTAAGGAGATTCAGCATAGTCCTGCCAGCAAAGATTATTTGTTTAAGAGTTAAGAGTGGCAGTTTGGGGATAGCACCAGGAGATATCAGCTGTGATGGCTTGGAGAAACAGTGTAAACCGGCAGTGGAAACAAGAGCAGGGCATGTATGAGTAGTTGAGAACAGTGAATAGGAGTATGACTAGGCAGAAGATAGTAGGGATGACAAGTTTTTTGGGGCACAGTCCGAGTTGGTCTGGTGTCTGGAATGAGACTGGGGCCTAATAAAAAGGAGCGTCTATACAGGAGCTCAAATGGGCTGTACCTTATAGCATTCTGAGGACAGGCCTGAATTCTGAGAAGGGAAATTGTCTAGTCCTTTTTAAGTTGGTGGCTGAGCTTGGTGAGGTGTGTTTTTAAAAGACCATTAGTTCACTGAATACTAGCAGCCTGAGAAACTGCTTGGGTGATTTGACTAGTAAAGGCCGGTCTGCTATTGGACTGTATAGAGGTGGGAAGGCCAAACTGAGGAATTACATCTGATAGAAGAGAAGAAATGACTGTGGTGGCCTCCTTAGGCCCTGTGGGAAAGGCCTCTACCTATCCAGTGAAAGTGTCTACCTAGACTAAGAGGTATTTTAGTTTTCTGACTCGGAGCATGTTGAGTAAAGCCAATTTGCCAGTCCTGGGTGGGGGCAAATCCCCGAGCTTGATGTGTAGGGAAGGGAGGGGGCCTGAATAATCCCCGAGAAGTAGTAGTATAGCAGATGGAACACTGAGAAGTTATTTCTTTGAGGATAGATTTCCACGATGGAAAGGAAATGAGAGGTTCTAAGAGGCGGGCTAGTGGCTTGTACTATAGCATAGCCTGCCTTTGCTGGTGTGTGGTGATTAGGCCTGGCAGAACTGCCATCAATAAACTAAGTGTGATCAGGGTGAGGAACAGGAAAGAAGGAAATGCGGGGAAATGGGGTGAATGTCAGGCGGAGCAGAGAGATACAGTCATGGGGATCAGGTGTGGTATCAGGAATAATGTGGGAGGCCAGATTGAAGTCTGGGCCAGGAACAATGGTAATTGTGGGAGACTCAATGAAGAGTGAGTATAGCTAAAGGAGCCTGGGAGCAGAAATTATATGCGTCAGGTGGGAGGAAGAAAATAGATTTTGGAAGTTATGAGAACTGTGGAGAGTGAGTTGAGCATAGTTTGTGATTTTTAGGGCCTCTAAAAGTATTAAAGCAGTGGCAGCTGCTGCACACAGACATGAGGGCTAGGCTAAAACAGTAAGGTCAAGTTGTTTGGGCAGAAAGGCTACAGGGTGCAGTCCTGGCTCTTGTGTAAGAATTCTGACCGCACTAACCATGCCTAGGAAGGAAAGGAGTTGTTTTGTAGAAGGGATTGGGGTTTGGGAGATTAGCCGGACACAATCAGCAGGGAGAGCACATGTGTTTTTATGAGAATTATGCTGAGATAGGTAACAGATGAGGAAGAAATCTGTGCTTGATTGAAGTAATGGGGGCTGTCTGTGAAGCTTTGCGGCAGTACAGCCTAGGTAATTTGCTGAGCCTGATGGGTGTCAGGGTCAGTCCAAGTGAAAGCGAAGAGAGGCTGGGATGAAGGGTGCAAAGGAATAGTAAAGAAAGCATGTTTGAGATCTAGAACAGAATAATGGATTGTGGAGGGAGGTATTGAGGATAGGAGAGTATATGGGTTTGGCACCATGGGGTGGATAGGCAAAACAATTTGGTTGATAAGGCATAGATCCTGAACTAACTTGTAAGGCTTGTCTGGTTTTAGGACAGGTAAAATGGGGGAATGGTAAGGAGAGTTTATAGGCTTTAAAAGGCCATGCTGTAGCAGGCGAGTAATAACAGGCTTTAATCTTTTTAAAGCGTGCTGTGGGATGGGATATTGGCATTGAGTGGGGTAAGGGTGATTAGGTTTTAATGAGATGGTAAGGGGTGCATGATCGGTCACCAAGGAGGGAGTAGAGGCATCTTATACTTGTGGGTTAAGGTGGGGGGATACAAGAGGAGGATTCAAAGGAGGCTTTGGATTGGGAAGAAGGGCAGCAATGAGATGTAGCTGTAATCCAGGAATAGTCAGGGAAGCAGATAATTTAGTTAAAGTGTCTCGGCCTAATAAGGGAACTGGGCAGGTGGGGATAGCTAAAAAAGAGTGCATAAAAGAGTATTGTCCAAGTTGGCACCAGAGTTGGGGAGTTTTCAGGGGTTTTGAAGCTTGCCCGTCAATACCCACAACAGTTATGGAGGCAAGGGAAACAGGCCCTTGAAAAGAAGGTAATGTGGAGTAGGTAGCCTCCGTATTGATTAAGAAGGGGATGGACTTATCCTCCACTGTGAGAGTTACCTAAAGCTTGGCGTCCGTGATGGTCTACGGGGCTTCCTAGGTGATCGGGCAGCGTCAGTCTTCAGCCACTAAGCTGAGAAGATCTGGGAAGGAGTCAGTCAGAGAGCCTTGGGCCAGAGTTCCAGGGGCTCTGGGAGTAGCTGCCAGGTGAGTTGAACAGTCCGATTTTCAGTGGGGTTCCACAAAGATGGGACATGGCTTAGGAGGAATCCTGGGCTGCGGGCATTCCTTGGCTTGGTGGCCAGATTTTTGGCACTCGTAGCAAGCTCCTGGGGGAGGAGGTTCTGGAGGAATGCCTGGCCACTGCAGTTCAGGCGTTTGGAAGTTCTTGTGTGCTGGAGATGTGGCTGGGGTTTGTCTCACAGTGGAGGCAAGGAATTGCAACTTTTCTCTATTATTATACACCTTGAAGGCGAGGTTAATTAAGTCCTGTTGTGGAGTTTGAGGGCCGGAATTTAATTTTTGGAGTTTTATTTAATGTCGGGAGCAGATTGGGTAAATAAAATGTATATTGAGAATAAGACGGCCTTTTGACCTTTTAGGGTCTAGGGCTGTAAAGCATCTCAGGGTTGCTGCCAAACAAGCCATGAACTGGGCTGGGTTTTTATATTTGATGAAAAAGAGCCTAAACACTATCTGATTTGGGATAAAGAAAAAGGAGCATTAACCTTGACTATGACTTTAGATCCAGCCACCTTTTTAAGAGGAAATTGCTGGGCAGGTTGGGGAGGGCTAGTCACAGAACGAAACTGTAAGCTGGACAGGGTGTGAGAAGGGGAGGTGATAAAAGGATTATAGGGTGGAGGAGCGGAGGCTGAGGAAGAATTGGGACTTAGCTTAGCCTGGTGAAGAGGGGAGAGGTCAGATAGGTCTGTAGAAAAGGAAGGTTAGAAAGACTCAGGGACACTTGGGGTTGGGACTGAGGGGACAGGCGGGAGGGAAAGAAGGAAGATTTGGGACAAGTTGCATTGGGAACAGGGACTAGGGAGGGCCCAATGTGTAAAAGAATGCCTGGATGTCAGGCACCTCAGACTGTTTGCCTATTTTATGACAAGAATTATTTAGATCTTGTAGGATGGAAAAATTGAAAGTGCCATTTTCTGGCTATTTGGAACTACTGTCGAGTTTGTATTGGGGTCAAGCGGCATTGCAGAAGAAAATAAGACACTTAGATTTTAGGTCAGGTGAGAGTTGAAAAGGTTTTAAGTTCTTAAGAACACAGGCTAAGGGAGAAGAAGGAGGAATGGAAGGTGGAAGCTTGCCCATAGTGAAGGAGCAAGCCCAGAGAAAAGAGAGTAGAGACATGGAGAAGGGGTGGGGGGTTCTTGCCCTCCAGAAAAGCAGAGAAGGGGTCGGGGGGGCAGAAATAAGGGGTTGGGGCACAGAGATAAGAGATTGGGATGCAGAGATAAGAGGTTGGGGCACGGAAATGAGGGATCAGGGTGCAGAGATAAGAGGTCAGGGTTCCTGCCCCTCCCCCAGAAAAGCGGGACTTGCCGCTAAGGGTGAAGGAGAAGGGGTTGAGGGGTTCTCGCCCCTCCCCCAGAAAAGCAGAGAAGGGGTAGAGACACGGAGAGAAGGGGTTGGGATTCTTGCCCCTCCCCCAGAAAAGCAGGACTTGCTGCTAAGGGTGAAGGACCAAGGCAGGCATCCTTGCGTGGTTTGACACCTCTGAAACCTGGGTGAATAATCAGAGAGGCATCCCTGCAATGATTAAACACCAAGGGAAGGCTGCCTTCCCTAGTCCGTGACTGGCACCAGAGTTTTGGGTCCACAGATAAAACGTGTCTCCTTTGTCTCTACCAGAAAATGAAAGGAATTGAAATTAAGAGAAGGGAGAGATTGAAGTGTGGCACCAAGATTGAAAGGAGAAAGAGTTTGAGGGATAGTGAGGGAGGTTGGAGAAGAGAGTAAAAAGAGGCTGCTTACCGGATTTGAAATTGGTGAGATGTTTCTTGGGCTGGTCAGTCTGAGGACCTGAGGTCATAGGTGGATCGTTCTCACAGAGCAAAGAGCAGAAGGACAGGGGATTGATCACCCAAGGGAGGTCCCCCGATCTGAGTCACGGCACCAAATTTCACTTGTGTTCGTGTGAAGAGACCATGAAACAGGCTTTGTGTGAGCAATAAAGCTGTTTATTCCACCTGGGAGCAGGTGGGCTGAGTCCGAAAAGAGAGTCAGCGAAGGGAGATAGGGGTGGGGCTGTTTTATAGGATTTGGGTAGGTAAAGGAAAAAGGAGGGTTGTTCTCTGGCAGGCAGGAGTGGGGGTCACAAGGTGCTCAGTAGGGGAGCTTTTGAGCCAGAATGAGCCAGGAGAAGGAATTTCACAAGATAAAGTCATCAGTTAAGGCAGGAACAGGCCATTTTCATTTCTTTTGTGGTGGAATGTCATCAGTTAAGGCAGGAACCGGCCATCTGGATGTGTACGTGCAGGTCACAGGGGATATGATGGCTTAGCTTGGGCTCAGAGACCTGACAATACCATTCCTGGAGAAGCCCCACTCATAAACTTCTTGTCATATAAAACAATATTGTGTTTTTGAAACTAGTTGAGTTTTCTATTATGTGTAGATGAAAGTTTACTGACAGGGACTCGTCCTATATTATGGTTTTACACAAAAATGCAGATGCCTGAGTTTACATTCAGTCTGCACCATTTACAAGGCATTCAACATTTGTAAGTTGTTTATCTCCAAGTTTCAGCTTTGACGTGAAAATTGGGGTAACAAATTAACTCTTAGGCTCATTATGAAGTTTAAATAGGTAAATACTAGTGATGCCTTTAAAATATTGCATGACCAGTGAAAATGCTCAATAAATACTAGGTATAATTATATTATTGTGGTTTTGTTTTTATTTACATTCACCCCACATGCCACAAACTTTGCCATATATGCTCACATCATTCTATACACCAGAAATGCTTCTTTCTTAACATCTCTATCCAAAGAAATCTGGCCCTTTTACAAATTCTGTTTAAATGCTACCTTGATTCTACAGACAAGAGTAAAAAATATTACATAAGTAAACATTCATTTTCTCCAAACTCCAACAGTACACTGTTAACACCTCTCTTGGCACATACTTTATTAAATCTTTTGTTACAGATATTCATGTAACTCATTTTCCCATTAAAGATATTAAGTTATTTTTATAGTCAGGTTATCCTGTAGTCACAAGGAAAATTCAATAGCTCAATGGCTTAACAAACCTCTCTTACACATGCAAATTCCAAGGCTGGTCAGACAGCCCGGCTTCATTTTTTAGGCAAGGAATCTTTATCATGTGTTTTTGTTTAACAGGAGACTTCCTGTTTCTGAGTCAAGAGAAGAAAGGAATGGACAAAGGACAATGACTTCTCACTGTTGGTGAGGAAATTGTACATCCCTTCCTTTTGTAATTCCTTGTCAAAACTACCATGGGGACCCAACTTAACTTTAAGGGTAGCTGAGATACGGAACATAGGACAGGAAATATTTGATGAATACTGCCTTTGCCACAGTTTGCTTTTCTGCTTTGCTGCCTTTTTCCACAGATTAAACCCAATTCAACCCTTTTCTGAGAGACACACCTCAAAGTCCCTTCCAGGCTTTATCCAGTTTAAATTCCAGGGTCCACATTTAATTTACAGTAGTTTCTCCATCAATCAGATGTCTAAGTTAACTGTCTCCCTCTCTCCCACCCCACGCAAACACATCCTTGGTAAAATATTGTATTAGCTTCCTGAGGTAACAAATTACCACAAACTTGAGGACTTAATGCAACAGAAATTTATTCTTTTACAATTCTGGAGGCTAGAAGTCCAAACCCCAGTAGGACCACACTCCTGCCAGGGGCTGCAGGGAAGAATCAGGGTTCTTATTTTTGCCTCTCCTAGCTGCTGTTGGCTGCCCTGGGATTGTGGAATTTGTGACTGCATCACTCTGATCCCTGCTTCTGTTTTCACGTTGTCTTCTTCTGTTTGTCTGTTATTGCTCTTTGCCTTGCACTTGGAATTGCATTAGGGCTGGAAAATACAGAGTAATTGCATCACCTCAGGATCTGTAGCTGAATCTCAGCTGCAAAGACTTTTTTTTTTTTTCCAAATAAGGCAATATTTTAGATTTGCAGGGCTGAGGACTTGATATCTTTGGATGGCCGTTATTCAACCTACTTCAAACATGCAAATGATATTTTGGTACCAGAGAAAAAACACACATTGAAAGAACTCAAAACTAAATGTTGGGGTTGGCACAGAGAGCAAAGGAAAGAGAATAGGAAGATAAGCTGGAGAGATAGAAAGAGCCAGACCAACAGCACCTTGTAGGACATTGTAGATGATAGTGAATCCAAGCTAATCGAAAGTCTCTGTCTTGTATTCCTTCTTTCATACATAGATTATGGGTTAAGAGCTCATCTTAGGGTGATGAGATCTCCCTTCAAGAGAGACACAGCTGTGAGAAATGTGATAAGCTAAGAGGTTCCTGCTGCTGCATCTGCCATAGCATTCCTTCTGAGGCTACATTTTCACCAGACTATTCATAGCCTATGACCAAGCACTATGTGATTACTAGGTCAGGGTCCTTCTGGGTCAGTGTGAGACTCTTCTAAAGAGTAGGTTTTCCTTCCCATGGGGCTTCCCATCAATCTAATTTTTTTATGGCAGTATTTCAGTCCTGCTCAATCATCCCTCCATCCCCTTCTCTTTTCATGAGTGTCATACATGAGTGCTCCCTGCTTTCTCTTACTCCATCTTTCTTTTATTATTCAAAGGCATGTTTTGTTTGTTTGTTTGTTTTTGTTTTTTACTGTTTGTTTGAGGACCTGAATAATCACAGTTGATACCTGGACTAGTCCAAAAAGACAGTTTTTAAAATGTGGTTGCCTCCAAGGTCAGGAGATCAAGACCATCCTGCCTAACACAGTGAAACCCCATCTCTACTAAAAATACAAAAAATTAGCTGGGCGTGGTGGTGGGCGCCTGTAGTCCCAGCTACTCGGGACGCTAAGGCAGGAGAATGGCATGAACCCAGGAGGCGGATGTTACAGTGAGCCGAGATCATGCCACTGCACTCCAGTCCGGGCAACAGTGCGAGACTCCGTCTCAAAAAAAGAAAAAAAAATGTGGTTTCCTCATACGTAACAAGCAAAATTACAGCTCAAATAGTATGTGGCATGTGAATTGTCTCTGGAACCAGGTGGCAGCCTGTTTGCTGAAGAGTGAACTGGTAGTTATCAGGGAAAACATCTTGCATTGTGCCAATGCAATGATCCAGGTAGTTGAAAAGTATGGGGCAGCAATGCATAAAAGGAGGTATAATTGATCAGTAATTACTAAACTGTGTGTTAGTGCTCTTAATGGAGGGATAATACTTTTTTAAATTTTGAGGCTGGATCTCAATCCTGTCCCCCAGGCTGGAGTGCAGTGATGTGATTATGGCTCACTGCAGCCTTGACTTCCCAGGCTCAGGTGATCTTTCCATTTCAGCCTCCCTAGTAGCCAGGACTACAGGCTCAAACCACCACAAGTGGCTAATTTTTTGTATTTTTAGTAGAGACGGGGTTTTGGTATGTTACCCAGGCTTGTCTGCAACTCAAGCCATCTGCTGCCTTGGCCTTCCAAAGTACTGGGATTACAGGTGTGAACCACCATGCTCAGCAGGAATAATACTATTTTACAGGAAACGAATACAGATAATCTTATTTAAACTCTCCCTTTGTTATAAAAAGCATAAATACTAGTATAATATGTTTCAATTATTGATACTAATTAAGTGGTCATATTAGTGGGAATTTTCTGTAGAACTGTCATGCCAGAGACAATTTTATTGTCATTAGACTTTCCTGAAGACCTTACTTAAAATTCAGAAGACTCAATCAGATATTCTTATTTAGTAGATCCTGGGACAAATCACTATTTATGTAGGCATTCCAGAGTAGTTTGTCCTTAGACTGTTCTAGAAACCAACACAAGACTTTTCAAAGAGCCTTAAAGAAAGAATATCTAAATGTAATAATAAATGCTGCACTCAGTAATATATCAGAATATAAGTAATATTTATGTTAAAGTTATTTTTGTGTGAAATGTGGAACTCTGACACCTCTTTATTTTTCAGAGCAATGAGATTAGGGTAATTCAAATTTTGGATGGATAACCCAAGCCTCAAATAATACTTTTACCTCACTATAAGTTAGTTCAGTTCCAATAAAGCTTTAAAGAGTCCAGTAGCTGCCCTAATCTCCGATATATTTAGTAGATGTCAAATTAGTAAAATTTATTTTAATGCTTTTGGTGAGGGGCCAGTCTACGTAACTCACCCAGAGAACTGACAGGCCCATATACGTAAATGAAACATGTTCTAACTTTGCTCTTGAAGAGTGAAAAATAGCTCAAGATACCAGATTAATTTTGCCTTGCTCACAGTATGCTGCCAGAAAGGATGAATGGAAAGTCAATTGTGCCATTCCAAACTACATGTTTTTGCTAATGAAAGGCTCATTAATTAAATAAAACAAGGAGGGATTTTTTTAAAAAAAGATTTTGCCTTGCATACCCCTATTCCTAAACAGATCTACTAAGAAAGATGGTAATTTGCTTGTCAGGTTCCTATAAGGAGAGACAGAGTGAAAAGCTTTACTAGAACTTAGCAATTTTTTATAGTTTCTTACATTTTCTTGGTTCAATTATAAAATCCTCAAAGACCATTGTATTTTAAGATGGAGTATTTTGTGATGCACTTCTTAGCTAGTACATTTAGGTTATGGCCACTCCTTTGTATGTTACTGGCTAGAGGGTAATATTTGTTTCTCTTTTCTAGATGGGGCTTTTACAATACATTTCTTATTGAACACACACACGCAGAATATCGTTCAGGGACTAGTCTCCTGTGCTACTCTTAGTGACAAGAAAGCATTTTATTCTCACAGGAGTCTGCAAGCTAGTACTCCCCACGCCTCTTCATCCAGAGTAAAATCAATCAAGACTTAGACTTCACTTTTTTTTTTCCAGAAATCCAGAATTTTCAGTGAAATAGACAAATATTTTTTCAGAGGTAATGGCAATCCAAGATGTGTTGACCAATTTTGGAAAAGTTGAATTCACACAAATCACCAAAGGTGGTGAGAGATCAGGAAACAAATACAAGTATTTTATGTACTAAGACCGCATTGATTGTAAGATGTACCATTATTCTGTGCACCTCTTAGAAAGACAAGTTAAGCTGTGACACAATGCTTTATTGATAGCTCTGGGCAGTGAATGCATTGATCACAGCAGCCTCTCATGCTTTGACATTTGTTTTCATCTATTCTAAGATATTTGGTAATTTTTTCTACCTTCAGTTGAATTGTTTGGCATGGTATAGGCTGTACATATCCACACAAGTCCAGAGTTTTCAGTGAAGTATTTTTCAGAGGTAATATCAATCCAAGGTGCAGTTGACCAATTTGGAAAAGTTAAATTCACACAAATCACCAAAGGTGATAAGAGACCAGGAAACAAATAGAATTTTATACATAGATGCATATGTATAAAATCTCAATGAAAAATGTAATACAGCATCATATTCTTCAATCTTCTCATCTTAAATCCTGATGTCTGGTGGTGACAACAAAATGTGTACACTGTGGTTGATTGCTTCTCTAATGACAAATATTTGCTTCAGTAATTTTTATATCAATATTAAAATACAATATATAATTTGGGAATATATTTTAATACTATTTGAACATAACTCAAAATGTTGACAACATCAATAGCCATGATGAAATTTCTACATGCATAAGCAATGATCACCAAATGATAATTACCATGTGGCTGATTTTATGTTATTACTGATGACAGGGTGCATTGCAGTTTCAGAGATATTATAATGTGAAAACATGTATGTGTCTAGGCGTGAATGAAATAAGATAAGCTATTGCTAGCCTGTCGGCTAGAATTAGAGGTCCCTCAGAATAAAGTTCTGAGTGCTTCAATTCTCAGAGGGAGTCCTAAGACCAATTTTTAAACAAAAATAAAAACATAAACAAAAATATGACCAGCCAAAACTATTAGGAAACACATAATGTTACTTCTATTATTAATCTGTACATTAGTTTTTCCTCCTCCAGATTTTTTTTTTTTTTTTGAGACGAAGTCTTGCTCTGCTGCCCAGGCTGGAGTGTAGTGGTGCGATCTCGGCTCACTGCAAGCTCCGCCTCCCAGGTTCACACCATTCTCCTGGCTCAGCCTCCGGAGTAGCTGGGACTACAGGCGCCCTCCTCCAGATTCTTAATACTTTGATGCTTCCTCTTCCCTAGTCCAACCTCTAAAATCTTTTAAATATGCTCATAAGAAGTGTGGAGTGAAGAAACTGCCTTACTAAAATGGTTTGGATGTTTGTCCCCTTCAAGTCTCATGTTGAAATGTGATTCCTAGTGTTGGAGGTGGCAGGTGATTGAATCACAGGGGACCGATCCCTCATGAATGGTTTGTCATTATTCCCTTGATGGTAAGTGAGTTCTCATTCATGCGCGATCTGGTGGTTTAATATGTTGGACCTCTCCCACTCTCTCTCACTCCTGTTCTCACTATGTCCTATGCCAGCTCCTCCTTTGCCTTCCACCATGAATGGAAACTCCCTAAGGCCTCAGAGTAGCCAAGTAGATGCTGGTGCCATGCTTCCTGTACGGCCTGAAGAATTGTGAGCCAATTATACCTCTTTTCTTTATAACTGATCCAGTCTCAGGTATTCCTTGATAGCAACACAAAAAAATGGGCTAACCCACTTACTTTCTTTCAGCTTTTCACCAAAGTTATTTTCCATCTTCTTGAATCAATTATGGCCAGATAATACATCAATCATAACCTGCATGTGGCTTAAAGACAGTAGGACATCAGTATCCTTCTCAAGTAGAAATTTCTGTTTGATTACATGCTGCACATTTTAGGATAGAGAACAAGCTATTAACTCTATCTTCTCTTCTATCCCAAAGTCACTTTAAGGATACCACTCTTCTTATCTCGTATGAACAAATGTGATACTCCGATACTTCCACCTGTGGCTTTACCCCCTGCTCTGACTTTTTATTGGCATATAAAATCACTCTCTTCCACTTGTGCCCTAGAATTCTGTTAGATAACTCTGTCTTCTCTTTTCAACTTCTTCCTTTGTTTTGTGTCCTTACCTATTAGCACTCAACTAGTCCAAGTCTCTGTCAGCTACAAACAATATTAAGAGCGTACAAAACAAAAAATCCCTCCAACAACCTCGAATACTACGCCTGTCTGTATCCTCTGATTATGTAGACAAACGTGACAGAATTTTGTACACATACAGATTCTATTCCTCACTTCTATTGACCATTCAAACCTGAGTATCACATTCAACATTCCACTGAAATACCTGTTTAAATTTGCTGAAATGACCACCTGTAACTACAGTTAATAGAAAATACGTAGTCCTTAACATAGTTAATCCCTTAGGGGATATTTGTGATTATTGACACTTCTTCCTCACCCCCTGCCCTTGAGACTTCTATGGTATCCTTCTTCTGACTTTCTCCTGGATCTTCCATGGTTTCTTCAATCTTCTGGATTTTTCTCTTTTTAAATATTTTTACATAGAAGTGCACTCAAATTAATAATCTTAGGTTCTTTAGAAACCTTTTTTTTCTGTCCTTTTAAATGATTCCACCTGGGCAATTTTATGCAGTTGTATCTGTCCATTGTTGTCTACTTGTGATAAAACAAATAGCTGAGATCTCTCTTCTGAATTCTGAGTTCATATATCACTGCCCTATTGAACATTTCACAAAGCTTTCAATCTGTATGCTTCTATAAGTGAACTATTATCACCAAACCTATTCATTCTGTTTCTGATTTCAGTTAAATGACACAGTCACTTATTTGCCACATCCAGAAACCTAAGTGTCATTTTGACTCCTTTCTTACTACCCCAACTCAGCAAATCACATTTTCTTGTTGGATTCCCTCATCTTACTATTTCTTGAATATGAAAATTTTCTCCATATACACTGTCATTACGTTACTGCATGCCACAGTCTCCTCTCACTGAGATTATCACACAACCTTCCTGGGTCTTTTGTATGCTTTCACTCTATTTTTCTTTGTTCATTTGTTTGTTTTTCTCTAAACTGAGGATATATTGAATTGCAGGCTATGTCACTAAAATAATGATTGCATCACTCCAAGACAAAAAAATATTTTGTTATTGTTTTCAGGATAATATTGACATTTTATGCCAGTCATGACTTTACATTTGTTTTTCTCTTAATGTATATTTTCCGGAAACATTCTAATCTCAAGCTATACTAAATGATTCTCTGTTTCTTTTATTATTATTATTATTATACTTTAAATTCTAGAGTACATGTGCCCAACGTGCAGGTTTGTTACCTATGTATACATGTGCCATGTTGGTGTGCTGCACCCATTAACTCGTCATTTACATTAGGTGTATCTCCTAATGCTATTCCTCCCCCTTCCCCCCGCCCCATGACAGGCCCCAGTGTGTGATGTTCCCCTTCCTGTGTCCACGTGCTCTCATTGTTCAATTCCCACCTATGAGTGAGAACACCCAGTGTTTGGTTTTTTGTCCTTGCAATAGTTTGCTGACAATGATGGTTTCCAGCTTCATCAATGTCACTACAAAGGACATGAACTCATCCTTTTTTATGGCTGCATAGTATTCCATGGTGTATATGTGCCACATTTTCTTAATCCAGTCTATTATTGTTGGACATTTGGGTTGGTTCCAAGTCTTTGCTATTGTGAATAGTGCCGCAGTAAACATGCATGTGCATGTGTCTTTATAGCAGCATGATTTATAGTCTTTTGGGTATATCCCCAGTAATGGGATGGCTGGGTCAAATGGTATTTCTAGTTCTAGATCCTTGAGGAATCGCAACACTGTCTTCCACAATGGTTGAACTAGTTTACAGTCCCACCAACAGTGGAAAAGTGTTCCTATTTGTCCACATCCTCTCCAGCACCTGTTGTTTCCTGACTTTTTAATGATCGCCATTCTAACTGGTGTGAGGTGGTATCTCGTTGTGGTTTTGATTTGCATTTCTCTGATGGCCAGTGATGATGAGCATTTTTTCATGTGTCCGTTGGCTGCATAAATGTCTTCTTTTGAGAAGTGTCTGTTCATATCCTTCACCCACTTTGTGATGGGGTTGTTTTTTTCTTGTAAATTTGTTTAAGTTCTTTGTAGATTCTGGATATTAGCCCTTTGTCAGATGAGTATATTGCAAAAATTTTCTCCCATTCTGTAGGTTGCCTGTTCACTCTGATGGTAGTTTCTTTCGCTGTGCAGAAGCTCTTTAGTTTAATTAGATCTCATTTGTCAATTTTGGCTTTTGTTGCCATTGCTTTTGGTGTTTTAGACATGAAGTCCTTGCACATGCCTATGTCCTGAGTGGTATTGCCTAGGTTTTCTTCTAGGGTTTTTATGGTTTTAGGTCTAACATTTAAGTCTTTAATCCATCTTGAATTAATTTTTGTATAAGCTGTAAGGAAGGGATCCAGTTTCAGCTTTCTACATATGCCTAGCCAGTTTTCCCAGCACCATTTATTAAATAGGGAATCATTTCCCCATTTCTTGTTTTTGTCAGGTTTGTCAAAGATCAGATGGTTGTAGAGGTGTGGTATTATTTCTGAGGGCTCTGTTCTGTTCCATTGGTCTATATCTCTGTTTTGGTACCAGTACCATGCTGTTTTGGATACTATAGCCTTGTAGTATAGTTTGAAGTCAGGTAGCTTGATGCCTCTAGCTTTGCTATTTTGACTTATGATTGTCTTGGAAATGCGGGCCCTTTTTTGGTTCCATATGAACTTTAAAGTAGTTTTTTCCAATTCTGTGAAGAAAGTCACTGGTAGCTTGATGGGGATGTCATTGAATCTATAAATTACATTGGGCAGTAAGGCCATTTTCATGATATTGATTCTTCCTATCCATGAGCATGGAATGTTCTTCCATTTGGTTGTGTCCTCTTTTATTTCATTGAGCAGTGGTTTGTAGTTCTCCTTGAAGAGGTCCTTTATATCCCTTGTAAGTTGGATTCCTAGGTATTTTATTGTCTTTGAAGCAATAGTGAATGGGAGTTCACTCATGATTTGGCTCTCTGTTTGTCTGTTATTGGTGTATAAGAAAGCTTGTGATTTTTGCACATTGATTTTGTATCCTGAGACTTTGCCGAAGTTGCTTATCAGCTTAAGGACATTTTGGGCTGAGACGATGGGGTTTTCTAAATATACAATCATGTCATCTGCAGACAGGGACAATTTGACTTCCTCTTTTCCTAATTGAATACCCTTTATTTCTTTCTCCTGCCTGATTGCCCTGGCCAGAACTTCTAACACTATGTTGAATTGGAGTGGTGAGAGAGGGCATCCCTGTCTTATGCCAGTTTTCAAAGGGAATGCTTCCAGTTTTTGCCCATTCAGTATGATATTGGCTGTGGGTTTGTCATAGATAGCTCTTAATATTTTCAGACGCGTCCCATCAATACCTAATTTATTGAGAGTTTTTAGCATGAAGGGCTGTTGAATTTTGTCAAATGCCTTTTCTGCATCTATTGAGATAATCATATGGTTTTTGTCTTTGCTTCTGTTTATGTGCTGCATTATGTTTATAGATTTGTGTATGTTGAACCAGCCTTGCATCCCAGGGATGAAGCCCACTTGATCATGGTGGATAAGCTTTTTGGTGTGCTGCTGGATTTGGTTTGCCAGTATTTTATTGAGCATTTTTACGTCAATGTTCATCAGGGATATTGGTCTAAAATTCTCTTTTTCTGTTGTGTCTCTGTCAGGCTTTGGTATCAGGATGATGCTGGCCTCATGAAATGAGTTAGGGAGGATTCCCTCTTTTTCTATTGATTGGAATAGTTTCAGAAGGAATGGTACCAGCTCCTCCTTGTACCTCTGGTAGAATTTGGCTGTGAATCAGTCTGGTCCTGGACTTTTTTTGGTTGGTAGGCTATTAATTATTGCCTCAATTTCAGAGCCTGTTATTGGTCTATTCAGGAATTCAACTTCTTCCTGGTTTAGTTTTGGGAGGGTGTATGGGCCAAGGAATTTATCCATTTCTTCTAGATTTTCTAGTTTATTTGCATAGAAGTGTTCATAGTATTCTCTGATGGTAGTTTGTATTTCTGTGGAATCAGTGGTGATATTCCCTTTATCATTTTTATTGCGTCTATTTGATTCTTCTCTCTTTTCTTCTTTATTAGTCTTGCTAGTGGTCTATCAATTTTGTTGATCTTTTCAAAAAACCAGCTCCTGGATTCATTGATTTTTTGAAGGGTTTTTTTGTGTCTCTTATCTCCTTCAGTTCTGCTCTGATCTTAGTTATTTCTTGCCTTCTGCTGGCTTTTGAATGTGTTTGCTCTTGCTTCTCTAGTTCTTTTTATTATTATTGTTATTATTATTATTATACTTTAAGTTTTAGGGTACATGTGCACAATGTGCAAGTTAGTTACATATGTATACATGTGCCATGCTGGTGCGCTGCACCCACTAACTTGCCTTCTAGCATTAGGTATATCTCCCAGTGCTATCCCTCCCCCCTTCCCCCACCCCACAACAGTCCCCAGAGTGTGATGTTCCCCTTCCTGTGTCCATGTGTTCTCACTGTTCAATTCCCACCTATGAGTGAGAATATGCAGTGTTTGGTTTTTTGTTCATTTTAATTGTGATGTTGGGGTGTCAATTTTAGATCTTTCCTGCTTTCTCTTGTGGGCATGTAGTGCTATAAATTTCCCTCTACACACTGCTTTAAATGTGTCTCAGATATTCTGGTATGTTGTCTCTTTGTTCTCATTGGTTTCAAAGAACATCTTTATTTCTGCTTTCATTTTGTTATGTACCCAGTAGTCATTCATGAGCAGGTTGTTCAGTTTCCATGTAGTTGAGCAGTTTTGAGTGAGTTTCTTAATCCTGGTTCTAGTTTGATTGCATTGTGGTCTGAGAGACAGTTTGTTATAATTGCTGTTCTTTTACATTTGCTGAGGAGTCCTTTACTTCCAACTATTTGGTCAATTTTGGAATAAGTGTGATGTGGTGCTAAGAATAATGTATATTCTGTTGATTTGGGGTGGAGAGTTCTGTAGATGTCTATTAGGTCTGCTTGGTGCAGAGCTGAGTTCAATTCCTGGATATCATTGTTAACTTTCTGTCTCGTTGATCTGTCTAATGTTGACAGTGGGCTGTTAAAGTCTCCCATTATTATTGTATGGGAGTCTAAGTCTCTTTGCAGGTCTCTAAGGACTTGCTTTATGAATCTGGGTGCTCCTGTATTGGGTGCATATATGTTTAGGATAGTTAGCTCTTCTTGTTGAATTGATCCCTTTACCATTAGGTAATGGCCTTCTTTGTCTCTTTTGATCTTTGTTGGTTTAAAATCTGTTTTATTAGAGACTAGGATTGCAACCCCTGCCTTTTTTTGTTTTCCATTTTCTTGGTAGATCTTCCTCCATCCCTTTATTTTGAGCCTATATGTGTCTCTGCACGTGAGATGGGTTTCCTGAATACAGCACACTGATGGGTCTTGACTCTTTATCCAATTTGCCAGTCTGTGTCTTTTAATTGGAGCATTTAGCCCATTTACATTTAAGGTTAATATTGTTATGTGTGAATTTGATCCTGTCATTACGATGTTAGCTCGTTATTTTGCTCGTTAGTTGATGCAGTTTCTTCCTAGCATCGGTGGTCTCTTTCTTTACCCAAAGCCTCTCATTTCTTATCCACTGGGCATGCTCTTACCTCTGTTTGAAACACATTACCTTTTCACACCTCACCCCTAAACCTATATCTTTTAATTTTTATACTTTGTCAGTTTGAACACCATCTTCTGAGAAAATTTTCCAAGGTTGTGACCTTCCTATGTGCTTTTAAAATACCCTATCCTATCCCTACCATGGCATCTATGTCATTGTAATTTAATTTCTTATTTACTTAAATGTCTTTACTAAATAGACTCTGTTATTTCTGGGCAAAGTTGGTTTTGCTTTCTTCACCACTGTATCCCCAGTACTTAGCAGAAGACCTGATGTGTAGTCCTTATTAGCACAGAGCAAGAATTAATAGTTGGGGTTGTGGTAACTTCAATAATTGTGATTCATAGAGTAGCTAGAAGAATTTAATTTTTTAAAATCTGATATGGTACCTTGGGAAACATTATTATCCTCAAGAAGACCAAGCGCATATGAGAGACAATCCATGTGATACCCGAAGACTGTCTCCAAATTAAACATTTAAACAATATTTGGATCCCACAATCCCTTTACTATCTAGCCCTAGGTCTATCCCAGTTGTTAATCCTCTCCAAATCCCAAAATTGGGACCGTGTCACCTTCATATTCACCTGCAGGATTGAATAACCTGGTTTTTACTAAGCCCCCATGCACCAAGACAAGGGTTGGAAAATCCTTAATGTTCAAATCCACATTGTAGATCCATGGAATTTATTTTTCAACTCTACAGAAGGTGACATAAAATTGCTTAATTCTGAAGAACAGTGAATAACAATTATCTTTGGCTCTCACTTTGCTAATGTACATGCTTAAAATGTAAGCATGAAGTAAAAGATATTTTTCCTAATTTACTGTCTTCTCTCTTACACTTAGCCTGCCTGTAAATAATAAAGATAACTTTTTTAAAATTTGAAAAAATAATTCAATGAATTAATTAACACTTTAAAAAAAGACTTCAGATGACTATGGGATATGCAGTTGACCTTGAACAATGAGGGAGTTGGGGGCGCTTTCTCCTTGAACAGTTGAAAATTCACAATGTAATTTTTGACTCACCCCCAAACTTAATTACTAACAGCCTAATGTTGACCAGAAGCCTTACTGATAATATAAACAGTTGATTAACATCTATCTTGAGTGTTATATATATTATAAACTATATTCTTACAATAAAGTATTCTAGAGAAAAGAATGTTGTTAAGAAAATCATAAGGAAAACATATTTACTATTCTCTAAGTGGAAATGGAGCATCATAAAGGTCTTCATCTTCATGTTGAGTTCATATCATCCTCATGTTGAGTAGGCTGAGGAGGAGGAGGAAAAGGAAGGGTGACAAAAATCCACATAAAAGTACAGTTCAAATACATATTGTTCAATGGTCAACTATATTAGCTAAATGGGGAGAAAAAAATGTAATATTCTTTTATTATTGTTTTCCTATTCTTATTTTTTTCCATATTTCCTTTTTTTCCAAAAGAAGTATATGGAATTCTTGCAAGTTAATCTTTTCAAAGAAAAATAAAATCTAAGTGTTATGCAGATGTGCTTTATTGAACATACTTCAAGGAATGATATGAACTATCTTAGTCTATTTGTGCTGCTATAACACAGTGCATGAGACTGAGCAGTTATACAGAATAAAAATGTATTTCTCATAGTTCTGGAGACTGAGAAGTCCAAAATTAAGGTTCTGGCTGGTTTGGTGTCTGGTGAAGGCCAGGTCACTGCTTCCAAAATGGCACCTTGAATGTGCTATCTTTACATGGTGGAAGGTGGAAAAGCAAAAAGGACCAAATTCACTGAAACCCTTTTTTGTTTTTTTGGTTTGTTTGTTTGTTTGCCCAGTGTAGAGTGCAATGGTGTGACCTTGGCTCACTGCAACTTCTGCCTCCCAGGTTTAAATGATTCTCATGCCTCAGCCTCCTAAGTGGATGGGATTACAGGTGTGTTGCCAAAATGCCCATTTATTTATTTGTTTATTTATTTATTTGGTGTTTTTAGTAGAGATGGGGGTTTTCTCATGTTGTACAGACTGGTCTTGAACTCCTGGCCTGATGTGATCCACCTGCCTGGCCTCCCAAAGTTCTGGGATTACAGGTGTGAGCCACTGTGCCCAGCCCCTCAAGCCCTTTTATAAGACCACTAAGACCATCTATGAGGGCAGAACCCTCATGGCCTAATCATCTCCTAAAGGCACCACCTTTTAATACTGTTTTAACATAAGTTTTGACATATGTTTTGGAAGGAACACAAACATTGATACAATTGCATGAGTGAGTTGTTTACGCTTCTATGATTTTTGTCAAAATGACTATTTAACCTGCAAGTGAATGAAAAACAAATATCATCATTAAGAAGAGGAAATTGTTTTTTAACTCACTGAAAGAAATTATCTTCCATTGAAAGCCTTTCCAAATCAAGGATTGTATCACATGGTGCATGTAAAAAGTAATAAAAGAATGAAGTAGCCATAAAGGAAAAATAGTATGAGCAGTTAGAAGAAGAAGACCAGAGTGTGATTAAACATAGGATCTGTGAGCATGGCCATTGTAAGATGAAGAAGAATTCAAAGCACTTTAGATTTATGCAATCTGAAGAGTCCCACCAACAGTGTAAAAGTGTTCCTATTTCTCCACATCTTCTTCAGCACCTGTTGTTGCCTGACTTTTTAATGATTGCCATTCTAACTGGTGTGAGATAAACTAGTTCAACCATTGTGGAAGTCAGTGTGGCGATTCCTCAGGGATCTTGAACTAGAAATACCATTTGATCCAGCAAGCCCATTACTAGGTATATACCCAAAGGATTATAAATCATGCTGCTATAAAGACACATGTACACATATGTTTATTGTGGCACTATTCACAATAGCAAAGACTTGGAACCAACCCAAATGTCCAACAATGATAGACTGGATTAAGAAAATGTGGCACATATATACCATGGAATACTATGCAGCCATAAAAAGATGAATTCATGTCCTTTGTAGGGACCTGGATGAAGCTGGAAACCATCATTCTCAGCAAACTATCACAAGGACTAAAAAACAAACACCGCATGTTCTCACTCATAGGTGGGAATTGAACAGTGAGAACACATGGACACAGGAAGGGGAACGTCACACACCAGGGCCTGTTGTGGGGTGGGGGGAGGGGGAAGGGATACCATTAGGAGATAGACCTAATGTTAAATGAGGAGTTAATGGGTGCAGCACACCAACATGGCACATGTATACATATGTAACTAACCTGCACGTTGTGCACATGTACCCTAAAACTTAAAGTATAATTAAAAAAAAAAAGCACTTTAGATGTGGAAACAAAGAGCCCCAGATATCATTAAAAGAAAAGAGAGAAATCACTGGGGGAAAATAAAATGATGCCATAACTTCAAACTGGAAAGTGGCTAGAACTCAAGGAAAGGCAAACAGTTGTCATATCTTTAGCATCTGTAGTATGTACCTATAACTGGAGAATTCTACGTTTAAATGTATATGTGTGAGTATAAATATATGTAGTTTATATATGTATGTATGTGTGTATATATTCTAAATTATCCAACCAAAGCAACTTAAGAAACTGCTTTCTAATTGATAAGGTTTGAATATTTGTCCCTTTCAAATCTCATGTTAAAATGTGATTCCCAAAGTTAAAAGTGGGACCTGGTAGAAGGTGTTTGGACCATGGGAATGGATTCCTCACTAATGGCTTAGCACCGTCTCCTGAGGGTGAGTGAGTTCTTGCTCAGAGTTCATGTGAGATCTGGTTTTTTAAAAATGTGTGGCACCTCCCTCCTCTCTCCCTTTCTCTTGCTCTCACCATGTGATTTGCCTGCTCCTGCTTCACCTTCCATCATGATTGTAAGGCTCCAGAGGCTGTCACTGGAATCAGATGCCAGAGCCATGCTGGCACAGCCTGTAGAACTGTGAGCCAATTGACCCTCTTTTCCTTATGAATTACCCAGCCCCAGGTATTTCTTTATAGCAATGAAAGAATGGTTATATATATATATATATATATACATATATATATATATATATACATATATATATTCTTTTTTTGATGTCTCAGGTATTTTATGTACATTTTTGTCACTTAATTATTCCTAAGACATCCCCTTAAATAGATGACTTACCCAAAGCTATGCAATTAGTAAAATTATTTAAAACAAAACCTTCATGATTGCAAAGCCTGCATTGTTCACTAGTGTGTTGTTTCCTTTTGTGATACAATTCAGATATTATGTAGGATAGAAATACATGCACTTAGAATGTACCCCCATTAAATTACTATGGAAGCTTGCAATCAAATATCACCAAATAGTTTGAACCCTGATAGGAAATGGCTACAGAATTGGGGGCCCACAGAGTAGCGAGCTGCAATGAGATCGACTCGTCCCATTTTCTGGAATTTTTAGCGGCTTAGAAATAATTGAAACTGTATTTTCAGGTTCCTTTTGACAGAATATCTTTTAATTCATATGTAATTAAATGTATATGTATAATATACATATGTATAATAGCTCGTACTATTTCCTTCATTTAATTATTGTGTCTCTGCTCTCATTTAGGGAACATCAATTATGTCTTTTGAATTGAGAGAAGCTAAATCTATTCATGAAAAAGCTTCATTTATCCTTTATTCTGGATTTGTTAAATTCATTAAAACACATCATCTCCAGTGTGAAAAAGCACATGCTCAGTGATTCACATGGTTTTCACACAGAAGAGGGTTAATGCTGCCTAAAGTATCAGGTAGGGTCTTAGCAGGATAGGATGGCAAATTTAAACTGGGCAATTTAAATAGAATTTTGTAATGGGGCTATTTACAAAGCTGTAAGCAGGATTTAGGGAAACGAATAAAAGATTAATGGGGTACCAAAGGCTAACAAGAACACTATTTAAGCCTGAAAGGGCAAAATAAGGGAGTGGTCATCAGAAACATGAGAAAGCCACTTGCAAGGGCTTTGGACTTTGGCCGAAGGATCCAACAATTTATGATCCAATAGAGAGACAGCCAGGGAAACCCCTCCCCTGACATCTCTTGTCTTCTGCTCACCTCCTTAAGAAAAATAAGTAAATAAGTAAATACATAAACCCTTCAGAAGAAGTGAAGATATTCGTAGGGAAAATAGCCCACATAAAAGTTTTTCAACTAAAAAGTTTTATGCCAAAGGAATGAATTAGAATTTTTTCCACATGGTTATTACATTAGGTTGGTGCGAAAATAATTGTGTTTTTTCACAATTAAAAGTAATTGCAAAAACCACAGTTATTTCCACACCAGCCTGTATCTCCTATATGCTATAAAATTTTGGCCCACCTAATGAAAAATTCAAGTAAAATAGTAAGTATAAACAAAAATATGGTGAGTTATTTCTGTAGTCATACATGTTATAACATCTTTATTTCTGTTTTATATTAGATTCCCATTAGATTACAGACCCTTCTTGTGAAAACATTTTAAAAATAATTCTTATATGATTCAGATTAAAAGTAAACTGTAAAAAGAAAAAACTTTAAATGCTTTCAGTCTTTTCCCCTGATTCTCAAATTGGCTGAATTGGCTGCCATTTAAGGTTTTGTGAATGTGATAATCCATAAAGTTGTGGTTCATTTCTTCTCTGATAACCTGCTTAATAATGAAAGAAAGTAAGTCTTTTTTCCTTAAATCCTTTGGAGTTGAATGTCAGCTTGCTTCTGTTGACAAACATGCTACTGAGAGAGTGCCTTTTCATCTCAGTGACATGGATCATATCATAAAACCGGGAACTGGAAGCCTGCCATCCAAGCAATTTAGACTGTGTCTACACTGTTTCAAAAGACAGCTTTGAAAAACAATATTTCTTACAAACTGTCTGACTTGTCTACATAGATTATATGGTTGTGAAAAGAATTTGACTATGTTTTCTCCCTAGCACATCAAACTGCTGCTGTTGCAGTGTGCAGGCACAGCTGCAGTCCATTTTCTTGCCTTTGGAAAGATCCTTCCTTTTCCCCACTATTACAACCAGGTGAGGATGTATATATGGGCTGGTACCTACAACTGTCCTGGTAGATCAGTAGGAATCTCCTTTCCTTTACATATCATTTTCTCAAAATGGAAAAATAACTGATGTGTTTATGAGGGCATTTCCACATGAGCGCCTATTTTCAAAAGCCAGAGAAAATACATAAGTTTATTAAACTCCTGTACATGCTATGGTGGATAGCATCTTATATTTAAATTTCAATTCTGTTGAATCAATAAGTATTGAGCACATATGAGAAAGACACCATGATTTAAATATGCCAGGAAAAAACAACAACACAAAGCAAAACAAGAACAACAACAACAAAAAAACACTTTCTGTATAGAAATCCAATTGAAAGGATTAAATTGGCATCCTCTATTACTCCTTGGGCATCAAGTTTTTGCTTTCAATTGAATTTCCACACACAATCAGTGCTAGCTGTTAGCTCTATATGTGTGCTGAAATCAACTCTGTTCATTTGCTAAACTAATATTTATTGAGTGGCTTCTATGTGTCAGGTGCCATTGTGTGTGCTGGAAATAAGAATGACACCTCAATGAGTCATTAGTAAAGAGAAGCAATCCCTTAACTCTTCAGTGGTTCTGCTTAACTGATCCCCAACTAAAAGAACCTTGATATAAAATAGCTGTGTACTAAAAAGTAACAGTGTAATAATAATTCAGCATTTTCTTTTCAATCAACATCTTTCTGTATGTCTTCATAGAATGAACTTGAAGTTAAGGACTTGGCCTCATGTTGGTTTTGGATTTCAAGATTTTTACATGTCATTATTTCCTAAAATATATGTTTATAATCTTCCATTCTGCTTTCTTCAACAGGAATCTTCTCTTGAAACATTGCTGGTCTCTTTCTTACTCTTGATCACTTTATGCGCTATGTTGTCTTCTTATCTCTTCACTGATGCCTCCTCCACCCCCACTGATGGGAAAAGGAGCTGCTTTGCAGTGCTAGAATCTAGAATTAAGGGTTCCAAGGAGGCAGGGCCTATCTCAAGAAGACTGAGGACTAGCAGATATATCACTCTTATGAAGATGGAAACTTCCAATCAGGGTTCTTACAGTCATTTTAGCCAACTTCTTAGTACTGCTGGACTAGAGAGAGTGCAAGAATCCAGAATGAAAGAAATTTGGGACATTTTTTCTCTCTCATTCTCAATGTTACCATCATAGAATGAATCCCCAACAAATACTGAATTCAGTTTAATAATTAATTCTAGTCCTGCCTTTCCTGCAAAATAACAATTTGACTTTTACTACTCTAAGTTTATTGAAAAATAAATTATGGATTATATGATTTCTTACCTCATGGAGCTGATTTGAGGATAGAGTCAGACAACACATGTGAAAGCTTATATTCACTTTGAATAGGCTGACGCTATAAAAAATGAAAAACCAGCTCTGCTTTGCACAGTAGAAAACTCACAGAACTGTCACTCTGCCTGGCACATGGTAGGAGGTTATTAATATTTGTTATATGAATGAAATATCTTTGGGAACTCTATGCTTTTGTTCCTCAAATTCATATAGTGCCACAAAGAACTTTTTTGATGTTAGTATTTCATAAATATATCCAGAAAGTGAAATTTAAGTGGCTAAAGAATTATACCTACTTTTTATTAATATTATTTTTTCAACAAAGTACACAATTAAAATTATACAAATATGTTTTTTATAGTACACTCAATAGATTTTTTTATATTAAATAAAAAATAATGGCTGCCATTATATATTTATCTGATTTTATTGAATTGCATTGAAGTGAAATTGTTGCTCGTTATTCTACACTTCTTTCTCCACCACATAAAACTTACTCATTGTTCCAAATGATAATTTTCATCTACTTGGGTAAAAATACCGTCATAGTTCTTTTATTTTTCATACTGATACTGTCTTGAACAACCGTATGCCAGATTGTAACAGGAATCTCTAGGGATCTTTACTCTTTTCTTAATTTATCCAGAACTACACAAGTATTGTCAGAAGTAAACTTGAACTCACAAATACCTACTTCCACCTTTAGTTTTCCTAACACACAGTTTCTGGAGAGAAAACTGAAAAATGCAGTCACTCCTTGAGTAGACTGTGGTTTCTTGACTTTTACTATGTTCGCAACTCTTAAAATTGGCCCTACATTTCAAATAAACGTCTGGTTATTGTTGTAAGTATACCTTTACTGATACAGACCACCTAATTCTAACCCTGACCCTAACCCTAATCAATGGTGACCCATACTTAGGTTCCCAATGTTCCAGCTCTTTACTTTGCATTCCCATGTTCAGTCATGTTTCTCAAGGAACTCTTACCATGCCAGGACAGCTTAACTGAGAGTTAAGACTACTTCAAACCATCAGAAAATTTTTAATATCATTGAACACCAAAATACAGGTAATTAAAATTTAAATCCTTCTTCTAGTAAGAGAACTCTTGAGCACTGCACACAATTCTGTAGTTCCAAGGATTTCGAGAACTGTACTTGTAGTCTTTTAACTCACTAAGCTATCCATTGGCTCTATAAGAACATGTGTGAAAATGAACTCATTCTTTTTTTTAAGGGGAGATTTTTAACTTTTCTCTTTCTCTTATTGACATTCTGGTTGCCCCAGCTAGAATCTAAAAACAAAATTGTGTTATATTCTATCCTTTCCTGGTTTGTTAAACTTGTTTGATCACTAAGTCAAGTTAATTAATACATGGAATGACCGTTTGATGTCATTTCCCCCTCTCTTATTATCAACATTTTAGCTCAGATGTTTATAATTTCAGGTTTAAGAAAATTTATAATTATGCTCATATAATTATTTTTTGCTCTTTTCTAATTTATTTGACATGATGTCACTTCATTCACTTGACAATACTGAATCTAGATAATGCCTACTTGAGCAAGGTGCAACGCTAGGTCATGGGAGAAATATGAACCAAGTTTCTGTCCTTAGGAATTAGAGCAATGAGAAAAGTAACTTCCGTTTAATGGACCCTACACTTGAAGAAGCACTAGGTGCTGGGAGAGAGTGTATTAAGGGACAAGTAACCAAGTAACAGATGAACAGTGGTCAGGAAAGGCATTTCAGAAGAAGTGAAATTTCCTCAAACTAAGAAGATTTTTAGATAAGCATTTGACACTACACAATTGAATTTTGAAGAGGGTATTTTTCCAAGAATAGGCAAATGAATACCTCTGGGAAGACATATCTTTATCTGCATAATTCAAGGAAACTTAATAGCAGTATTGTTTGAGATAGCTACAACTTAGATAAATTTTAATTATTATTGCTTTATTAGTAGAGTAAAACTTATTTTGCATCTATGAAATAATGATCAAACAAATTAGGACAATATTCTTATTTTGAAAGGGGAATAAAAACTGTTTAAAGAAACAATTGACTAGAAATATTAGCCCTTGCTTTGCCTTGTCTAGTCCAATTGCAGATTTTCCAAATTTGTTATTTACAATTAAGCCAGTTCAATCTTTGAAACAATAACTAATATTCAAGCCCTGTTGACTACTACAAAAACTCTTCCCTACCGTCAAGTGAGGTTTAGTTTTTTTGTTTGTTTGTTTTTTTTTTTTTTTTTGGTTTTGAACTTTACTGGTCAGTATATGACATAAGCTCCAAGGCATCGATGTGCAACACAGAATAGGTGATGTTTAAAGCATAAGGTATCTGGCTGAAAATAAACTATAACAGATTTGAAACCTGAGAAGCCTTTTCCTAGCTATTTGACTTTAAATGATCAACTCATATAGTTCCAGTAATCTTAGCTTCCCTACCTGTAAAATATAAATATAGTTTTATGTATATCAGCAAAGAATTATGAAGATGAAAATAGATAATGTATCTAAAACACTTAACATATGTAAAACACTTAGTAGTGCTTAACTGACAAGCACGCAATCAATGTTTTCTGTGGCTACTCTTACTACTATAACCATTATACTGTTACTATTACCATTATTTCTTTTACTACAAGTGCTACTATCATTACTATCCTTATTTTTACTATCAATACTACTATTATGAGAATCAGTCAGCCCAATTGGCTTTTATTGTACTATTGTGGTATCCAAAGGGGGTTGAATCTACCCTAGAAAAAATTATTTTGAAATTAGGGGAAAGAAATAAAGGTCATTTTTGTATTTAATTTCTTTAACATTTTAAATTCTATTGGGTTAGTATGTTCTATAAGGTACACACCATATTAGCACAATACCTCATGTTTATTATGTCTGAAGAAATATGCTAAAAGCATACAAGCAAATAAGTAATACATTAAAACTTTCTCTTTTTTTTTGAGTCAGAGTCTCACCCTGTCACTCAGGCTGGAGTGCACTGCTGCCATCACAATTCACTGTACCCTCGAACTCCCTGGGTGCAGATGATCTCCTGACCTCAGCCTCCCAAGTCAGTGGGACTACAGGTGTGCACCACCACACCTGCTAATTTTTCTGTTTTTCATAGATGGGGGTCTTACCGTGTTGCTCAGGGTGGTCTCAAACTCCTGGGCTCAAGCAATCTGCCTGCCTCGGCCTCTCAAAGTGCTGAGATTACAGACGTGAGCCACTACACCTGGCCAACACATTTTAATTATTACAATAAATTCTATGGAAGAGGCACAAATCAAAAACACTACCAAAAAAAATCTCTCACATGGGTGCTGCATCTGAATTATGAGATATCTAGGAAATCCATGATCTATGGGGCGATTGGCACCATGAAGCTGGTCCAAATGGACATGAAGATGACTAACTGGGCCAGGCAGATTCTATCAGGAATTTGAAATGGAAAAGATAGAAGTTGAATCAGTGTATTTGAAATGGGAGAAGAAGCTGAAAATACAAAGATGAATGTATGAAAAGCAGGAGCTTATGACTATTAATTGAAGCTATAAGTAAAAATGATAAAAATACAGATGATGAAAGGTCAAGAATGGAGGGAGAGTAGAGTGTGCAGTGGTTGTTAGATGTCAACACAATAGAAATAGGAAGAGAGAGTGGCTGAGTTGCCACAAAGAAGAGTAATAAATTCTTGCTATTGAGGGCACAGAGAGATAACCTGATCCCCAGAGTTTTGTGTATCCTTCAGCTTCTAAATTACATTTTGGTCTCTGAAAGGCCTTGGCATATTGCAGGTCCTGGGATCCTGTGAGATTCCCTTGTCTTTATATCCATGTATACTCTTTTCAATATACTCCCAATTATTTGCAGAACTTGATTGATTTCTAAGTCTTTGTTTAGTAGTTTCAAATCTCAAGCCACATAAGTAAGTGTGCAAGAAATATAACTTTCATTAGTTTTAAATAACTCAACTTAATTACTATTTGGAACCACATTTCCACTATATAGTAGAAACTAAATCTCAGTCAATTCTGTGTAATTTTTAACACTTTGGGGCCTCCCACCATTGCTCCTGGAGCCCTGTTCTGCAGGACTCAAATACTGGCAGGACAAGGAATTGGGGTAGTTCACCTGCTGCCCGGCTGTCTTCCTCCCACACTGGTGTTCATTACAGGAACAGGACAACCAGAAATGCCTTTGATTCTTCATATGCAAAGAATGTTGCTACATTATTCCTCACACACAGCAGCAAGAATGGAAGCCATGGAAAACTTAGTGAAGCTGTAACATTTATTTTACCATGCCTCTGCTTTTCTCAGGATCAATGTCTGAAACAATTTAAACTTTGAGAACCTCTGGGAGCCTCTCAGACCTATGTAGCCTTCTATCTTATAGTAGCTTTTCTGTACCCATGGAACTGGCCACTTCTCTGTGCCTTAGGCAGTCCTGATGTAAAAGGTACATTCTCTTTAAGATCCCAAAATTCATCTAGGAGTTTATTGTGTTTCTGACTCCACTCTGGAATTTGCTCCAAGGTTTTCTTTGGGGACAAATTGAGTGCACATCTCATTCAGTGGGCTCCACCTTTATTTATTAATATCTTCCGTATTTTCCTCAACTGTTAGATTTCCTCACTAACATTTAATTATGAAAAATTTCTAACATACAGAAAAGTTGCAACAATTATACAATGAATACTCATCTATCTGCCTCTGAATCTATCATTAACATTATACTATATCAGTTTTATCTCCTCTCTATCCAACTACTTAATTCTATATCCATCCATCAATCACATTTTTTGATGCTTTTCAAAATAAATTGTAGGCATCAGGATACATATCTTTCTAAATACTTCAACATGTGTACCATTAATTGGAATTCAGTATTTACATCTTTCATTGTAAACTTAAATGAGATGTTTAAATATTAAGTATGCACTCACTAAATATTGATGAAAGCATGAATTTGTGTAAATAAATCCTTATCAAGGCATACAGCATTATTATAATCAAATAAATTTTCCTCATGGTCCATCCTAGTAAGTTTCTGTCCCAATGGCAACTAGCATTATTATTTTTTTAGCCACAGAATAGTTTATCTGCTCTAAAACTGCCTATAAATGGAATGATATAGTATTTATCATTTTTTTGGTAAGGCTTCCTTCACTATCAGGAAGATTTTGATATTCATCCATCTTGCACACATCTGTAGTTTGCTCCTTCTTATTGTTGAATAGTATCCCTTTCTATAAGTATGCTATAGTTTATGTATCCTACTAATAAACATCTGGCTTATTACCAGGTTCTAGCTATTGTGAATAAAACTATGAACATTCTTTTATGACTCTTCTTGTGAATATATGCTGTTATTTCTCTTAGATAAATATCTAAGAGTAGAATTGAGGTTTTTAGTGTATGTGCATGTTTAGTTACATAAGAAACTGCTAGAATACTTTAAAAAATAGTAGCATTACTTTGTACTCCCACAAAAAATACATGAAAATATGATGTAGTCTTTACATGTGAGTGTTTTTTAGGGGTAAGATAGGTTAAGAGCTGGAAAAATATTTTATTTACTACACAGTCTTATTTTAGGCATGGCCTTAGCTATAGCTGAAACATTGCCTTTTCCGTGGGAATAGATGGCAAAAGATCTTATTGAGGAAGGGTCGCAGAGCACTGCAAGTACTGTTACTCAGCAAGCAGTGGGCTCACTGACTGATGCGCATAGAAGCCAACACTACAGCACTGGCTTTTGAGAAAAGAAAGGCTTTATTATGAGTCAACTGGCAAGGAGAAAGAAGGTAACACTCAAATCTGTCCCTCTAAGCTGGGGCTAGGATAGGTTTTGCAGGCAGAGGATGATGAGGTGTGATCTGATTGGATATTGCATGAGACGATGCTAGGAGGTGTGATTTGACTGGATCAGGCTATGGGGTAATGCCAGGGCTCAATTTGATTGGATCATGGATTATTCGTTTTTTTTTTTTTTTTTTAGACAGGGTCTCATTCTGTCACTCAGGCTGGAGTCACCCAGGCATGATCACAGCTCACTGCAGCCTCAAATTCCTGGTCTCAAGCAATCTTCCCACCCTAGCCTTTCAAGTAGCTGAGACTACAGGTGTGCACCAACAGACATGGATAAGTTTTTATTTTTTTATTTATAAAGATAGAGTCTCACTATGTGGCTCAGGCTGGTCTTGAACTCCTGGGCTCAAGCAATTTTCCCATCTCAACTTCCCAGAGCATTGGGATTACAGGCATGAGCCACCACACTTCTTAATTCAGTTCTCATTCCTTAGTCTGAGTACTTAGATTCCATCCATGGTTGTATAAATGACTACATGGACATTTTGCAGGTCTGTCTATATTATGAAGATAGTTACAGTAAGAGAACTGATCTCACCTTTCTGTTTCCAGTAATTACAAAACTGCCTTCTGATTATAGCTTAGTGTCTCAGATCTTCTAACTTAGAAAGACTATTTCATGTTGTTTACCTAGTATTCCTTTTTGTACTTTATTTCCCCCACAGGAAATAATGAGCTTTATATACACTGGTGAATTATGCATGAGGTTACTTTATGTCAGTTCTTATGTAAGTTTCATAACTAGTAAGTATTGTTACAGGCTGTATTTGAAACTATTTTGTTTCTACCTCTTCAACTATCTCATTTTCTTTTTAAGATGGGACTTACAATTTATTTATGTTTTCACCCAGTGCCTAGCCCAGTGCTGGACCATTTATTTATGTCTTCCCCTGGTGCCTAGCCCATTGCTGGATTATACTGTAAAGCCATCAATCCCTAGCTCCCTAAATAAATATAGAGATAACTCCTGAATCTTGTTGTTTTACATATAAAATATTACTTAAAAGCAACATAAAATGATCATGGCAGCAAATTTAACAACTTTTTAGAATGCACATATATATTTGTGAACTGAACTATGCAACAGTAATATAAATATGCTAATAATCCTTTTTATGTAGTCTATGTCCCTATAATTCTGCTAAAATTAGAATTGATAGTGACAGCTTAGTGGCTGATTTGATCTTATTCTAAGTGCTTTTCAAGTACATTTGGATCACAGAATACTTTCTTTCCAATTTATCTCTAAATAATGTGATTCAACTGGTTGGTTAATTTGCTCCCTGTCCACGTTCGTTCACTGTATTCAGTCAGCAGAAATTTACTGAACAGCTGATTGACATGTGACAATCACGGAGCTAAATTCAGGGTTTATGACAATTTAAAAAATTCACTCTCTGAACATGCCTGTAGTCTAGTAAGAGAAGAGAAGAAAAGGAAAGCTGGAAACAATTAGAAGGAAAATTTTATTGCATTTAAAATATATGTGTTTAGATTGTATTGTAGCCAAGCAAAAAGAGAAAAAAATGTTTGTTTTTTTTTTGGATTTTCAGTAATATTTAATGTATTTTTTAAGTAGGCAAAGAACTGGAGCATTTTATTTATTTTTATTTATTTATTTATTTATTTATTTTTTATTATACTTTAAGTTAATTGCTAGTTTTAATAAAAGAAAGAAAAAGGGATATGTGGTAAAACCAAAACTGCAGGCAGGGTTAAATCAGAGATGATACCCTGTAGGGACAGACAGTGGTAAAAAAAAATCCCACTTGGTCCCTACTTTTCTTGTTAATAGTGCACATTTATATGGTTTTTAATCCATGGTGCCTTTTCTGATGTCCTCCCTTTTTCTATTCTGGTCACATGGTTTTATTTGCTCTGATGCTAAGGAGTAATTCGGATTATTATTTAGTTGTTGTCACAAGGAGAATCTCATCAGTAATTTCATCAGACTAAATTGCTCTGATTTGTGAGTTTTCTCCAATATTTAGGTAAGATAAAATGGTAGGTGAAATAATAACCCTCTGAAGATATCTACATCCTAATCCCTGAAACCTGTGAATACGTTAGTTTACGTTGCAAAGGGGAATAAAAGTTGCAGATGAAATTAACATTGTTCATCAGTTGACCTTAAATTGAAGAGAGTAATCTGGATTACACAGGTGAATCCAAGGTAATTAAAGAGTCTTCAAGAGTAGAAAAAGAAATAAGAAGAAAGTTAGAGAGATGGTAGCTTGAGAAAGCCTCTGCCCAATGTTTCCAGCATTGAAGATGGAGGAAGAAACCATGAGCCCAGAAAAGCAACCAGCCTCTAGGAGCCAGGATAAACCAGAAAATGAATTCTCCTCTACAGCCTCCAGAAAGGGATGCAGGTTTCCTTATACCATAATTTTAGGCCAGTGAAGCCCAGATTTATGATTTACATAATTGTAAGAAAATACATGCATTTTGTTTTAAGCCTCTAAATGTGAAATAATTTGTTATAGCAGGCATCAAAACTAGTACAGATATCTTCAATAACCTTCTCTTATTTAGGGACTTGAAGTATATTTTTGTTAACTTATCTTGGCCCCTAACTCATGTAAAAATTATAGGCCTAACTGGTTAAGAATTCTAGCTTTGATTTAATCAACAAGTATGTCTGAGGCATGTGCTATGATCCAGAAACCGAGCTGGTCACTAGGTACACAGTGATGAGGAACTAATGATTCCTTGTTTAATGGACTTCAAAATTTGATGAGGGAATAGAATATAAAGCAAAGTAACAACTTTCTGAAACACTAAGTGCAACCAAAGAAAAGGCCCATGTGCAATAGACAATTAAAACCAGAGAATCTAAGCTGGTTTGAGAGGAATTAAAGATTTCAATGAACGAAGCGACACTGAATTAGTGACCTTAAGGGTTCATAAAAAATATTCATAAGTAGTGGCTAAGTTATAGAATTCTAGGGATCAAGAACAGCTGGGTCTATTCCCTCATGTGGGAAAGAGGGCACATATTTCAGTACAGAGATGTGAAAGAAGCTGTGTTCCCTAACATAACTCCTTGATGAGCCTTCACTAAGATTCTCCACTAACCAGGGTTTTTTCCACAGTCTGATCAGAATGCCTCTTTCCCCCCTCAGAGCCCCATATCCATAGTTTATCTACTTTTCAAGGTTTGTATTAAAAAAGCACGTCTCATATCACACACAGCTGGAAACAATCTTTGTGCCTACTTTTTTAGCACTTTATCTGTTTGTCTTCAATGGCATTTATCACTCTCTCCTTTGTGGTACAGTTATTTTTGAGCATTTCTTACTTTCCAGACTAGATTGTAGATTTTTAGCTTTTCAAGTGTTCTTGGAAAGTGTAAAAGGGCAGAAAGCAGCATATGGTGTGATAGCACTGGGTGTGATATAGAGATTGAGTCTGAGAAAAAGTCAGGAAGCTGAAAAACATGAACATGCTGAGAAAGGATTAGGAGCTGAATGGAGGCACTGGTAGCAATTTAGCCTTTTCAATTTCTCACAAGCCCTGTAGCCACATATGGGTAATCATTTCTCAGTTAAACAATTGTTATGACTCTTATTTCCAGCTCTCTGCCATTTCCTTCAATCTGGTGATAAACTACAATGATCTATTTAAGTAAAATGCATCTAAAGGATCCTCAAATCTTCTGCCACCAAGTGAGCTGGCACATTCTAACCACAAGCATGTACCTAATGTGAGAACATTTGAAAGAAAAGTAAAAATCATAGAGTTATCTGAGTTGTCTCTACTTAGCACGGAATATCTTAATATTTGAAAACACTCCCATATTGCATGCAGATATTTTAGTGATGGGCAAATTCCAAAGTTGTAATTTTAAAACTCTTCTGTAAGATATTATACAATATCTCACTGTATATGTCAGGATGTGGAAGGCTATGTTGTAATGAAACTGAAATATATTAATGTCTTAAAGCAACGACAACAAGAAAAGATGTCTCACTCTTACTACATAGCACTCAAAGGTCACATGGGGTCTACTCCTCGAAGTCCCCATCTAGGGACCAGGAGCTGAAGCTTCACCAGCTAGAACAATAATATTTTTTATGGCTATGGAAAAAGAAAGCAGGAAGAATTGATTTGACAGCACTTCTTAACTGTATTTTATTGACCTAAACGTCTCATATGATTAGATCATCTCTTATATCAAAGAAGTGGGGAAAGTCTGGACGCAGTGGCTCATGCCTGTAATCCCAACATTTTGGGAGGCTGAGGTGGGTGGATCATGAGGTCAGGAGTTCAAGACCAGCCTGGCCATCATGGTGAAACCCCGTCTCTACTAAAAATATAAAAATTAGCTGGGAGTGGTGGCATGCACTGTAATCCCAGCTGCTCAGGAGGCTGAGGCAGGAGAATTGCCTGAACCCAGGAGGCGGAGGTTGCAGTGAGCCGAGATCACACCATTGCACTCCAGCCTGGGCAACATAGTTAGACTCTGTTCCCCACTAAAAAATAAAGAAATAAATAAAAGAAGTGGGGAAATGCAATCCTCTCATAGTCTCAGAAGAAGAGGTTTTAGCAGAAATATTGGTGAGTAACTGCAACAATTTACTCTGTTTATTTACCTATACACAATATTTAAAGTAATATTTCAAGTAAATATATTAAGATCCAAAGAAATAAAACAGCATAAGAAAAATCTCATTGACCACCCCTGGAAGTGACTATTACACAAATAACTTCTACTGAAAATTGATAATTAAAGGTAAATATTAACCACATCTCCTAACAGTACAATGAGAACTATATTGTGTAATCAAAAAGGCCAGAGTTGATAAAGGAAGACTTATTTACAGAAGAATATCAACTAACAATTATAGAAGAAATATCATTAAGTAATTGAGAGTTTGCAACCCTAACAAAATGATTGACTGAAGCAAGGAAGGTCAACGGGTGCTAAAATCAGCAGAGGAAAAGTTAGTATGAGTAATCTTATTACTAACATTAGAAAAAAACAGATTATGAGTCGTCATTAAACATTGTCACCTGTGAATTATTCTAGACAAATTTGTTTAGCCTGTGTCTGATAACTTTTTATTTTCTGTTTATATGACATTCAGATAATAGAGGTAAGAGTTAAAGGAAAATGAAATAATGATAAATCTATTCAGATAACTTCAAAAGATGAGATATTCTACAGGATAACTAACCCAGCCTCCACAAATACATGTCATAGGAAAACAAGTTAGGAGAGGGTGAATTATTCTAGATATAAAGAGATCTAAGAGATATAGTATTTAAATGCAATTTGTAGTCTTTAATTGAATTCTTTAAACCAATTTTGACCAATTAAGGAAAATTTCATATACTAGATGCCATTAAGCAATTGTTGCTAATTTTTAGGTATGATAATGCTTTAATTGCATGTAGTGAAAATGGAGCAAGCTTGTTTTCTAGAGATACATACTAAGATATTTAGGGATAAAATGCAAAAGAGTATTTAATCTATTTAAAAATATTTCAGCCAAAATTTAGCAAATATGGGAAAATGTTATGAATTGTTCATTCTAAGAGGAGGGGTTTTGTAGGGCATTTGACTAGGAAGATTGAAAGACTATCCGGTCCTGAATTTTGCTTTCATGTTGCTGATTTACACCTGAGTGTAGAAGTAGGCAGTCATCCCAACTCAAAGACATGAACCAAGAGAAAACCAACCACCGCATATTCTCACTCATAAGTGGGGGTTGAACAGTGAGAACACGTGGACACAGGGAGGGGAACATCACATACTGGGGCCTGTCAGGGTGTGGGGGGCAAGGGGAGGGAGAGCATTAGGACAAATACCTAATGCATGCAGGGCTTAAAACCTAGATGACATTGATAGGTGCAACAAACCACCACAGCACATGTATACCTATGTAACAAACCTGCACATCCTACACACGTATCACAGAACTTAAAGAAAAAAAAAAAGAGTGAGGGTAAAAGGAGCTTGAAGATACAGTTACCTGAAGAAAGGTAAGTGAATTCTGGAATGTGAAAAACACTCTAAATTGGTAAGGATCTAATCCATGGTTCAAATTGAGATCTGTCTCTAATGACTACATTCTTCCAACCACACAACACCATGGGTTTGACCATTTCCTCTGTGTTCTTCTGTATCCTTTTTGTCAATAGAGAATATTACTTATTTGACTTGTCTTTTGCCATACCTGTGTCTATTTCCTCTATAAGATTGTATGTGAGTGGAAATGGAGCCTTACTCATCTTTGTATACTTAGCATCTAGCATGTGAGTACCAGACAGTGGTATCCAGTGATGTATTTTCAAGTGAATTAGTTGGTCCTGGCACTCAATGAATACTTGTTAGATTAAGAATAAATAAATAAGGTAATTCAAATGAATGATATTTAAATAGCTGTCATGGTGAGTATCCTTTGTAATAATAAATTCATATACTCTTCTAAAAATGTTTGAGTTCCTTGAGAAATTCAGCAACTTTTACCACAGTCAAAAATGGAATTGAATAATATTTAGTGAAAGATACAAGGTGTTCCTGTGGGTCATTTAAACACATTCGTCAATTTACAACTTGATGAACTTCATTTGCTTGACACTTTTAATACTTTTAATCACATATTGGCTTTTCTTTAAAACTGGAATTAACGGACTGTGATATATTCAGTTTTTATGCAATTGTCTAAAGAAATGCAGTTTTCATAATTTTATGTGTTTTGGAGTATATGCAAAGCACTATAATGATTAATTATTCCCATGAGTAAAGTATAACTGCTCTTATCTGCATATCAAAATAGTCTCCTGTTTACTTCTTTCCACCAATCCTATATCAGTTATCATATTAATTCATGAATTCTGTCATACCAAAATAGCCATGGTTTTGAATATATTCTAAGACATACTTTTGCATACTCTAAAATATGACCTGAGGTTTTTGAGTAAATATGTCTATCCATGACCACATCAGATGCTATCTGAGAGCATCAGATAAGCTGGCCTAAATTGGATAAAATTTATATTGTTAGAAATAAATCCCCTCTCTAAGCAAGCTGCCTAGTCCCTTTTCTACCTCACCAAGTGTACTAAATAAAGCGTTACTTATACTCAATGTCAGAAACAATCTAATTCAAAGCTCACAAAAATCTTGAGGGAGAAGCAACTATTACTCCATTTTACAGATATAAAAATTGAAATATCTGCCTTTAGAGGTACTCAGCTGGCTGTTGGCAGACGGGTGATCACTTTCATGCTCAGCCTCTGTAAGCCTGGAGTTTCCTAAAAGCCCAGCCAACACTCATTGCCTCTGCAAGTGACCACCATGGTTTGGTGGGAGAGTCCTTGGAAGAGCCAACCAGGAATCTCGGGGGAGACAGCGACACTGGGTGAATGGAGGAGGGCTTCTCAGCTCACCTGCAGATCCTTATCGGATGCAGCAGGAGACTGGCCCCACAAAAGTGCAGCAGCGGCAGAACCCTCAACACCCACCTTGTTTGTAAGCACAGGTGGGACACTTTCTGGAGTCTACAGATATGCTCGGCACTTTACAGTGAATGTGGGTGTGGAGAAGCAGGTGAAGTAAACACATTGCAAGTCTCACTTTTCTGTTTCTACTGCTTTTCTGACTGAATAGGCTGATGAGGCTTAGGTTAAATTAGCTTATTTAACCAGTTCAATTGCTTTATTTCTATCTGGGTATGCTATATGTTACTCAATTAAAAGGATATCTAAATTTCTGTTCTAGCCAATGAATTTTAATTCATTCATCTCTAGAATCCTTCTGAAACAAGAATCTCACAGACTTTTTTTTTTTTTTTTTTTTTTTTAATAGCAACAGGGTATTGCTGTGTTGCCCAGGCTAACTCCTGGGGCCAAGAGATTCTCCTGTCTCTGTCTCCCAAAGTGCTGATCCCAGGTGTGAGCCACTGCACCTGGCCACAGATTTCTTTATTGATGTTGATAGAATGGAAAGGCTGTCAGGGAGAAATGAACAGGAGAAGGTAGGAAATTACACATAAAAGAAAGATTTAAAATAGAATATTCAGAAAACAAAAATAGTCTTGGCATTAAATATTTTACATACTACATTAGGTAATTTAACTTTATCCAAATGTTCTAAAAATAATATGTGATTTTATCAAATCCAGGAATAAAACCTAATTTTCAGTTTCTTTGGACTGCAAATTGATTACTTCATGCTTACCTGTCAAATCACTCTCTTTTTTGCCTTAAAAGCCTACATTTATGTGATATGTGTAGGTGACAAGTGAGTTAAAATGATAAATTTTCTCTTTAGTTTTATATATATATATATATATATATATATATATATAGGAGCTTACTTTTATTTTATGACTAGGCCTAAGTCTAGATGTGGGTGTCTAGATTTTAGCTCTGCTAACACAAAACAAATACTTAATAATTACTAAGTCTTCCACATTAATATAAAATGCTGTGTCTTATTTCTATAGGATTGTAATTTCTGTTGGTCGTTTTATGCAAAATTACTGAGCAAGAAAGAGAAATTATAAGCATTTTCATTTCATAAGTGACACACAATTTTAATGATTATAAGATTATTATATACTCTGTATAAAAGAAAATATTTATTAATTTTCCTGTAATGGGGTTTGAATGTATAAAGAACAAAAATTTTGCCAAGATTAACTCTTGAAAATGTATAAAATAAAGGAAAAAAGGTGTAAAAATCCTGTAGGATATATGTTATGTCAGTAATAAGTAACTGTTATGTTGGTGAAAGCCGGCTTAAATATATACTACATTCAGAGTTACATCTGATATAACATTAGGGCAAAGGCAATTTTTATTTTGCTCAATGAAACCCTTAAATGCCTCACTATATATGGCTCAACCAAATATTTTGTTTGTTTCACAAATGCTCAAAATACTTTACAATTAAGGTGTGCAATAACCTTCTGTCACTTCATTCAAGTCAAACTATTTGACCAATCAAAATACCATGTGTGAACAGGTTAATTACTTCTCTTTTGATAAATCATCATAAATATCAAAAACGACTGTAAATATTGACATAAAAACAAGAATTTTAATTACATATAAGGTATAAATAAAAAATAAGCAACAGCTTAAAAATTGTTACATAATTTCTGCAGGTAAATTAGGGAAATCTTATCAGTTCTATGAAACTTATAAAATTATCAAATTATCAGTGCTTTGTATAATAAACAAATGGAATTTAATTTACCAAATTAAGAACAATGTAAACAATAAACTAATTATAAAAAAGATAAATAAAACAAAGACCTCTTTAAATCAGCCATCTCCAGTAAACATTTTGTAAAAATGATGTCAGGCATTTGTTTTCATATTAAATAAATATTATTGAGAAACTTAATAACATAATGTGCAAGTATTTTAAGAACACAAATTGTATCAAAAAATTTTACAAGTTCTTCATTCAGCAGTACATAGAAAGTCACACATAAACTTCAAAGTGATAAAAATATTTCTTAAAAAAGAAAAATTTCCAAAATGAGACGTTTATTTTAACTTAGATTAGTCTTCCTAGAAATTAGACTAGGTTAAAGAATCATTTCTATATTTGGTGTTTTTGTAATATATTTTATTTAGAAATTTGAAATATTTATTTTGATGTAATGAGTATTGTAGGGTTGGGAAAGGAGAGCAATACTGGAAATAAAACTGCCTAAAATTGTCTACCTATCCCAAATCTTTAAATGCAAGACCATTTCCTGTAACCACTCCACTATCCATCTATTCCATCAATATTTATTGGAAATCTGCAATATTCCAGGCATTATATATGTACTGCAAAATAAACAGAAAGAAACAAGTGCCTGCCTTCATGCAATTTACATTATAGTAGGGAAGACAGACAAGAAATCAGTATATAATATGATGTTACATGCTCTTTAGAAGAATAAAGCAAGTAAAGAGAGAAGGATTTAATAGTGGAAGTTATTTAAGTTTAAGTGGCTAGTTAGGCCTTTTCAGGAAATTATATTTAGCAGAAAAATGAGTTAAATGAGAATGCACCATGTATAGACTTTGAATAGGAGGAAGAAGTTCAAGAGATCTATGGCAAAACATGGTGCCTGTGTTTAATAATGATATATTATTGGAAAATTCTAAGAGGATGAATATTGTGTTGTCACCACAAAAATCATAACTATGTTGGTTAATGCATATGTTAATTAGCTAGATTTAGTCATTCCACAAAGTACATATTTCAAAACATCATGTTATACACAATAAATACATACAATGTTATTTGCCAATTAAAAAATTAAAATAAACTTTACAAAAAGACTTTGGAGTCTAACATTTCTAGCAAAGGAAAGAGCAAGTAAAGAAAAGCTGAATCAGGAAGGAGTCTGGCTAATTTGAAGAAGAACAAAGAAACCAAAATGGGAAGAGTGTGATGAATGAGGACAGAGGAAGAGAGGGCAGGGCAAGATTACGTAGTAGTTAGCAGGCCAGGGTAATGTTTGGATTTTATTCTGGTTAAGATGGGAACCACCACAGAGCATTGAAGATGGTAGTGACATAATCTGATTTGTATCTGTAAAAAATCACTCTGGTTATATACTTACATATAATTTACATAAAATTTGCAGTAGGAAGATATGAACGTAATCAGGGAATCCTAAAAAGACAGCAGGTAATTGTCTATGGGAAAGAGGTACTGGTGAGAATTAGTGTGGGACTAGTGGAATATTGAGAAAGGCTGAAATTTAGGATGTATTCAAAGACCGAAAAGGGTTGGCTGATTTAGGGTGAAAAGAAGAGAAGGTAAAGATAACACCTGTGATTTGGGGGCTGAGCAGAGTTTAAACATTGCTGCCATTTTCTGAATTTGGAAGAAGCCAGGGAAGAAAATTAGCAGTAGAAACAAGAATTCTGTTTTGGACATGTTAAGTACAAAACAGTAGTCCAAAAGGAGGTGTTAAATAGACTGTGGGATAATGTGTCTGGTCAGATATGGGCAGAACTAGAGATAGAAGTTTTGGTAATCAGCACATGTACGGTATTTCTGTGTAATCCCTTTGTAAGACTATACTTTATAAGAAATTCTGTGTATTTCCTTCACATTTGTTTTCGGGGTTTCAGTATTTCTTTTATATCTGCATGTCTTGCAGGATCAGATAAGATACCTTCTTTCCACCAACTCGAATCCTGCATAACTCCTGGCAATTTGAATAATCTAAGCCCTCTGCTTCACAAATCTACATTCCTATCCTTTCTTCTGGAGGAGAGAATTTGAATACAACTAAAGTAAAACAGATATAATAACAATAAGTTGAGAGGTATTTGAGAAATAGTTGAATAGTTTATTGCTTAATTAACGGAAAACATTCCAAACCAAGAAATACTAACCCTTTGCTTTTTCATTTTAGATATGTCAATGTAAAAATATAGCTATTTTTTCTATTGTTTAAGTTATTCTTAACTTGTAAATTCACAACTTGTAAATTCACATTTGGAAACTACATTCTGTCATTTGAATTTAAGAATGTTCTTTGTCAGAATTAATTATCCCCATTCTTTCTAAAAACTCCTCTCTGACCATTGAACATATTGATAAATTGATGCCTACACCCAGGGAGCCAAACTTGAGTCATGAACAGAATAAAATATTTGTTATTAAAGAATTAGTCTTAAATTCCTTCATTCAGTTATACTCATTATAAATAAATGTAATAGAAAGTTCAGTGAATATTATATCATCTGATGTCACAAAAGTTCACATCATTTTCATTACGAGCAGACAAGAGACTATATACAGTAGTGCATAAAAACAACTGCTTGTTTTTGGCACTTACTATGTGAAAGTTCATATTTATTTTACTTATTCAAAAGTCAACAAATATTTCTTGAATACCTACTGTGGCTTGAACATTGCCTTGGGATGTAGGGATACATCAGGTAGAAATCAGATTTCAAATCAATTCATTTTTCACATTGAGACACACTCAGCTAATGTGTATGTTGCCATTTTTTACAAAATACTGAGTAACAAACCATTCTAAAACTCCACAGCTTAAAACAATAAGCATTTTTAAGATCATAGGTTTGTAAACGAATTGTGAATATGATAATGTGGGTGTCTTTTGGGTGTCTCTGATTCACCTTATGTATCGACAGGACATGGGCCTTGTGTGGTTTGGCCTCAGGTCTTTCCATGTGTTTTTGTTTTTGTTTCTAAGCTGAAGGGATATCAGTACACCAAGGCCATATTCTCATTTTGAGTATAAAACACATTTATCATCCTTCTTAAGTCATGTCTACCACATTCCATTGGCCAAAGAAAACCATGAGGATGAGTCTAAAATCAACCTGAAGCCACAGCAAGAATGTGGATATATTACAGGAAAGAGAAGATTTGGGGAAGAGAAATTAATTCTATCAAAGTAGTAGATACAAATATTACTATTTTAAGATAATGTACAGATAAATTATTGGCTGTTCCAAGGTCACACAGCTAAAAGGTGGCATAGTAGAAATTTAGGATTATCTGATTCCAGAGACTGTGATTGCAACCATTGAACTGTACTGCCTAATAATTTGTTATATTTTTGACTACTTATCTCTAGAAAAACATTTGTTATAAATTTATCATTAAATTAGTTGCTAAAATATTTGTGTTATATTTTAGTCATAAGTTTATTTCAGTGAATTGACTATATAAATATACACATACATATTTGTACATATGTGTATATATACACACATATATACATATGGACATATCTATGTATATTTGCATGCATACATGTACATATATGCATATATATGTTTATATATGTAAATGCAGGAACAGAAAACACATATATACATGCATGTGTTCCTACATATATATATATACATGCACATATATATGTGCATATATATGAAATAGAATATTATAGTATGTAGGATCATAACAAAAAACAAGTAGGTCTAACATCATGGAAAGAATACAAGTTTGAAATAAAAATAAAAGATGCATTTACATCCTATTTTACATCCATATGATCTTCAACTTATACCTCTTAATCTTGGTCTTATTTATTATTAACTGAAGTAATTTTACTTATCTAAAATGTTTGTTTTTGAGACTAAATGGAAAATGTATTCAACGTTCTAGGTTCATAGTTCACAGTCTGTGATTCATAGTTTCTACCCCTTCCCTAATTCAAGGTAATAAATTAGCTTGGTCTGTTAGACACATCTGATGGAGCAACATTATTAATAGTTTAGTGAAAATACATTATAGGCCTTATAGAGGCATGTTTAATATTAGATCTTGTGATACCAACAAATGGTTCTTATAGATCCAAGATAATTTTATGTCTTAAACATTTAGTTTCCATTTTGTATTTTATGGGACTGTTCAAATTACGAAGATGTTGTGTTCGTATTTTCCCCACAAATACATCTACAAATGTTATGAAATATTACCTAACTTTGGAATTTAGAAAATAAGCTCCCCATACTGATGGCCAGAAAGTTTGAAATTCATTGGTGGAGAGAGGAAATTTAGTTTGTTTTAAAAAGTTCATTTACAGATTATCTCTTGAATTATTTAATCTTAACTTATCAGAATTTTATAGTTTTTTAAGAATGTTTTCTTAAAACTTTAATTTTAGGTTCAGAGGTACATGTGCATGTTGTTATATAGGTAAATTTGTGTCACAAGTATTTCTTGTACAGATTATTCTGTCACCCAGGTACTAGGACTAGAATCAGATTCACATTTTTTCTGATCCTCTCCTTCCTCCCACCCTCCACCCTCAAGTAGGCGCCAGTGTCTGTTTTTCCTCTTTCTGTCCATTTGTTCTCATCATTTAGCTCCCACTCACAAGACAGGACATGCAGTATTTGGTCTTCTGTTCCTGCGTTGGTTTGCTAAGGATAATGGCCTCCAGCTCCCCCCATGTTCCTGCAAAGGACATAATCTCATTCTTTTTTATGGCTTCAGAGTATTCCATGGTGTATATGTACCACATATTCTTTATCCAGTCTACCATTGATGGACATTTAGGTTGATTCCATGTCTTTGCTCTAGTGAATAGTGCTGCAATGAATATACACATGCAAGTGTCTTTATGATAGAATGATTTATATTCTTTTGGGTATATAATGAGTAATGAGATTGCTAGATCAAATGGTAATTCTTTTTTTGTCTTTGAGGAATCATCACACTTCTTTCTACAGGGTTGAACTAAATTACACTCCCACCAACAGTTGATAAGCATTCACTTTTCCCCACAACTTTGCTAGCATGTTTATTTTTCAATGTTTTAATAATAGCCATTGTCTTTCCAGGTCTACTCTCAACTCATCTACGTTCTTCCCTATGCCTCAGGATGCAAATGTTGAACCATCCTTGCAACACAGGGATAAATCCCACTTGGTCATGGTAATTTATCCTTAATGTGCTGTTGAACTTTCTTTGGTAATAGTATTTTGTTGAGGATTTTTGCATCCATGTTTCTCAGGGATATTGCCCTATAGTTTCCTTTTCTTGTGTATTTGTCTGGCACTGGTATCAGAGTGGGCTGGACTCATAAAATGAGTTCAAAAGTATTCCCTCCTATTTTTTTTTGAATGAGCTTGAGAAGGATTGGGATTAATTATTTAAATTTTTGGTGGAATTTACTGGTGAAGCCATTTGGTCCTGGGCTGTATTTTTTTGAGTTTTCTTTTTTTAAATAAATTACTAATGCAATCTTGTTACTCAACATCTACATGCAAAAGAATGAAATTTGATCCTATTCTTATATCATGCACAAAAATCAACTCTAAATGGATTAAAAACTTAAACCTAAGACCTGAAAATATAAAACTCAGAAGAAAGCACATAGAGAAATCTTCTTGATATTAGTCTTTGGAATGATTTTTTGGATATTACACCAAAAGAACAGGCAACAAGAGCAAAAATAGACAAATGAATTATATCAAAGTAGAATTATTCTGCAAGGCAAAGGAAACAATAGAATATAAAGGCAACTTATGGAATAGAAGAAAATATTTGGGAACCATATGTTTGATAAGTGGTTAATATCTAAGATGTATAAGGAACTCCTAGAACTCAACAGCAAAAATACAAATCTTCTAATTAAAAAATGAACTAAAGATTTGAATAGACATATCTCCAAGGAAGACATATAAATGGCGAAGATAAGAACAGTGCTTAACATCACTAAGCTGAGGGCAATACAAATATAGATCACAAAGGGATATTATTTCACACTTGTTAGCATGTCTATTTCTTTTTTAAAAAAAGATAGATACTGGTAAGTTTATGGAGAAGCTGAGACCTTTGTATTCTGTTGGTGGGAATCTGAAATGATACAGCCACTAAGGAAAACAGTTATGGGATTCCTTCAAAAATTAATAATGAAACTAGCATAGGATCCAACAATCTCATTTCTGAATATTTATCTGAAAGAATTGAAATTAGGATCTTGAAGAGATATCTGCACTTCCGTGTTTATTGAAGCATTATTCACAATAGACAAGATATGAAAACAATTTAAATGTCTATCAACAGATGAATGGTTAAAGAAAATTTGTTGTATACATGCAATGGGATATTGTTCAGCCTTAAAAAGGAGTAAAATCCTGCCATATGCAACAATGTGGCAGAACCTAAAGGATATTATGCAAATTTAAATAATTATGTAACAAGACAAATACTGCATGATTCCACTTATATTAGTTATCTAAACTAGGGAGTAGAACGGTGGTTGTGAGGGGATGTAGGAAGAGGCAAATGAGTAGTTTTTATTCAGTGGGTATAATTCAAGTTATGCAAATTGAATGAATTCTAGAGATCTGCTATACAACATGTCTATGGTAAGCCATACTGTATTGTGCACTTAATGTTGTTTTTTCTTTTTTTGAGACAGGGTCTCACTCCATCGCCCAGGCTAGAGTGCAGTGGCATGATCTGGGTGCACTGCAACCTCCACCTCCCGGGCTCAAGCTATTTTCCTTCCTTAGCCTCCCAAGTAGCTGGGACTACAGCTGTGCACCACCAGGCCCTGATAATTTTTGTATTTTTATTAGATATGGTGTTTCACCATGTTGGCCAGGCTGGTCTTGAACTCCTGACCTCAAGTGATTCTCTCACCTCGGCCTCCCAAAGTGCTGGGATTACAGGGATGAGCCACAGCTCTGGCTGCTTAAATTTTTTTTTTTTTTTTTTTTTTTTTTGAGATGGTGTCTCACTCTGTCACCCAGGCTGGAGTGCAGTGGCACGATCTGGGCTCACTGCAACCTCCACCTCCCGGGTTCAAGCGATTCTCCTGCTTCAGCCTCCTGAGTAGCTGGGATTACAGGTGCCCACCACCACGCCTGGCTATGTTTTGTATTTTTAGTAGAGAGGAGGTTTCACCATGTTGGCCTGGCTGGTCTCAATCTCCTGACTTCAGGTGATCCACCTGCCTCAGCATCCCAAAGTTCTGGGATTACAGGCATGAGCCACCACGCTCAGCCAAATTTTTTTAAGTAGGTAGATCCTTTGTTAAGTGTTTTTACTCTCTCCCACCACACACACACACAAAGGCACATGAGGAAACTTTTGGGGATGATAGAGATATCTATTACTTTGATTGTGGTGATTGTTTTATGGTGCAAGCATACAACTGAACACATCCATGTGTATTAAATACATGCAATTTTGTGTGTATTAATTATACTTCAATAAAGCTGTTAAGACAAAAAGAGTACTATTACAAATGATAGCAAATATTGGTAGTAAATAATCAGAGGTAGTCCTTTAAAATCAGATACATACAAACTGGCCTGCCACTGTTATTTGTACTTGAGAGACCATGCTAAGGAAATGAGTTATACGGCAGGCTGCTAGGTGGAATCCTGGCTCTGTTATGATTAGCTGCAAAAGGTTGAGCCACTTACTCAACTTCTTTCGATCTCATTTTTCTCATCTGAAAAAAAATGAAATAATTATATTATCTACCTCATTTGGCATGTTGTCAGTTTTAAATAAATTATCACATGTACTTTGAATGGAAACTTGCACATAACATATTAACAAATGTTATCCTTCATTATTATCTTTCTTTTTATTCAGCATTGTTTTGGAAGTTCTGCTCAGTTCAATAAGAAAGAAAAATTAAAGAAGTAATTATTGGAAAAAAATGAACTGTGTCATTATGATAGAAAATTCAAGGGCATCTGTAGAAAATTGTAATTTACCAGAAAAACTCAAATTCACCATAACATCACTATGCTCCCCTAGATAGTGTATACTTTTGCATACATAATTTGTTATATGTATTCCTAGATACTGTATCTAGGAATGTGGCAGAGCCTCCTAGAAGACATTAAGCAAATTGAAATAATTATTTAACAAGACAAATAGAGCACGATCCCAATTATATTAGGTATCAAAAATAGGGAGTAGAATGGTGGTTGCTAGGAAATATGAGGAGAGAAAATGAGTTTTTATTCAATGTGCATAAAACACATACAGTATCTAAAAATGCATATAACAAATTATGTTCCAGACATTTTAAATATTATGAAATTCAATAGAAAGAGATAAAGGAAAACTAGGTATCTGTAGTGATGTTCCGTGTTTATGGATGTGATGACTTAATTTGTTGGAAGAGTCAATCCCCTCTTTTAAAATAATTTACTATAATTCAAATTAAAATTATCTATGTGTGTGTTTGCATGTATGTAACTTAAAAAGCTGGTTTGGACGTACATATAGAAATGTTACAAAGTCAAAAAGAACTAAGGCAATTTTGAAGTAGAAGAATGTGAAGGTTTATTCTACCAGATATCAGGATATATAATACTTTTGCAGTTTTAAAATATAGAGGTTTTTATACAAGATTAAACAAATAGATCAATGAAAGAGAACTGAGAACTGAAGCAGTCACACATAAATATGTCATTGATATATACAAATCATTTGGGAGGAGGAAATAATGAAATAATTTATTTAATAAATCATGTTGAAATAATTAGCTATCTTCCTAGAAGTACAACAAATCTAGTGTTCCATTTCATGCTGTACACAAAGACAAATTCCAGATTGAGAACTACTTCAGATTCCAAATTGAGAATACAAGAAGTACTTCTGTGAAATAGTCTTTTACTAAACATAGAATGCATTAGTTGCAAAAGAAATTAGTCCTATTTAAAGTTAAAGCTTATGTATTACAAAGACACCAGTAATAATATGTACAAAAACACACATATACACAAACAAAGCAACAACAAAAATGAAAACAAGTCATAGATTGGCAGAATATTTGCATATTGATATTTGTAGTACATTTCTGAAGGAAAATGAAATCAGAACCCTAGTAATCAATAAGAAAAAGCTACATGGCCCATTTCAAAAATTGCAACAATATGAACAGACAACTCACAGAAGAGGAAATAGCAATAGCAAAAAATAAATGTGGCAGTCTTGTTAATATGCATAAAGCCTGAATATGAATAATGGCCCAGCATTTTGCTTTCAACAGATTGACACAATTTGACAGTATTAATAATAAATGCTGGTGAGGTTGAAGGGAAGTAGAAATGTAAATTCAATACTTCGATATTGGCAGTTCATCAAGTGGCTTCTTCCTAAGAGATGACATATCAGGAATTCCTCGGGATATACAAAAAAACCCTATCTACCTGGTTGTGTTAGTTTATTTGTGACACTATAACAAAATACCTCAGACAGGATAATTTATACACAATAAAAATTATTTTTTATGGTTCCAGAGGCTGAGAAGTTCAAAATCAAGGTGCCAACAGGATTGGTGCCTGGTAAGGGCTGCTGTCTGCTTCCAAGATGGCACCTTGTTGCTTCATCCTCCAGAGGAAAGGAACACTGTGTCGTCACATGACAGAACAGACAAAAGGGCAAGAGAGCTTTCTTCAACTTTCAATTATTTTATAAGGATAATAATTCCCAAGGCAACACCTTTTAATACAGTTGCATTGGAATGAAGTTTCAAAACAAATTTTGGAGGATATATCATTATTCAGACCATAGCAGTAGTTTCACAACTTTTCATAAAATAGATGAATATCATTCTCTGACTTGAAAAATATTCAAAAGCAAAGCTGTAATTTTTTAATTGAAAAAATTTCCAGTCTTATGTATTTTAAAATAAGGGTATATCTTCCTGAAATTATAACACTTCGTGAATCAGAGAAAATATGCAATATTCTTAAGTGAACAAGGAATTATAAACAGAAAACCACCAACCAGTATTCTGATTTAGGTTACATGTTATGGAGCATAATCTCTTCACATTTGATATCCTGTGGTTCTCATTTTTTAATACTCAATTTCTTGTTTCAAGATTAAAATTTCAGATATGTGTGATGATTCTAACATCAGTGAATAAATGTCCAGAATATTAAAGCCCCCCACAGCTATATGATCAGATAATAGACTACATGAAATAATTTTCAAGAACCTAAACTAGAATTTTAAAAATATATATATCAGGTTTCAATCCAAAGGAAGTAAGAGATCAAATAGATCAGACATTTCAACAATACTAATTAGTTGTGTTGACTCTTATGAGGCCTCACAAAAGCATTTGGCAACTTTCAGGTAAGTATTACTCAATACCACTTTAAAGTCCTCAGTACTTCAGTTAAAAATGCCAACAGATGAATTTAGTGATAACAAAGTTTAAGTGTTTATGTTGCTTGTAATTTTCTCATTCATAATAAATTAATTTTTAATAAATTTGAAAATTCCATTTTATATCTTTTTACATGAAATTAATGGATATGCTGCAATATTTGTTAATTTTAATATGTGTGAGCTATAAATGTTAAAGCTAAAGGAAAACACTTCTAAGACAGCAAAGAAGCTTTTGGCTTTCTGAAGAACATGGAAATAATAAGAACAAACAATACAGGTTTCAGATTAAAAAAGTGCAGAGATTGAATTCTGGCTTCACTACCTAACAGTAACATCTTACATAAATTGCTTGTATTTGCTTATTTCTGTAACCTCATTTAAAAAATGAGGCTATTATTTCCTACTTTACAGTCTTATTTGAATCCTGTGTAAAGCATTTAGTGCTGTGCTGGTACATATTAATAAAACATGTTCATTGGTGTCGACTCCCCTCCAACCCCCCACATCAAATCTGAACCGGCTTGTGACAAATTAGCCAACTGAGAGGGACAGAAATAATGCTCCAGGATTGAAGAGGTTAGGCATCTTTAAGAAAGACTGGCAGTTTCTGCTCTTGCTGTTTTGGAATTCCTGAGCTACCACAAAAAAAATATCCAGTTATTTTACTGGAAAGACCTAATGGAGGGGCACATGGAGAATGAATGTCTGACAATATATAAAAGGTAGAGAGCCTGACCATCTCAATGCTAATTGGAAGCTCCCAATCACTCTAGCCCCAACAACCATCTGTGTGCACCCACACAGAGAATCGAAGTGGGAAGTGCAGAACTGCCTCGCCAAGCCTGGTCAACCCACAGACTCATGAGAGATAAGTACACTCGTTGCTGTTTCAAGCCATTAAATTTGGGGTATTGTGTTAAGAAGTGATAAACAATGAACACAACTATATCAAAATGGCTTATAGAGGTTTTATTCGTTAAAATAAAACTTATTAAGTTTCCATATTGTGCCAGGTATGGAACTGAGGATACAATGGTGAGCTCAAACAGTAAAAATTCTCACCCACATGGAAGCAGAGCCTGGCAGGTTACAGACATAAAGTCAAATGCTTACGACAAAGTGCTGTAAAGGAAAATTGTGAAACGCTGGGGAGAAATCTGAGGTCAACATAGTCCTAGAGGCTCCTGAGGAATTAAATTTGAATTGAAATAAGAAGGATAGGTAGGCATATTAACGAGGTAAGGTGACCGTGGGAGATACATTTTCCACTGGAGAGACAGCCTGTGCAAAGTTTCTTTAGTACGAGAAATGATGTAAGGCGTTCAAAGGTAACTACCAAGGCTGTAGCACTGAGAATTAAGGGAGAGAAGGACAAGATGAGTTTGATTAGGGCCAGATTAGGCAGAGTCTTGTAGGCTGTGTTAGAGAAGAACTAATTTATGTGCAAAGCACATCCCTTCCACCCCTAATTTTTTGTTATGCACAAAATGATCTAACTATCACTATCAAGAAGGTTATATTATGGTGAGTGGGAATCCTTTTATATTTGCCCTTTTGGCAGAGAGGGAGAATTGTCTTAAAAATATAGATAGGAGTTTACAAACCACATTTGAGATGTACCAAATCCACATGTTCAAAAGCTGGTCATCAGAATTCAGTATTTTAAAAAAAAATCCCCTGCAATTCAGATGCAAAGAATTCACGGACTAATATGTGGGAACCACAGGTTTCAAGGAACAAGTGTTACAATTGTCTTTCCCAATTTAAAAGCAAAAAATGGAGGTTAAGCAACATCGCTTTGGTTGCACAGTTAGCTAATTGCATAGCTGAGATTCTTTCACAGGCAGCTTGACTCCAGAACCTGTGATTTTTATACCATACACTGCAGTGGCCATTAAGGCCATCTCTGCTGATGATGTGAACAAGTTGTTTAAATATCTTAAGCTTTGTGCAGTGGTAGCATTGTAACCAATTAGGCTTATCCAAGGCACAATTATTGCTAATTAAATATCATATTTCTGTTTCCTTATATTTAAACAGAGGAAACTGGGCTACATGATTTCTTCATTCCCTCTAAGAAAGAAATGTTTTGCCTACCTCACTTCTCATATTTTGGAAATGAACATCAGTGTACAATATGAGAGTATGGAGGAAGCTCATCACTATTCAGTTGCCAATTGCATCTGTACACACCAGATATATCATCAATTCACACTTTCAGGTTCTATGACCATATGAGCAAAACATGTTTTGTTCAGGCCTCCAAGAATGTTTGAAAGAAGCTGAGGTCCTTTATTTTACAAAAATGAAGGGGGAGCACATGCGTATTCATTTCTCAGGGAAGAATAGACCCAGGACTGGATTTCTGATGATCTGGGTGAGAGAAGCCCACAGGTGCATTGTGTGGAGCTGCATGATAGCCAAAGAACAGGTTTCAGGGTGTATACCAAATCAACTCAAGCAGACAGCCAAAACAAAGCATCATTTCAAATGAGAAGTTGACAGTTTTTCCAATACTGAAAAGAAAGCAACAGCTGATATGGAACCTATGGTTTCTGTTCAACCCATTCTGGATAGAACCAGCATGGCACATGTATACATACGTAACTAACCTGCACATTGTGCACATATACCCTAAAACTTAAAGTATGATAATAATAAAATAGAAAAAATAAAAAAAAGAAACATTGAGCCTAGAAAACTTGCTTGAGCTTGAGAAATGATGAAGGGATACAAAGGCTGAAGTGCTGCAGGGACTTTTTATAAGTCACCTGTGGCATCTTTTCTGGGTTGACACACTGAAGAGGATCAAATTTCTTTTCCTTCTCTGCTTTTCACATTTTATCTGACTCATTTTATCTGTCACGTCTTCAGCGCTGAGCTAATTAAGGAAGGAAATTCTGAATACGACCACACTATTATTTTCCTGTAAAATATGTCACTATCTCAGAACTCATTTGTTTCAAAAACCCAATTCCCTGTGGCAAATGAGAGGACGGGTACACTGCACACTTGAAAGACCTTTAAGTAATCATTAAGCAATGGTTAGAAACTGAATTTATTAAATTACTTCATAAATGCTGCTTAACACCAAGAGATTATGTAGGTACAGGAAACTCCAAGGTATTTTTATTGAAACAATAATTATCCTTCTTTTCTATATATAAATTTTCTTTTTAAAAGTTTGTCCTTGAATGTCATTAAGCCACGGTCTGAGACATGGGTGATTATCAGAGAAGATCAAGAGAAAGGACTTTTCTACAGTTTATTGTCCAGGGAACAATTTCTAATCATCTTGCTCCCCCACAAGGAATATATATCTGACAAGGGGGTATTATTTTCACAAACAATTCTTAAAAGACCAAGTTCTACAAAAACACCTTCATCTCAATTTATTTTATGGTGCATGTTTTGTTTTTCTTAAAAAGCATTACTTTTATGGTGGAATATTTTAATGTCTCCATACATAAAATGAAACAAATTACAAAAGTAAAGGAGAAAGAACCTGTATTTAAAGGATCATAGAAACAGAGTTTTATTGAGGTCTGTAGTTGCTTTTAAGTATCTTAAGTTATTATGATCTTATGCCATCTAAATATTGAGAAATTATATGTCTACTAATTTGGAAGTAGTAGAGGCATATTTTAAAATAAATTCTGTTTCACAATGTTATCTAAGTAACAATTGAGTATTCAATGTACTAATCTTGTCCCTTGCAGTATTTTATTAAAGTTATATCTTGGAGTATTTCCATATTTAAGATCTATAAACCTGAAGAGACAGATGGCTAAATGCTGCACAGATAAATGAAAATGATGAATAATTCCAGAAAGGTTACTGTAGTACTGTTAGTACATTTATCCACCATGTTAGTTCAATCTGCTTCTGTCTAGACAACTTAAATATTGAGGACTTTTTCAATTAGGAAAATAATTTTTATACTTTATTCAACCTGTGTTAGTAGAAACCACAAATATTCTTACTTACATTACAATTTATTCATAGACAAAGTGCTGCATTTACTTTGTATCCTATCATTCTTAAGTTGAGCATATATTAATGTTATGTGTGTTAGGCAACATCTGTTATTGAAAATTATGGCTTATCTTTTCAAAAATTATTCAGATTTTGGACAAGTTTGTGGAAGCTTGATATCTTATATGGGAAGTACTTAATAAAACTATTTGAAAAAATGAATGCTAAATATGCTAAACAACAATTCCCCAGAAAAAAATTTAGAGTTTGAGTTTGAGGCATGCCAAATAAGTTGAAGGTTTATTTCATTTTCTTTTTCCTCTGACTTGTCTCTTGGACAAGAAGCTTAAGGTCTGACAGAAAATAATGGATAAATAACCCAGGAAACAATTACCTAGAATAATATAGTTAAATGTGGTAGCTTTAACACATGAGCTCATACCAGTACTTCCTGAAATTACACTGAATTATAATGAATACATAAACATATTATAAACCCACGAGTGTGATTGTGAAAGATGATGTAACACCAAAGAATAGAGATCAACACAATTTTGCAAAAAATAGATTGATGAATCATAAATAAATTAGCTAAATACAGAAAGCTGAAAACTTACAACCGTGCAGTAGAAAGACCACCACAAAACAAATTAATTTGTATCTCAAAATGCCCAAAAGGAAACAGTCAGAGGCACTAGGTAACTATGAAAATAGGTTGGAGATAGTTTGATTAAGAAGTAATTAGACAGACTGTCACTCCAAATTCACTAAACTGGGTGAGTATCACTCTTACTCTGGCAGGAGAAAGGAGGCATATTGGTGGAAGAACTTGAACAAAACAGGCTCTGTTCTTCTGCCCCCTAGACACTACAGAAAGAGGGGAGTTGTTCTCCCCAAAACTGAAAACCGGAGGAGTAAGTAAGAGTCCATCTAGGAATAAGTCTCCTGCCTTCTTTACCTTAAGTATTATGAGAACACTGACAGCCAAAGTTATTACAACTGCAGTCCCTCGCCCCATAAACACACACACACACACACACACACACACACACTTAAGACCCATCACCCCAGCAAAATATTGGTGAGAATAAGAAGACCCCAAAAATGACATAGTTCCCACCTGATTATCCTACTCTAAAGCCCAAAAGAACAAATCACACCCCAACAAAGGGTCCTGATTAGTTTGCTAGTCTGCCATAATTAATTACCACAAACTAGGTGATTAAAATAACAGAAATGTATTATCTTGCAGTTCTGGAGGCAAATATCTGAAATTGAGATATCCACAGGACTATTCTCCCTCTGAAGGATCTAGGGAAGATGCCTCCAGGCCTTCAAGCTTCTGGTGGTCATGGACACTCCTTAGCTTCTTTGTTTTCTTCCCTCTGCAAGTTTCTGTGTCTGATTCTCTCTCTCTTTCTTCTTATAATGGCACTACTCGTTGGATTTAACGCCAACTCTAATCCAGTATAACCTTATCTTGATTTAACTATTCAATCTGCAAAGACCTTATCTCCAAATAAAGTCACATTCTGTGGTTCTGGGTGAACATGGATTTGGGGTAGACACTATTCAACCCAGTAGAGAGTCCCTGTATTTTATTGTTTCAAGTGTGAATAGTTTATCCAACCTGTATCTTCTCTTCTTTTAGTGGAGGAATAAGATCATGTGATGGACAGTCATAGATCCATAAAAAAGGAAGAGAAGAAAGAAATTTTGGGCATGAACACAAAAAAAGTAAATCAAATTAGCAAAACAGATGCTTGCTAAAATATCTTTTGCTTCTATAAAATTTTGTAGCTCAAATATATATTTTATTTCAACCAATGATACAGTTTATATGCCTTAAAAATATGACAAATTTGATTGGTATTGATTAAGATTTGCATCTGTTAAAAATTTGTACCATTTTCATCTTCTGAATAAGAATTCTTCAAATATATATTTTAAAAATCAGAGTGAAATGTACTCAATAGTTACTACAGCAGCTACTTAAAAACTATCTTTTCTAAGCATAATATAAAGATACAGTCTCTACTTCTGTATATCTAATAGATTTAAGAAATAACTATTTAAAGTGACTTTCATGATTGAAAATTGGTTTACCCTATCATGTAATGTTTGTTTTAATAAAAATCTGGTTTTCTTTTTTCCTAGAAATATATCGAACAAGCACAGCAGCAACTACAAAAGGCGTGCTTCTGTAAGTGGTTTTCTATGATTTATTATTGTGGAGAATAAAAACAAGTATGCAGATTTATCTTACCTTTTTTTATCTTCTAGAAATCCTAAACTCAAATGTGGAGTTCAAATTTCTGATATCTATTCATTCTGATTCCTTCCAATATAATTTGTTATGTTTTATATTTCAAGATGTTTGTTTGTTTTGCTAGAATAAATGTATGATGGTGTAAATAGAGAAAACAAAGTTTTTTCTATTTTCATATAACTCCAGCTCCTAATATCTATGTAATCTAACAAGCTACTTACCCTAAGCCTCAGTTTTTTCCTTTGAAAAAATACAGGGGTAATAGTGTCTACCTTACCAGATCATTACGAAAATTAAATGAGATAATGTATTTACAGCATTTAGCACCATGTCATGTTCATTTATTCATTCTACTTATCTAAACATCTTTTAAACTTCTTTATCAGTGATTAAGTTATCAGTTACAGATAACGATGTTAAATTAACAGAGACAAAATATGACCTAATGAAATTTAGGATAATTAAATGCCTCCAAAATGGGACTACAATCACTAAAACTATAACTACATATAAATTCTATGTTAAAAGGAGTTACATAGCATGGGTAACTATAAACTCATGAACCTAAATTTTATTTGTCTCAGGTTAATCTGATTATTTTTATTAACATATGTATACTCTGTAGATCTTATTCCTTGACTTAAAATATCTTCTCTAAATGTCTTCATCTTTGAAATGAAATCTTGACAAAAGCTGTAGACTTACGCTGCATCAAGATGAGTGATAAAGCAGCACAACAGATGACAATCCTTCCCACTGTAATTTCAGTGTGGTGTACCCAGACTGAGACATTTCTTCCCACTCACGAACTACTGCAACCAAATTTTGAGTCAACAGAGACACGATTTCATATAAATTTATCTTTGTATCCAACAGAGTGGTGAGTACAATGTTTTATATTCCAAATGAGCATTTCTGGAATTAAAATTAATTTTGTAGGTCTTAGTATTTACTCACCATTATTGTTCTAATTGAGCAAGTTCCTTAATTTTCTTACTTTTAGCACTATCCTCATTATATGTAGTTGTGATTTTTCTAATAGATGACAAAAACTATAACGTATCATTTTATTTACAGTACCCAGTTGATACATTCAGACACTTGGTAAATATTTGTTGAATAAATAAATAACCTGTAAACTTCAAGGCTACATTCTTATTGTTTATAAAACACATTATAATGATTTAATGCAATAATTACATCATGCCTTATTTTAATTATTGAATTGTACTTATTTTCTCCTAAAACATGTCAAAATGCATAAGGAGTGATTAGGGAAACATAATATTTTTATGAAGGTTGTCAGACAAATTATTGAGAAAAGATTTTAAGCACACCTGCACAAACTCATTTAAAAGCAGAAGATATAGAGCTGTTTGCCTAGCACAAAAGTGCTATGGTGATAAAAGGGAAATTATCTGCATTATATTTTATTTCCAGATGGTACTATGTTACAAAACGGGAGTCTAAATTATTGCAGAAATGTGTCTTTAAAAATAGATCCTGCATAAATATATTTCTAAAATTCAAGAGACTGAGTTTGCACTATTAATACAATATAAATTGCACAAATAACAGGTAAGTTTAAATTAAATACTAGTGATTTTATTTTCCTTTAGTCATGAAGAAAATTAGGAGTTTTATTTGAAAAGGGCAACTTGTCCAGCATATCATAAGCTTTAACTTTCAAGTCAAAATGATTGAACTCTTTAAGAAAAAGGAAATGTCTTTGAGAATGCAAAAAGGGTTGTGGATTAAAATAATATTAACCATCTCAAAGACTTTTTAAAACAGACATTTATATGAATATCTAACAAAATTAAGAAGGCAAAACATTACTTTGTTAAAGGAAAGTGTAGCTTTTTTCTATTTTTTTTCTTTGCTGCAATACCCGTTTACCACTGTTGGGTAGTATATTAGGGTTCTAATTGCTGATGTAAATACATGCTAAAATTTCAGTGACTTTAGCCAATAGAAATTTATTTATTGATCATGTAACAGTCAACATGGAAGCTCTTAGTTGAACACTAGCTTTACTCTTCGTGATTGATTAGAGACTCAGGCTCCTTCATTCTGTACTTTTGCCATCCTGTAGGGTTTCAGAATCTATTGCAGTTAGCTGGCAGATGGGGGAATAGAGGATAGATAATATACACAAAAAGTTCCATAGATTCAAGGCATCTGAACATGTGGTCCCTGGCAGGGCAGCTATTTCTCAATTATATCACTGTACTATGGAAAGAGGAACAAAACTTATGGTGGAAAATTCATCATCTCTGCTTCATGTATTCAGGGCCACACTCACATAGGAAATTAAGTCATAGTCTTGCCTATCCCAAAATATCTCTTTATCATTCTCACTTGAAACTCTAAAAGTTTAAGTTGTGTGTTTTCCTGCTTAATTTGGGAAGGGGGACCTGATAAGAATGACAAACTAATACTCATGAAAGCATTTTATGAACAAATAGTCAATAGATAAAAATATTTGCACAAATCAGTTGAGATGGGAAACTTCTGATTCATACCCCTTTTTAAATAAAACCTGAATATTCATCTTTACAAAGAGCTTTTTCTGATATCTGTAGCCTTAGGTGGTTGTATTCAGTTGGTATTTTCAGTTTTCAAAAAAAAGCTCACTTAAAATACAGATAAGAAATGACAACCTTTGATCAAATACATTTTTTAAGCAAGAAGATTTAAGGATACCACCAATTAAGCCATTACTACAATTTAGGCCATTGTGGTGGTCTTTGCTAAGATAATATTAAAGAAAGAACTTCTTATTGTAACCTTAAGTTAAAATTATAATGAATATAAAATTCTTTGTTTTAACAGTTGGGTTGATATCCTAAAATATTTTATTTCTTACACAAGGAAAATGTTTTGAAATAGAATTTCAATTTCTCTTTTATTTTTGATCTGACAAACCATCTGAAAGGAGATCCAAATTGGTAATAAAGTAAATACTATGGGAGGGAGGAAAGACACAAAATGTTTGAATATTCTGTAAACTAAAGTTTCTCCTCATGAATAATCAGTCATCAGTAAGGAGTTTCAAGTTTTATTAACATTTAAATAAAAATATAACATGCGTAAAGTATTCTAAAATACAAGAAATATTACATGATGTTGCTTGTGAGTAAAATCTGGAATTCTCATAAACAGTTAAGAAGATTTTTAATCAGTTTTTTTCCTCCTTTTCTTACATTTCTTATATGATGAGTCACTTCCTTTAATTTGGCCAATTAACTAATCTTCATATTGTCTGCCATTTTTTTATTATTGCTATCTCTCTGAGTTCAATAAATTTCATTTCCCTTAGATTTCAGACAAAAGCCATTATCATACATAAAAGGCCTGCCTGATCAAAATGTCAGCTATCCTTTTAGACTTATCTGAACCATTCTACTACTTACTTTCCCGGCTCTAGCATAGTGACCTTTTGGTTCTCTTAATGATCACTCTAGTCCTACCCACTAATCAGACTTCACACATAGTGTTTTCTTGTTTACAATGGTCCATTCCTCCTTTAAGTCTCAGTTTAAGATATATTCATTCTTGAGGAATGATTTTCCTTTTGATGTAAAACACATGCAATTTATAATTGTGCATTAACTAAAATGAGTATGTGTTTAATGCATCTCCCCTACTAGATTGCTATTTGATGAAAATAAAGATCATATCTGCTGTTTCACCATTGTAATCAGCATAGGTTGTAATATTCAGCTATTATGTGTACAGTACAGCTACTTGCTCCTAATTACAGTGACCACATCTCAGTTTTCCCAGGCTTTTCCTATTTTAAGCATATTGCCCCAGCTTAGCACTTATCTTCAATATCAACATTTCGTTTGGGCAATACAATATATGGCCACCTTCCCATAATGAGCGAGTCAGAAATACTTGTTAAATATTGACTGAACTGATTGCTTCATTCATTTATTCATTTAAATGTGTTACATGAGATATTTTGATACAGGCATGTAATGTATAATAATCACATCAGGGTAAATGGGGTATCCATCACCTCAATCATTTATCCTTTGTTTTTCAAACAATCTAATTATACTATTTTAGTTATTTTAAAATGTACAATTAAATTAATAATACATAACTAGTATGATAATACTATATTATCTTTTGTTGTTTAAATTATCTAAAGTATATATATTCTAAAACTGCTTAAGTGATAAAAAATTGATAATGAAGTTATTCTATACATTTCCAGATATTTTGTATGTATTTTGTGTAATCTTTTATTAGATGCAAACTTTACTAAGTAAATGAAGAGTCTGTCTTAGCCAAGAACTAAACCAAAAGTTTCCATTAGTGATCTGTATAGCAGGAAGATAATTTTCCTTAACAACAACAAAAATAGTGTTTGAAACACCGAAATATATCTCTGGTTCTGTTGAGGAAATATCAATTATAGTCAATTTTTTTTCTAGCCATTATAATATTATCCGAATGTCTTATATATAAATTATTCACTAAAACAAATTTTTTGAAATGTTATACTTAAAACTATATGGAGCCTAACACTTTTGCTCATATGTGAGATACTTTAGCATTATGCATACTCTTGATGGGCAACTGAATTTGAATTCCAGTTATGACCTTTACATTTTTTAAAACAAATTAGAAACCCCCTATTTCTTTATTTCTTTAATTCAAAAACTGTGGTCATAATTATAGTATGAAAATAAGTTCAAATTTTAAAAAGTTTAGAATGCTGCCAGACTCAAGATCAAACAAATTTCAGTTCTTAAACTGAGGAATATTAATATTAGTACCTGTGATGGGCAAATGTTGCTGAGTTTCAAGAAACTCATCTCCTTAAAAAAAGGTGCTACTCAACAGGGATGGTAAAAAGGAGGATCTGCGTTTTAGACATTTTCTGTCTATCTTTTTCCTAGGAATTCATTTACCCCAGTTCTCTTCTGTTATGGAGGATGACTGTCATGTTGTTGGACTCTATAGGGGGCCATCCAATAGTTTATGATTACAGAAACTGAAGCAATCGTAAACATCCATACTAAGGCATCTCCAAGGATATGCCAGCTGAGAAGCAGATGGCCACAGTCAGATGGGCAATTTACCATTGATTTCTAGGGTGCTTGCATTGTTGCTTCGTGTTTTTAATCTCCACAGGTTTTGAGACACATTCTGATAGGGAACACGGAGGTATGAGGTTGGCAAATGAGTGACCTGGTTAGTAGCACCTAGTCATTATTCATCCAGGATTCCCTGAGGCCAAGTAGGAGGTAGAAATGCCACAGTTCCTTTTTTGTGGTATTTGTGGAAGCTAATTGTGTGGAATTTGTGGAATCAAGACTTTTGTAGGCTGAATGTCTTTAGTGTCAAACTGTTTCTCTTTCTATATTCTCTGTATTAATAAATGGCACCATCTTTCATCTAGGCATCCAATGTAGAAACCTGGAAGTCCCCCTCTTCTTTTCCCCTCATTCTACATATTAACGAATTAATCAAGTCATAGTGACACCATTTCTCACTTGTTGGTGATGTTCTCCACCGTTATTTTCTTGATTCAGGTCCTTGTCATAGCTCTTCTGGATGATTATGATTTCCAACCTGCTGCCTTTCTGCTTTCAGTTTTGCAAACCTCTGCTTCATCCTTCATATTGTTGCCCCAGTCTAAAAAATGCAAATCTCATCATGTAACTGCTTAAATCCTTCAGAAGTTTTCTATAGCTTAAAGCAATACTTCTCAACTTATGCTCTTAGGAATCTTGATTTAAATACTGTGACCTTCAGGTGTGATGAAGAGGAAAAGAAACAGACAGAGGGCAAGATCCTGGCAACCTTATCTTGTTTCCTACTGAGGAATTTAACTTTACCGTTTTTACATATTTTTGTGGGTAAGATTTTGTTTGTATGATGTGTTGCCATATAAGCAACTATAGCAAATTCCAACCAAACAATTTTGAAAACAATTGAGCTAAAAGATCAAGTCCAAATTTTTGATATACCATGCACTATCATCTATAATATAGCTTTTGATTATTTTTAGCATGATCTTTTAATCCTTCATAGCCTGCCAAGAAAGCAAAAACCAACTCCAGCCATACTCAATTTTTATGCACATTTCTTTGACTATGCCACATTTTAAATTTATTCATTGTTTCAAAAAATAAGTCTTAAGTACCTACTGTTTGCCAACTACTATACTAAGTGCTAGAGACATAGTGGTAATCAAAATAAACAAAATATGTATATATTATTGATATATAGAATAAATCAGTATATCAATAGCACATAAAAAGTGCTGTGGAAAAAATATAGAAATTGGAATAGAGAATTTGAAGATTATAGTGGTGGTGTTTTTTTTTTTTTTTTTTTTTTTTGAGGCAGGTTCTGGCTCTCTCCCCCAGGCTGTAGTGCAATGGTGCAATCATGGCTCACTGTAGACTTGATCTCCTGAGTGCAAGTGATTCTCCCATCCCAGCCTTCCTTGTAGTTAGGTCTATAGGTGTGTGCCACCACACGCTGCCAAGAGTGGAATATAGTTTTAATTATAAACATGGTAGCCAGGGAAAGTCTAACAGAGATGGTAGCCTATGAGTTAAGCCCCAAAGTTGGTGAGTTCAGACATCTAAGGGTAAAGTTTTCCAAGCAAAGAACAGAAAATGCCAATTCCTTTAGGCAAGAGGATGCCTAGAATATAAGAGAAACACACAAAAAAAGCCAAAGTGGCTAGAGCTGAAGGAACAAGCAAAAAAAGTAGTAGGGGATGAGAGTATGAACAAGATGGGAACCAAAGTATAAAAAAGCCAAGTAGGTCATTTTAATACTGGCTTTACTCAGGGTGACATGCTGTGTTATGACTGTCATAACAAAGTACCGAAATCAGAGTGGATTAAAACAACAGAAATGTATTCTGTCACAGTTCTGAAGGCCAGACAGAAGTCAATGTGTCAGCGGGGCCACGCTCCCTCTGAAGGCCTAGGAGAGGGGTCCTTCCTTGGCTCTTCTTAGTTTCCAATAGTGACCACTGATTGTTGGCATTCCTTTGCTTGTATCTGCATCTCTCCAGTCTCTGCCTCTGCCATCACATGGTGTTTTCCGCAAATGTCTCTCTTTCCTTATAAAGACACCAGTCACATTGAATTAAGAGCTCATGCTACCCAAGTATGATCTCATCTTAACTTACTAATTACATTTGTAATGACCCTATTTCCAAATAAGATCACTATCTGAAGTATTATTACGCCTCTATCATACCTTTTTAGGGGATATAGTAATAGTGACACTGTTTCTTATTTGTTGGTGATGTGTTCCCCACTGTAATTTTCTTGGTTCAGGTCCTTGTCATAGCTGTCCCAGACTATTATGATTTCTTCATAATAATTTAAGCCTTCATGCATAGGAAGCCAGAGAGTTTTGGTTTAGAAGTTATATGACAAAGTCTAGCTTGAACGTGAAGGAGACATGTTTTATTGGTTTTCTAAGGGTATATTTCTTTTTATTAGTAAAATTGTGAAAGTCGTTCCAAAGGGCTATGTAGAAGTGTGTGTGTGTGTGTTTGTGTGTGTTTGGCTACAGAGGTGGTTAAATAGAAAAATGCTTAGTAAACATATATTCATAAATTTCGTAAGGCCAATTAAGGTTAAAATACATAAAGAGGTTACAAGTAAAATACTTCAACAGGCACAATCTTGCAGGAAAGGTGGGATTTTTTAAAAGTAATTTTTCCTTATTTTTAATCTATGAACAACTTGCTAAATTATTTATAGGCTGGGAGCGGTGGCTCCTAGCACTTTGGGAGGCTGAAGTGGGAGGATTGCTTGAGCCCTGGAGTTTAAGACCAGCCTGGGCAACATAGTGAGATCCTATCTCTACAAAAAAATTTAAAAACTGACCAGGCATAGTGTTGCACACCTGTAGTCCCGACTGTTCGGGAGGTTGAAGTGGAAGGATTTCTTGAACCAGGGAGGTCGAAGCTGTAGTGAGTTATGATTGTGCAACTGCATTCCAGCCTGGGTGACAGAGTGAGACTCCATCTCAAAAAAAAAAAAAAAAAAAACAAAAAAAACAGTTACACTATCTGGCTTAGATTTTGAAAAGATCTTTTTAGCTACTCTGATTAAAGACTAAATAGAGACAAGGTTGGAAGCAGGGAGACCAACTGGGAGGTGGTGATAGAAGACAACAGCCTTGGACCAAGGTGGGAACAGTGGAGGTGGTAAGTGGTGGAATTTAGATATATTTCCAAGGTAGAGCTGATAAAATTTACTAATAGATTACAATGCAACTTTAAAAGAGAGCAGTATAAATAATTTCAAAATTTTGGCCTGAGCAAGTAAAAACCTGGGATTTTTATCTAAGAAGGAAAAAATTTAAAAATTGAGTCTAGAAGGAGAAGAGGAAAGGTTCAGCTGAACATAGCAAATTTGAGACATGCTTAGTTTTTCTGAAAAGTCCTGGTTTAGGCCTATTGTCTATGTTGTATGCTGTACAGCATGTCTCTCGTTATTTTATTTATTATTATTATTATTATTTTGAGGTGGAATAGCCCTCTTTCACGCAGGCTGTGGTGCAGTGGCATGATCTTGGCTCACCACAACCTCCACCTCCCAGGTTCAAGCAACTCTCCTGCCTCAACCTCCTGGGTAGCTGGGATTACAGGTGCCCACTATCATGCCCCGCTAACTTTTGTATTTTTAGTAGAGACAGGGTTTCACTATGTTGGCCAGGCGAGTCTCGAACTCCTGACCTCAAGTGATCCTCCCATCTCAGCCTCCCAAAATGGTGGAATTACAGGCATGAGCCACTGCGCCCAGCCATCTGTTGTTATTTTATAATGTAACATAATATTAGTATTAGTAGTGTATTATGTTCCTCTAGCAGCCTTGACAGATTACCAAAAACTGGCTGGCTAAATCAAATAGAACTGTATTCTCTCACAGTTTTGGAGGTCAGACGTCTGAAATCAAGGTGTTGGCAGGACTTCTGGAAGTCCCGAGAGAAAATTTCTTTCATGCCTTCATTCTAGCTTCTGATGCTGCTGGCAATCTTTGGCATTCCTTCACTTGCAGATACATTACTCCAATTTCTGCCTCCTTCTTCACATGCCCTTCTTCTCTGTGTATCTTTTCTCTTCTAAAGACACTAATTGAATTTAGGGCCCACTCCAATCCAAGATGATGTCATCCTGAGATCCTTGATTATATTTATGAACACATTTTTTTCTAAATAAATTTGCCTACACAGGTTTTGATTGGAGGTTTTTTGTTTTGTTTTTGTTTTGTTTTGTTTTTTGGTGGCGAGTGGCATCAACTCACTACAAATAGTTACATTGAAACCAGCTTGGTTTTGGTGTGGTGGACCTCCACTCTGTGCTTGCAGCTTCTGTCATGGCTTTGACTAGTAGTGTGGAAGGTATGCAGGGAAGTGAATAGACTTCTCACTTTAATACTTGGTTAAATCTGAGAGAAGGACAGAAATAATTTGTCATTTGTTTTTGACCTTTCATTTTTGCATATGACTGATAGTTCCCTTTCAAAGACCAATGCAGGACATTTACAGATAAAACAAAATGTATGTAGGTAGCAGCAACTAACTCCCTCTGACCTGGTGGTGGCGGTAGGAGAGGACCCAATGCTGGATGTGCTATGACATGATTGTGCCTGCAACATGCACAAAACCCCAGGCCTATGGTGAGCCAAGTTAGTGGAAAGCATGGGTACATATAAGCCAAGTGTACGTGAAATAGGTATAGGAAATAGGAGCCAAGAAGTTCTACCACAGAGTTGAGAGGGAGTTGTCTGACTATCCTTGCTATAGTGGTTTTATTATTTATGATCTAAGTCCAAGCAAATACTTATTTGTTTTATTGTTTGATAATGCAATAAGCCATTTGACAGAAATGAGCTCAAATAAATGAAAATGATTGTTTAACCAAAAATAGATCATTGGATTTTTTTTTTGAAGAAAGTTCATAATAAGCATGTACTTGTACAATATGTTGAGACATTTAAAAAATCTATTATGTATGTATTATGCATGTGCTATGGACTGATTTGTGTTCTATAAAATTTATGTGTTGAATGTTAACCCCCAATGTGACTAAATTTACAGATAGAGTCTTTAGGGAGGTTATTTGTTACATAAGGTCTTTTTATTTATTTGTTTTTCTGGAAATGCAGTCTCACTTTGTTGCTCAGGCTAGATGGAGTGCAACCAGTGATCTTGGCTCACTTCAGTCTCCGCCTCCTGGGTTCAAGCGATTCTTCTTTCTCGGCCTCCTGTACAGGGGTGAGCCGCTGAGCCTGGCTGTTAAGTAAACTGAGATTACAGGCATGCACCACCATTCCCAACCAATTTTTGTATTTTTAGTAGAGATGGGGTTTCACCATGTTGGCCGGGCTGCTTTCGAACTGCTGACCTTAAGTGATCCACCCACCTCGGCCTCCCAAAGTGCTGGGATTACAGGGGTGAGCAACGGAGCCTGGCTGTTAAATAAGGTCTTAATCGTGTAGTCCTAATCCACTAGGATTGGTGGCCTTATACAAATAGGCTGACTGTCTCCGTCTCCCTCTGTCTCTCTCTCTCTCTTTCTGTCTCTCACTCCTTACCTCTCATTCTTCACATGCGTACTAAGGAAAAGCCAGGAGAAGGCATAGCAAAAAGGCAGCCATTGGCAAGCCAGAAAGGGAACTCTCATTGGTGGCACTCTCAGTCTTGGATCTTCTAGTGTGTCCGGAATGGGTGGATTCTTGGTCTCACTGACTTCAAGAATGAAGTCGCGGACCCTCGCAGTGAGTGTTACAGCTCTTAAGGTGGCGCGTCTGGAGTTGTTCGTTCCTCCCGGTGGGCTCCTGGTCTCGCTGGCTTCAGGAGTGAAGCTGCAGACCTTCGTGGTGAGTGTTACAGCTCATAAAAGCAGTGTGGACCCAAAGAGTGAGCAGTAGCAAGATTTATTGCAAAGAGGGAAAGAACAAACCTTCCACAGCGTGGAAGGGGGCCCCAGCGTGTTGCAGCTGCTGGCTGGGGCAGCCTGCTTTTATTCTCTTATCTGGCCCCACCCACATCCTGCTGATTGGTAGAGCTGAGTGGTCTGTTTAGACAGGGTGCTGATTGGTGCGTTTACAATGCCTGAGCTAGACACAAAGGTTCTCCACGTCCCCACTAGATTAACTAGATACAGAGTGTAGACATAAAGGTTCTCCAAGGCCCTGCCAGAGTAGCTAGATACAGAGTGTCGATTGGTGCATTCACAAACCCTGAGCTAGACACAGGGTGCTGATTGGTGTGTTTACAAACCTTCAGCTAGATACAGAGTGCCAATTGGTGTATTTACAATCCCTGAGCTAGACATAAAAGTTCTCCACGTCCCCACCAGACTCAGGAACCCAGCTGGCTTCACCCAGTGGATCCCGCACCAGGGCTGCAAGTGGAGCTGCCTGCCAGTCCTGGTGCTGTGCACCCGCACTCCTCAGCCCTTGGGTGGTCGATGGGACTGGGCGCCGTGGAGCAGGAGGTGGCGCTCATCCGGGAGGCTCGGGCCGCACAGGAGCCCATGGAGGGGGTGGGAGGCTCAGGCATGGCGGGCTGCAGGTCCGGAGCCCTGCCCCGCGGGAAGGCAGCTAAGGCCTGGTGAGAAATCGAGCGCAGCGCCGGTGGGCTGGCACTGCTGGGGGACCCAGTACACCCTCCGCAGCCGCTGGCCCGGGTGCTAAGCCCCTCATTGCCCGGGGCCGGCAGGGCCTGCCGGCTGCTCTGAGTGCGGGGCCGCCAAGCCCACGCCCGCCCGCAACTCCAGCTGGCCTGCAAGCGCCGGGGGCAGCCCCGGTTCCCGCTGGCGCCTCTCCCTTCACAGGTCCTTGCAAGCTGAGGGAGCCGGTTCCGGTCTTGGCCAGCCCAGAAAGGGGTTCCCACAGTGCAGCGGTGGGCTGAATGGCTCCTCAAGTGCCGCCAAAGTGGGAGCCCAGGCAGAGGAGGCGCCAAGAGAGAGCGAGGGCTGTGAGGACTGCCAGCACGCTGTCACCTCTCACTAGCTTCCAGGACTGTAAGAAATCATTTTTGTTGTTCATGCCACCCAATCCGTGGTATTTTGTGATGGAAACCTGAGCTGATGAAGACAGTGAGTCAAAGTGATTCCACTGACCACGTGAAAATCAGAAAACCAATCTAGTTCAAACATTTATAGCCATTTAAAAAGATTTTACCCAATGATAATAATTTAATGCATGCAGCTGCTATAGTTGTGTTTAATTAATCACTTTCTGAAGCTTGGCTTTTCATTTAGATGAAATTACTGTTCTTCTAAAATAATTTTGCTCATTTTAGATTTCAAGGATTTTTTTGTTCATACAAAAATGAAGTTATAGCTCCATTAACAGAAGACTTCACAGTTACATGATGCTAGTTTTATATCAAAGCCATTAAATGCTAAAAATAGAAAAACAGTTAATCCCAATAATGGCTCAATTTGTCTCCATTCGATTTATGAAATAAAAGTAAAACTTTTGGACATCTGTACTGGTCCAGTAAAATACTTAACAATATTGTGATTACTGTTTATTATAAATTTAATTAAATGGTCAAACATTTAAGATAAGATGACATGATGTTAGGAAAACAAATTTTATTGCAGAAAATGCAGAAAAGTTATGAGGTAAAAACAGAAGATTTACTAAATTAAAAACTTGGAATTTGATGTGGTGCACACATAATTTGTAGCTTCATCCAATTTACCAATAAAAATAGAAGCTAAATTTCTCTGTCTCTCTCTACACACACACACACACACACACACACACACACACACACACACACCAGCTCTATGGTACATAGGAAGTATGACTGCAGTTCTATTTTTCTGGTGTAAAAGCTGGTGTTGAATAAAAAATAATCTTCAAATATAGCAATGCTTTTTCTCTTTTCTACCTGTTTAGAAATATTTGAGCCTCTGAATAATTATTTTGTATGTGAATTTGTGTCTCGCTCTGTCACCTAGGCTGGAGTGCAGTGGTGTGATCTTGGCTCACTGCAAACTTTGCCTTCTGGGTTCAAGTGATTCTCCTGCCTCAGCCTCCTGAGTAGCTGGGAATATAGGCACCTGCCACCACACGTGGCTAATATTTGTTTTTTGTTGTTTGTGTGTGTGTGTTTTTTTTTTTTTTTTTTTTTTTTTTTTAGTAGAGACGGGGTTTTACCATGTTGTCCAGGTTGCCCTCGAACTCGTGACCTCAGGAGATCCACCCGCCTCGGCCTCCATGGAGGCCACAGGAGTGAGCCACCATGCCCAGCTGAATTTATGTCCTTTAATAGCACTGAATGATTTTAAACTCTTCTAAATTTTGGATTTTATCATTTTGTTTTTAGCTCCACTTTTACTTTTAAAAGTGCTAGTTCAGATAATAATATATAAATGCCCTAACTTTAGATATCAATTTTACATTTCAAATAAGCAGTTGGATAGGTGTGCAGGAAGTGCAAGGGGGGAGTCCTGACTAGATATGCAATTTAGAAGTCAACAGTATATAGATAGCAACATTGGCCAAGAAAATGACTTTTTTTTTATTTAGAAAGGATAAATGAATCAAAGATCTTTTATATGTAAAATCAGGAGTCTCATTGAAGTGTGTATTAGCAATTGTCCTTTAATATGAATGTCCTAAAACTTGTTGCTTTGGGGGAGTTTTGTGTATCATGGAGTCTTATTTTTCCATAGTGGAATATTGGCTAACTTAGTTTAATAGTGCTGTGAACACAGACACAGATACCTGGTAAAATAAAATTATGTGACACATTTATTTTAGATATTTTAATACTTAACCAGAATAACCATTAGGAGTAGCAATTGCTTATATTATTTTTTAAATGATTGCATTCTCCCAGCCATTTAGAATGGCTATTAAACGTGTTAACCAAAATTCTGTATTTTGTTGCAAGAAAAACACTGTACATAAAAGAGGTTTATACTCACATTTCCAATCTTTTAGTGAAAAAAACAACCCTTGCTATCTGGTTTTTCTGCCAGAAACTCAAAATCTAATACACAAAGTTAAGTGGTTTCCTACCTCTCCTATTTGTTCTCCAAATCTTTCTTCCTTCTCTGTTTTCTGTTGCTATTTTGGAATCAATAGTTTTCGATGTACTTAGCTGTAAAAGATCAGCATTACTTCTGATTCTCTTCTTTGTCTTAAATGATTCCAGATATCCAGTCTAGCTGACTGTATTGCTACAATAGCTCTTATATCCAACTCTTCACTCTCTCTAGCATATTCCAGCCTCCATTTACTTTACTTCATCATTAAAATATATTTCTAACTAGCCTCCATTTACTTTGCCTCATGATTAAAATATATTTCTAACTAGCCTCCATTTACTTTACTTCATGTTTTATATATAATGTGTGTGTATATATATGTAGATACATATATATGTAGATATATATGTAGATACATATATATGTAGATATATATGTAGATATATATGTAGATATATATGTAGATACATATATATGTAGATATATATGTAGATACATATATATGTAGATATATATGTAGATACATATATATGTAGATATATACATATGTAGATACATATATATGTAGATATATATGTGTATATATATATGTGTGTATATATATGTGTGTGTGTGTGTATATATATATATATATATATATAGCATCTCTGCTCTGGTTTCTCTGGTTTCTCCAAATCTTGCTACCTAATGTTTTCAGTTTGAGTTTCCTAAAAAAGATTGCTAAGCATGCCACTCCCTTGCCTAATAACAGTCAATGTCCATCCTATGGTTATTGGAGAAGATAATATTCCTTAAACTAGCAATTGAGCACCATTCTACTTTCCCAATACCATCTCTCACTTTCATATTTTACACAGTATGGTCTAAAACCCTGAATTACTCACTTTTTCCCCACATATAATATATACTTTTTCTCTTCAATTCCATTCCTGAGTTTGTTCTGCCTGATTCTTTCCTCTCTCACTTCTGCATATCAAATATATGTAATTCAAATGTCACCTGGTCTCATCACCTTGCATATCAAGTTAAGCTGTGTAAAGTACTTTTGTGCTTAATTTTTATTATTACAAAAGCAATATATTAACTTTGTTATAAAAATTAGAATCACCATTCTACTTACCTTAGAGAGGTATTTTTCCTTTATTTACTTTGGCAGTTGCAACCATAACTCCAAAGACCATGCTTTTATTTTATACTAAGTTTTAAAATTTGGAAAAAAAGGGAAAATGGAAGGGTTTAAGAGGCTTATCTTTAAAAATTCTATGTGTTAAGCTAAATCTTTCTTGATTGTCACTTGCTTTGACCAAAAAGCAACCTCTAAACAATGGCTTTCCAGTTTACCAACAGGCTGTTGAACACTTGATTTCAGATCAACTTCGGTAGTGCCTGGCCCACCTTTTCAAGGCCTCTGTTTCTTTTCCTCTTGGTACTTTATTCTGTGTTTGAGGGGAGACCCTTCCCTAGACTCTGTAAGAGAGTAAGAGTTAATAAAAGCCAATCTTTTAACAAGACCTGGGATAACCAATTGGCTTTATTACAGAGATGATAAGGTTTAGCTGCTTCTAATTATGGTCTCCCTCAGATCCAGTGTTACATTTCAGGAGGTTCAGGAAAGGTACCTCTCAGCCCAGATCTTGGTCTACCTCCTGTGGCTGCTGTTAGCTCACCTTTCCTGGGTGAAAATGCCCTTAATCACAGCTACACTGTTTAGGGTGTGGGTGCAAATACATTGCAGGGCAGAGAAAAGCATGACGTATCCCTGTGTTAGTTTGTTGTCTGTAAATTATAACAGTATACCTGAAACTGGATAATTTCTAAGGAAAAGGAATTTATTTCTTACAATTACGGAGGCTGAGAAGTCCAGCGTTGAGGGACCATGTATGCTGAGAGCTTTCTTGCTGGTGGGACTCTTTGAAGAGTCCTGAGGTAGCACAGAGTATCCCATGGTGAGGAGGCTGAGAGTGCTAGCTCAGGTTTCTATTCCTCTTCATCTAAAACCACCAGTTAATGGGTTAATGAGTTAATCTATTTGCCCATTAACTGGTTAATCCATGAATGAATTAATGCATTCATGAAGGCAGAACCCTCATGAGCCAATCACCTCTTTAGTTTTTTTGTGGTTGTAAATACAGTAAATATTTATTAAACAAATATTAAGTTCTAGGAACTGTTTAAGTTGAAGGATACAGTGGTGAACAGAGTTTTCAGGCAGATAAGTCGTTTCTAGGATTACGTACAATACAGATACTTAACTATGTATGCTATTAGGCACTTTTAGATTTAACACTGCGAAGTTTAGTAAACATATATTTAGTTATATAGTTTTATTATTTTCAAAGTACATGCCTTTGTCTTTAAAAAATTGTGTGCATGTTGAAAATACTTAATTTTTAGAAAGCATTTATGCCCTTGGATAATTATAAATGCACGTAAAGAGCTGTGAAAGCAAAAAAATTAAAAAGTGAAAGTTGTCCTCTCCACCTTTAGACATTAGCTACCATCATTAGTGGTGTGCCCTTCAGACTGTTTTATGTTTATTCAAATGTATTTGCATATATATTTGTGTTTATACATATAGGCAGTTTTAAAGTAAGATTATACAATACATACTGATCTCCAAAGTGCTTATTTCACTTAAATGTATAGAAATGTTTCTAATCCTTGCATATAGAGGTGTCTTTTCTTTTTTTTTCCAAGAACACAATATCAATTTATATTTATTAATATGAGCCAATCACCTCTTACAGGCCCCACTTCTCAATACTGCTGCAATGAGGATTAAATCTCAACCTGAGTTTTTGGAGGGGATATTCATATCATGACATCTCTCCTCTAAGATAAGCTGTATCTCCTGAGACCTTGTTTTCCATTTTCAGATCTTCTATCTGAAGAAAAATAAAAGTAACAATATATGCTTCTTTCAAGAGAGATCTGAAGGATGGTCTGGTTTTACAACTTTTAAAGTTGTAACCTCATTAACATATATTATGCTTATATTTTCTGAAAATTAGATTGTTTAGCTGTTAACCAATACTATATATAGGGTAATAGTGCTATAGTCTAGGTAGAGTTTTTGACATTATCAGACATTTCATTTTTTGACCTTACATAAGCGAGTATGGAGTATTTTATTAACTGTTTCTGCAGTCTTTTAGATTGCTACTTTCATAGGATGCTGTACATACACACATACACACACACAAATTTGCACACAGGCACACACACACAAACACATACATGCACACTTGCAAGCACGCATACACACACTCTTTCAAAAAACAGATCAAAATGAACAAGTGTGATTGATATAAAATCCATACTTAAAAGGAAAGCTTTTCCCTAGGAGAAATGTGACCCTTTTTTAACTAGAGGTGGTCTTTTAAATGATCATACAGAAAGTCCAGGTCTTTTGGCTTCATAGTATTTCAAATGTTTCTAAAACTGTATCAAGTTGTTACTTTATTTTGTATATTTTATATTAAAAATACTATTTAAATACTTAAAACATTATATTATATTTGTATCTCTATATGTTGTAACTTTCCTGTTATGGTCATAAAATTTTTAGGACTAAAACATAATCAGAAGTTTCAGATCAAAGGAGTAAGTTCTTCCTTTATAATTTAAAAACTCTGCAAGAAGGAAAGTTTTCTGTTTTTATGGCTGAGAAAGGTAGCTCCATTTTTTGTGTCATCTGGGCTATCTCTACTCTCATGTCTAGAGTTTGGTGACAGGGCACTGGGGCTAGGTCACTGATACCAGGTGACTGATGCTACAGGGCAGTAGAAGAGCTACTTATTTCTTTTCTAAAACAAGATATTAAAATTTTATAACAAGAGGTGGCATTCCAAAATGCAGTGACACTTCAAGATGCATAATTTACTAAGAAAATGCATAACAATGTATTCCCTGACTCTTGGAACTCTCGGTTGGATCAAGGTTATATGTACATATTTTAAAAAGCCAGAACATCTGTGAAAGAATAATTTAGTTAGTGAAATTGCTTTGAGAAAATCTATGGTATATGGTATTTTCCAAAGTTGGGTACAACAGTATGTCCCTTCCCATATTCCCTTTTAGAACCATGACACTCCCCATCTAGAGGTAAAGTTGAATTTTCTCTCCTTGAATCTGAGTAATACTATGACTCATTTGTAGCAGATAAAAGTGGTGGAAGTGATGCTATATGTTTTCTGAGGATATGCCACAAAAATAATGAAACTTCCACTGAGTTAACTGGGATACTCATTTTGGAGTCTAAACCACCATCTATAAAATCCAACTACTCTGAGGCCACCAGAAGATCCCAAATCATGTGTCTATTCTAAAGCTTCAGTTAAGATTCCAGTTGGTAGCCAATATCAACTGCTACACAGATATTAAAAACATTTACTGATGATTCCAGACCCCAGGGAGCAAGTCACCTCCTGCCCTGGGCGCAGCTATCCTAAAGCAGAGAAAAGCCATCCCCACTGTTCTCTGTCTGAATTTCTGACCTACAGAATTTGTGAGCACAATAAAATTAATTGTTACACCACTAAGTTGTAAAATGGTTACACAGCAGGTGCAACTACAACAGAACACTACATTGCGAGTATAATGAGAGTCAGGTGGAAACAGCCTGCGGCTTCACCTGAAACCTGTAGCCTGCTAATGTATTCTCTACAGGTGGAGGACCCAGGACTAACAACCGATACAGCCAAAATGGCGGCAGTAGAGCTGAAGGGAGACGCCAGAGGGCTGCAACAGTCCATGAACGTTCCTGATGGTGACAGAAGATACACGACCATTTTCCTTGGACCATAGGTAGGCTAAGTTGAAGAGCTATGTCCTACCAACCAAAACGGGGAGGGTAGAAAAGCGCTGCAGTTAGTGTCTGAGTGTGGGACTGAAATACAAGTGTTAGTTGAAGAAGGTATCAGGCATATCAAAGGATCTTTAGTCAGAAGAGCACAGCTGGAGACTTCTGAAGAGCCTTGGAAGTTTTCCAGGGTAGAAGTTTGAAATATCTGCAAAGCCCAGAGAGTTAGAAGCCCGTTTACAAAAGTAAAATCCAATAATTATTTTTTCCACAGTTCCATTGCCTTTCCTCCAAAATTATAGTTAAGGAGGACATCAGAGGAAAAAGTAAAAAGTAAACAAACAAACAAAAAAACTTAAAAACACCCCAGACGTTTTATAGAAAAATTAAATGAGACCTAGTGGGTATACACATTTTAACCATAGTAACAGGATGGAAGGCAGAATGTGTGGTCCCAGACTCAGATAGGTAGATGTGGTTGTCTGAGCTACTAGAAGTCCTCTTTTAATTCCCCTTGCCAACAACCTTATTTATTTATTTATTTATTTATTTATTTTTATTTTTTTTTTTTTTTTTGAGACAGCGCTCACTCTGTTGCCCAGGCTGGAGTGCAGTGTCACAATCCTGGGCTCAAGGAATCCTCTCACTTCAGCCTCCTAAGCAGCTAGGCGTACAGGTGTGTGTCACTATGCCTGGCTTTTTTTTTTTTTTTAATAGAGATGAGGTCTCACTATGTTACTATGTTGTTTAGGCTGGCCTCAGACTTCTGGGCTCAAGCGATTCTCCTGCCTTTACCTCCCAAAGTGCTGAGATTACAAGTATGAGCCACCATGTCCAACCTTCACCCCCTCCCATTTTCACAATCAAATATTTAGTAACACCATCATCAAGAGGGAGGGCAGAAGAGAATATACATATTTGAGGAGAAAGGGGAAGCTATATAACAGTCATCAAGAAGAGTAATTGGACTAGTGTAATAGGTTGATTAGCAACCAGCATTTGTAGCTCATTTGAGGGTGGCAGCCAAGAATTTAAAATGATTAAGACCTAATGTGATTATCTATTACTTTCCAGTTATGTTCTGCTATTAGATGGATGCATAGGTTAAGTAAACAGTTGAATTCCAGCAATCTTGAGGTTGCTGAGTGATTTTAAACAGAATCTTAAAATTTAGGCTGGGTAAGGAGAAAAGTAAGGAGATAAGGCATGGTGAAGGGAAGAGGAAGTCTAGTAGGATCAAAGCTGGATGTTCTGCTTAAGTGAAAGAAGAGTCAGACTGGGGTTAGAAGGGGAAGTGAGTAGAAATATAGCAGGTGACTGCTATCTAATAAGTCAGTGATATGTTTGAGGCTTAAAATATATTGGTCCATTATTATTACTATAAGTTTGCATTGCATAAAATACATAGGATAACTAGGATATTAAGCAAACTAGAAGTTACTGAAGTTACCAAGATATATCACGAATCTCATTTTATCCCATATGTTGCATATCTCAATTGTGCTAAGTAGGGGAGCATTCAGAGAAAATTCTTCCACCAACTAAAACATTTTACAGATTTTCACTACACTTAAAAGATATTTCTACTATTCATTGTATTTACCTTTAATAAGCAAGCTTATTCTAGTCAACCAACTTGTATTCAAGTAGAAATTTTAGATGAGCAAATGCAATGTCTGTTTGGGATAGCAACGTATTTTGACAGGTATTGGGAGAGCAAGTAATTATAAATTTTTTGAAATTGTTTGGAAATGTGTTTTTGATATTTAATTGAAATGAATGTACATCTTTTTCCTCAACACACATGTATATTCTGACATAGCAATATTTAAGGAAGATAAATACAATTGACAGGTATTGGGAGAGCAAGTAATTATAAATCTTTTGGAATTGTTTAGAAGTGTGTTTTTGTTATTTAATTGAAATGAATGTACATCTTTTTCCTCAACACACATATATTCTGACATAGCAATATTTAAGGAAGATAAATACAATTAAATAGAGAATGTGCAAAATTGCATTTCTCCTCTCAATATGAGTCACAGTCTAATACTTAAAAAATATGGCATTTCATATTCTGTATATTCTTAATTTTTCAGTTTTCTTTTTAAATGACTTAATTTATTCACCAAAGGCTGCAATTTTCAGAATATTTATAGATACAGAGGCCATTAAGCCTTTCTGCATAAATGGTAAATAATGACACCATGAAAATAATCCTTTAATGTGACTTTATGAATATGTATGGCATTATTGTGAGTAATACTAATTTCTCAGAACTTCCTTATAAACAGGATAAGTACAAATAAAATAAGCAGTAGGTACTCCAATCATATTCGTTCTGCACATAATTTCTCTATGAATAATTTATATGAAAATCATAAAAGAAAGTTTGAAATTATCTGTTGGCTCTCTAGGTTAAAACTTATTATTTTTAAATTTTAGAAAGTTCTACCACAAGGTAATAGAAAAGAAGGGGAAAACACATAGGGTAGGTGAATGATGCCAACTGGAATTTATCTTCTTTGTGTACAATTTCCAGCTATAATATTGAATAATAAAAAAGCAGTAACAAGCCCAAATCTGGCACCTGCTGAATTTTGTACTTCAAATTTGGATGCAATTAAATAAGCATTTTATTTTTGGAATTGTTTTTGTTATTAACTTTGAATCCCAACAATGCTGAGAGATTTGAATGTTTTTATTGTCAATGATATTCCACTTTTTAAAGCTGAATAGAACACGAAAGCTGAATCATTTTGATATTTCTTCACAAATTTTTTTCTCTAAAATAGTTTGTAATTATAATTATTAGATATCTGTTGTGAATGCCCTACATATCAATAATGACAATATGATTTTAAATTTTTCCCAAAGCATGGTTCATGAATTTAAGTTGCACAATGCCAGTAGACAGTAGACAACCATTTAACAGGAGACAATTCCCATTTGTTACTATCTACCTTTGGTGGTTTTGCATTGATTATTAAAGTACTGTTATTTTGATAGAAACAGATGGTTAAATGTTATTAAAGTTACATAATAGTGTATCCTCCATGAAAAAGCCTTTCATTTCATTTCATTTCAATTAAGTGTTATAAACAGTTACTGCAACAAGAATGATGAGGTAGAATTACATATATTGTTTTATTGTAGATAATGCTGAAATGAGCTTCAGTGAATGAATGGATAAAGAAAATGTGATATATTTACAAATTGGAACATTATACAGCCTTTAAAAAGAAGAAAATGTCATTCACGATAACATGGGTGGAGCTGGAGGCATTATGGTAAGTGAAATAAGCCAGGTACAAGAAGGTAAATACTGTATGATATCACATATGGAATCTAAAGAAGTCTGTCTCATAGAAATAGAGTAGAAAGGTGGTTAGCAGAGGAATGAAGGTTAGAGACAGGGAAAGGGAAAATAATCAAAGAGGATAAAATTTGCTAGATTGGAGGAATTCTTCTTAGTGATCTATTGGACTATGTGGTGATCACAGTTAATAGTAGTATATCAAATATTTCAAAATTGCTTAAAAAATAGATTTTTAATATTCTTACCACAAAAAAATGCTAAGTTGGTGAAGTGATGGATACACTAATTATCTTGATTGAATCTGTCTACAAACATCATATTGTATTTCATAATTATGTATAAATTTAATTTTCATTAAAAAAAGAAAAGGAAAAAAATTAAGATATATGTTACACTGTATAAAGAAAAATCTCTTTACAAAACAATTACTATCTCTCTTTTGGAAGTAAAGCAATATTAGATATTTTAAAAGAATATGCACTTTAAAACATTTTCTCAAGACAGTTTTCTGCTTTAATGTGTGTTTGAGAGGAGTGAAGTTAGTGTATGAAATTTCAGACTCAATGAGAGACTTAAAAAAGAAAAGAAAAGAAAAACAAACCCAGCTGTTAAAAAGATACGTTTGACTAAATGGTAAATGTAGTGTAAAGTACTAAGTCAGATAGAGCTAATTTTAAACCTCGGCCCTAGCATTTACTTGCTTTGTAAATTCGAAAAATTGCTTATGTTTATGGGACTCAAATTCCTTATTTGTAAAGTAGAGAAAATAATATATAACTCAATACGTTGTTCTGGGGATTAGAATGATATTATAGAGAAGGTTTGGCAGAGTTCTAGAATATATAAGACACAGTAGATGCTGGTGGTTTCTGTTTAGAGTGTTCCTGAAGCCATCTCATAGAGGTAGCTGCCTGTTTACCTACTTCACACCTTAACTTCGTACCAGGGAGTAGGGTGGATTGGACTTTAAACCTGAAGAGTCGCTAAGGGCTGTCCTGTCTCTTTACTAAAAACTATGGTGGCAATTAATCTAGCTAAATGCAAGACTGTTAGAAACCATAATATCTTAATTAATATAAAATTAGTACTATGCTAGGGAGGTTAAAGAGGTAGCCTTAATGCTGACAATTTTGGAAATAATAGGAAAATTAGTATGGCAGGCATAATAAAAAGCCTTCAAATGACAGAAGAGGCAGTTGTCTATTTTTTCTATATATCACTATTTTATATTATGGCTTAATTACTGTGACATTTTATCTTCCCCTTCTCAAAATAAAAAGAGGTTATGTTATTCATTTTTATAGCTGAGGAAAACAAAAAGAAAGATAAGTCACTTGCCGACATCATTAAACTAGTAGCTGGTGGACAGGAATCTATTCCACACTGTGTGACTTTGAGAACTGTTTTAAATCACTAAGCTATATTAATCTTTAGATATTAAGTGTACCTGTATGTCGTCGACTATTTGTAAACAAAGGCTTTCCATAGAGAAATATTAATATATGAAGAAGGGGTGTCAATAAGGTTGACTATTGGCAAAGCAGTAAAAGAAGAATCACATATTAATTTTCAATTTCACCTCCTTTTCATTGCATTTACTTTCAAATTTGGAAGTAAAAAGCTGGGTGCACTCCTACTCAGGAGGCTGAGGAAGTAGGAAGGCCTGAGGCCAGGAGTTCAAGGCTGCAGTGCAGCGCACTACCATGTACCTGTGAACAGCCACTACACTTCAGCCTGCGCAGCAATAGTCAGATCTCTTTCTCTTAAAAAAAAATCAGGCCAGGCACTGTGGCTCAAGCCTGTAATCTCAGCACTTTGGGTGGATCACGAGGTGAGGAGATCGAGACCATCCTGGCTAACACGGTGAAACCCCGTCTCTACTAAAAATACAAAAAAAATTAGCCGGGTGTGGTGGCGGGCGCCTGTAGTCCCAGCTACTCTGGAGGCAGGAGAATGGCGTGAACTCGGGAGGCGGAGCTTGCAGTGAGCGGAGATCGCCCCACTGCACTACAGCCTGGGCGACAGAGTGAGACTGTCTCAAAAAATCAGAAGTGGTTTTCTTTTTTTTTTTTTAATTATACTTTAAGTTCTAGGGTATATGTGCACAACGTGCAGGTTTGTTACATATGTATACGTGCGCCATGTTGGTGTGCTGCATCCATTAACTCGTCATTTACATTAGGTATATCTTCTAATGCTATCCATCCGCCCTTCCCCCACCCCACGACAGGCCCCAGTGTGTGATGTTCCCCTTCCTGTGTCCAAGTGTTCTCATTGTTCAGTTCCCACCCATGAGTGAGAACATGCGGTATTTGGTTTTTTGTCCTTGCGATAGTTTGCTGAGAATGATGGTTTCCAGCGTCATCCATGTCCCTACAAAGGACATGAACTCATCCTTTATTATGGCTGCATAGTATTCCATGGTGTATGTGTGCCACATTTTCTTAATCCAGTCTATCATTGATGGACATTTTGGTTGGTTCCAAGTCTTTGCTATTGTGAATAGTGCCACAATGAACATATGTATGCATGTGTCTTTATAGCAGCATGATTTATAATCCTTTGGGTATATACCCAGTAATGGGATGGCTGGGTCAAATGGTATTTCTAGTTCTAGATCCTTGAGGAATTACCACACTGTCTTCCACAATGGTTGAACTAGTTTACAGTCCTACCAACAGTGTAAAAGTGTTCCTATTTCGCCACATCCTCTCCACACCTGTTGTTTCCTGACTTTTTAATGATCGCCATTCTAACTGGTGTCAGATGGTACCTCATTGTGGTTTTGATTTGCATTTCTCTGATGGCCGGTGATGATGAGCATTTTTTCATTTGTCTGTTGACTGCAAAAATGTCTTCTTTTAAGGGAAGTATCTAAAAACGACCAATACTGAAAATTGTATTATTACATAAAATATTCTTTGTGAAAAATTGTCTTACATTATACAAAGGTGTATAAAGGCTTCATGTAGCCATGTTTCTAATAAATATAAACAATTCTGTATAGAGAATATTTGTATTTCAGATTTTATTTTATTTTCAGGCTTTATTTTTGCTTTGTATGTTTTAGTGGGTTTATTAGGATAGGATCCATGTGCCATACAATTCACTCATCTGAAATATAAAATTCAATTTTTTTAGTATATTCATAGAATGGTGAAACCCTCATACAGTCTAATTTTAGTCTCCTCAGAAAGTTATGTGGCAGTTAGTATGCACCCCCAAATCACTGACCTCTCAGCTCCTGGAAACCATTAACCTACTTTCTTCCTGTATATAGAGTTGTCTGTTCAAGACTTTGCATATCAGTGAATTCATGTATGTGATTTTATGTGACTGACTCCTTTCACTTAGGTAACATTTTCAATGTTCATTCATGCTGTAGTGTGAATTATTACTTCATTGCTTTGTATTGATAAATAACATTCCATTATATGAATATATCATATTTATCCATTCATCAGGTGATGGACATTTGAATAATTTACACATTTTGGTTATTATAAATCATGTTATTTTAAACATATATGTACAAGGTTTTGTGTGGACATGAATAATACATACAAGTTTTGTATTTATTACTCGGGCATATTTTATTTATTATACATTGTGGTTTAAGTTTTCATTTCCTTAATAACAAATGCTGTTGAGCAATTTTTAATATGCCTATTGCCTATTTATACATTTTCTTCAGTAAAATATTTATTCAACCATAGGCTCATTATCATTTGTCTTCTAATGTTGAATTGTAAGAGTTTTTAACTGTATTCTTCATAATAGTGTCTTATCAAATATATGCTTTGAAAATAGTTTCTCCCATTTACAAGTCGTCTTTTCACATTCTTGATTGTGCCCTTAATGCATAAAGTGTTTAATTGTAATGATGCATCTAATTTTGATGACAAATTTTTATCTAACTTTTCTCTTTTTCTCGTTTTTAGTGTCACATCTATGAAAGCATTGCGAAATTCACTATCACAAAGATTTATCCCAATATTTTCTCCTAGGATTTTTATAGTTTTATCTCTTATAGTTGGTCTTTGATCCATTTAGAGTTAAATTTTTTGAGGTAGGCATCTAACTATTTTTTTTTTTTTTTGCATGTGTGTATTCAATTGTCTAAGCACCTACTTGAGGGAACTATTATCTCCCAGTTCAAGATCTTGGCTGTGAAATATCAACTGAACATAGATGTTTGGACTTATTTCTGGGCTCAATTTTATCCATTAATTGATATATCTATTTTTATACCAAATTACATTGTCTTGGTTACTTTAGCTTTATTATATGTTTTGAAATTCAGAAGGGTGCATCTGCCAACTTTATTCCTCTTTTTTAAATTTTTGGCTACTCTGACTCCTGTTCATTTCCATATGAATTTTAATTATAAGATGTATATCTGTAAAAAGGCCATTGATACACACACATGTCAAAATATCAATGCCTGTTTCTGTTTTTCTCTTGCCTTTATTAGTAAGTCATCTTCATAAAATATATATACAGTTGTCCCTTGGTCTCCATGGAAGATTGGTTCCAGGACCTCCTATAGATGCCAGAATATGCAGATGCTTAAGTTTCTTCTATAAAATTGTGTAGTATTTGCATATAACCTATGCAAGTTTTTTTGTATTCATTTCTTTCTTTCTTTCATTTTGTATATTTAAATAATATCTAGATTACTTATAACACTTAATACAATGTAAATGCTAAGTAAATAGTTGTTATACTGTATTGTTTAGAGAATTATGACAATAAAAAGCATTTGTACATGTTTAGTACACATGGAACTTTTTAAAATATTTTCAATCTGTGGTTGGTTGAATTTACAGATTAAAAACCCATGGATATGAAAGGCTGACTGTGTACATATATACTAATATACATATATTCTCTCAAATATATATTATAAATATGTATTGTATACATAATAATCTGTTAGTACAATTAATCTTAGTCCAAGACTCAAATATTTCTGCCTAGGGTACTATAAAATCTATAACAACCTCCTAATTGGTCATTATTAGGCCAACTTTGTCTCCCATCATTCAGAAGAATCGTTTGAAACTTAAACCAAAGCAAACCACATTTCTACTTAAAACTATCCAAGTGTTTACACTGCACTTAGAATAAAATTAGTATTTCTTACATATATATGCTTTCTTGACTTCATATCTCCTGGATTCCTGAATTCTGGCCACACTAGGCTTCTCATTCTTCCTTAAGCACATCTAAGCGCATTGTTTGCATATACAACACCCTCAACCTGAAGAATTTTTTGTTTAAGTCTAGCATGCCAGGCTTATTCTGATCATTGAGGTCTCAGGTCTCTTGTCAATTGAAATATTTCTTCCCTGTTCACCCTATCTAAGTAGCCAATGCCCATCACATTATTCTCCAGCACTTCAATAGTATTATCTTATTTAAACTGTCAGTCCGTAAAATAGTCTTATTTGTTAATGTACCTAATTTTGTTTGGTCTTTCTTCCTTTGTTGTTTTTGGTGCTAGAGTTCAGGGACTTTGACTGTCTTACTCATTGCTCCACCACCTGTACCTGAAACTGTCTACTGAACCAAGTCTTGGCATTAGTACAGAATAAGTAACGTTTGGAATTCACCATAACCACTTTTTGCATAATTTTTCTACAGGTTAGATTATGTTGATTAGTACAGAGTGTAAGAGAAGTGCTTATCACTTTTTGGATCTGTTTCTGTATTTATTTATTTTAGATTCAGGAGGTGCACATGCATGTTTGTTACATGGATATATGGCATGGTGCTGAGATTTGGGCGTCCATTGGTCCTATCACCTAAATAGTGAACGTGTTACCCAGTAGGTAGTTTTTCAACTCTTCACCCACTCCCTGCTTCCCTCTTTTCAGAGTCCCTAGTGTCTATTTGTCCTATCTTGATATCCATTTGTACTCAAAGCTTAGCTCCCATTAAACTGTTACAGTTGAGAACATATGGTATTTGGTATTCTGTTTCTGCGTTAATTCACTTAGAATAATAGCCTCCAGCTACATTCACATTGCTTCAAAAGACATGATTTTGTTATTTTTATGGCTGCATAGTATTCCATGATGTATATGTACCATATTTTCTTTATCCAATCCACCACTGATAGGCACCAAGGTTGATTCCATGTCTTTGCTGCTGTGAATAGCGCTGCAATAAACATGTGCGTGGAGGTGTCTCTTTGGTAGAGCAGTTTATTTTCCTTTGGGTATATGCCCACTAATGAGATTGCTAGATCAAATGGTAATTTTATTGTTTATTCTTTGAGAAAACTCCAAACTACTTTTCACAGAGGCTGAACTATTTTATATTCCCACCAACAGTATATAAGCATTCCCTTTTCTCATGCTTGTGACTTTTATATATTGACTTAGAGATAAACTTTTTTTTCTTCAAGCAAGGATGTCTGGTTAAGTCAAGATCCTTTTTATTCTGTGTCAATGATAGAAGGAAAGATAAACTTCTACTGAGGACTAGTGTGTCCAAACATTGTTTCAGAGGGTAGAGGATTAAACCCAAATATGTTTAAACATTTGGGACACCATCTTTTTTCCTAGAAAAAATTCTGTAGATGGGCCCTATTTTAAACTTCCTCAGTATTCCCATTAAATCAGATAGTTGTGCTAGAAAATCTTTCTAACCATGCAAAAATAATAAAATGATAACTTTAGCTCACTTAGTTCACAAAAAGAATTCTAGATGGATTGGATCAGAGACTAACAGTGAAAAGCTAAACTTCAGTGTTTAAAAGCATAGGAAAACATATCTAGGGATAGCTTTTCCATAGCATAAAGAAACTATGAGATGGATTCATATAAATTAAAGTCAAATTATGGGTTCTTCTTGCCTGCTGCACAGATAAAACCACTTCACTGAGGCAGTGGTATTGCAGTAGAGAAAGGGTTAAATAATCACAGGTCTAGCCAAGCAGAAGGATGAGAGAAATTACTCAAATCAGCCTCCTTGAAATCTCAGAAGCTAGGGTTTTTCAAGGAGAGTTTGGCAGGCAGGTGGGTAGGGAGTGGGGGATGTTTGATTGAGGATGAAATCATAGGGGATCAAAGCTGCCTTCTTGCAGTGAGTCAGTTCCTGGGTTGGGATCACAAGACCAAACCAGCTAGTTTCTTGGTATGGGTTACCAGTCCAAGTGGCATCAGCTGGTCCACTGGAATGCAGGGTCTGGAAAATAACTCAAACACCAATTTTAGGTTTTAAAATAGTGATGTTATCTATAGGAGCAATTGGAGAGACTACAAATCCTGTGACCTCTGGCTACATGACTCCTGAACCATAATTTTAACTTTGTGGCTAATTTGTTAGTTCTACAAAAGTGGTTTGGGTCCTTGAGCTTGGGGGTTAGTTTCAGGAAGTGGTTGTTATTATATACGTTTTAAAGTTAAACTATAAACGAAACTTCTCCCATAGTAACTAGCTTGGCCTATGCCCAGAAATAAACAAAAATAGCTTGGAGATCAGAAGCAAGATGGAGTTGGTTAGGTCAGATTTCTTTCACTGTCATAATTTTTCTATGTCAGATTTCTCTCACTGTCCTAATTTTTGCAAAGGCAGTTTCAATCTTATAGGAGCAAAAACACTTGGAAGTGCTGTTTTTCCCACACACACACACGCATATATATATACACATATATATGCGTATATATACATATATGTGTATATATACACATATATACGCATATATATACACACACACATATATACATGTATGTGTGTGTATATATATGTGTATATATATATGTGTGTGTGTATATATATATATGTGTGTGTGTGTATATATATATATATTATTTTAATCTACAGAGATGAAAAAAGTCCCTATGCCCCCAAGAAATAATAGCAAGGTCACTTATTCAACAAAAATAAGTTTGAGGTAAGGGAAGGTCAATTTAGCTAGACGATATTGAAGAGAGAGAAAATAAACCAGAAAACATAATCAATAGATGAAGAGAAGGAGGTCGTTACCCACTGGCAATGCTGATTTCTTGTGCTAATTTAATATAAAAAATGTAAAGATTCTTTTTCAAAGTGTGTGTCTTCTAAGTCTAATTTATAGAAGTTAAAACTTTACAGAGGAAATATTCAGAAACAATAAACACTGAATTTGCAACGAAGTACCTTTGCCTAGAAATATTTCAAGAAATTACTCTGCGGGTGAGAATCTAAGAACTGTGATGATCTTGTTCAGGTGTGTGAGAGTGTGGCAGCAATAATAGAACTCATGTTAAAAAAAAAAAAAAAAGGACTAAACAAGTAACTCCACTGTCCAGAGTCCCCAGGTCCCCATTTTGCATTTGATCTCTGAACAGCAGGGTACTTTCAGATTCAAGAAAATAAATACTTCTGTCATCAATTCTACTGGCTCATTTGGCACAGCATATCAAGAAAACATTTATCATTAAATATATGGGAAATATTATTTATTATTTTACCAGTAAAGGTATGTTTTATAATGTTTGAATGTAAAAGCAATTGAGGATAACCAACTGAAACCGTATGGAGATGCACGTCTGTTCACAGTCGGAAAAATGTTATCTTTTAAATACACGGTTTTAAAAGACAAGCATAGTTTAAAAGGCAGGAGCTAGCTTTTTTGCTTATTTTTATTTTTTTTTACTTTTAGAGGTATGAGTGCAAATGTGTGTGTTTAGTGTGTTTTCATTATTACTATTATTATTTTGGGGGAAAATAATTTTAAAAATACAGTCTATGGCAGTAAATACATGGGTAACAGTGAACATGGAAATTCAGTTTACACCTCAGTCTTGTTTTCTTCTTCTGGCATCCGAATCAGACCTCCTGAGCAGTTTAAAAGTTTCCTCTTCGTCTTTTTGTTTTTCTTGATTTTTTTAAAGAGTTAACTATTCTTTGACTACTATTGCATCCATATTCTTAGTTCCAGAGCAGTACAAGAAAAAAAATAAAAAAGGACCTCCATCTTTTACAGGTATCTACAGAAGTTAACTAGTGGTAATGTCCCCACACACATTGAAAGCTGGATCTTCCAGAACCAGTATCATGGGATTTTCCCCCTATATTGAAAGTATACTAGTACAATGCTGGCAAATAGATTTTAAATTTATATTTTTCCTCTATCCAGCATTCAAATAATCACAAAGTTGATTACAGTCTATAAATAAGCCATCTTCCTCTGTCCAAACTTGATCCGGGTTAGGTAGGAGACCTCTCACTCTGGGGAATATTTATTTTGTCATCATCTACTAATTGACTCATCAATCAGCTCTGTTTAGACGTGTCATAATTTGAATACCATTTAAGTCAGAGTTATATCTTAGCAGTCATCTTTTGGGAAATGATGTTTGTGAAGAAAAACATTCTTTAAAATTCTGCCACTTACTTTAAATATTTATATTAATGATATTTTGTAAGCAGATGTTTCCTATTTGCTAGAAATATCAGCAACCTTTCTTGTAATTGCATGAAGGATGTGACTCAGCTACAGTACACTTTATAAGTGTTAAGTGATGTGATGATCTATAGAATTTTTGACCCTAAAACACTCTTTAAGTTGCTTTTGCCTGATAAATTATTTCTATGTAGTTAAAGCCTAAATCAGACTTTCTGACCAAAGTTTGCCATCATGTGTGTATTTTTTTATTTTCTTGGATTTTTAATTGTCAACTATTATATGCCATTTAATAAGCACCATATCTTTATGTATATACATACATATAAAGCATCTTTATATATTATTTATATAACAATATACAATAGTTATAGGTATTCAGACCTCATATATTCATATTGAATACATTTATATATAATGTTTCACTAATATTAAAAAGTGCTTGTTTACTCTACCTTTGGATAGTGGATATGGGAATAGTTTAACACTATTTGGAACTTTTCATCTTTCTTTATATGATTACATTGAGATAAACAGGTACAGTTCCCTAACTTACAGAAGCACTGATGTGAAGCAAGAGTAAAGACAATGTCTAGTAATATACAAATGTTTCAGGACAGCATTTGATGTTGAATATTTTACCAATTATATAGCCAAATGAGATTCCGTAAGCAGGTAAGTTTCACTATTACGTAATACAGAAAGAAAAATCATAGGATTTTCAAGGTGAACATATAAGTTGAAATGTTTGATTAGCATCTTCACCTCTGACTTTACTGTGACAGTAGTCACTTTACTAACTTAACATTTCAGATTTTCATGTACGAAAGGTGGTCTAAGAAATACTTTAAGGTTATTTAGGGAGCTGTCATTAGATGAAGCAGCAAAGGCTTGTTCTCCCCCCATCTATTCTCAGTTCTTTCAGGAATAGAGACTTAGAGTTGTACACATGACCACTCAAAATAAAGAACTGTACTTACCAACTTTCCTTACAGTGAGAGAAGGCATGATTTCTAATTTCTGCCCAGTGGTATGAAACAAGTGGACTTTTTTGTTGTTGTTTCTGTTTTTGTTTTTTTGTTTGAGACACAGTCTTGGTCTGTCACCCAGGCTGGAGTGCGGTGGTGTCATCTCGGCTCTCTGCAACCTCTGCCTCCCGGTTTCAAGTGATTCTTGTGCCTTAGCCTCCTGAGTAGCTGTGATTACAGGCATGCACCACCATGCCTGGCTAATTTTTGTGTTTTTAGTAAAGATGGGGTTTCACCATGTTGGCCAGGCTGGTCTCAAACTCCTGGCTTCAAGTGATCCGCCGGCATCCATCTCCCAAAGTGCTGGGATTACAGGAATGAGCCACTGCGCTTGACCAGCGTGGAAGTATTTTTACAACATGCTACTTTTCTTACCATTATTCTCCTTCTTTTGAAGTATGAGGTGACCCACTAAAATTGGCAGAAGAAACCTGGGACTTGATAATCCTGTAGCCATCAGATCAGCTCTGAGCTGCCTATGTTTATTTATATGTAGAGACATAGTTTCAATCCTTTGTAAACCACAGCTTCTTTGGGTTTTTCTGTTACATCTTCCCAAATATCATTCTAACTAATACATATGATAATGATTTTCTAAGTAATCATTTCTAGGGTTATGTTTTATAATCACTTTTTAAAAAGTCACTCTAAAAGGAAAGATTAAAATAAAATGTCACTGAGCAAGCAATAAAGAATAAACATAACCATTCATAAGCACTAAAGTAAATTTATTAGAAATGATTATCAAAATTTAACTATTATTTGAGGTGCCCTGAGGTATGTAACTGGCTATGACAGGACTCCTTGGTCTCGTTTTCTGAATCATTTTCTTCTGTTTGACTTGTAAATGTGTTGTCATATAGCAAGGCTCTGGCATGGGACTTCTTATCTTCATAATCTATAAGCTTTCCCGTGGTGGCTCACGTAGTCCTGTGGTTTTGAATGCTATCTCCAGCCTTGATATAGCTCCCAGACTTAGCTCCTGCTCTCACCTTGTGATGTTCCTCTTCTCCTTTCACCTTCCACCATGAATAAAAGCTTCCTGAGGCCCTCACCAGAATCAGATGCCAGCAACGCGCTTCCTGTACAGCCTGTAGAAATGAGCCAATTAAATCTCTCTTCTTTATACATTATCCAAACTCAGGTATTCCTGTATAGCAATGCAAAAATTGACTAACACATGTTGCATCATGGATTAAAGAATTTTTTAAGAAAGGAAGCTTAGTCTACTGTATCACATGCTCATATGAGGCAGGCAGTGTTTCTCTGGTCTCCTACACCAATGAGACACAAGGCAGGGAATGGTCACTTTTTAAAAGTATAGATTAAGAAACTTTAACCTACCTTTCACATTTGGTTTATGGTGCATGGTTTATCCTTAAATGTATGGATTTTAAATACGTATTCATAGCAGTGGTTTCAAAAGTAATATTGCAATATTCAGTAAATTTTATCTCTCATATATATCTCAGACTCAAAGCTGATATACATAACTGCATAACTGAAATATCCACATGGATATCTAATAGGCCTAAAAGATTTTCCCTTCGAAATAAGCTCTTTCTTCAGCCTTCTCCATTTCTGCAAGTAGCACCACCAATGTTGCAATTAAATAAACCGTCTATGAGTTATCCTTAACTTTTTCCTTACATTTTGTGACAGATAATTTTGGTTATCTACCCAATAACTACTTCTCTTTTCTGCATCCTGTCTTGCAGAGTCCATCACCCATAAGAGAAACTAAAAATGCCAGAGTCAACCTTGCTTTTGCCCCCTTTATCATACAGCATAAACATGAATTTCAGTCACAGCCAATGAGTCCTGGAAGGAAGTTTGCACTGTAGCTTCTGGAGAAAAATATTTTTCATTAAAAAATAAGCCAGGCACGCTGGCTCACTCCTATAATCCCAACACTTTGGGAGGCCGAGGTGGGCGGATCACAAGGTCAGGAGTTCAAGACCAGCCTCGCCAACATGGTGAAACCCCGTCTCTACTAAAGGTACAAAAAATTAGTTGGGTATGGCGGCACACACCTGTAATCCCAGCTACTCGGGAGGCTGAGGCAGGAGACTCGCTTGAACCTAGGAGGCAGAGATGGCAGTGAGTCGAGATCATGCCGCTATACTCCAGCCTGGGGACAGAGTGAAACTCTGTCTGAAAAAGTTAAAAAAAAAAAAAAGTGTAGAAAGAAAAAGATTATCCCTTCTTCCATCTTCTGTAAATTGCCACATATATATGGGGTGTATCTGTATCAGTCTTTTATGATTAGGAGAGAACAAGCCTATCAACCAAGTCAATAATTTTGACAACTGCAGTTGTAAAAAGATAGAAAAATTCTGGATCCTTGGTTTTATTTGTAAATCTGGAAAGCCCTGGTTCCATATTTCTTGTTTCAGAGATTGTTTAAGCCTCTTTCAATTAGACATTTTATTGTTGAATTTGAAAGTATCTTAAATGATACACACACAATCTCCATGTTCTTTCAAATCTCCTGTGAAAAGATATTCTGAATTGATTAATCTTCATCTCCTCTAATTCCCTAGGCCAAATTGCTGTTATCTGTAGTTTGGAATACAACAGCAGTCTCCTAAATGTTTCCTCTGCTTCCATTCTTGCTGCCAGTCAAATCACAACACCACAGTTATAATTGTCTTTCTAAAAACATACATTATTATGTCATCTTCCTGCTTAAAACTCTCCAGGGCTGTCCAATTGCACTTAGGAATAAAATCTAAACTGCCTATTATAACCAGATCCTATGTAATCTGCCCTGGTCTACTTCACTTCACCTTCCTCACTCTGCATTAGCCACAGTGGATATTTCTGGTTTCATGAATACGTCAAAATGTTTCTACCTTAATATTTTTCCATAAACATCCCCAATGTTTATAATGGTTGTTTTAATGACTTTATTTTTTTAAGTTATTATGGTTACATAATAGGTGTACACATTTATGGGATACATGTGATGTTTTGATACAGGCATACAATGTATAATAATCAAATCAGGGTAACTGGGTTATCCATCCTTTCAAGCATTTGTCTTTTGACATTTATACCTCAAATTACAACAGTACCTCCTCAAGAAAATTTTTCATGACAATCTAATTTAAACTAGCCATCCAATCACTCTCCTTTATAACACTTGTTTTAATTATTCAAAAACTATTTGCCACCATTTGTTTTCTTTTGCCATAAATATTAAGCATTTTTTATTATATGTGACCAGAAACCTTGAGTATATTGAAATCACACCATAGTGCAACAACTAGGACTGGGCTTAATACAGGTGTTCAGTTTATATTTTTAATTATAAAAGCATGTTAAATTTCATCATTTTTCAATCTTAGTTATATTTATATATCAATAAGCTGGCTTTTTATGTGTTTTACTCACATTTTTGTGGTTAGGTAGTATAAGTTAGATTTAGAGAACTCCATCACTTTTGGATATATTAACAAAATTAGAAACCTAGAAATTTGGCCGGGCATGGTGGCTTACACCTGTAGTCTCAGCAATTTAGGAGGCCGAGGTGCGTGGATCACCTGAGGTCAGGTGTTCGAGACCAGCCTGGCCAACATGGTGAAACCCCATCTCTACTAAAAATACAAAAATTAGCCAGGCATAGTGACGGGCACCTGTAATCCCAGCAACTCAGGAGGCTGAAGCAGGAGAATTGCTTGAACCCGGGAGGCAGAGGTTGCAGTGAGCCGAGATTGTGCCACTGCACTTCAGCCTGGGTGACAGAATGAGACTCTGTCTCAAGAAAAAAAAAAAAGCCTAGAAATTTAAACACAGAATTTCTATAATATGGTCCAGTATCTTGTGGCTTTTATTGTATTCTACTTAAGTACCAAGCCCAACATTTTTCAAGGAGCACCTTATATTTTTGCCCTGCAGGTCCTTAACTTGCAAATTAAAGTTTGTTCTATACTCATTTTCTGCTTCCCAGCTCCCTCTCCATCAAAATAGTGTAAGAGAATTCTCAATGGTTATATAGTCTTTCCTAAAAAAATATTTCTTTCACTTTCTGGATTTTTTGGGGGAATGATTCAATGTAAATTGAATGAATTTTTTAAAACGTTTTGTTCTTTTATTTTTATATTCTCTGCCCTGGTTTCATAAAGACAATAAATAACACTAAACATATTGCAAGACTATGCTTAGTTTATTTAGAAATGAAATAAGATTCTAACAGGATACCGTGGACTTTAATGAGCAAAGGCCCCTAAAATCTTAACTTGATTTCAGTATTACTAATGAAACATTAGTGGACTTTCTTTTATATCACCACTTGAAAATTGGAATATGATTTTAGGTTTCAGCATACTACCACTTATTTCAAGGTTTCTTCAGAAGGCAGTCCATTCTTATAGGCCCACTGCTTTGCAAAATGTATGACATGGAAGAAATGTGTAGAAAACTTGATTGAACAGGACTACAGTGCTCATGGTCTTTGCAATATTAGATACATATATTTTTCAAAAACAGAAAGGCAAGTGAGGATTCTGGAAAGATGATGAAATAGAAAGCACCAGAAATCTGTCTCCCTATCTAGACAATTACACTGGCAGAATCTGTCTGACAGTTTTGGAACTCTGGAGCTTATTGACAACTTGCAAGTTCCAGGAAAAGTCTTAGATGCTAAATTGTGCTTAATTTCAGTCAATTTAAGCTTTTAGCACAGTAGTAGCTAGCACTCTCCTTCTTATACTCTATGGCAGGTAGGGGTAACTGTGCCTATGTTCCTGCAGCAACCTGCACACTGGTGGATCCAGGGTATGCAAAAAGAATCTAGTCTTCCAAATATCAGGGATCTGTGCTCTGATTGCTGCTTCTGATCATAGAGGTGCAGAAGAGTTGACTGGCCATTGTTATTGCTCCTCCTCCCTTGTTGCAAGCCCCTTCCCTTCTGGCTGGATGATTTACAGGGAATTTAAAGAGCTAATATTATTTTCACCCCTTCCTCTTCATTTTTCTTCTTTTTCCCTTTTTGGAGCCAGATATTAAAGTATAGGACATTCAATAACAATTGCATATAAGGAAAAACTAGAAAGTGATCATATATGCAGAGGAAAAGGCTCACAAAAAACCTGACAAAATCTTAAGTTTATACCTTAGGCTGATGCTCAGCACAGAGGAAGCCTACAACAATCCAAAGTAAAAACAATAACAAAAAGCAGCAAATTCAGTGGAAGCGAGTGAATCTGATTTCTAGAATTTCTACATTTTTAGATTCAAATGTCGTTTTCAACAAAATAATAAAGTAACATATGGTCTATTCAAAAGGAAAAATAAATAAACAAAAACTGTCCCTGAAACAGACTTCATAACAGATCTCTTAGACAAAGACTTTAAAAGACATTTTTAAAAACATGCTCCAAGAAATAAAAGAACATGTGGATGAAGACAATGAAACGATGTATGACAAAATGGCAATATAAATAATGGGTTAGAAAACCTAAAAAAGTAGCCAAAAATATATTCTGGAGCTGAAAATTACAATACAATAATGAAAAATTCCCTAAAGGGACTTAAAGGCAGAGAGAAGAAAGAATCTACAAACTTGAAGACAATAAAAACTGGGCCTGAGCAATAGGAAGAGAAAAGGTTGAAGAAAAGGCAACAGAACTTAAGACACCTGTGGGACACCATCAACAATGCATTGTGGGGGGTCTCAGAAATATTTGAAAAATAATGGTTGAAAACTCCTCAAATTTGATGAAAGAAATTAACATAAACATCCAAAAAGTTTAACAAACTCCAAGTAAGATGAATTCAAAGAAACCCACACCAAGAAACATTATAATCAAACTTTCAAAAGCCAAAGACGAAAAAGAGAATCTTAAATTCAGCAAGAGAGAAGGGATTCATTACACACAAGCAATTTTCCATAAGATTATTAGCAAAATTCTCATCAGCACTTTGCATATATCAGCCCACAAAAGACTTCGGAAGTCTTTTGACTTCCGAAGTGCTAAAGAAAAAAATATCTACCCAGAATCCTATGTCCAGAAAAGCTGTCCTTTAAAAGTGAGGTATAAATTAGGACATTTATATCAGAACAGTTTAGAAGAGACACCGACCTTATATATTAATAAAAGGTTCTATTCAATAAGAAGATATGAGTAATATTTTCTCACCTCATGCAACACCATCAGAAACACATCTTGAAACAAGGACTGACATTTGAAAGGAGAAAGATACAGTTTTACAATAATAGTTGCAGACTTCAACACATCATTCTTGATAATGAATAGAACAACCAGACAAAGTAAGGAAGGAAATCGAGGACTTAACACAATGAACTAGGTCTATCAGACATATACAGAAACACAGCAACAAAAACGTACACATTTTTTCTCAAGTGGATATGGAAAATTTTCCAGGATAAACCATAGATTAGGCCACAAATTAAGTCACAATAGATATAAAAAGATAGATAGCATACAAAGCTTCATCTATGATTATAAGATAATGTTAGAAATTGAAACAGAAGTAAACAAGAAAATTTACAAATTTGTGAAAGTTAAAACACTGTTAATCAATGGATCAAAGAAGTAACAGGGAAGATAGAAAATATAGACAGATGAAAACAAAATCACAATACAGATAATTCCTGGCTTAGAATGGCTCAACTTAATGATTTTTTGACTTTATGATTATGCAAAAGGGATACACATTCAGTATAATATTTAATTACATTAGATAGTCAACATTTTATTATAAAATCAGTTTTCATTAATTGGTTTTGATTAACTGCAGGATAATGTAAGTGTTCTGAACATGTTTAAGGTAGGCTAGGCTAACCTATGATGTTCAATAGGTGATGTGTATTGATTGCATTTTCTGCTTAGATAGTTTAAACTTATAGTGGGTTTACTGGGACATAAACCCATTGTAAGTTAAGTAGCACCTCTATACCAAAACTTATGGTACTCGGTAAAAGCTTTTATAAAGAAGAAATTCATGATGGGTGCTCACACCTGTAATCCCAACAGTATGGGCAGCTGAGGTGGAAGGATCGCTTGAGCCCAGGAGTTTGAGACCAGCCTGGGCAACATAGGGAGACTGCATCTCTACAGGAAAAAAAATAAATAAAAATGAGCCAAGCAATGCAGTGTGTGCTGTGATCCAAGCTACTTGGGAAGCTGAGGCAGGAGGCTAACTTGAGCTCAGGAGGTCAAGGCTGCTGTGAGCCATGATCGCTTTTGCAGTTCATCCTGAGATACAGAGTAATAATGTCTGAAACTCTGTCTCAAAAATAATAAGAAAAAGAAGAAGAGAAAAAGATGAAATTCATAGCTATAAACACTTTAAAACTCAAAAGAAAATCTAACCCACAACATACAACCTAAGGAGCTAGAAAAAGACTACTAGTGGAAAGAAGGATATTATAAAAATTAGAGACAAGTGGAAGAGATAATAGAAAATAATCAGAGAAAATTAATAAAATCAAAATTAGTTTCTTTGAAAACATTGGCAAAATTGACAAACCTTTACCTAAATGGACTAAGAAAAAACAGAAAATTTAAATTACCAAAATCAGAAGTGAAAATGGGATATTACTATCAATTCTCCAGAAATGTAAAGGATTGTAAGAGAGTACAATGAACCTTTGTACATAAATTGGATAACCTAGATGAAATGAACAAACTCTTAAAAAAAATAAACTACCAAGACTACATCACAAAGAAATAGAAAATCTGAATAGCTTTATAGCTACTAAAGAGATTGAATAATTCCTTTTTTTTTTGAAGAAATAATCAATAAACTGCCAAAAAAGAGAAGACTTGAACCTGATGGCTTCACTAGTAACTTTTTTTTTTTACATTATTATACTTTAAGTTCTGGGGTACATGTGCAGAATGTGCAGGTTTGTTACATAGGTATACACTTGCCATGGTGGTTTGCTGCACTCATCAACCGTCATCTACATTAGGTGTCTCTCCTATTTAATAAATAACTAATATCAATCCTTCTCAAACTTCTCTAAAAAATTTAAGAGGAGAGACCACTTCCTAATTCATTGTATATGGTTAGCTTACCCTGATATCAAAGCCAGACGAAGACACTATAAGAAAAGAAAATAACAGACTAATCTACTTGATAAACATTGATGCAAAAATTCTCAACAAAATACAAGCAAACAAAATTCATCAGCATATTAAAAGGATTATACAGCATGACCAAGTGGGATATATTCATGGAATGCGGGATGATTCAACATGTAAAAGTCAATAAATGTAAGTACACATCATTAACAGAAGGTGGGAAAAAAATGATCTAGCACCCTCAATTGATGCAGAAAAAAACATTTGACAAAATCCACACCATCTCATGATAAAAACACTCAACAAACTAGGAATAAAGGAAAATACCTGAACATAATAAAAGCCATATATTAAAAAAACCTTGGCAAATGTACTCAACAATGAAAAGTTGAAAGCTTTTCTTCTAAAAAGCAGACAAGAATACCCACATTCACCACTTCTATTCAACATAGTAGTGGAAGTTCTAGCCAAAAAAAAATTGGAAAGAAAAAGAAAAGACATCCAAGTTGGAAAAGAAGAAGTAAAATTGTTATGAGAAATATTTGGGACTGTAACATCCCGTCCCATACTGGAAAGGAACTGAAAGACCAAAGAATGGTCTTCAGACAAGTCCAGCTTGATGAGTGGAAGAGTTTATTAGGACTTACATACAGGGCTTTCCTGGATGGCAGCAGGACAGTTCTAGAGATCTGTGCTGCTTCTCATCTCTAAATTGCTTTTAAGCTAATATTCTGGCTCTTTGCCTACTGTGGTTGAGCAATGAGACTATTTTTCTTAGTAGGCTTTCAGGTACTCTCTGGGATGTTTGAGTTCTCAGGGACACCTGCTCCTCATTTGGGCATCATGGCCTTGGCTCACTGCTGAGCCTTCAGGGTTCAGGCAATAGACATACGTTAAGTATGTCCACTGTAAGTAACCTGGTGGGGGGCCCATCACACTAAAAAATTATCTGTGTTCACTAACAGTGTCCTTCCATAACATACCACCACTCTTTATTTAGGGTACTTCTTTAACAATATATTCATTTTTCTTTAATAGTATACCTATTTTTCTTACTTGCTAGATTTTTATCTTCTTGGGGCAGAGGTTAGATTTTATTTATTATTTAAATCACAAATTAATTCTAACATGTGCCTTGCAGTGTATCCATATAACACATGCATGTTACACTGAAATATTTTAATTTAGATGTGAGACCCTGACAAAGGTAGTACACCATGGATTAATTTTGCCCATTTTGAACTGTATATAAACAAAATAATACAAAGTGTAACATTTTCTGTCTGGCTTCTTTCACTAAATATTGCATCAGTAAGATAGTGAGATGCATCCACATTGTTATGTGTTCATTTGTGCTCATTGCCACATGCTATTTCATTGAGTACATATGCATCACTATATTTCTTACACTGTCTATAGGCATTTGTATTGTGTTGAACTTGAGGTCATTACCCAGGGTTGCTATTAACATTCTTGCATATATCCTTTGTTGCCATTTGTATACATTTCTGTTGGTATACACGTAGCAGTGAAATTGCTGAGTCATATGCTAAGTAGATATGCCAAATAGATTTCCAAATTTGTCAAACCCATCCATTTTTTTACCTAAAGATTTTTTCGTCATTGAAGACCATTGTCTGATTGGATAGCAGATTAAATTAATGTTAAATATCAAGAAACTATTGTTAATTTTGTTAAGTGTGAGAATGGTGTTACAGTTATGTAAGGAAATGCCATTTTGGGGCTCGTATTTTTGTCTTTAATTACACAATTATATCATGCCTTCAAGTATGCTATAAAACTATATAAATGAGGTGAGGAGTGATAAAAAATAAGTATGTCAAAATGTAGATAATTTTTATAGGTACATAATTTGTTTTGCTCTATACTTTTGTGCATTTTTGAAAAATTTCACAGCAAAGAGATGTATATTGATGGAAAATGAAGAAACAAAAAACTTCTAATTTGAAAATAATATTGCTATTCAGATATAGAATTATTAGACAGAATATTAGAACTAAAAAGATAATTCAGCCTGTGACAAAGTGAAAATTGTACCACTCAAATTTTAACAGTCAAGGATGGCTTTATTCAAAGCTTTGTTAATAGGGGAGAGAGGCCAGAATTCAGTCTGAGATCAACTCCATAGAAAAAAAGGGATAGGTGCGTTTTAAGAGCTTGGGTTGGGGGAATAGTAGGCTCTCTGTATTTGCTAGTTGACCTTATTCAAAGAAAAAGTAAACTTTCTGGTATTGTGCTGACAGGTGGTAGTATTGCATCTTGAGGTAAGGAATCTGCATTAGTTAGATTTCTACCTTTCCACAGAGACTATGGATAGGGAGATAGGGATATTATCTTTCTTGATGACTACATTTCAAGGGAATAGCTCCCAGGGCCTGAAAAAAGACAGTTCTGGGTTATAAAACTGGCTATTCATAGCTTACTTATAAACATAACTCTTTCCCACTGACTAGGTAAACTATGAATAACTAGCTCATCTTAGATCATCAATGACAGTGCAAAAATTTAAGATTGACACATTTTTCCCCAGAAATTGACATAAAGAAATATGAGCATCTCCTACTTTTAATGTTGAATCAGTGCCCCTGAGTTCATTGCATTTTTTTTTAAATTGTCCTCACTGATTGATTGGGAGCTTTGTGCATGTAACAGACTGCAGCCCATACCATACCACAACTTGGTTTAGTTTGGCATAATCAGGATAGAAGGACAGGGCTATAGGCTTAAATACACTTGTGATATATGGTCATCTTAGCCACCTATACCTGAATAACTAAGGACAAACAGTCTCATCTTGCTCTTTGATAATTCTTCTTAAAATAAATAACAATCTTTGTGTCTTTCAAGTAAAATATGTCCTATAAGGGTTTGTAGATAGAAAATATCTACTTCCCTTGGTTATTGTTAAGATAAATAAAATAATGTGTTTAGCTATACTTGGTAAATCTTGAAGCATTTAACATTTGTTTCTATTGTTGTTATAATTTCCATGCTTAAACTTAGTGACAGACAAGACATAATTCTTTTCATTTTGTTCTCATACTTAATTTGAACATATTGCTTTTCCAAGACCAGTAGTCACTCTTTTTTGATTTATGGATTACTTTAAATACATTCTGAAATTTATAGACTTCTAGCCCTCCAAAATATGTAGATATACCCTGTATGCATACAGATTTTGCATAGAAGTTCATAGAACACACAGGATCTGGAATCTCCTACGGTTCAATGGATTCCAGATAAATAATCTATTCTCTAAGGTAGACAAAATTTATATTTCAGCACTGCAATACAGACCAACCATTTTTTCTGTCTTAAAAAGTTGAACATAATCCTATTCCTTTAAAAACAAGTAAAGAAACTTTCCAAATAATAAGTAATATGCAACTAAAATACTGCAAGTTTGCTACAGAGCATATGATTAATTTCTGTAATTAAGATTAAATTAAATGTTATTTTGGCATTCAATTGATATGTTTTAGTAATCATTAGTATATCCTATTAACAAATAACTTACATGTGGACAAAAATAGTACTTTTAAATACATATTTATAATTATTCTTTTCTACTAGCACAGTCTCTTTTAAAAAAGCAAATGAAATTTATATAAGATTCTACCATCAAACCTTTATTTTACCATTAGGCTTTTTTTTTATTAGAACATAAAAAGCTTTTTTAACATGAGAAAATATGAAAATAAATTAAAGCAGTATTGACTCGTCACCCTTATTAGCACAGGATTAACTTTCAAAAAATGGAAATAATTTAGGAAACATCAATTCATTTTAACTCAGGAAAGAATTGCTCTGTAAAATTATGGTGCCTCAAATAATAAATAAATGCATACTTAAAATTGGCATTTATTCATTCAAGGCACGTAAAAGATGTAAAATTAAATCTAAGAAAAGGAGTAATTAAATGTAATTAAAGGGAGTTACAGTGGTTAAGACAGAGGAAAATCTCCATTCTGCTTTTCAATTTATCATCACATACTTACAAAAATATGACTTTTTCCCATTTATTTACATAAATCATTGTATGTCTGAATTTCAGAAACCAGATGCTAAAAGGGCAAAGAATTTGGGCTTCTCTTACCATTACATAACACAATTGTCTCTGGGGTAGTCCTCTTCTTCAAACACTTACCTTAACTGATACAGAATCTCACTCAAGTAGCCTGGAGCTGTTCAAAGGCATCTCTATGATTTCTGCTTTTCACTTCTTTACTTTCTTAAATTGTTCCAGCTAATATCCCCAATCCACTTCATCAAACCCAGGTGACTCCTTCATATTTCTCACCTTATTTTTTCATGGCACACAATATTCTGTATTATATCCAGGACTGCGCTGTATATAGGGGGATAAATCACATTATGCACCCAAAGATTTCTGCTGTCTGTAGGAATTGTCCACCTAAAGATAGAAACTGAGGCAACATTAATATAGAGAGTATATTTGGGCCAAAGTTGAGGATGGCAGCCTGGGAAACACTGGGAAGTGGTCTGGGGAAACAAAAGGAAGACTAAAGTCTTTACGAAAAATGGATGAATCGGTAGAGGAGGTGATTATAAAAGTTGTCAGCCGGGCACAGTGGCTCATGCCTGTAATACCAGCACTTTGGGAGGCTGAGGCAGGTGGATCACAAGGTCAGGAGATGGAGACCATCCTGACCAACATAGTGAAACCCTGTCTCTACTAAAAATACAAACATTAGCTGGGTGTGGTGGCGCATGCCTGTAATCCCAGCTGTTGGGGAGGCTGAGGCTAGAGAATCACTTTAACCGAGGAAGCGGGGGTTGCAGTGAGCCGAGATTGCAATACTGCACTCCAGCCTGGTGCCAGAGCAAGACTCTGTCTCAAAAAAAAAAAAAAAAAAAAAAAAAGTCGTCAGGAATTCTCATTGCTTTACAGAAACGATTTATTAGTAATTGGCTACATATTGTTGAACTCACATCCATTTAAGGTTTGAGTTATGGTGTCTAGCATGTGGCATTGTTAGGTTAATTTATGACTGTTGGTGGTGACAGTCATATTACTTAGCTTAAGGTGGAAGTGAGGTGTGACTGCTGTCACTTTTCAATACCTCTCTGGGCCTGATCATTTAAAGGGGCTGGCATTCCTCAGATAAAAAATGTCTTTTCTCTGTCAGAATCATTCTCAGTTTTATTATTTGTGGCTACCTGGCTTCTATTCTACAAGTTTACAAAGACTATAATCTCAACAGTTGACTTCTTTTGCTATGTGTAATTTTCCGGAAGTATAGCTCTTTTACTCTTGCTGCTTTTTATTGTCAATCTTAAATAATGAGATTCAGAAAATACGATTAAGTATAGAGTTTAATCAAGTGCAAAGCTTGAGGATGGCCGCCTGGACACACCAACTCTGAATGAGTGGGGTCAACATTCCAAAGTAGAGTAATTTCCCTGCCCTCAATGTCTCTGTTTAAAAAAAAAAAGTGGAGAAATTAAGTTTTCACTTATAAAGGTGGAGACAAATTTCATCAGGATTACATTTTCCATAGGAAACCAGATAATACCCACAATAATTTGATTAGTCACAGATTGCTACATTCCAAGGACAATTATTTTATTTTTTTGTGAGGAGGAGAAGTGATCTGAGGGGGTCTTATCCTGGGTGCTATTTGGTCTTAATTGTTTACAGGGAAAAAATAAAGCAGAAGTTGCAGCTGCATGCCGTGTGACTCAGGCCACGTAGCCACATTCCTCTCGAGGCTTCAGAATAATTTCAAGTTCCAACAGCTTTGTTTGAATTATTTAATTTCAAAATTCAGTTTTGGTATTTCTGTATTCCTGATAAATTTTGTGTGTGTGTGTGTGTGTGTGTATGTGTGAATTTTGTTTTGGACTGTAAGAGCAGACATGAGAGTAAATTAATTTTACTCTTCAGATTTCAGCATACTCTTCTCATCAATGTGTATAAAACCATGCTCTAGTTAACTTGTGCTGTGTTGTGGCACAATGTGTTTACTTGGTTTCGTTTGGTCTATCATACTCTGCTCTTTTCCCTTTGCTTCCAATCGTATCTCCCTTTTCTCACTTCTCATAGGAACCTACTCAAAGGTGTTTGGCTTATATCCTTGGATGTGAGATGTCTTTGAAAAATATATTGGGTATAGTGAATGTCTGTGTCTTATCTAAACAATACATATTGTAGATATTTTCTTGTGTCCTGCCTTGAAAAATATATCAGAACTATTTTTTATGATCTATACAAGTTGTATGTATCTCTATCACAGTTAATTAAATTATAACATTGTATCTCAAAGAGGGCCTTGCCACATTTAATCATTTCTGTAAGGAAAACTCAGTAACTACATTCTGCACTCCACAATCCAAATAGCGTTAGACTTAGATGTTTCTGTAAGAGATTTATCTCAGGTATATAACTGAGAGTCAGAATACTAGTTCCTAGGGTTTATGCTTACTTATTTTCTAAGTACTGTCAGATTGCCTCCAAATGGTAGCAACTGCATACACTCCCACCAAAAAAGCGTGAGCTCCTATTTTCACATCCTAGATGGTAAGTCATCTTTACCTACTTGATTTGGTCAATAAGTGCACAATGGTATCTCATTGCTATTGACATTTACATTTTTCTGATTACTAAAGAAATTGCACTTATTTTCATACACTTAAAATTATTCTGTGAATTGCATATTCAAATTATTTTCCTAATTTTCTTTTTAATTTTTTATCTTCTTGTTAATTTTGGAGTTAATTATATATAAAATATTTTATTAGGTTTAGCTGCTAAAATATCTTCTCCCAATGTGCTAACATTTTTCTATTAAACTTCCCTATAGTTTCCATTGCTTAGAACTACTTTGTTCCTTTTTTCTGATGTGTATTTTAATTTTTAAAAGTGTAAAAAATTTATATGGATGGATGAATAATTGATTCCCGTTGAAAGAAATATATGTATATTTTTATATATAAATACAGAAATATATACATTTATATATTTATATGTATATATTGTCTGTGGGGGGTGGTATGTGTTTAGGAATGAAAAACTTCAAATGAATGAGAGAAGAAAAAACATCTTCACCTCAAAAACATTTCTTATGCCATTTAAATTTGTAATTAATGCCTTTGTCTTACTGGATATTATTGGTAAATCATTTTTTGAAAAATTTTCAATAAGCGTTTTCAGCAACAATGAGGTCATAAAGGTGCATATTTAATGAGAAATTATATACTGAGTTTAAATATTTTGAGAAACACATGATAAATGTGTAAAGTGCTGAAAATATTTGTTGACATTTACCAATACCCCTGGGCACTAATATGGTGATATCACTGGCTATATGAAAGACAGAAGACACATATTTATTGCAAAAACATCAGATGTACTTTTTAAAATAACAGGCATTTAAGATACTGTTCCTGAAAATAAAAATTTAACAGAGGCAGTTGCAGAAAGCTCAATTACATAGTACTGTATAAAGTGTGGCTTTTCTTTTTCTTTTTTTTTTTTCCTCTGGTTTAAACAAAATTAAACAAGATTTTTATTATAGAACCCTTGTTTTTATTTTTTATTTTTTCAATTTTGTTTTTATTATACTTTAAGTTCTAGGGTACATGTGGTCAACGTGCAGGTTTGTTATATATGTATATATGTGCCATGTTGGTGTGCTACACCCATTAACTCCTCATTTACATTAGGTGTATCTCCTAATGCTATCCCTCCCCCATCCCCCCACCCCACGACAGGCCCCGGTGTGTGATGTTCCCCTTCCTGTGTCCATGTGTTCTCATTGTTCAATTCCCACCTATGAGTGAGAACATGCAGTGTTTGGTTTTTTCTCCTTGCGATAGTTTGCTGAGAATGATGGTTTCCAGCTTCATCCATGTCCCTGCAAAGGACATGAACTCATCATTTTTTATGGCTGCATAGTATTCCATGTTGTATATGTGCTACATTTTCTTAATCCAGTCTATCATTGATGGACATTTGGGTTGGTTCCAAGTCTTTGCTATTGTGAATAGTGCCTCAATGAACATATGTGTGCATGTGTCTTTATAGCAGCATGATTTATAATCCTTTGGGTATATACCCAGTAATGGGATGGCTGGGTCAAATGGTATTTCTAGTTTTAGATCCCTGAGGAATCGCCACACTGTCTTTCACAATGGTTGAACTAGTTTACAGTCCCACCAACAGTGTAAAAGTGTTCCTATTTCTCCACATCCTGTCCAGCACCTGTTGTTTCCTGACTTTTTAATGATCGCCATTCTAACTCTTGTGAGATGGTATCTCATTATGGTTTTGATTTGCATTTCTCTGGTGGCCAGTGATGATGAGCATTTTTTCATGTGTCTGTTGGCTGCATAAGTGTCTTCTTTTGAGAAGTGTCAGTTCATATCCTTTGCCCACTTTGTGATGGGGTTGTTTTTTTCTTGTAAATTTGAGTTCTTTGTAGATTCTGGATATTAGCCCTTTGTAACATGAGTAGATTGCAAAAATTTTCTCCCATTCTGTAGGTTGCCTGTTCATTCTGATGGTAGTTTATTTTTCTGTGCAGAAACTCTTTAGTTTAATTAAATCCCATTTGTCAATCTTGGCTTTTGTTGCCATTGCTTTTAATGTTTTAGACATGAAGTCCTTGCCCATGCCTATGTCTTGAATGGTATTGCCTAGGTTTTCTTCTAGGGTTTTTATGGTTTTAGGTCTAACATTTAAGTCTTTAATCCATCTTGAATTAATTTTTGTATAAGGTGTAAGGAAGAGATCCAGTTTCAGCTTTCTACATATGGCTAGCCAGTTTTCCCAGCACCATTTGCTAAATAGGGAATCCTTTCCCAATTTCTTGTTTTTGTCAGGTTTGTCAAAGATCAGATGGTTGTAAATGTGTGGTATTATTTCTGAGGGCTCTGTTCTGTTCCATTGGTCTATATCTCTGTTTTGGTACCAGTACCCGCTGTTTTGGTTACTGTAACCTTGTAGTATAGTTTGAAGTCAGGTAGCGTGATGCCTCAAGCTTTGTTCTTTTGGCTCAGGATTGACTTGGCAGTGCAGGCTCTTTTTTGGTTCCATATGAACTTTAAAGTAGTTTTTTTTTCAGTTCTGTGAAGAAAGTCATTGGTGGCTTGATGGGGATGGCATTGAATCTATAAATTACCTTGGGCAGTATGGCCATTTTCACGATATTGATTCTTCCTATCCATGAGCATGGAATGTTCTTCCATTTGTTTATATCTTATTTTATTTCGTTGAGCAGTGGTAATTAAATTGGTTCATTTTTGACACCGTGTGTGTGTATGTGTGTGTTTGCACTATAGAAAGTGTGATGATAGCTACTGATGTGTTAGATCCATTACCAGAAGAATTCAGCAAAAAATTACATGGTGCTAGTAAGTCAATATCATCAGATGCTGGGAACAGAAAGACAGTTGATTGTATTAATAAATAATTTGTTTTATCCAACATATGGAATCAAACAGAAAGTTTGTTTTGGTCAGAAACATCTACTATTTTTGTGACTGATATTTGCAATTTAAGATGTTCAATGTTGAATCTAAATATTTTTTTTCGTAATGGTATAAATACAAATTTGAAGGAAAAAATATAATGCTCTAAACATTTTTCTTACCAACTTTAGAAGCTTCTGAGCAAAATATTCTTGGAATTTTAGTGCAAAGAAATATATAATCACAACTGAAGAAGCAGCAATCCTCTACCCATCAAAACAAAAGTTGTAGCAGTGAAAGATGTATACTTATATAAGCAGAGAATATTTTAAAGAAGACTTCATACATAATCAATACTAGAGTACATGATTTCTCCTTTTTTGCTTATATTAAAGGAACATTTAAACTTTTTTTTTTTTTTGAGATGGAGTTTCCCTCTGTTGCCCAGGCTGCAGTGCAGGGGTGCAATCTCGGCTCACTGCAACCTCCGCCTCCTGGATTCAAGAGATTCTCCTGTCTCAGCCTCCCGAGTAGCTGGGATTACAGGCGCCACCACCATGCATGGCTAGTTTTTGTATTTTTAGTAGAGACTAAAATTCATCATGTTGGCCAGGCTGCTCTGAAACTCCTGACCTCAGGTGTTCCACCCGCCTCAGCCTCCGAAAGTGCTGGGATTACAGGCATGAGCCACCACTCCGGGTCAGAACATTTAAACTTTTAAAAGTTATTTGTAAATTAACTTTCCTACAATGACATTAAACATTTTTTGGTAAATATTTTCTCTAAAAATATGGAGGCATTTTGTTCAAACTATGTTATAAATCTTTAAGTATTCACAAAAATTGAGAAAAACTTATCTTTTGATGATTTTTATTATAATTATTGACATTAAACTTAAAAAATGAAAACATTAGACTACATTTCTTTAAAATTAAGGTAGAAAACAAATTATATGTAACAAAAGGCCTATATTAAGCAATATCTAAATCTGATAAAACTTTAAATGATCAAAATTATAGAAAATTATTTGGCTCATTTTATCTTGTAAATATACTTTTTGAAGAAAAGTACCCTCAATGAAGGCAAAATGATAGTGCCTATTAAAATATTTCAGCTGAAATGTTAACATATGATAGTGAAAAAAGAAAATACGAGGAAGAAGTGCCAAGATGGCCGACTAGAAGCAGCTAGTGCATGCTGCTCTCATGGAGAGGAGACAGAGCGGCAAGTAAACACTGTCTCTTTAAGTGTATTATCCAAGAGGTCATGTTGGGATTCATCAAGGAAGCCATGGAAACCCATGGAGAGCAGAGAGGAGTGAGGCAGGACAGCCACTCACCTGGGATTGTCACAGAGCTAGGGAGGCTCCCTACTGCAGGGAAAAGGTGAATGAGTGACAGCACTTGGAGATCCACACTTCTGCCATAGACCTTTGCAATCCTGGGCACAGGAGGTCCCCTTGACCCCTCTCAACTTCCAGACCAATATGGAAGGCTGCCTAGGGTTTGGTCAGAGCCACCACTCAAGCCCACAATGAGCGCCACAAGCCTTGGATCCCTGAGCACCCTGGTGCCAGCTGCCATAGCCCCGCCAACAAGGTAGGCCAGGCATTTTTGCATGCCCTAGGATAGGGGTCACATCCATGGTGCTGAGAGTGGATGGAATTGGGCCCTGCCTCCTGTGCACCTTGCCAGGCAATGCCCACTGGTCTGGGCCTCAGAATAGCCACCTTGCCCTTACCTGAGCACTCTGGCTGGTTGTGGGCCTGCATTTCTCTGGGACAGGGCTCCCAGAGGTAACCAACAGGCCCACTGATTGCCATTGCCACAATCCCTGCCCCTTCTGCCCTAAGGCTGAGGAGGGAACAAAGAGCCTGAATGAATGGTTGTATGAGAGCTGCACACAGCAGCTTCTAGACAGAAAGATGGCCAGATTGCTTTCCATGTGGGTCCCTGCCCCTGCTGCTCCTCACTGGACAGGGTCTCCTAGCTTGGGCCACCACCCCTACCTAATCACTGCAGTTGGTGGTGGCTCTGCATTTCTCTGGGGTACAGCTCTCAGGGACAACTGACAACCCCTCTGCCATTGCCACTGCTGCAGTAAGGCTCTTACTCTTCCCAGGCTAAGGAGGAAACAATGACTCTGATTCTTTTGCACATCAACAGCGTGTGGACCCACCCTGCAAAGAACATGCCAGCCTGTCTTCCTTGCAATCCCTGGTGGCCCCTGTTGCCCTACACCAGTCAGGGCCCTCTGGCTTGGGCTTGCAGAACAGCTGCCTCACCCCCAGCTGGTCACCCCAGTCAGCCATGATTCTACATTTCTCTGGGGTAGAAACCCAGAATCAGCTGACAGACCCCCTGACATTACCACTGCTGCATTCCCCACCCCTGCTGCCCACAAGTTGGGGAGGGAACAAAAAGCCTGAGCTTGTCCCAGAGCTGCAGTGCACAGCTTGGGAGTGCTGGGCTGAGATCTGTGGCTGGAATTTGAGCAGAATTGGAGCCCACACTCTCAGAGCACAGAGAAGGGTGAGTCATGAGGGCTGCCTTGGGAGCAAGGCATTCCTACCTCTCTGCAGGACCCACCTGGAAAAAGTGGGCCTACCTCCTTGCTGCAGCTGTTGCCTGAGGGAGCCCCCTGGCCCGGAACACCTAAGAGAAATGTGGATGTAGTGTCAGTGCTCAGAGCTACTTGCCAAGGCCCAGTAGCAGACCTGATGAGAGGGTCATCCTGCTATCTCCTGATAGGTCTCCCTGCTGTCAGTTATCAGACTGACTGTCAGGGTATAGCAGTGCTTGTGTTCAAGTAACCCTGATTTTGCTTAATAATGACCCCAAAGGGCAAGAGTTGCGATGCTGGCAATTCAGATATGCCAAAGAGAAGCCATAAAGTATTTTCTTTAAGTGGAAAGGCAAAAGTGTTTAACTTAATAAAGAAGGAACAAAATTTGTGAAGAAAAGAAATCTATGCATAGCATATGTAGGATTCTGCACTAGCTGCAGTTTCAGGTATCTACTGGGACTCTTGAAAAGTATCCCCTGCATATAAAAGGAGATTACTATACAAGTAAATAAGAGATCAGAAAAACTGAAGCCTTATCACCTAAAAGTGTCATAATTATCAGAGATTATCTCTGGTGCTTTTAGAGATTATAACACTGAGCTGGAAAAACAGCTGCAAATTTAAAATAAAAAACTGGCATCCTGAAAACTATAGCAGGAATGACTTCTAAATACCAAATGTAAATTGCACACAAACAGTTTTGACAGCTAAACTATGCATGTGTGAGGGAGGCTGCTAGGGGCACAAGAAAAAACATAAATTAAAACAACAGGCAGAAGAAAAACAATCTTTTCTTGAAAAATACATAAGGAAACTCAGTAAAATAACAACATAATCAAATTTGAAGGAGAGAAAAGATTATTTAAAAATGACTGAAAATAAACAGAACCTTAGAGACCTGTGGGACAATATAAACCAGACACCAGACTCATAGTTGTTCAAATTGATTTTCAGAAAGCAAGAAGAGAAAGAGAAAGAAAAAAAAATACTTGAAGTAATAATGGCTGAGAACTTAATTTTGTGGAACACATTAATTTACAGATCCAAGAAGCTCAACAAATCCCAAGCAAGATAAACACAAAGGATCCACTGCAGGGAACATCACAGTCAAATTCCTGAAAGACAAAGAGAAAAATTCTTGAAGCCACGCAAAGGAAAATGAAATTATTCAAACACAACAACAATAAAATAGATAACTTATTAGTAACCATAAAAGCTAGAAAACATTGGAATGACTTTTTTCAAAAGGATAAAGGAAGAATAAAAACATGTAACTGAGAATTTGATATCCTTCAAAAATGTAGGCAAGTAACGCCATTTTTAGAAGAATAAAAGGTGAGTTTCTAGAGAAGGTATATTTCACGCGATGGTGATTCAGATCTACAAGCTGATGAAAGGGAGTTTTGGGGAAGGAGATATTTTTAGGTTAACGGATAGATTTTATATTGTGATTGTGGTAATCAAGTAAATATGTATACATTTGTCAAAACTCAGCAAATTGAATACCTAATATGTTATTGAATGTAAATCATACCTCAGTAAGAAATGCTGCAATGAGAAAGACACTCAGATAGGTGTGATCGGGTGGAGTTCATAACTGTGAAGTAAGAAAATAATTTTATGTCACTATTTACACCATTATTCTTCCAAGAACCCTGACAGTATCTGGAATAATATTTATGTTGGAGCTAGAATTATATTAAAAAGTGCCAAGAATGAGAGTCCAGCATAATTATAAACAGAATAGTAATAAATACTTGAATAAGTGACATTTCTTTAGGATAGGATATTTATTATTTAAAACCATTTTGACTGGACAATTTAATGTAGGTAAATCATTAGTCTTTTAACAGCATTGGAAACACAATTTGTCAGTTTGTTTCATAAGTAGATGAATTTAAGATGTACAGTTTAGTGGACAGAGTTTTCTCATTAGGGCTTTAAATTGGAAAGCTGAAACTTTTAGCTTTAAAAATAATTTAGAAAATTATTGAAAAAATCCTAGCAAGATGGGCCGGGTGCGGTGCCTCACGCTTGTAATCCCAGCTCTTTTGGAGGCCAAGGCGGGCGGATCACAAAGTCAAGAGATCGAGACCATCCTGGCCAACAAGGTGAAACCCTGTCTCTACTAAAAATACAAAAATTATTCGGGTGTTGTGGCACATACGTGTAATCCCAGCTACTCGGGAGGCTGAGGCAGGAGAATTGCTTGAACCAGGAGGTGGAGGTTGCAGTGAGCCAAGATTACGCCATTGCACTCCAGCCTGGAGACAGCAAGACTCCGTCTAAAAAAAAAAAAAAAAAAAAAAAATCCTTGTAAGACAAGAGGAATTGAAGAAATTAAATCCTGAGGTTTATCTGTGGGATAGAGTAAAAAAGAAAGTGAAAATCGCTCTAGAATTTAATGAATATGACTTTATCAATAGATAAAAAAAAAAAAGGTAAAGGAAAGAGGAAATTTTAAAGGTGATATTAAAACTTTTTAAATGATCATAACTCATTGTTTAGGTTATTTCCTACATTTTAAAATGATTGAAGCACTTAAAACAATCCTATATATTAGAAATTTTAAAAGTTTGAAACATTCGTTATGTAAAAAATTTTTATATGTTTGAAAAAGTCTGATTTATGGAAATTCTATGTATTATTTATCAGCTCTATTCTTGCACCTATTTAGAGAAAGTATTTTTAGGGTGTTAATAAATTTACTCAGTAGATACAAACTAATAGTAGTGATAGAATAATGATCATGAAAGAATTATTAATAATTGCTCCATGCTCCTAAATTTTTGGGGGAAAATATAAAAATAAAACAGAGCGAGATATATATCTAACAATTATAAGAGTAGTATATTTTTGTTGTTTTTTTCCATTGTATCTGGAACTGTTCAAGGTCATCAACATACATTAACTTCTTCAGGCTTTGGGGCTGGCCTGTGACTGACTATCATTGCAAATGTAAAGCTGAGTCACAGAACAGTTAGGTGGTACACTCAAATGATATAACTATTTCATTAGACCAAATAATGTCGTAGTAAAGGTTGAGATAAATGGCCTAGGAAATATAGCTTATTAATTTAAAAATGTATTTAAATACTACTAAATTAGCCTTATGCACCAACAATGTTGATAAGAAATATTAATCAAATAAGATAAAGTCTCTACACTAAAATGTTAAAGAAGTCATGATAATTTTAATACACACATGCTAAAGGAAAGGTAATTAGAAGATAAACTAAAGTTTAATGGCCATGTTAGTCCTTTTTCTCACATGTACTGTGGAACTCGCTGAGAGCGGGCAGCTCTTCCCAGAGGCACCATGAAGGTGAAGGCATAGCATCTTGACCTCCTCCCCGGAGGAAACCACTGACCTTTCTGGGATATGGAAATAGAAAGGTTCAAGGGTGGTACTGTAAGTTAAATTCAAGTGGCGAGGCCTCCTTTCTCTGATTGAATACAACATAAACAATTAAAATATCTTTATCAGCAACAACTTAAACTGGTTAAATACTTGAAAATTTCTCGTGCAAAGACCACCCCTACAAAACTCAGTCTGCTGAAAATAGATTACTGGACACACTCAGATAAGTGACAAAAACCATACTATTTCTTTAGATAGCCAATAATAAACAATAACTGCATTAGCTTAAATCCTTTCAAAGTTTTCAATATTCAACACATTAAAAACCAAATTAAAATTAAAGAGTAAAGAAAAAGTTTGAAGCAGGAAAATTACTAATGAAGGCTTTTAAAAAACATTTTAAATAAGAATTGATCTTCATCTTTTATCTTCCTTGGTAGGTGACTTTACATTTTTATTAGCACTAAGTGGAGTCTTTCCAAAACCTTCCCCACAAGATATAAAACATTTTTTAAGATTTAAATGTCTAAAATTTAAACAAAAATAATAATGAAAAATAAAATTTAATTTTACTTTTTATTATTATTATTGAAGTTCTGGGGTACATGTGCAGAATGTGCAGGTTTGTTACCTAGGTATACATGTGCCATGGTGGTTGGCTGTACCCATCAACCCATCATCTACATTAGGTATTTCTCCTAAAGCTATCCCTCCCCTAGCCCCCCATTCCCTGATAGGTCCCCCATGTGTGCTGTTTCCCTCCCTGTGTCCATATGTTCTCATTGTTCAACTCCCACTTATGAGTGAGAACATGCTGTGTTTGGTTTTCTGTTCTTGCATTAGTTTGCTGAGAATGATGGTTTCCAGCATCATCCATGTCCCTGCAAAGGACATGAACTCATCTTTTTTTATGGCTGCATAGCAGTCCATGGTGTTTATGTGCCACATTTACTTTATCCAGTCTATCATTGATGGGCATTTGGGTTGGTTCCAAGTCTTTGCTATTGTGAATAGTGCCGCAATAAACATACGTGCACATGTGTCTTTATAGTAGAATGATTTATAATCCTTTGGGTATATACCCAGTAATGAGATTGCTGGGTCAAGTGGTATTTCTGGTTCTAGATCCTCGAGGAATCACCACACTGTCTTCCACAATGGTTGAACTAATTTACACTCCCACCAACAGTGTAAAAGTGTTCCTATTTCTCCACATCTTCTCCAGCATCTGTTGTTTCCTGACTTTTTAATGATCGCCATTCTAACTGGCATGAGATTGTATCTCATTCTGGGTTTGATTTGCATTTCTCTAATGACCAGTGACGACGAACTTTTTCTAATATGTCTGTTGGCTGCATAAATGTCTTCTTTTGAGAAATGTCTGTTCATATCCTTTGCCCACTTTTTGATAGGATTGTTTTTTTCTTGTTAATCTGTTTAAGTTCTTCATAAATTCTGGATGTGATCCCTTTGTCAGTGGGATAGATTGCAAAAATTTTCTCCCATTCTGTAGGTTGCCTGTTCACTCTGATGATAGTTTCTTTTGCTCTGCAGAAGCTCTTTAGTTTAATCACATCCCATTTGTCAAGTTTGACTTTTGTTGCCATTGCTTTTGGTGTTTTAGTCATGAAGTCTTTGCCCATGCCTATGTCCTGAATGGTATTGCCTAGGTTTTCTTCTAGGGTTTTTATGGTTTTAGGTCTTATGTTAAAGTCTTTAATCCACTGTGAGTTAATTTTTGTATAATGTATAAGAAAGGGATCCAGTTTCAGCTTCCTGCTTATGGCTGGCCAGTTTTCCCAATACCATTTATTAAATAGGGAATCCTTTCCCGCATTGCTTTTTTTGTCAGGTTTGTCAAAGATCAGATGGTTGTATATGTGTGGCATTATTTCTGAGGCCTTTGTTCTGTTTCGTTGGTCTATCTATTTTGGTACCCATACCATGCTGTTTTGGTTACTGTAGCCTTGTAGTATAGTTTGAAGTCAAGTAGCATGATGCCTCCAGCTTTGTTCTTTTTGCTTAGGATTGTCTTGGCTATGCAGGCTCCTTTTTGGTTCCACGTAAAATGTAAAGTAGTTTTTTTCCAATTCTATGAAGAAAGTCAATGGTAGCATGATGGGGACAGCATTGAATCTATTAATTACTTTGGGCAGTGTGGCCATTTTGATGATATTGATTCTTCCTATGTATGAGCATGAATGTTTCTACATTTGTTTGTGTCCTCTCTTATTTCCTTGAGAAGTGGTTTGTAGTTCTATCCCTTCACATCCCTTGTAAGTTGGATTCCTAGGTATCTTATCCTCTTTGTAACAATTGTGAATGGGAGTTCACTCATGATTTGGCTCTCTGTTTGTCTGTTACTGGTGTATAGGAATGCTTGTGATTTTTGCACATTTATTTTGTATCCTGAGACTTTGCTGAAGTTGCTTATCAGCTTAAGGAGATTTTGGGCTGAGACAATGGGGTTTTTTAAATATCCAATCATGTCTTCTACAAACAGGGACAATTTTACTTCCTCTTTTCCTACTTGAATACACTTTCTTTCTTTCTCTTGCCTGATTGCCCTGGCCAGAATTTCCAACACTATGTTGTTTAGGAATGGTGAGAGAGGGCATCCTTGTCTTGTGCCAGTTTTCAAAGGGAATGCTTCCAGTTTTTGCCCATTCAGTATGATATTGGCTGTGGGTTTGTCATAAATAGGTCTTATTATTTTGAGATAGGTTCCATCAATGCCAGGTTTATTGAGAGTTTTTTAGCATGAAGGGCTGTTGTATTTTGTTGAAGGCCCTTTCTGTATCTATTGAGATAATCATGTGGTTTTTGTCATTGGTTCTGTTTAGTGTGATGGATTACATTTATTGATTTGCATATGTTGAACCAGCCTTGCATCCCAGCAATGAAGCCAACTTGATCATGGTGGATAAGTTTTTCATGTGCTGCTGGATTCAGTTTGCTGGTATTTTACTGAGGATTTTTGCATGGATGTTCATCAGGGATATTGGCCGGAAATTTATTTTTTTCTGTTGTCTCTGCCAGGTTTTGGTATCAGGATGATGCTGGCCTCATATAATGAGTTAGGGAGTATTTCCTCTTTTTCTATTGATTGGAATAGTTTCAGAAGGAATGGTACCAGCTCCTCTTTGTACCTCTGGTAGAATTCGGCTGTGAATCCATCTGGTCCTGGACTTTTTTCTTTTATGGGTAGGCTATTAATTGCTGCCTCAATTTCAGAACTTGTTATTGGTCTATTCAGGTATTGGACTTCTTCCTTATTTAGTCTTGGAAGGGTGTATGTGTCCAGGAATTTGTTCATTTCTTCTAGATTTTCTAGTTCATTTGCATAGAGGTGTTTATAGTATTCTGTGGTGGTAGTTTCTATTTCTGTGGGATTGATGGTGATATCCCTTTTATCACCTTTTATTGCATCTATTTGATTCTTCTCTCTTCTTCTTTATTAGTCTGGCTAGTGGTCTATTTTGTTGATCTTTTCAAAAAACCAGCTCCTGGATTCACTGATTTTTTGAATGGATTTTTGTGTCTCTATCTCCTTCAGTTCTGCTCTGATCTTAGTTATTTCTTGCCTACTGCTAGCCTTTGGATTTGTTTACTCTTGCTTCTCTAGTTCTTTTAATTTTGATGTTAGGGTGACAATTTTAGATCTCTCCTGCTTCCTCTTGTGGACATTTAGTGCTATAAATTTCCCTCTACACACTGCTTTAAATGTGTCCCAGAGATTCTGGTATGTTGTGTCTTTGTTCTCATTGGTTTCAAAGAACATCTTTATTTCTGCCTTCATTTTGTCATTTACCCAGTAGTCATTCAGGAGCAGGCTGTTCAGTTTCCATGTAGTTGTGTGGTTTTGAGTGAGTTTCTTAATTCTGAGTTCTGATTTGATTGCACTATTGTCTGAGAGACTGTTTGTTATGATTTCCATCCTTTTGCATTTGTTGAGGAATGTTTTACTTCCAATTATGTGGTCAGTTTTACATGTAAAAATCTGTAACAAGCTCTAGGAGGTTGCCTAGTGGTCTTACAGATTATCTTCCCTGTTATGCTCACATGACCTATTTTATGTCCCATGGAAATAGAGACTATGTCTTATGAGAAATTCAATTTCTTTTGTACTGGGGTAAAGATAATTGATATCAATGTTGTCTACCAATTATATGCTTATTTTTATACTAACCGAGTCTGTCAGCAAAGCAGATTCAATTACATCAATACGAAGAATTGAAATGATTTTATTCGTGAATGTGGATTGCCTGTTTTAATGGCCAGCAACTGACAGATTCACTTCACAGGTGAGATACATAAACTGATCAGTAAAATTCAAAGGACAGCAAGTCTTGCATTCCTAATTTACTTTTAAGGAGTAGTAAACAGATTTTGAGGTCAAATTGGCTAACATTCATCATGACATATTCTCAAAAGAAGTCTAAATCTTTACCATAAACTCTTATGGCTGTGAAGTCTATGCCAAACAGAGAACTAGAAGTGGCCCTGATTAAATTATTTCAGCAAAGCTTCTATGGATGGGTACATGATCTTATCCAACTTGTAGATAACCAGTGAATAAATAGCATCATAGTATTAGGATCTTCTACATTGTTTACAAAGGTCGGGTCTAACTTCTTTGATCTTCTTATTTTTCTATCTTCTAATTAAATTCTGGCCTTGAAAAAATTGTATTGAAACCCTGTGGGATTAAACAATATCAGATGGTAGCAACAGTTCACAAGGCATCATGTGCCAGTAACGAGGAACGTAGACACCTGTGTCCCACTGGACAGTAGTTCCTTACTCAGTGGAATTCATCTCTTATTTATTATCAAATACATATAATAGCATCATCAGTAAAACATATGCACAAAGAGCGTTCCTACTGTATCCTGAACCCTGGCATTCAAGGCTGCATCATAAAAATCACCTTGTAAAGATGTGGATCTCATCTCTCTTGGAAAAGCAAGTATTTGAAAATTACTCTGTAACTTGTGCTCCTGGTAGTCAATAAGTATATTTTGAGACTAAAGTAGTGAGAGGTGACAGCGTGCTGGCAGTCCTCACAGCCCTCGCTCGCTCTCGGCTCCTCTGCCTGGGCTCCCACTTTGGCGGCACTTGAGGAGCCCTTCAGCCCACCGCTGCACTGTGGGAGCCCTTTTCTGGGCTGGCCAAGGCCGGAGCCAGCTCCTTCAGCTTGCAGGGAGGTGTGGAGGGAGAGGCGTGAGTGGGAACCCGGGCTGCGTGCGGCGCTTGCGGGCCAGCTGGAGTTCTGGGTGGGCATGGGCTTGGCGGGCCCCGCACTGGAAGCAGCCGGCCCGCCCTGCTGGCCCGGGGAACGAGGGCCTTAGCACCCGGGTCCACGGGGCAGGGCTCAGCACCTGCAGCCCGCCATGCCTGAGCCTGCCACCCCCTCCATGGGCTCCTGTGCGGCCGGCCGGAGCCTCCCCGATGAGCGCCACCCTCTGCTCCACGGTGCCCAGTCCCATCAACCACCCAAGGGCTGAGGAGTGTGGGCGCAGGGCGTGGAACTGGCAGGCAGCTCCACCTGCAGCCCCCTTGCGGGATCCACTGGGTGAAGCCAGCTGGGCTCCTGAGTCTGGTGGGGACGTAGAGAACCTTTACCTCTAGGTCAGGGATTGTAAATACACCAATTGGCACTCTGTATCTAGCTCAAGATTTGTAAACACACCAATCAGCACCCTGTGTCTAGCTCAGGGTTTGTGAATGCACCAATTGACACTCTGTATCTAGCTAATCTGGTGGGGACATGGAGAACCTTTGTGTCTAGCTCAGGGATTGTAAACACACCAATCAGCGCACTGTCAAAACCCGGCTCTACCAATCAGTAGGATGTGGGTGGGGCCAGATAAGAGAATAAAAGCAGGCTGCCCCAGCCAGCAGTGGCAACCCGCTTGGTTCCTCTTTCACACTGTGGAAGCTTTGTTCTTTCGCTCTTTGCAATAAATCTTGCTACTGCTCACTCTTTGGGTCCACACTGCCTTTATGAGCTGTAACACTCACTGCAGCTTCACTCCTGAAACGAGAGAGACCACGAGGCCACCGGGAGGAATGAGCAACTCCAGACACGCCGCCTTAAGAGCTGTAACACTCACGGTGAAGGTCTGCAGCTTTATTCCTGAGCCAGCGAGACCACGAACCCACCAGAAGGAAGAAACTCCAAACACATCTGAACATTAGAAGGAACAAACTCCAGACACGCTGCCTTTAAGAACTGTAACACTCACCACGAGGGTTCGCGGCTTCATTCTTAAAGTCAGTGAGACCAAGAACCCACCAATTCCAGACACAGTAGTTCTTGAGGTTTATACTTCCAACTGAGTAAGGAATTGATCACGAAAGCCTGAAAAACTGTGCCATGATACAATTCAAATATCTACTATGTGGAATAGAATGAAAGAGAGTTGAAGAAATCTTATTTTTGACACTTTAATTACCATAATTATATTTGTCTTTTGCTGGCTTAATAGTTTTTGGTTCCTTGATTGATTAATTCCATCTGCCCTAAAAACTCCCTCTGAGACCTCAGATAAGAGATGTAGTCCTAAATGAAGGGAGCCTTAGTTTCTAGATAGCTCTTGTGAGATGCCTCCTGTTCAGAATAAGTATGATATTCATCACATTTACAGAACTGATACTGTCTGGAGCATTTTTTTGCTCACTGTTTATTAAAAACTGTATTGTACTTTATGATTTCCCTTTTAAGAGAATTCTCCACAAATGTCAACATAAGTCTTTTAAAGCAAGCAGCTATGAGGCTACGCTCTTTTTGGGAAAATTACTTATCACTCGAACTTGTTGGATTTAATCCCACAATGATCCACCAGAGGAAAAATAATGGTGGAAACAAAGTTAGACGCATAATTCAAAGTAAATCAGAGAGGCTTTAGGAGCTTACATGTTTTTCTTAACACTGCTTAAAGTGTAAGGTCCGTGAGAATGTAATCATTTTTTACCTTGATCTGCACCATTTCTACCTTAGTAAACTAATCCAGTTACTGGATTTATGCTCATACTATACAGATCAGAGTTTGACTTATATTACTATTTCTGTCAGTCTATCCTTCTGGAACAAAAATCATCTTAATAGTTACCTAAATATATTGCCTTGTACTACATATTTCAGCCATATAAATAGCACAGTATGATGATGAATGGACAGGAAGTTAATTGTGGTACTGATGCTCAATAGTTTGTGCAAAGTCATAGTGAAAAATTGCAGATTTCAATTCCATTATTATTATATCTTGGATTACTCAATTGCAAGTCTCTACACCTTTAATTTTTTTTAAAAGGCCCTTTAAATTTTCTAGTTCTAATTTTTCTACTCATTCATTTACTATTTATTAAGCACCTACTGGAACCACACTGTTCTAAGGTGCTGAGATTTGATGTTGAGCAAAGCAGACCACCTCTCCATCATCTGAAAGATTATACTTTTGGCAGAGGAGTGGTAGGGGTAGGAAAGAAGACAGCAGACAGTTTGGGAGCTGGTGATGAATGCAATAAAGAAAATAAAGGGCAAGAGGGGATAAAGAGTGATGGAATATTATTTTATACAGGGAAGTCAGAGATGAGGAGAAAAGATAACACCTCTTTTGCTAACAAAATTTACAGAGTCTAACAACAGATATTTCTAAGTGCCATTAATGAAACTATCAGTAGCCTTTCAATGACAGCAAAAGCAGTTTTACTCCTTTAAAAACAATTTTCTCTTTCTTTTTCCCCAAATATAAAATGTTCTTATTCACTTGTGCAGATTAAAACTCACAGTATTTTTATTGTGACAATGCCAGAACAATTAAAGTATGTGTGTATAGAATATTTTTTCATTGTAAATTGAATAAAGGAAGAAAAACTATGATGTTATTTCAACTGATTTCTAATCACCTACAGATATGACACAATTTGTTACAAAATTTAGGATTTTGTCATAATCTGTAATTCAGGCTGTCTGTCAATGTTTAAAATCCCAAACCTTGACGTGGGCACTGATATCTGTGAATGTTTCCATAAACTTTCAACCCATACAGATGCTTCTGTTTGTAGACTGCATCTCTTCCCACATTTTTTTTTTTACTTATTAAATGGTGTACATTTTTAGACTCTGCTTAAAGTGCAGGACATTTTCTGGCCATTCTAAATAAACATCTACTAATCTGAATGTACTTTACCTGTTATGAGGGAAACTGTAAAAGTGGTAACTTCCTCTTCAGATGTGTTTTAGACTATACTCATTTTAATTGGTAGTAAATACTAATCTGTCTAGATTTTGCATTGTGAGAGTATGTAAAATATTTTAATATAATCATTTTGGAGGAAAAAAATCTGCCTAACTGAGACATTCCCCAGCACCAGCCTGGAGTGTAGCAGCCCCACTGGGTAGCTAGAGCCACATGAGCAGCAGCATTTATAGTAATCAGTAGTCTAGCTCTCAGGGACTCCTATTCCTAAGGGAAGGAGGAATGTACCACATCAAGGGAACACCCTGTGGGACAAAAGGGTTTGGATGGGAGGCCTTGAGTCCCAGATCTTTCTGCTGGTGGGAAGTTGCTTTTAGCAGAGGCATAGGTGCAGAGCTGGGTTCAGTGGGAAAATCTACAGCTCTTCCTCAATAATCAGGCAGTCCTGAAAGGTCTTGGAGAAGGAGACTTCTTTTCCCTCTCATCCACCACTGCAGACACAGCTGGGGCTTTTTTCATGGGAAGCTGGCATGGGTGCACCTGTAGAGAGCCTTTCTGTAACATTTAAGGGTGACTTCATTCCCACTGGAGTGCCTTTCAGGTTCGGGCGTGCATGAAGGGTAGAGTCACAATTCCCTTCTACTTGGAACATCAACATTCCTGCAGATAATAGAGGTGCCTATCTGCTCTGAATAGCTGGAATACTGATTCAGGAGTGTGACTAAGAAGTGGATCACTTTCCTGCTGGTTGGGCAAGGGAGCTGAGGTGGCTCCCACACTTTCCCATGATAATACCTCGGTGCATTCACTGAGAATTCCCCAAGCCCCTTCTGTCAAGGCTGGGACCTCTGCCCACCATTGGTATTGCATTTTCCCTCCTGCTTTAGCCATAACTTGTTTCTACCCACAGACACCTCCCCTAATGGCCTAAAGCTTGAACTATTCAACTCAGTAAATAAAATACTGGGGAAAAATAAATATAAAAAAGTGCACACCACAGGGAAACGAGATAAACTTTAAGAGACTTCTGTCACTCCAACTTCATAGAAGATAGTGAACTTGCTCACATGTTGAGCACATTGCTATTACAGCCAGCATGTGAGAAAGCCATCATACAAATACTCTCTGTAACCAAAGAACTCATACAGAGTCTTCACCTCAGAAAGCACCAAGCACAAAATTAGGCTACAATAAACTATAAACATTAAAGTCACATCATTAAGGGGTTAAAAATTTAAATTAAAATAGCACAGTCAAATAAAAAATAAGTTCAAGACTAATTAGAATAAATAGTCTACCCAAATGAGAAGAAACCAGAAAAAGAATTCTGGCAAAATGATAAAACAGGGTTCTATAACACACCCAAAAGATCACACTGTCTCTCCAGCAATGAATCCAAACCAAGATGAAATCATTGAAATACAAAATATTCAAAAGGTTGATTATTTAGCTACTCAAGGAGATACAAGAGAAAGGTGAAAACCAACATAAAGAAATTAAAAAATAATTCAGGATATGAATGAAAACTTTTCTAAAAAGATAGATATTTTAAAGAAAAAACAATCAGAACTTCTAGAAATGAAGGACACATTTAGGCAATTACAGAATGCAGTGCAAAGTTTTAACAATAGACTAGACCAGGTGGAAGAAAGACTTTCAGGGCTCAAAGACAAGGGTTTTGAATTAACCCAGTCAGACAAAAATAAAGAAAAAGGAATCAAAAGAAATGAACAAAGTCTCCAAGAGATATAGCATTATGTAAAATGGCCAAAGTTAAAAATAATTGGTTTCCTGAGGGAGAAGAAAAGGCAAAAAAATTGAAAAAGTTATCTGAGAGAATAATTGAGGACAATTTCCCTGGCCTTGCTAGAGATTTTGATATACAAATACAAGAAGCTCAAAGAACTCTTTGGAGATTCATTACAAAAAGGATATCACCAAGGTATCTTGTCACCAGGCTATCTAAAGTTAATATGAAAGAAAGAACTATAAGAGCAGTGAGACAAAAGTATCAGGTAACCTGTGAAGGAAATAAAGGAAAATCTATCAGACTAACAGCAGATTTCTCAGCAGAAACCTTGCAGGCCAGAAGAGATTGGGATCCTATCTTTAGACTATTTAAACAGAATAAATGCCAGTCAAAGATTTTATACCTAGCAAAACTAAGTTTCATAAATGAAAGAGAAATAAAGTTATTTCCAGACAAACAAATGCTGAGGGAATTTGTCACTACTAGACCAGCCCTGCAAGAAATGCTTAAAAGGACTTCTGAATCTTGAAATAAAAAGTTGATATAAACAAGAATAGAACCTCTGTAAAGCATAAAACTCACAGGGCCTATAAAACAATAGCACAATAAATAAAATAACAATCAGCATGATAACTGGAACAGTACTTCATCTCTCAATATTAACATTGAATGTAAATACCCTAAATGGTTAAAAGATACAGATTGTCAGAATGAATTAAAACATTACAAACCAATTATCTGCTGTCTTCAAGAGACTCACCTAACACATAAGGATTCATATAAACTCAAGGTAAAGGAGTGGAAAGAGGTATTCCATGCAAATGGAAACCACAACAAGCATGAGTAGCTATTTTGTATCAGATAAAACAGATTTTAATGCAATAATAATGACAAGGAAAGTCATTATTGAATGATAAAAGGATACATCCAACAAGAAGATATTACACTCCTAAAACTATATGCACTTAACTCTGGATCTCTCAGATTCATAAAACAATTACTTCTAGACCTAAGAAATGAGACAGCCACACAGTAATAGTGGAGGACTTCAACACTCCACTTACAGCACTAGACAGATAATTGAGACAATCAACAAAGAAACAATGGACTTAAACTACACTGTAGAACAAATGAACCTAACAGATATTTACAGAACATTCTACCCAAGAGCTGCAGAATATACATTACTTTCATCAACATATAGAACATTATCCAAGATAGACCATATGATAGGCCACAAAACAAGTCTCAATAAATTTTTAGAATAAAAATCATATCGAGTATCTTCTTAGACTACAGTGAAATAAAACTAAAAATCAACTCCGAAAGGAACCCTCAAAACTGAAAAAAGACAAGGATGACCACTTTCACCGTTTATATTCAACATAGTCCTGAAAGACCTAGCCAGAGCAATCAGGCAAGAGAAAGAAAGAAAGAGCATTCAAATTGGAAAACAGGAAGTCAAACTATCACTGTTCACCAATAATATGATCATACATCTGGAAAACCCAAAAGACCCCTCCAAAAGACTCCTAGATTTGATAAACAAATTCAGTAAATCTCAGGTTACAAAATCAATGTACACAAATAAGTAGCACTGTTACACACTAACAACCAACCTGAAAAATCAATAACTCAAATCCTTTTACAATCGCTGCAAAAAATTAAAATATCTAAGAATATTCTTAGCTAAGGAGGTGAAAGATCTCTGTAAGGAGAACTATGAAACACTACTGAAAGAAATAATAGATGACAAAAACAAATAGAAACACATTCCATGTTCATGGAGTGGAAGAATCAATAGCATGAAAATGACTGTATTGCTCAAAGCAATATACAGATTCTATGTAATTCCTACCAAAATACCAACATAACTTTTTACATAATTAGAAAAAATAATACTAAGAATCACATGGAAGCAAAAAGGAGCCCAAATAGCCAAGGAAATCCTAAGCAAAAAGAACAAATCTAGAGGCATCACATTACCTGACTTTATTTTTTAATTAATTAATTATTTTTTTCTTTGAGACGGAGTCTCTCTTTCACCCAGGCTGGAGTGCAGTGGTGCAATTTTGGCTCACTGCAACCTCTGCCTCCTGAGTTTGAGCGATTCTCCTGTCTCTGCCTCCTGAGTAGCTGGGACTACAGGCGCTTGCCACCATGTCTGGCTAATTTTTGTATTTTTAGTAGAGATGGGGTTTTACCATGTTGGTCAGGCTGGTCTGGAACTTCTGACCTCAAATAACTCACCCACCTTGGCCTCCCAAACTGCTGGGATTACAGGCATGAGCCACCACAACTGGCCACATTACCTGACTTTAAATTAAACTACAAGGCTATAGTTACCAAAACAGCATGGTACTGATATAAATGTAGACAAATAGACCAATGGAACAGAATAGAAAATCCAAAAATAAAGCCAAATACTAACAACCAGCTGATTTTTGACAAAGCATATGAAAACATAAATTGGAAAAAGAATACCCTATTTAATAAATGGCTCTGGGAAAACTGGATAGCCACTTGTAGAAGAATGAAACTGAATTACTATCTCTCACCTTATACAAAAATCAATTCAAGATGGATCAAAAACATAAATCTTAGTTCTGAAACCATAAAAATTCTAGAAGAAAACCTAGGAGAAACTCTTCTGGCAATTGGCCTAGGCAGATAGTTTATAACCAAGACCCCAAAAGCAAATGCAACAAAGCCAAAAATAAATAAATGGTGCCTAATTAAACTAAAAAGCTTCTGTACAGCAAGAGTAATAATTATTAGAGTAAACAAACAACCCATAAAATGGGAGAATATATTTGTAAATTATGCATCCAACAAAAGACTAATATCCAGAATCTATAAGAAACTCAAACCAGCAATAAAATAAACAACAAATAATTCCATCATAATGTGGGAAAATGACATGAACAGACATTTCTCAAAAGAAGAAGTAGAAATGGCCAAAAAACAGAAAAAATGTTCAACATCACTAATCATCAGGGAAATGCAATTTTAAACCACAATGACATACCACCTTTCCCCAGCCAGAATGGCATTAAAAAGCAATAGATGGTGGCACGGTTGTGGTGAAAAGGGAATGTTTATATATTGCTGATGGGAATGTAAATTAGTACAATCACTGTGGAAAGCAGTAGGGAGATTTCTTAAAGAACTGAATGTAGATCTGTCATTTGATCCAGCAATTTCAATACTGAGATACACCCAAAGGATTAGAAGTCATTGCATCAAAAAGACACCTTCACGTGGTATGTTATTGCAGTACAATTCCCAATTCCAAAGATATGGAACCAGCCTAAGTGCCTATTGACTAATGAGTGGATAAATTAATTGTGGTATATATACATCATGGAATACTACACAGCCATAAAAAAGAAGAATATTCTTTTGCAACAACATGGATAAAACTAGAGGTCATTATGTTAAGTGAAATAGGCCAGGCACAAAAAGACAAATATTGCATATTCTCACTTTTTGGTGGCACTTTTTGTGGTTCTCGGTTTCGTGGTTCTTTTTTATATTTATTTCTTTAGTAAATTCATTAATATCCCAAATTGTTTTTCTGAATTTTTGTGTTGTTTTCCCAAATGCTTTTTATTTCACTGAGCATCTTTAGTATCAAAGTTTCAATCTTTTTACAGGGTTTCTTTTTGATTGGGATCTGTTGCTGGAGGATCATTGTGTTCCTTTGGAGATGTCATATTTTCTTGCTTTTTCATGTTTCCTGTGTTCTTACTTTGATATCTGCACATTTGGCATAACAGTCACTTTGTTCAGTTTTTTGAATTTGCTGTCATAGGGGAAAAGTTTTTCCTGAAGATGCATCTATTATGCTGGTTAGATAGGACACTTTGGCTTTGATATTTGGTACAATAGTGTAGTCTCTGTATTACTTTTTTGGCTATAAAGAGCGTCAGTGGTGTCTGTGACTTAACTGGTGGCTTGGGGTGCAGTTGTTAGAGGAGGCAGTGGTGAGGTTTTTCTTGGAACTAGGTCACCAGATTGGCCAGCCTTTGGGCCTCAGTGGTGGCAGCATTGAGCTCAGTGTACCTGTTCTTGGGTCACATGGCAGCATATGCTGGCCCTGGTATTAGTAGGTCCATGTCATCCAATTTCCGAGCTTCCAAGTAGCTTGCGCAGGTGCCTGGAATGACATTAGTGGGCTGGGCTTGAGCCCCTGGACAGTGGGCATAATGTGAGTGATGGCAGTAGCAGTGGTGAGAAAGCTTCCTGAAACCCAAGTGGTCCATGCTGGTGTTGGTGGTGACTACAATGGGTTGGGCTGACCTATCCCCAGGTGCACACATGGTGCACGTGGGTGAATACCAGCTGCAATGGTAGTAGCAGGTTTAGTGGGTCTGATCTTACACTCCAGGGGGAATGCTCAGGTGTCACAGGTAAATAACCCTAGGCCTGTGGATGGTGTACTTGGCTACTATTGGAAGCGTAGAACCAGGCCAGACTACGCCCTCAGGTCCCCTGGTGGTGTATATAGAGGCTGGCCTTGGTATGCAGAAGCAGGGTGAGCCCTAGGTCCCTGGTGGAATGCTCAGGTGGAGATGGCAGTGGCTGTGCTGTGGCCCTGCTCCTATGAAGGGCAGAGTTGCTTTTCCTGGGATCAGCTGTAGGCAGGAAGCTGGAGGGGCGGGTGAGGGAGATGGGCAGTCTGCACTGGTTGTGTAGAGTGGAATTTGTCCTCCGCATGCATAAAAATGCATGGCTGCCCTTCTGCAATAGTGGGTGTTAGCGTGTGGGATGGCTGTCCATGGCTCCTGTCTCAGCCCTGGTTGCAGGGCAGGACACAGAATGGTGGGGGCTGAGCTCCTGTCCCACCACTGGGGCATTGTGCTGTTACTAAGGACTCAAGGATTTTGGGGACCCAGTGTCAGCTTCTTCTCTGCAGCAATGCCTTAGTGTGTTTTCAAGGGGGCTCTCTATGTTAGTCTCAGGGCCCATGAAGGTTGAGGGGCTACCCCGTGGCTAGAATTATGAGCCCATGGTAGGAATGTGGTTGGCTGGGGCCCTCTCAGTTATTTTTTTTTTTTTTTTTTTTTTTTTTTTTTTTGAGACGGAGTCTCGCTCTGTCGCCCAGGCCGGACTGCGGACTGCAGTGGCGCAATCTCGGCTCACTGCAAGCTCCGCTTCCCGGGTTCACGCCATTCTCCTGCCTCAGCCTCCCGAGTAGCTGGGACTACAGGCGCCCGCCACCGCGCCCGGCTAATTTTTTTTTGTATTTTTAGTAGAGACGGGGTTTCACCTTGTTAGCCAGGATGGTTTCGATCTCCTGACCTCATGATCCACCCGCCTCGGCCTCCCAAAGTGCTGGGATTACAGGCGTGAGCCACCGCGCCCGGCCTCAGTTATTTTTAAGTATTAGGGAGTCTCCTATCCTGCATTTGTTTGTCTGTTTCTTTATTTATGTATTTATTTTGTAGCTCTTTTGGATATGAGTTTGACATATTGGGCATTATGTAGATTGTATGCTAATCCTACTTCTTTTAGGTTTTTAATTCTATAGCACTCTTTGTCTGAAATAATCATTTGGCATATAGAGTGACTGTGATGTAAATTTACATTTTTAATCATAGACAAATGGCCAAATAGCATAGGCTTTTGCTGAGTCACTTCTCTGAATATAATGCTGAGGATATTAAAGAAATGTTGGTGAATTTGACATATCCTGCAAGCTAACATGAGAATTGAATGGAGATAAATTTGTAGAAGCCAAAGGTAGCTGCTAAGAGTGTGAAGAGGGAATGAAGAGAGCTGGATTCCTAGGAAAAGCAAAAGGCTAGTGGGGAAGAGTTTGCTCTTGTTCTTTCGCTTGTGTCCACATTGCAAGCCTTGTGACAGTTCCCAGTTTTGTAGGTAAACCTTGGCAACTTAGTACCTGGCAGAGGGGCCAAGAGGAAGTGTTCCCTCCTTCTCTCTACTCATTATAAAGATTACATTTTTAAAATCCAGAAGAGCAACTATTGGAAGAGAACAAAGAATTGGAGATCAAGGGCAGTTACCTGAGAGAATATTACCTAGTAGAAGAGGGTAGAAATGGGGTGAGGTTTGCCTGTAGTTAACACCAGAAACTGCCCTGAGGCTTACTTTTCTCTCCTTAAAATTATATGACATTACACAAAATTAATGGATCTCAGAGAGTAAGATTTTTAAATATGCATAATAAATGCCCTCAATGACTAAAAAAGATAACAGAAAAACAAAGCAGGACCAGGAAGTCATTAAAATAATCAACTTGAGGTATTGCATACAAAAGTTGTAAATAAGTCAGCAGAGGAATTCATTAACAGTATAGTTCAACAAAAAAGTGAATTCAGGAGTTAAAAGATCAGACTGAGGAACTCTTGAAAGAGGGCATTAGGAGGAGGTCACCAAGTAAAAAAATGCAAAATAAAAGTTAAAAAAAAGTGGAGATTTGAAATACAAGTGTCAACCAACCAAACAAGTAGGAAAAATAAAAATACAAAAAGGAGAAATATTAGAAGAAGTCATTATTTTAAACTTTCCCAAGCTCATGGAATATATAAACAATGAGAGAATTTAAAAAAAATTTAGTTCAAATACATCAAAACATTCATATCTAAATTCAATGTCTTATAAACTTCAAAGCCAAAAATTATCATGAAGATCCCATAAAAGAAAAAAATAATGAGGGAACAAGCTGTACATTGACTTAGATTTTTCAGCAGCATCACTGTCATAAGAACAGTGTGAGGGGAACAGAATGGAAGAAGAAAACAAAGTAAGATTTGAAAGAATTTTGATAAAAAATTCAAACTTGCAATTTTACATATATTTCTGGAATATTATTCAAATGCAAGCCTGAAATAAAGACACTCATTTATTTTTTTTTTAAAATTAGTTGTTTTATCACACAAAATTCTTCTTTGGAATACTCATTAAAGAAATACTCAAAAAGAGCCATAAATCCAGGAGGACATCACTAGCTAATTGAAGGAAGAGTGAGTTAATAACTAAGCAAAAGCAAATTTCTGCTAAGGATTTGCCATCTCTCTACCTCTGATTCACTCTCCAACCACATAAATGGTAATGATCCAGAATTAAAACTCATGAGTGATATCAATACGTGTGTGTGGGAGGTGGCAGCAGGAGGTGAAGAGGATAGTAGAGGACCAGAGGGAGGTGGGAGTTTGTTGGGATTCTTGTGGTCTCATAGACAATACGGATAGTAATAAGCTTAAAAATTTGGCAAGGATAAATAACCATAAATATGGGTATTTTGTAATTGGCATACAGTAGTTTTACATATTTAGCAGTACATAGTGATGTTTTGATACATATAATGTATGATGCTCAGATTAGGATAATTAGCATATCCATCATCTTGAACATGTATCATTTATTTGTGTTGGGAACACAATATCCTTCTCCTACCTATTTGAAACTATTTAATAAGTTATTTTTAACTATAGTCATCCTACAGTGCTATAGAACACTGGAAATTTTTCCTCCAATTTAGCTGTAACTTTGTATCCTTTAACAAATCTAACCCTATTCCTAGCCCCCTTACCCTTACCCTTCCCAAACCCTAGTATCTTCTGTTTTACTTTTTCTGTTATACTTCTATGAGATCAACTTCTTTTATCCTCCACATATGAATGAGAACATGCTAAGTGAAATAATCCAGAAACCTAAACACCACAAATATGGGTCTTAAATAGCTACATGTGACCACTAGAGAAATGAAAATTAGTTTGTATACTCCCAGTTAAACACTGTGGATTGATTAAATGTTTGCCTTCTAATCTTTTGCAAAATTATACTAAAATAATATTGAACGAATAGCAGTGGTATAAGTGCACAGCAACAAAGAGAATGGGAGAAAACACACCGCTAGATGAGCCATGTTAACATAATTTTGGAGGATGACAGTAATTGAGAAAGTGGTCGCTGACTTTAAGCTAGGAATGCTAAAACACGTGTGTGGCAAAGGGGGAAACTGACAAGAAGAATATTTGCTTGTCCTATCTACAATATCCAACAGTCTAGGCCCTGGTTACTTCTGTGTAGTGGGCACTGGGAAAAAGTAGGGCTGAAAATAGAATGATATGTTGACAATTTTAGATTGCCTTTTCCATTTTGAATAGCCAAGTGACTACTATTATCCTACCCTGAAAATACAAGAAAGGTTTATACTATGGAGAAATTGAAAAGAAGATTCTTCATTTAAAATGTCAGTCACAATAAAGGGCAATGATTGAGTCTCCTTATTGAAAGCAGACAAGTTAAGTACATGTCTACATTCATAGTATATAACAAGACTGTGGATCACTTCTCCTACTCATCATCTAGAAGCTGTCAACCAGACCTATGCATTTAGGCAAGAGAGTGGAAGATTCCTCTATGGAGAAACTAAACAGTTTAATATTCAGGTAATGGAATTACTTATTTTTAATAGAAAATGGCAAGACACATTGCTCTGCCATACTTTTCTAAAGCACTAACACTACCACTTCCAAGTTAGCAAAACCACATTCTTTCACTCAAGGTTTTCACACTTAAACGTGAATGAATAACCATATACCCATAGATCTTTCAAACAGCCTCTTATATCAAAGAAAGATAGCAAACAAAGCAAGCTAAAATTTTTTAAAACTTCCAGAGGTTATAACATTCTTAGAAATATAAGAGATGATATTGCATATATGAAGTACAAATAGAATGATATAAAAAGGAACATTCAGAAACAAGAAAGCATTCTTGGAATCAAAATTATGGGAGCAGAAAAAAAAGAGTAGAAAGAGTGTAGAAAAAAGCTGAAGAAATCCAAGAGATAGGTTTAAAAAGAAAAGGAGAAGAAAAAAAATAGGGAAGAGATAGGAATTTAGAGGATCAATGTTGGCAGTTGTATTTCAGACAAATCTAGAAAAAATGAAGAGGAGAGAAAATACATAGAAGAAAATAATCCAACACTAAAGTCTCCTATTTCCAACAATTAATGAAATTAAATATTCTGCAAATATTCCTGTAATAAACCAATTAAAATACTAGATAATATGTGCATCATATCAATAAATTTGTTATAAAAATACTTTAAATGCTAATAAAATGTTTAAAAATAGCTTTTTAAAATACATAGCTAAGTGGAGAAAGTAAGCACACGCCTCAGAGGAGAAGAATAAGACAGAAGCATCGGTTCAGTTTAGTAAGAGTGTGTTGAATCTGTAGCTGCCCTAAGGGCATCTGCCTTAAAAAACTGGAGTTTTAATGGTTGCAACAATGAAAACAACTAAAATCTAGTGTTTGTGCAAGAGAGAAAAACAGAATAATAACCCCACTGAAAGACCTCTGAAGGTCTGCAATCTCAGTGTCAAAGAAACTAAAAATAATCTATTCTGTAAAAAGAGATGTTTAGCAAATTTGCCACAGCTTTGTCACTTGTTTGTAGAATGAAAGTCACTCCTGAGAATTCATGAGTATAAGCTGCCCTCGTGTGAAACTGGAGTTTAAATTCCCTCTACATAGGTGGTATCAAAAAACATCCAACCTAGGAAAGTAACTTAATGAGGTCTTAGGTTTCAAACACTTTGAACAAACGCAAATCTCCTCTGGAGAATTGGACCTTTATACCAAGGCTCATAGAATTATCTCAGATGAATCACTGCACAGGTGCTTACAACATTTTAGAAATAATCCCAAAATACTAAACTAAAATAGCAGCCTACCTTCCCTATGCTCAAAGGCAGTCACCTTCAAATCTTTAGTTGTTTCTTCTGACATTTACTTCCAAATTTATGAAAGTATAAATAAATAATATATTTATTCCATAGCTTTTTTGTAGATTAGGTTTTATTGTCTTTTTACAATGCAAGAGGAGTGTTTGTTTTCTTGTCTTCCTCCATATACCTAACCATTTGTTCACACACATTATAAACAAGCACACCACATTCTTGATCATAGTTAACAATACTGTATCATACACTTAAAATTTAAGATATTAATAAAGTAAAAACAAAAATAAAAAGTAACAAATAATAAATGCAAACAAAAACAAACACATATATATAGCCACAATTTCACACTATGGTACAAATAAAAATTTTTATTGTTTTTTTTGTTCTTTATTTTTCATCAGACCCTATGGTGACTTACTAATTCAACTTTAGTCTTGATTGATTATTGTGACTGTGTAGCCTATCTAATTTTGAGCTGCATGGATTATATTTGTAATCAGAGCATAGCTTTTTTTTTTAACCAATTGAAGTAAATGTATACCTCATTTATTCATTAGCTTTTTTTCTATGAATCTATCATTAATTTACCCCCAGGAGTAGGCAAAATTTCCTTTAATGCTAAAGTACCTCAGGGCATATATCCACCTGTGTATTTGGGAGAGACCTGCCTTGCACCCTTGGTCTCCTTGTTTGGATTGATTGCTAACTCTGCTGCCCATTTATAGGCCTGGTCCTTACCTTTAGCAACATGCTGAGCACCTCCTTTTCTATTCTCTTGAGTAAGATCCCATGATCCTTGGGTCCCCTGTATTTCTGTTTTCATTGATTCATTCATTCGGTTTTTGGTTAATGAGTCCCCCAATATCATACTAAGAAAGTATGCATTAAGTTCAGTTTTTAGTAATACTGGCATATCTGAGAATGTCTTTATTTTAGTCAATCAAAGGGGAAATGGAAATGACTAATATGCATATAACATTTCAGGTTCATCAGTAATGCAGAGAACCACATGTTAGGGACAAATATGAGAAATGTTGTTGCCTAGGAACAGGGGTATCTTATGATAGTGGATAGTTTGGGGAATGCTCAGGTCATATGCATCATCAATCTATCTGGGTCCATTGGTACTGCAGACCTAATGTGTGTTGGTGCTATTTACTACTGATAATACTTTTTACATACTTTTATTTGAGTATTGTCAAGTGCAGAGTGCTATACTGCCTATTGAGGTGTAATTTCCTATGTATTAAGTAAAAAGTGACACTCACTTTCATTTTACCATCACTCCTAGGGTGAGGGAAGCTGGACTCTTCATATTACTAAAAAGCAATATAACTGTTTTTATAAAGAATAATTTTAATGAAAAATACAGATAAATAGCTCAACTTGAACTCATTATTGCAAATAAGGTTCAGGGTGGTATGCCAATTAAAACAACATATTTAAAGCATATAATGTATTAAAACATTCATTTATAGAAAATGTATATTTTCTATGTGTAAGCATAAATATGCAAGAGGAAATATTCCTAGATTCAAAGATTTAACAAATGTGAAATAATAAAAGACTTTTTCACAAATAGTTATAGAAGGAAAAAGGTGATAAGGACCATAATAAAGAGGCATATTGGTATTTGATAATTGGGTTATTACTTCTGGCTGAAAGTTTTCATGGTTTGAACCTTGGTGAATGAGTAAAATGTTGAGAACCGCAGATTAAGGTTTGTATATTTGAGGTTTGTATATATGAAGTACAGACATTCACTTCAGAATACAAAGAGTTTGCAAAGATTCACAGTGTTTCCAAATTATGGAGAATATTTTGACAGCTTGAAATAGCTCACACCAGTTAGAATAGTGATCATTAAAAAGTCAGGAAACAACAGGTGCTGGAGAGGATGTGGAGAAATAGGAACACTTTTACACTGTTGGTGGGACCATAAACAGGTTCAACCATTGTGGAAGTCAGTGTGGCGATTCCTCAGGGATCTAGAACTAGAAATACCATTTGACCCGGCCATCCCATTACTGGGTATATACCCAAAGGATTATAAATCATGCTGCTATAAAGACACACGCACACGTATGTTTATTGCGGCACTATTCACAATAGCAAAGACTTGGAACCAACCCAAATGTCCAACAATGATAGACTGGATTAAGAAAATGTGGCACATATACACCATGGAATACTATGCAGCCATAAAAAATGATGAGTTCATGTCCTTTGTAGGGACATGGATGAAACTGGAAACCATCATTCTCAGCAAACTATTGCAAGGACAGAAAACCAAACGCTACATGTTCTCACTCATAGGTGGGAACTGAACAGTGAGAACACATGGACACAGGAAGGGCAACATTACACACTGGGGCCTGTTATAGGGTGGGGGGAGGGGGCAGGGATAGCATTTGGAGATATACCTAATGTTAAATGACGAGTTACTGGGTGCAGCACACCAACATGGCACATGTATACATATGTAACTAACCTGCACGTTGTGCACATATACCCTAAAACTTAAAGTATAATAAAAAAAAAAAAAGAAGAAATAGCTGAAAGAGGCAGGGTCAAACATGTAACTCTGATTTATGGCTTCTGATATTTACTTACTTTTTTATCTTCTGAATAAAAAATAATTTATAAGATTCACCTCTTCATATATTTGCCATGTTAATAGTAGCTGAACTGACATAATCAATATAATCATAAGTACATTTTTATATTGATTGTACTTGTATAGGATTCTACAATTAAAAAGCTGCAAATTATAACTTTAGTCATACAGTTGTAATTTTATTTAGAAGATGAAATTATTTTCTTAAGCTTATTTTATTAGAAAATGTAAATATTACATGTAAATATAGTTGTCCTAGTGTATATCTGCAGAAGATATTTTAATTTCTATTAGTGTTTTATTTTTATTAAATCAATTTTGTTTAATACCACTGTACGAATAATTATGTTACTGAGCAATCAGAGATTTTGGAATTATTTCATAAAGTTAGAAATGTGTTATTCTTAACAGTATTTTGATTTTCTTTTGTGTCCTCTTGGGAAGATTGTAAGTCAAGCTGCAACAGTAATTCTCAAGATGAAGCTTGCCTTTCAAAGACTACATTCACGTGTGTGAGAAATTTGTGAAGATGCCACTTGAGTATTTGAGCTGATTGCATTCCAAATGAATACAGGAGGAGGATTATAAAGGTACTTCCTGCTTTTGCTTTTCAACTTACAGCTAACTTTCATTTTCAAATGATATTTCGCAGGTCATTAAGCTCTCATTTATAGTAATCTTACAGTTGGGCAAATTGTAAGCTTCTGATTATTGGGGGAAACATGCTTACAGCATCCAGGCAAATATTCTCTCTGTTCTGACAAACTTTCAGTGATACAATCCATTTTCTCTGCTTTGCTAAGAATTCTCTTAAATAAGTTTGTGGGTTTTTTTTTTCTCTATATCACTGTTTGCTGGATTTCTCTAAGTGATTATATTTTATTGTTAGTGATTTTATTTGAATTCCTTCTGCAAATGACAAAAGGAACAGGGGCTCTGAACTCAGTGGGATGTGGATTCAAATCTCAAGTCTGCTACTTAAAAAGCGGTGCCATTTTAGGCAATTTATTTTGCTTCATTTTTCTTTTCTGAGTTAGAACAAGATATCATGGGATTATTGACATTTAAATGAAAATCTTTGTACAAAGTGTCTAGCACAGTGTCTAATTAAGAGGCATTCAATAATTTATTTCTGTTTCTTGAAGAAAGGAACCATTTCAACATTTCAGCACATATCCCAAGTAATTTGTACTAAGCTGCACCATCTTTAGTGACTTGTTAGTGCTTTTTTAACTAATCAAGTTTGTTTAATGTGAGTGAGATTATACCTCATTGGATATAATAATAAAATTTATGTGTTTCTTGAACCTAATCCAAGTCCAAGACCTCCCCATTGTCACTTTTCACCTCAGTCTGATACTTAAATTATAGGGAGCATTAATTTAGCTCACCACTGTATTTTATATGTATAAAAGCAATTGCTTCTTAATAATTACACAACCTAATTCTTATGCTAACGTGAACATGGACTACTGAATTGAACTATAAGAAATTGTCAATATTAGACTGCATTTGATCTACAACGTCACAACTTTTTATAGTTCAAACTAATAATTCCCAAAATAATATTTGGAAAGGATTCATAAGTACCGATTTCCATCAATCACTTATTTGTATGTTTGACATGCAAATATGTATGAGAGAAACTGGAGGTTTTAGATGATCAGGAATTCCTAAGAGAAACTGAATACCACAGAAAAGGGTTGTGTAAACAAAATGTAAAAAGGGGGAGATTATATTCTGTTAGTATTAAGAGCTAAATTCTGATTAGCAACTAGTTTCTACAATTTAAGTTTATTTGAGATGCTTCTTCTTGAAGAACATTAGATGTTAATGGATTTTAAAACAACTTTTATGAAATAAAGATAATCTTTATTACTATGCTTGGCATTCCTCCTCAACAGCCACAGCATTAACAGAAAATTTAAAATTAAAATATAATTCTGACAAACCTGAACAATTTGCAGGTCCATAAATAGAGGCATTGAGGGAGTTCATCAGTGCATTGTGCATCTTCATATCAGCTCAGAAAATCGTCATTCCAGATAAAAATAATTCTTTTCTTAAAACATTTCCACACATTTTCAACAGTCACTCAGCAAATTATCATTTCAGTTCTTTATATAAGATGATAAGCTAAGATAATGACAGTCAATTTCCCACTGAAATCTTTTTAATTGTATTCATTTTTCTTATAATGTCTAATCCTACTCAGTGTGAAATATGCAAGAAAATCCCTGGATTAATGTCTTAATTACAGTGTTGGTTAATGTTGCTAGGTATATGATTCCTTGGTTTTGAATATTTTTTTAACCCCCCTGAGAAGATAGGCTACCTTTTAAAGAGCTGATCTAGTTTTCCGTAGTCCTAATTCAGTCAGATGGACTACTTAGGTGGCAGGGATAGAATTTGTGCATGAACTCAACCATATGAACTACCTCTCACCAGTTACTGCTATGCTGAACTTCCTGACAATAGCAGAGTCCAACACTGAGATCCCCATGCAGCCCAGTTTCCTGAGGGTCCAGATTGACTTAATTAAACTTCTTCATCAAGAAGAAGACACTGAAATACACTGGTATTTTGCATATGGGTTTGCCTTCATGTTCACAACTTTTCTTCCATTATTGTTGTTAGTGAGCTTTGAGAATGCTTTCTTATCAGTGTTATCCTGGTAAATACTTAACAACCAGTTTGCCAATAAAAGTTTGTTTATATGTTCATACACATACTTATTATACGTAATATTGATAGAAAGAATGTATAGAACAAATTTTACAAACAGTAATATAATGTATGAAACTCTTTATGGTAAATTTTACAGAACCAATTGTTTCATATAAAATGAGTTTGCTAATTTATGCTAAGCTCTTTTATCCATAACCCATCTATGATTGCAACTAACCAATGAATGTCGTTCAGACATTAATGTTGGTTGGTATTTTACATTGATAAGATGAAAGTGAAGTAACAAAAATATATGTTCTGTTGTAAGTGATTACTTTCTTAAATTTAAAAAACAGAGTTTGAATTTGGGAGGAATATTTTATTTTGTTCTCCCCTCTATTCACAATGTAATAGCTGCAGACATAATATTCTTTTGAGTTTAATCAGAATTATCAACATTTTCTACATCAATTTTAGACAACCGACAAACAAAAAATAGTTATGATTTTTACTGTTTGTCAATTTCCATACTTTACTCTTATTATGGCCAGTATGTCATCCACTACACTTGGACTTGAGAAAACATACACATTGTGGCACACTGTTATAGTATTTTCACCATACAGATATAATAGGTGAACATAAATTCAAGACCATAGGAAATAGTAAATTTAGTAAAACAATTAGGAAGTGATGAGATTTGAGTATTGTCTTTCTTTTTAATATATTTTACTTTACTGTATGTGTTTAATTTTTGATATTCAACATTATTAATTTTATTTTGACTGCTTACACACCAGATGTCCTAGATCAAAGACAAATATCTTATCAATTATGATATAGTAAATAAAGCTAAAGCTAATTGGATATCCTCCCCCTACCGTTGCCCCAGATTTTACTCCTGGAGTGAAATGATGGAAGCCAGGTCAAATGTCCTACTCAAGTATCTAGTTGCTCCATAGGTGACAGACAAAGAGGAGACAGACAGTAATGCCATTCTTCTAACATTTTGGAATGCAAATACATCTTTCCAAGCGTCAGATAAATCTCAGGTGACTGTCTCCTGTGACTGGCTTAGTCCATTTTGTGTTGCTATAACCAAATATCAGAGACTGGGTAGTTTATAAAGAACATAAATGTATTTCTAATAGTTTTGCAAGCTGAGAAGTCCACAATCAAGGCGCTGGCAAGCTTGGTGCCTGCAGAATGTCCAGTCTCCATTTCCAAGATGCCCTGAATGCTGAGGAAAAACACTTTTCCCTACATGACAGAAAAGCAGAAGAGCAAAGGGAGAGAAACTATTCCCAAAAGCCCTTTTAAAAAAGGCATTAAACCCATCAACAAGGGTGGAGCCCTCATGGCCTGACTACCTCTTAGAGGCCCCACCTCCCAATACTGTTACATTGGCAATGAAATGTAAGTTTTGGAGGGAACAAACGTGTAACGTATAGCAATGACCTAAAGATTTCTCCAAAGTCTTGGCTTCATACCTAGAGACATAGCATCTCAGTATTCCTACCACCTTGGGAGCTTAACCTACAGGCCGATTCTGCACTACAATTACATACCTCTCTTAGGATGATAAAAGAAGTTTTGTTACCCTTTTTGATCAGAGAAATTAACTAAACAGATGGCTACAAATCTAATTATCAAGGTATAAGGATGGACTTAGGAAACTAAACCTTTTAACAGAAGTGATAACAAGCTCAGTAAAGTTTTATCATTTTCCTATTGTCAACTTTAAACTTTAAATTTAATAATAGCTGTGTTTAGTAACCAATTAGCAAAATGCTTAAAATTTTAACAATTGTTTCTCATTAGCTAGTGTCATCAGTACAGCACACCACTGGACTTTTTGTTAACATATTGTCTACATGATATCACCCCTAGACAAACAACTAGTTTTAAGAAAAAAAAAAGATATGTACCAATAAGCTCCCACCCCTAGAATTCCTTTATATTATCAAAAGCCTATTCACAATAAAATGGCTTCCAGTTGACCCAAGCAGAACTCCATCTGAGTATGACACCTTATGGGTTATTGTTCTATAGGACACAATTTATTTCTTAAAGCAGAGGCAATATATAGTGTTGCTTTCCCCACTGACAAAATATGAACCTAGAAACTAAAGGATATAAGAGAAAGAGATCTCTTTCTCTGTTACACTTAATAATCTACTTGTGGAAATATTGCTTCTTTTGACTATAGCTTTGGACTTAACAGATTTGCAGATTGTAGTGCCCAAGGCAACAGTCATGGTTCCATCAGACTAGGAGTTAAAACTATTTTGACCAACATAATGAGTTTGATACTACCCATACTAATGACTCAACAAGGAGAAAACGAGTTTGCTCTGTTGTTTGGGATGGTTGATTGAGATTACCAAGAAAATCTTGGATTGCTGCTACATAATGAGGAAAAATAAAGGTTGTGGTAGCTTGAATAATAGTCCTTAAAAGATGTCCACACCTTCATCTGTGGAATGTGTGAAAATGTTACCTTATATGGCAAAATCAACTTTGCAGATTTGAGTAAATTAAGGATACTGAGATGGGGAGATTTTCTTGGAATATCTAGGTGGGGCCAGTGGTGTAACCACAAAGATCTTTTGGCAGACAGAAGGCAGAAACAGAGGGGCAAAGGGAAAGAGATTTGAGGATGCTACACTGTTGGCTTTGAAGGGGAAATAAGCGATTATCAGCCAAAGGGTGTGGGTGATTTTTGGAAGCTGGAAAGGACAAGAAAACATGATCTCCTGGAGCTTTCAGGAGGAGCACAGACCTGTGAGTCCATTTTAGAGCTCTGATATCCAGAATTATAATATAATAAATGTGTGTTGTTTGGACTTACTGTCAACCAAGTTTGTGATAATTTGTTATAGCAGCAACAGGAACCTAATAAGAAGTCTACATGCAGAATTTGAGAATTAACTGAGGCGTCTTTTAGTATCCCCTGTCCAATAACATAAGTCAGTGGGAAACTATGAGAACCCAATAAAGATAAGGTAATTTGGATCTTGTGAGCATTATATTTGGGATCCCTTCACCAATTAAAAACTCTCAGCTGACTGAGTCTAATAGAGGTGAATAAGAAGGTAAATATGGAATAATAATGAAAGAAAGAAACTATTATTTTTAACTTAGGCCTTAAAGTCAACAACAGAAATGGAGATATTATAGCAGATACCTTATACCATATACACGATACCTACAGTGTTATGAAGCTAGTTACTCATGACACCAGCATATTCTCAGTATTATGAACAATAAATGACATTCAAAAGGAAAAATTTCCTGGTGCATAGAAAAAATAGAAGCTGATTGAGTTACTTATTTCAATGTAAGTCAAGTAAATATTTGTATATTATATAGGAGACATTCAGTTCCATTTCTTAGTTATAAAACCCTGTTTTGCTTCTAAGTCTTTTAGACGCAAAAAGCATATATATATACTCATTTTTCCTGCCAAACCATGACCTTTTAAAGCAGAATATCCCATGAGGATGCCTATTTACATAATGTTCACTTTGGCTTCTTTACAATGGAGCTATAAAATAGAAATACTAAAATCTGCCCCTGAATCTGTGCATATGCATATGTCAAGTTAGTAGTTTGGATATCTAAAGTTTCTTCCATTAGGACAAGTAAATAGCCCTCTCTCATTTATCAAGTATGACACATTTTATTAGTATCTAAAAAGGTCAGGAGTAAGGAATAAAAGAAGTTTCTGTCTCAGAGTGAATGAGGTGTAATTATGGGTTATTGTGGAATAAGCCATTTTCTGAGTGACTGTAATCAAGCCAATAATACATTCAATTAGATTTTCTTGAGGCCATTCAGCTAAGGAATAGCCCTTGTGCCAAGCTCTTGCCTTAACTGTGAACACTAAGCCTACCCCTTGCAGGGCCACTTTAGTCAAGTGTCCCAGGACATGCTGTTCATATTGTAGTTGATCCAAATGAATGAAGGGTTATGTACATTGCAACCTTGACCTATTAGCTACTGGCTTTCTTTCAGCTAGACTTCAGTTTCTACATCTCTAGCCTCTTAATGGCATTAACCATGGCTCTCATTGACTTAATTCTTCCATCAGTTGGAAAGCTCATTTTAATCCACCACAAGCATGGCAAAATTTAACAAAAGAAATAGCTAGGCTTTGAAATGCAAGCTTATTTAAGGGAGTGGAATGTTTAAAGTTAAACAGAATAACGATGCAAAATCCCATTATCTTTCACAATACCTACTACCCGTGGAATGACTTTCTACTCATTCCACGGGTAGATAATTACTTCTATAAAAAACTGCCATGGCACATGCACATGTACACAGGCACCGCTGTACCATCCCCACTGGTGCCACATCCCTACCAACACATGCAAACCCCACCATGCATCTATTGCCATGAACATGCAAGTGTGAACCCCACTGCCACTGCCTCAATACAGTGCTTTAGCTGGTACCCCCCATCAGAATGTTGATGCCAGTGCACTGGTAATATCTCGGACCCTCCAGTGCAGCAGGTGCTTAATCTTGAGGGTCCAGAGAACAAAGCCATGGGCTTGACACCAGCCCCCAAGGGTTAGAGTGAACAGCCTGAGTGTTGAGCTGAGCCATACTCCACCCCCATGAAATCTTCCAGATGAAGCTTTTTGAATGAAGCCATCTTACACCACAGTCAAACTCCAAGGGCATCAAATAACATAAAATTAAAAAAAAAACACATCCAAAGGACAACAACTTCAAATATGAAAGGAATATCAGTCCACACATATGAGACAGAGTCAGCACAAGAACTCTGGCAACTCAGAAAGCCAGAGTGTCTTGTTGTATCCAAACAACTGCACTAGTTTTTCAGCTATGGTTTTTTCAGCCTTCTAGGTTGAATGGCTGAAATGACAGACATAGAATTCAAAATATGAATAGGAATAAAAGATTATTGAGATTCAGAAGAAAGTTGACACCCCAATCTTAAGAATCTAAGGAATTCAACAAAATGATACAAGAGCTGAAAGATAAAACAGCCATTCTAAGAAAAAGCAAAACTGATTTGATAGAGCTAAAAACTTACCATAAGGATTTCATAATACAACTGGAAGTATTAGCAGCAGAATAGACCAAGCTGAGAAAATAATCCTGGACCCCAAAGATCAATTATTCAAATCAACTCAGACAAAGATTTAAAATGAAAATAAGAAGGAATGAATAAAACCTCCAGGAAATGCGGGATTATGTGAAGAGACCAAACCTATGACACATTGGCATCACTGAAAGAGAGGGAAAGAGAGAAAGCAACTTGGAAAACGTATTTTATAATACTATCCATGAAAATCTCCCCAGCCTTGTAGAGAGGTTGACATTCAATTTCAGAAAATTCAGAGAATCACTATTAGGTAACAGACAAGACAACCACCCTCAAGATATATAGTCATTTGATTCTACAAGGTCAACGTGAAAGAAAAAATTGTTAAAGGAAGCTAGAGAGAAGGGGCAGGTCACCTACAAAGGTAACCCGATCAGGCTAACAGTAGATATTTAAGCAGAAACCCTACAAGCCAGAGGAGACCAGGGGATCTATATTCAGCATTCTTAAAGAAAATAAATTCCAACCAAGAATTTTATATTCGGCCAAACTAAGCTTCCTAAGTGAAGGATAAATAACATCTTTTTCAGATAAGCAAATGTGAACGGAATTCATTGCCACTAGATTTGCCTTACAAAACGTCCTTAAGGGAGTGCTAAAAGTAGAAACAAAAGGCCATTACTAGCCACCACAAAATGCACTTAAGCACATACAACATTGACATTAGAAAGCAACTACACAATCAATCAAGCTTAACAACCAGCTAAAAACATAATGACAGGATAAAATCCACACATATCAATATTAGCCTTGAACATAAACAAGTTAAATGTCCCCACTTACAAGACATAGAATGCTAAGTTGGATTAAAAAAAAGCAAAAAGTATGATGTCTTCAAGAGACCCATCTCACATACAATGACATTCAGAGACTAAAAGTTAAGGGATGAGGAAAAATCTACCAAGCAAATGGAAAACATAAAAGAGGAGGGGTTAGTATTCTAATTTCAGAAAAAATAAATTTTAAACCATCAATGATAGAAAAAGGACATTATGTAATCATAAAGAGTTCAATTCAATTAACTATTCTACATACATATGCACCCAATAACAGAACACCCAGATTTTTAAAACAGGTTCCTAAAGACCTATGAGGAGACTTAGATAACCACACAAAATAGGAGGAGACTTAAATACCTGACTGGCAGTATTAGATTATTGAGGCACGAAATGAACAAGGATGTGTAGGACATGAACTTGACACCTGGTCAAATTGACCTAATAGATATCTATAGAACACTACCCTCAACAAAAACAGAATATATATTATTCTTATTTGCACATGCCACATACTCTAAAATCAACCACATGATCTGCCATAAAACCATACTCAACAAATTTAAAAAACACCAAGTCATACTAACCACACTCTCAGACAACAGCACAATAAAAATAGAAATCAATACTGAGAAGATCTCTCAAAACCATGACGTTACATGGAAATTAAACAACCTGTTCCTGAATTATAACTTTTGGGTAAACAATGAAATTAAGCAGAAATCAAGAAATTCCTTGAAACTATTGAAAAAAAAGACACAACATACCAGAATCTCTGGGACACAGCTAAAGCAGTGTTAAGAGGAAATTTTATAGCACTGGACACACACATCATAAAGTTAGAAAGAGCTCCAACTAACAACCCAATACCCCACTTAGAGAAACTAGAGAAACAAGAACAAACCAACCCCAAAACTAGCAGAAGACAAGAAATAACTAAAGTCAGAGCTGAACTTAGGGAAACTGAGATGCAAAAAAAAAAAAAACATACAAAAGATCAAAAGAATGAATCCAGGAGTTGGTTCCTTAAAAGATTAAATGAAATTGGCAGATCACTAGCTATACTAATGAAAGAGAGAGAAAGAGAGAAAACAACCAAATAAACACAATTAGAAATGACAAAGCGGGCATTACCACTGATCCTACAGAAATACAAAAAATACTCAGAGATACTATGAACACCTCTGTGTACACAAACTGGAAAATTGAGAAGAAATTGATAAACTTCTGGAAACATACAACCTCCTAAGATTGAACCTGGAAGAAATGGAAACCCTGAACAGACCAACAAATGTTCCAAAATTCATCAGTAATAGGAAGCTTTCAAACCAGAAAATGCCTCGGACCTGATGGATTCACAGCTGAATTCTACCAGACCTATAAAGAAGAGCTGGTACCAATTCTACTGAAAATATTCCAAAAAGTTGAGGAGGGGGGATGCCTCCCTCCCTTATTCTATGAGGCTAGAATCATTCTGAAATCAAAACCTGGCAGAGACACAACTAAAAAAAGGAAACTGCAGCTCAGTATCTTTGGTAATCATAAGTACAAAAATTCTCAACAAATACTTTCAAACAATCCGGTAGCACACCAAAAACCTAATCCACCATGGTCAAGCAGGGTTTACACAAATCAAAAAATGTGATTCATCACATAAACAGAACTATAAACAGTAACCACACAATCATCTCAATAGATGCAGCAAAGGCTTTTGATAAAATTCAGCATCACTTTATGTTAAAAACCTTCAACTAGGCATTAAAGGAGCATAACTAAATAATGAGAGCCATCTATAACAAAGCCCACCACAGCCAATGTTATATTGAATGAACAAAAACTGGAGCATTTCTCTTGAGAACTGAAACAAGAGAAGGATGATCACTCTCACCAATCCTATTCTAAATAGTACTGAAGGTCCTATCCAGAGTAATCAGGCAAGAGAAGGAAATGAAAGGCATCCAAATAGGAAGAGAGGAAGTCAAACTATCTCTCTTTGTAGACAATATGATTCAACCCCATAACCTTTGCCCAAAGACTTCTAGATCTGATAACCAACTTCAGCAAAGTTACAAGATATAAAAATTACATACACAAATATGTATCATTTCTATTCACCAACAACATCCAAGCTGAGAGCCAAATCAAGAATGCAATCCTATTCACAATAGCCACACAAAAATGTAATATGCCTAGGAATACAGCCAACCACGGAAGTTTAAGTTCTCTACAAGGAGAACTACAAAACACTTTGAAATAAATCAGGGATGGTACAAATAAATGGAAAAAACATTTCATGCTAATGGATTGGAAGAATCAATATTATTAAAAATGGCCATACTGCCCAAAGCAAATTATAGATTTAGTGCTACTCTTATCAAGCTACCAATGTCATTCTTCACAGACTTAGAAAAAGAAAGCTATTCTAAAATTCATATGGAACAAAAACAAACCTGAATAGTTAAAACAATGCTAAGCAAAAAGGACAAGGTAGGAGACAGCACACTACCTGACTTCAGACTACACTATAAAGTCACAGTAACCAAATAGCGTAATATTGGTACAAAAACAGACACATACACCAATGGAGGAGAACAGAAAACTCAGAAATAAGCTGCACAGCTAAAACCATCTCATCTTTAACAAGGGTGACTAAAACAAGCAATAGGGAAAGGACTCCTCGTTAAGTAAATGATGCTGGGCTAACTGGCTAGGCCTATTCAGAAAAATGAAGCTGGATCCCTACCTTTTACCATATACAAAACATTAACTCAAAACGGATTAAAAATTTAAATGTAAGACCTCAAACTATAAAAATCCTGAAAAACAACATAGGAAATACTCTTTTCGACATTAACCTTGCCAAAGAATATTCGGTTAAGAACCCAAAAGCAATTGCAACAAAACCAAAACTAGACAAGTGGGACCTAATTAAACTAAAGAGCTTCTGCACAGTAAAAGAAACTATCACTAGAGCAAACAGACAATCTACAGAATGGGAGAAGATATTGGCAAACTGCATCAAATGAAGGCCCAGTATCCAGAATCTATAAGGACCTTAAATAAATCATAAATCAACAAGAAAAAAAAAAACAAGGAACCCCATTAAAAAATGGGCAAAGGACATGAACAGATTCTTCTCAAAAGAACACATACACATGACCAAAAAGCATATGAAAAAAAATGCTCAATATCACTCATCATTAGAGAACTGCAAATCAAAACCACAATGAGATAGCATCTCACACCAGTCAGAATGACTATTATTAAAAAGTCAAAAAACAACAGGTGGTGGTAAGGTTGTGGAGAAAAGGGAATACTTTTACACTGCTGGCAGGGATGCAAATTAGTGCAGCCACCATGGGATGCAGTTTAGAGATTTTCTCAAAGAACTTAGAACTGCCATTCTGCAGTTCCATTACTGAGTACATACCCAAAGAAATAGAAATCATTCTGCTATTAAAACATAATGCACATGTGTGTTCATTGCAGCACTATTCACAGTAACAAAGACACGGAATCAACTGAAATGCTCATTAAGGGTGGACTGGATAAAGAAAATGTGGTGCATACATAGCATGGAATACTACACAGCCATAAAAAAGAATGAGATCATATCCTTTGCAACAACATGGATGAAGGTAGAGGCCATGATCCTAAGAGAATTATTGCAGGAAAAGAAAACCAAAGACTGCATGTTCTTACTTACAAATGGAAACTAAACCTTGGGTACACAGGAACACAAAGAAGGGAACAATAGACCCCAGAGCCTACTTGAGGGTAGAGAGTGGGAGGAGGGTGAGAATTGAAAAGCTGCCTATTGGGTACTATGCTTATTACCTGGGTGATGAAATAATCTCTATAGGAAACATATGTTGGAAGTCAGGGACCCTGAATGGAGGGACTGGCTGGAGCCGCAGCAGTGGAACATAAATTGTGAAGATTTCATGGACATTTTTCTGTTCCCAAATAATACTTTTATAATTTCTTATGCCTGTCTTTACTTTAATCTCTTCCCTGTTATCTTCCTAAGCTGAGGATGTACGTCACCTCAGGACCACTGTGATAATTGTGTTAACTGTACAAATTGATGTAAAACGTGTGTTTGAACAATATGAAATCAGTGCACCTTGAAAAAGAACAGAATAACAGCGATTTTTAGGGAACAAGGGAAGGCAACCATAAGGTCTGACTGCCTGCGGGGTCGGGCAAAAAGACCTATATTTTTCTTCTAGCAGAGAGCCTATAAATGGACGTGCAAGTAGGGAAGATATTGCTAAATTCTTTTCCTAGCAAAGAATATTAATATTAATACCCTGGGAAAGGAATGCATTCCTGGGGGGAGGTCTACAAACGGCTGCTCTGGGAGTGTCTCTCTTATGCGGTTGAGATAAGGACTGAGATACGCCCTGGTCTCCTGCAGTACCCTCAGGCTTATTAGGGTGGGGAAAAACTCTGCTAAATTTGTGGTCAGACTGGTTCTCTGCTCTGGAACCCTGTTTTCTGTTTTTTAAGATGTTTATCAAGACAATACGTGCACCGCTTAACATAGACCCTTATCAGTAGTTCTGTTTTTGCCCTCTGCCTTGTGATCTTTGTTGGACCCTTATCAGTAGTTCTCCTTTTTGCCCTTTAAAGGATGTGATCTACTCCCTGTTCTTACACCAGCTCCCCTTCTGAAGCCCTTACTAAAAAACTTGCTGGTTTGAGGCTCAGGTGGGCATCACGGGCCTACTGATATGTGATGTCACCCCTGGAAGCCCAGCTGTAAAATTCCTCTCTTTGTACTCTTTCTTTTTATTTGTATGCCAGCCAACACTTATGGAAAATAGAACCTACTTTGAAATATTGGGGGCAGGTTCCCCCAATAAACATACATTTTACCATATAACAAACCTGCACATGTATCCCCTGAATCTAAAATAAAAGTTAGAAAGAAAAAAGAAACATCAAATTCATAGCATAAAAGAAAAACTGCCAAGAAATCTGTGGACTGAAAACAGAAATAGCAGATGTAATTTCAGATATGGTTTTCCAAATTAATCCTGTATACAAGTTCACTAGTAGTTTCCTGAGCACTCAAGAAAAGTGAAAAAAAGCAATGATAGATTAGATCTGCTATTATTGCTCAGAAAAGAGAAGAATGCTCATCATAAGGACTTTGCCAGCTGAATTGGCAAAAATAATCTATACTTTTGAGAATTAGTTTCTTGAAATTAGAGATGAAAATTTCAGTGTCTAAAGCAGTTCATTTGAAAATAAATAAAAGCTATTGCATGGGGATGTCATCATCTCACTATAATAAAAATAATCTACCTCTGCCCTAACTCCCTGCTTTTGTTCTTATAGCTGAAAAAAAAAAAAAAACAAAAACAAACTGTACTTCTATCAGGGCCATAGCCTGAAATTTCATGCTAGTTTTGAATACCTTTTAAACTTTCAGCAATGTCACTCTTTTATTCTCACTCTCCACCCTGCATAATTGAATCATCCATCTCCATTGATCATTCTTAGCAGTACTCAAACATGTTTTTGAGTGCTTACTAACTTCTTTCTTCATCTTTCTCCTCCTTGTCCTCTTCCTCCTCCTCTTCCAGCTCTTGAACATACATCCTCTTCTGGCTTATTTAACTTTTTGTTTTCCATTCACTTCTTGATAGAATGATTTATCTGTATTTTGGGTGTGGATTTGACCATCATCCATTTTCTCCTTATCTCCCTAAACCCTGGATTCCTCTTCAGTTAACTGAGAATAATTGCGAAGATCATTAATGACTTACTTTGTACTAAATTCAATTTTATTTTGATTTTGTTTTCATCAGCATCTAACAAGACTGTTCACTCAGTTATTGAAATATTTTCTTCTCATGGCTTTGAGGAAAAATGTTTTCTTGTTTTTCTCTCTACCTGCTTGACCACTGTGCCTCCTCAGTTTCCTTCTTGTTTCTCTTGTTTTCTTGAACTCCAAATATTGTATTGCCACATTTTTCTGTCTTGGCTCCCTTACTCTTTTCTTTATATTCATTCTTCCTGGATAACTTGTTTTAAAGTAAGGGCTTTAAATACTGTGTGCTGAAGACTCCAAAATCTACAAATTTATTCCTGCCTTCCCTCCACAACTGCAGACTCTTACAACCCATTCCAAATGTCACATCTCCAAATGGATGTCTACTTGACATCTCAAATTTAATATGACCAAAACAGAACCATTGATTTATCTCTTGAATGGCACTCTGCTCCTTGCCCAATTTTCTTTGTCTCATTAAATTTCAGTGCTTTATTGTTTGAGCCAAAAATATAGCAGTTGCTCTTCATTTCTTATTATGCCTCACTCCCAGATCGTCTGGTCATATTGATTCTACCTTCAAAGTATATCACAGAACTGTCTCTTTATCTCAATCTCTATCAATAACCATTTTAGACCAAGCTACCACCATCTTTTGTCTGGACTATTGTCACTGCTCCATAATTTGCCCCCTTACTTTGTCTCCTCCTCTACAGCAACCTGTTTCCAACACAGCCAGTAAAGTGATATGTTCAATCTATTGATCAAAAAATGTCATTCCCTGACTAAAACCCTTCAAAAGCCTCCTGTCGTAACATACATATGACTCAGTCATTAAATGAGTTGGACTTAGAATGAGTAAAGAAGGAAACATCTCCATACTGTCTCACAGCTGCCATTCAAAATTACTCTTTTGGAATTTTCCTCTCCATCTCAGGAATTTTTTTTTTTAGCTAATTCTATAGATTTTTCTATTTGCAGTCATGTATTGATGAGGAGTCTTGTTTTCTGGTATTAAAAAAGGCCAGAAAAATGAAATATAAAAACACTTCAATCTGTCATGTAATTTAAAGTTTCTCCCTCTACAGCTCAGGCATGAATCATATTTTTTTAAGGCTTTTGCCGAGAAGAAGAATATGTTTTGTTTTGTCTTTTCCTTTCTCTCCTCCCTGACTTGATAGCTGCTATTCCTGACTTCCCCAGAATCTGGTGTAAAGAAAGGAAGGGTTTAGAAGAAATGGAAAAGTCTTATGTGACTCCTTCTATTGTATCTGCTGTTGTAGCCTCCTGTGGAACAGATGTTTGTGTGTTTTTTGTTTGTTTGTTTGTTTTTTGAAATCCATCAAATGAGATTTACAGAAATATATTTTTTATTGGCCAAATTATATCCTACCAACTGACCATTTATAACTCACCTCTCAGTTCTTCCGTGCGATTCTTCATCCCATGTGGATTCCTTATGATTGGGTCACATCATTCTGACAGGCACACTTCTTTGGTGAGATCATGTCACCCAGCTCCCAACTTTGTTGAGCCAAAAGACATGGTAGGGGAAATGAGTGAATGGATACAGGGAATCAGGCACTCTGATACAAACTCTCAGTCTTTTATCAGCCTTTCAATGAAAGAAAACAGTCTTCCACTATTTTGATATGACCTAGAGGATGGTTATCAAGTAAGGTTTATAAAGTAGGCTTTGATCTACCCCATGAAAAAGTTTATGGTTGGTCAAGTGCATCATTTGGGATCTCATGGCACTTGCCTCCTATTGTGCCCAGTTTTTAGATACTGTACTAAACCAAACTGGAATGTCTATTTAACACATAACTGCATATGCTATAAATCTAGTATTCTTAACTTAGTTTACAGAGGCTAACAGGATTTGGCTCTTGCCTAATTCTTCTACCATATCTTACAACACCTTCTCTCTCACACACATGACCAAAAAGCACTGGTCTGATTTTACGGCCTTAAACAAAAGTTTGTTCTTGCCTTAAGATGTGTTGTTTGCTTTTCCTTCTTCCTGAAATGATCTTTTTCTTGATATTTTCATGGATGACTCATTTTTGTTTAGTTCTTTGGTTAAATGTACCCCCAACCCCCCCACAGAGAAGCCTACTCTGACTTTCCTATCTGTAGTAGCAATCAACTCACTCTTATATCAAACCTACTCCATTTGAGTAGGGAGTTTCCTCCCCAACTCTCTCAGAAAACTATTTCATGTCTCTTTCTCCACAAACACCCAAATTTGTCTATTTTTCTCTCATTTTATTACCTTGCTTTTTGTTTCTCTGAGAAACCAGAAGCATGATAAGGATACCATATCATCTTCCTACCACAACATTTTCAATATTATTTGTGATGTACTCAGACTCTGCCTTCCTGTTATGATGGATGGACTCTCTCTACTCATATCTAAGTCCAACCCTGTCACTGTGGATGCGACTTATCCATCTTCATTTATTCAAGAACACTGTTTATTCCAGCCTCGAGCCCCACCCTCACCTAGTTGCATCATCCCAATGAGCATGCAAACATGGATGTATTATTACCCATCATAACTAATTTATCACTTTATATCCTCTGCACAGAGCACTTCTTAACCTATAGTAATTCCTCAAGAAATATTTATTTAATGAATTACAAATGAATATATATGCATATGTGTACAGAAAAAATACAATCACAGTCTATATGTTGTTCTGTAATGTGCTTTCTTTCATCTAACAAGTTTGAAATATTCTTTCATATCAATATAGTCAATTCATCTTCATTGATTTAAATAGCTGCATAGTATCTAATTGTACCATAATTTATTAATATTTAGCCAGTTTCTGAAAGATGAAGTTTGGGTTGTCTTTAATTATTCAATAATATGCACACTTGAATATTTTTGTACCTGTGTTTTTGCATGGTGTTAGAATTGCTAGGTCCAAATGTATATGTGTTTTGCATTTTGTGTCATTTAGAAGTTCTACTTCAAAAGGTTGAAGCAATTTATATTCTGTCAAATGGTATGAAAGAATTAGGGGTTACATTAAACTTAGATTTATAAAATATGGTCTTGGTCAAAAAGTTGAGATAATCTTTCAAGAAAACAATTGAAGTCTTCTGTATTACTCAGTGTGAAGTTTATTTTGCCTAATGGTGATTCAGTAAATGGGAAAACTAATTCTGAATTTTCACTAATTGGGGGCCATTGCGTCTGCTGGCAGGGTATAGAAATGACAGAATCTTTCACCTCTTCTTCAAAAAACCAGGAACACAAACATTTAAACCCAGCGTTCTTTCTATTCACCCACTTTCTCCTTAATGTATTCATTCAATCAGTTGACAATAGTTTTTGAACAGCTTTTATTTTGAATAACTTGTTTAAGCCTAGGTGATAAGGACAGACAGGGTTCCTTAAGTTAGAGGGTTAATGGCCCTGTAGGAATGCGGCATAAATAGCATTTATATGTGGCAATTGCTGTATTTTGATAATGTAAGTTAAGGGCAGAGCGAAAACACAGATTACCCACTAATTACATCTCTGATGACAGGGTGGTAGTCAGGCATGACTTTGAAGAGAAATTTACCTTGAAGTCACATGCAAACTGAAATCAGAAGGAAGAATGGGACTTAATCAGGTAGAGATTAAGGGAACAGTGACTCAAGCAAAAAATCAGTGTATGAAGTTCTTGGAGAATTTGTCCAAGCACCTAAAGACAACAGAATGGGTCTAGAACATTGAACAAAATAATGTTATTACCTTCATTTTTTTCTAAAGTATTTTACTAGTTTAAGCTTAGTTTTCAAAAGTAATATTCTCGTCTGGGCGTGGTGGCTCATACCTGTAATCCTAGAACTTGAGATGCCTAGGTGAGTGGAACACCTGAGGTCAGGAGTTTGAGACCAGCCTGGCCAAAATGATGAAACCCCATCTCTACTAAAAATACAAAAATTAGCTTGGCGTGATGGCGGGCGCCTGTAATCCCAGCTACTCTGGAGGCTGAGGCAGGAGAATTGCTTGAACCTGGGAGGCGGAAGTTGCAGTGAGCCGAGATCCCGCCATTGCACTCCAGCCGGGGCGACAAAAGCGAAACTCCGTCTCAAAAAAACAAAAAGGTAAAATTCTCCTATTATGTCTTGGTATACCCCAGTTTTTACTATACATTGAGCTATTTATAGTTTCTTTCTTCCATTAGAGATTTTTATGACAATTTTCCCTGAGTAGTACTTGAATTCTCAAAAGAAATTTTTATTCAGATGCTCAGAACTTCTCCAGCAACTGCAGCTTAAAAACATTTTGTCAGTCACATCGCTAGATTTGAAGTAGGTTAACATTTGTTTAGAATTCATATGTTAGGAATATATAACCTTATCTTTTAGTCAGATCTACAAAGTTTATAAAAATCTAACAAAAAGTGGAAACATAATGGTTATTATCTAAATTTATAGACTGTTGAACTCACAGGGCTTGCAAAAATGGCATTAGCTCTCATAAATTATACTTGAAGTAGAATGTCATGGTGTATTTGGAAACTCTCCATTTAATTAATCATTATATGCCAGAAATGAATTTATGCTCTAGGAATATCTAGTATTAATGTGATAGAATTTAGGTTTCTCTGTTTTCTGAGTGAATTCTCTTTGCAAGACATCTGAATGAGCCAATAAAGAATACATTTACATTTTTTACAATTTACATTTTTTTTTCTTAAGTGTCAAACAGAATTAGATCGCCTGGAATTTGTGACCACATTCTTTAATCTTCCAGCACATAATCCTGGCAGCATTCTGTAATTCTCGTTTTACTTGGACTTTCAAGAGTAATTTCTGTTGGATGCATGTGCAAGTTCCTATTCCTAAGCTAGTGATCATCTGATGCAACAAACATAAATTCTAGTTTGAAAATATTTCATAATAACACTTTCAGTCCTTAGTAAATTAGTACTTGACCATGCTAATTATATCAGCCAAAAATGGGTTTTAATTTTATGTTAAACAATATATATTACTAGACACTGAAGACTCCTTTAGAGGCACGTTAAGAGGCAAAAAGACAAAAGCAAATACCATAGCAATTTTCATTGTTTTTCAAGTCTTAATGTGATGAAATGACTAGGAAAACAAACTTGGTATACAGTAATTTGCACTTATTTGGAATTTTCCAGTGTGTGGTTTTCACATGCTGTCTGACAGCATCCTATAATTTTTCTACAGTTTTGATTTTACTTAATTTAGGTTGAAGCCTTGTCATTTGTTTTCTGAAGTGGTTTCTATTCAGGAATGTAGTTGTATTGTCTCCTGTTTAAAAGATACTTCATTCCATTTTGATTTTTATAGAGCTTTTTTTTCTGGTAATCATTCAGCAAATGTAAATTACAGTGCAATGGCAAACTTTGCATCCAAATCATTTAAAGGAGATTGTCCTTTGAAAGTCCAACTTTCTGAAGTAGTTATTCTGTCAAGAATCATTCATAATCATAAAAAGAAAAAATATATAAAATTAAGAGAATATTTTGATATAGTATGGAAATAATGTTGAATCACAAAAATGATTGAAAATCATTTGAAATATTTCACAAGTGGAACTAAGAAGGTCATATGCAAGCCAAAAATCTCACCGTAATCTTTACACAGATAAAACTTTCTCTTCACCATGAACAGAAGTTTCCCTCTGTAAAGACTTATAGGCTCATGCCCCCTAAATTGAAGTATTTTTTACCTTGGCTGTCAATCAGAATTGAAACAAAGGCTGCAAATAACTAGGTCATAGTCAATATAAACCTATTTCCATTTGGATGGTGTATGCTTATTTACGAACTTCCCCATATACAGTTTATAGTTTTTAAGGAAAGAGAGAGTTTTGGGGGCACAAAAATTACAATAAACAGTAGTCTTATGAATCCCTAATAGAATATATTTACCTACATATAATAGGAAGTATAAGATAATTATACAGGATCAAATTCATAACTTAATAGGCAAGGTACTTGATGTATGTAAGTACATGAAATGGGAATAAAGTACCCATCATCACTCTATATGAACGACTCCTATGGTTTCCTAATTTAGGGTATCTGAAGAATGACTGACACAAAGAACTGCCTATTTTTGAGAAGAGGTATACAGATGGTGTGTATGACCATTTAAAATAACTCAGAGTGTATTTCTTTTTGTGGTTACATCATTGTATTCATTCCTTTGGCTGTTGTAATGAATTATCACAAAGTTGGTGGCTTAAAATCACAGAAATTTATTCTCTCATAGTTCTGCAGCCAGAAGTCCAAAATTGGTATCACTGGACCATAATTAAGATTTCAGCATGGCTGTGCTGCCTCTGGAGGTTCTGGGAGAGAATGCATCCTTGTCTTGTCCAGCTCTGATGGTGCCTGCAGGCATTCCTTGGTTTGTGGCCACATCACTCCTATCTCTCCCTCTGTAATTACATGAACTTTTCCTCTTCTGTCTATATCAAATCTCCTTCTGCATCCCTCTTGTAAAGATACCCTTATTATCAGGATCCATCCTGCTAATCCAGAATAATCTTCCAATCTCACAATCCTTAATTTAATCATATCTACAAAGGCCTTTTTTTTTTTTCTTTTAAAGTAATGTTTACAGATTCTAGTGATTGGGAACTGATCTCCTTCAGTAGCCACTATTTAGCCCAATATAGTCATGAATAATAAAAAGAGTCTTAGGATATTTAAAAATGATCATTGCACTATTTTTTCATGGACATTAATATGTGCAAGTGGTTATTCTTTTGCTGTGCAGAAGTTCTTTAGTTTAATTAGATCCCCTTTGTCAATTTTGGCTTTTGTTGCCATTGCTTTTGGTGTTTTAGTCATGAAGTCTTTGTCCATTCCTATGTCCTGAATGCTATTGCCTAGGTTTTCTTCTAGGGTTTTTATGGTTTTAGGTCTTACATTTAAGTCTTTAATCCATCTCGAGTTAATTTTTGTACAAGGTATAAGGAAGGAGCTCAGTTTCAGTTTTCTGCATATGGCTAGCCAGTTTCCCCAACACCATTTTTTAAATAAGGAATCTTTTCCCATTGCTTGTTTTTGTCAGGTTTGTCAAAGATTAGATGGTTGTAGATGTGTGATGTTATTTCTGAGGCCTGTGTTCTGTTTCACTGGTCTATATATCTATTTTGGTACCAGTGCCATGCTGTTTTGGTTACTTTAGTCTTGTAGTATAATTTGAAGTCAGGTAGCATGATGCCTCCAGCATTGTTCATTTGCTTAGGATTATCTTGGCTATATGGGCTCTCTTTTGGTTCCATATGAAATTTAAAGTAGTTTTTTTCTTTTTTTTTGTCTTTTTTTTTTTTTAAGACAGAGTCTTGCTCTGTCGCCCAGGCTGGAGTGCAGTGGCTTGATCTCGGCTCACTGCAAGCTCTGCCTCCCGGGTTCATGCCGTTCTCCTGCCTCAGCCTCCCAAGTAGCTGGGACTACAGGCGCTCGCCACCATGCCCGGCCAATTTTTTTGTATTTTTAGTAGAGACAGGGTTTCATCATGTTAGCCAGGATGGTCTCGATCTCCTGACCTCGTGATCCACCCGCCTTGGCCTCCCAAAGTGCTGGGATTACAGGCATGAGCCACTGCGCCCAGCCTAAAGTAGTTTTTTCTAATTCTGTGAATAAAGCCAATAGTAGCTTGATGGGGATAGCATTGAATCTATAAATTACTTTGGGCAGTATGGCTATTTTCACGATATTAATTCTTCCTACCCATGAGCGTTGAATGCTTTTCCATTTGTTTGTGTGCTCTCTTATTTTCTTGAGCAGTGGTTTGTAGTTCTCCTTGAAGAGGTTTTTCACACCACTTATAAGTTGTATTCTTAGGCATTTTATTTTTGTTGTAGCAATTGTGAATGGGCGTTCACTCAAGATTTGGCTCTCTGCTTGTCTATTATTGGTGTATAGGAATGCTTGTAATTTTTGCACATTGATTTTGTATCCTGAGATTTTGCTGAAATTGCTTATCAGCTTAAGGAGATTTTGGGCTGAGATGATGGGTTTTTCTAAACATACAGTTATGTTATTTGTAAAGAGAGACAGTTTGACTTCCTCTCTTCCTATTCAAATACTCTTTATTTCTTTTTCTTGCCTGATTGCCCTGGCCAGAATTTCCAATACTATGTTGAATAGGAGTGGTGAGAGGGCATGCTTGTTTTCTGCCAGTTTTCAAGGAGAATGCTTTCAATTTTTGACCATTCAGTATGATATTGGCTGTGAGTTTGTCATCATCAGAGTGAACAGGCAACCTACAGAATGGGAGAAAAATATTGCAATCTGTCCATCTGATAAATAGCTAATATCTAGAATCTACAAGGAACTTAAACAAATTTACAAGAAAAAAACAACCCCATCAAAAAGTGGGCAAATGGTATGAACAGATACTTCTCAAAATAAGACATTTATGAAGCCAATGAACATAGGAAAAAAAGCTCACCATCACTGATCATTAGAGAAACACAAATCAAAACCACAATGAGATACCATCTTATGCCAGTTAGAATAGTGATCATTAAAAAGTCAGGAAAGAACAGATGGTGGAGAGGATGTGGAGAAAGAGGAACGCTTTTACACTGTTGGTAGGAGTGTAAATTAGTTCAGCCATTGTGGAAGACAGTGTGGCGATTCCTCAACTGGAATCAGAAATAGCATTTGACCCAGCAATCCCATTACTGGGTATATACCCGAAGGATTATAAATCATTCTACTATAAAGACACATGCACACATATGTTTATTGTGACACTGTTCACAATAGCAAAGACTTGGAACCAACCCAAATGCCCATCAATCATAGACTGGATAGAGAAAATGTGACACATGTATACCACGGAGTACTATGCAACCATAAAAAAGGATGAGTTCATGTCCTTTGCAAGGACATGGATGACGCTGGAAACCGTCTTTCTCAGCAAACTAACACTGGAACAGAAAACCAAACACCACATGTTCTCACTCATAAGTAGGAATTGAACAATGAGAACACATGGACACAGGGAGGGGAACATCACACACCAGGGCCTGTTAGGGGACGGAGGGCTAGGGGAGGGATAGTATTAGGAAAAATACCTAATGTAGATGACAGGTTGATGGGTGCAGCAAACCACCATGACACATGTATACCCATGTAACAAACTTGCATGTTCTGCATATGTATCCCAGAATTTAAGTATAATAAAAAATATTAAAGGCTACTGATAATAATTATCATCATCAATATTCACTAATACTTCTTGAGGTCTTACTATCCAAGAACTAGAGAAGGCATTTTATATTAAAAAATTGTTAATCTTTCTACTTCTTGAGGAGGCCTGGACATCTTTGCCATTATCAAAGAGGGAAGATATAGATAAGGAGAAGGCTGCCCAGGTATATATGATCCCTGACTATCCTGACTGGCTCACAGAAAACACAACCGAAAAAAAGAAAAGAAAAAAAACACATACACACACACACTTCCAAGTGGTAATATCCGCTAGCAGAGGAGGGGAGAACAAAGCCTGTGAAGCACAAAGCTCATTTATATGAACTTCAGGAAAAGCCACTGAGATAAATGTAGTGCTCAAAGATCCCAGCCTGCAGACCCAAGACTATTTTTTAATTTACAAGCCACATCCTTTTGCTTCCCTGCTAACGTGCTTTTTCGAAAGTTTTTACCTTCCTTATTAAGGAAATAGAGTAATTTTGTTTACTTTATGTGACAAATTTTTGATGGGAAACAAAGGATAAAATATCAGCAAAACAAAGGGAAAATTATTAGACCGAGCCAGTAAATATATGTGCATCACTTATCGTTGGGAATGTGTTCTGAGAGTTGTACAATTAGGCAATTTTGGCATTGTGAGAACATCACATAGTGTACCTAAGTGCAAACCTTGATGATATAGTCTTTTACACACCCAAGGTGTATGGTATAGCCTATTCCTTCCACACAAGCTCCTGTAGGGCATGTTACTGTATGGAATACTATAGGCAATTGTAATGCAGTGATAAGTATTTGTGTCTCTACACATATCTAAACAAAAAAGGTACAGTAAAACCACTGTTGTATATCCATTCTACTGTTGACTGAAACATCATTATGCAGCACATGACTGTATTATTAAAAAATAATTGAATCCTAATCTTGAAATTTTCTTAGTAACATTTAAATGTAAACGGACTTTTTTATTTTTGCAATGTGCTGCAGGCAATTGTTTAATGTGCAACAGAAAAAAATGTAAAAGCAGTTAATTCAATGAAAATCCTTCTTTAAATAATTTTGTCAACATGCTCTACATGTTACTCCCAACTGGCTAAAAAGAAATGAAAAAAAAAAAAAAGAAAACCCATGTTATTATATGCCTATCTGCAAAAGCCTATAACTTTTAATATGCAAAGGCTTTATTTAAGAATGATGAGAAAAGAAACAATAGAAAGAATATTATGAAGAGATGATTGTTTTGCCATGAAGAGCATTTTAAAAATTTAAAATCAATGTTTCATTGAATACTTGTGAATCTCTAAAACAAAAGTAAGGTTTCTGAGTTTTTTTAAACAAATACACATCACTTTTTGAGAAAATATATACCTAAAAGAAGGCAACTAATTTGTTTTAATATTTAAAGCTAATAGTATAACAATTTGGTATTTGAGGCACTGTGTATTTTTTGCAGCAAACCAAAAATATACAGAAGAAAACTTTTACTGTTTTGTGTCAGTTAGAATTAACATCATGGGTTTGAATTGTTAGGGTCCACTTGCACATAGATTTTTTTCAATAAAAGTTACACTGTGTGTGCCTGCCTCTCCTGCCTCATCTTTTACATCCTCCATTTCTTCTACTTCTCCAACCTTGAAACAGCAAGACCAACCTATCCTCTTCACCCTCATCCTCAGCCTACTGAACGTGAAGATGACAAGGATGATGACCTTTATGATGATCCACTTTCACTTCATGAGTAGTAAATATGTTATCTGTTTCTTATGATTTTCTTAATAACATTTTCATTTTTCTAGATTACTTTATTGTATGAATACAATATATATATAGTATTCTTTCACAAATAGATTATGTATTAATACTAATGTTATTTATGTTATCAGTAACACTTCTGATCAACAGTAGGATACTGGTAATTAAGTTTTTGGGAACTCAAAAAATATATGCAGATTTTTGACTGTGTGGGGGTCAATACCCCTAATCTTTGTGTTGTTTAAGGGTCAAAATTGTATTTTCATTAAGAATCATTCCCTACAAATTAACATACCAGTTTTTATCATTCACTTTAAAATTGTCTGAAAAGGACATACTTTAATGTATGCTAGTTTTCTTTGAATTAAGCTTTCCAAAAAGTGACAATAGTGAACAGTGATATTATGGGGGATAAAGGGTAACAGAAAGGAGCTGAAGTTTTCAGTGTACCTAATAACTTCCACTATGGCCATAGGTTAGTTCCCATGCTGTAATAGAATGAGGATAGATTGTAGATGTAGGCATATTAGGTTTTCATCCTAAATATCCTCTTCAGTAACTAGGGGGATTTTACTTAGTTCCTTATTTCCTATGGTCCATAGCTTCTTCATTTCTCCAGTAAGGTGAGCAAATTAGCATATATTTCATTTCCCATTAGTGGAAAATCCAACTCAAAGTGATTTAAGCAATAAGATTTATAATCTCACATTAAAAAAATCCCAAGGAATGGTGGTGGCACCAGGATTGGTAAAATTCAGTGATTTAAAGACATGGTATATTACTCGCATTCTTTACATCTTTATTCTTTGCTATCTCTGAAGCTTTGATTTTGTTTTAAAGCCATTCTTGGTTCAAGATGGCTATAGCCATTTCAGATTATATGACCAGAAAATACCCATAGGAAAAAGAGGCTAAAAGAAACTATCCACTTTTAAATTCTCTCTCTCTCTTTTTTTTCCTTCTCTCTCCCATTTCAAAAAGCATACTTCTAGAACTAGCTTTAAGTCTTATTGCCCAGAATTTGGTAACATAAATTTTGCTAAGCTGAAGGCCCGGCACGGTGGGTGGCTCACGCCTGTAATCCCAGCACTTTGGGAGGCCGAGGCGGGCGGATCAAGAGGTCAGGAGATCGAGACCATCCTGGCTAACACAGTGAAACCTCATCTCTACAAAAAATACAAAAAATACAAAAAATAAAAAATAAAAAAATTAGCCAGGCATAGTGGCGGGTGCCTGTAGTCCCAGCTACTCGGGAGGTTGAGGCAGGAGAATGGCGTGAGCCCAGGAAGCGGAGCTTGCAGTGTGCCGAGATCTCGCCACTGCCTCCAGCCTGGGCAACAGAGCGAGACTCCATCTCAAAAAAAAAAAAAATTTGATAAGTTGATCTCTGGTGAAATGGATGAAATTGTCATGATAATTTTAAATTAATTACCATGTTCGTTTGGATATTGAGTTAACAAAATCATTTCTAAAAAATTGGTTATTTCATTGATTAGCAATTCTTGCAATAAGAAAATAAAATACACAAATTTTAGCTTTTGTTAAAATTACAGTCACATATGAGAACTGCATCAGGAAATGAATGATTCATTAGCAATTTTTATAGCAAATAAAAAATTAAATGATTGATGTTCTGTTGAACTGACTTGCTACCATTTTACTTCACATTCCTTTCCTATCTGAAATTCTTGTCAGCAACAATTTTTCAGAGTAGGAGGCAAAAAGAAACGTTTTTGACATCTCTTTTGCACAGTATTTCACATACTAGTGACTAGAAAACTAATGTAATTTACTGTGTAGTTTTGTGAACTTTCATCTTAAAACACTTTATGATAAATTGCATATAAAATTAGATGGCATTACGCCCTGCTATGTTAAGTTTCTTACCCAGAGTTACTAGGATAAAATAATTAAGAAATATTTATTAGATATTTAGGATAAAGATCTTTTAGCTTGCGTTCTTCATAATTCATCACTGCTGTGCATATTTATGAATATTTGTGTCATTCAGTTCACATGAAAAAGTTAATTCCTGCCTAAAATTCCATTAGACACAGAATTCTAACATGGGTGACAAAAATGTCAGTCTTATCTACCTGTGTGATAAATCTAAAGACATACCTTATTGTTTTATTTTTATGATTAATGTCCCTGGACATATGTTCCAAATGATTAAATTTGGAAATACGCTGTCATAGTCTATGTAAATATTACTTTTTTGAACACAATATATTTTAGGATGTTTACATTAGTATTTTTTTCAGTCTGTATTCTGCTGAAAACAATCATGATGTAAATAAAAATGAGATGGTGAGTAGAAACAAGTTCTAAAATATTATAGCTATGATATATATTTTTATAGATCTTATCTTTTTCTATTTTGGTAAAAATGACTTCTTAGGATGAATAGAATTGAAAAGAAGAAAATCTTTAACTGAAGTTTGGAAAAATGAAAAGCTTACTCTATAGTATGGCTGTTTTCTCAACAAATTATAGCATTATTCTCATTCTGTATTTATATGAATAAGCTCATAAAATATATAAAAATATTCAAGGGAGAAATAAATTAGTTTTAGTGTACAATAACAACTCTCATATTGGTTCATATTTTATGTGACTGGTACAGCAGTTCAAAAGCCCAGTGGGTAGGACTATATATTAGACTACCTTCCAAATAAAAGATGTGCTACTTTTTAAATCTCTTGCCTTAGATGACTCTTTTATATGTATGTAATGTGCTATAAAGTAATATATCAGCATAACTTTCTTGGGCTGCTCCAGGAGTATAACCCAAACAAAAGTATATTTTGGTGAATTGTATTTACTGGCAGATTGTCATAGTTATTTTCTTTAAGAGGAGCAAAAATGGTAGACTGACATGCTTTTTAATATTGACAATGGAAACCAGAAACAGTAGGATGCTATTTTCAATGTGCTAAAAGAAAATAACAAAAAGTCAATAATTCTACCCCTTTTGAAATAATTTTTCAAAGATTAGGGTTAAACAAAAATATTTTCAGTATTAAATCACTTTCCACAAGCAGAATCTCACTAAAGAAATGTTAAAGCACATACTTGTGATATAAAAAAGCATACATTGAAGCTCTGAGAAAAAAAGCAAAGAGAGTTGGCTTACGCTTTACAAAGGAGCTATTTAAATATCTCTTTTATTAAGTAAATGAAATATTCTCTTGCTCAGTTTCTGTTTTTATTTTTTTCAATATGTACCTTTAGCCATTGGACGGGTACATTTGTTAATTTATTTAGTTTATTGTTTAGAGCCACATGAATAAACAATGTATTGATTGGTTTATATGTTTCTCATTTTTGTCCTAAATATTGTGAATTCACAGACACATGAATCAATGAAACAGGAAGGAAAATGCCAATAGATTTATGTGGTAGATTGTCTTTTCCTGAGGCTGAAGGTTGTGACTTTCTTTAGGAAGAGATTGATCCAACGATTATTGCTATATGTAATTGCATTCCTTTTTGGTTTGGGAATTGGTGGTTGGAAAACACCTTTTTCATATGTAGATTTTTAAAAGCACTCTTACCTCACAATGAACTAAGATGGAAAGTAATTACATATTTTATTTTTCTGTGGATACTCTTTCACGTGGGCAAGAACCAAATGATAATTGCCTAATTAATACATTAATAAAACTAACAAAATCTGTGGAAGATATCAGTTAAGAGGACAAGTTAAGCAGAAGGGCATAAGATCCCAGAACAGCTATTAGCAGCATAATGATGCTCTAGACTAGTAGACGATATTAAAGGGGGCCAGTTCAGCTACTTAATGAGGCTGCCAAGGCACCAGCTGCTGCTGTGGGGAACTGCGGCTCACAGCTCAGCATCTGGGTCAGTGTTTGCCATATGAAGAGGAAAGGGACAGGATTTTAACGTGGAAGGGCAAATGATACCTTTCCTTCACTGTACAGCTGCCTTTAAAAGATGATTTTTAAAAGCCTGTTTGTCACCTCTATGAGGAAAGGCACTGATAGAATCATGCCAGTGCTTCAGAATCTTTCTATAGACAAAACTCAAAATGAATGAAAATGTTTTCACTTCTTAGAGATACTTTTAAAAACCTTCACTGTCTGTTTTACTCAATAATATATATATATACACACACACACACACATATATATATCCATAAGGTAATGAGAAGTTTAAACACTTTAATATAACTCTAAAGCAAATCTCCACAAAATGTAAAGTTTAGCTATTATCATTGTCACGATTAAATATAACCTAATGGTAATTTGTTTGGTTCCTTGGTTAAAGGAAGTCCAAAATAGTGTAGAAGTCAGAAATATGGGTTTCAGTATGTTATATAAATCATTCAAACTTTGAGTCTTAAATTTAAAAAAAAAAAGGGATAAAAAATTATGTTTTCTTCTCACTCAACAAATATCCATCAGGTGCTAAGGAAAGTGCTTACATTACCTAATACAAAGATAATTCATATTTAACTTCTCCAATTAGCTTAGGATGTAGGTAGATTAAAATGTACTCAGCATTTCACAGGCCTAAATGTCTAGAAAGCTTATCTGTCTTGCTTTTTATTATACAGTTTTTCTAAAGCAGAGGACAGACTAGAACCCAGGATTCATCAACTTTAGTTCAGTGGTGTCTCCATAAAATTAGAAATTGCTAGATGGTAGAAGATATCATGATTATTAATTATCTAAACTATCAATATGCTGTGCCAATTCTACTAAACCTTTTTTAAACTTCAGCTTTATTGAGGTATAATTAATGAATAAAAGTTGTGTATATTGAAGGTGTACAATGTAATGATTTGATATACATAATACACTGTGAAATGATTAACAAATGATGACTAATATTAATGTATCTTAGTTAACAATACTATATTGTATACTTTGATAAGCAGGATCTTGTCTCTTCGCCTTGCAATTGTTCACTATTAAAAATTATTTGCCAGGTGTGGTGGCTCACACCTGTAATCCCAGCACTCTGGGAGGCCGAGGCAGGAGGATCACGAGGTCAGGAGTTCGAGACCAGCCTGGCCAACACGGTGAAACCCTGTCTCTACTAAAAATACAAAAATTAGCCGGGCTTGGTGGCTGGTGCCTGTAATCCCAGCTACTTGGGAGACTAAGGCAGGAGAATTGCTTGAACCCGGAAAACAGAGATGCAGTGAGCCGAGATAACACCACTGCACTCCATCCTGGGTGACAGAGCAAGACTCTGTCTCAGAAAAAAAAAAAAAAACCAAGCTAATTGACATATGTATTACCTGCCATATTTATCATTTATTTGTGATGAAAGCACACTTAAAATCTACTCCCTTAACAATTTGTAATGATACAATACATTGTCATTAACTGTAATCATCATGTTATACAATAGATCTCTTGAACTTATTTCTCCTAACTGAAAGTTTTGTATTTTTTAACCAACATCTCTTCATTCCCCACCCTTCCCATCATGATCCTGGTAACCACCATTCTCCTCTCTGCTTTTATGAATTCAACTTTTTAATATTTCATATATAAGTGAGATCATGTGGTATTTGTCTTTCTGTCCATGATTTATTTCAGTTAACATAACGTCTTTCGGGTTCCCTGCTATTGTCACACACAATAGGATTTCTTCCCTTTATAATTCCGTATAGTATTCCATTGTGTATTTGCAAGGAGACTTCAGAAAGTTAGTAGAAAAATGGAATTATATGCTAAAAGCTAAAAAAAAAACTTTATTATTCAACATAAGCTCTGTAAAGTCAAGACACTTTTGTAAGCAGTGATAACAGCCATGTACTTCATCTTTAAAGAAATGATGGTCCTTTGAATTTAAACATAATGGAATACAGTCATTTTTAGATTACTAACTAAAGAAAAATGAGTGCCCTATAAGGATTTTTTAAGATTAGGAAACAGTGAGAAGTTGGAAAAAGCCAAATGAGGACTGTAAAGTGGACATCTAATGATTTCCTATCAAAATTTTTGCAAAATTGTCCTTGTTTGATGAGAAATGAGCAGGAGCTTTGTTGTGGTGTAAAAGGACTTTCAAGTGAAGTTTTCACAAGCATTTTTTTCTGCCAAAGCTTTGGCTAACTTAAGCAGGTGTTTTCATTCTTTGACCCTTCAGAAACTTACGGAGGGATGTGCCTTGAGCATCCCAGAAAATTGTTTCCATGACCTTTTCTCTTGACAAGTCAGCTTTTGCTTTCACTGGACTACTTCTACCTCTTGGTAGCCATTGCTTTGATTGTGTTTTGTCTTCAGGATTGTAATGGTAAAGCCATGTTTTATCTCCTGTTCCAATTTTTTGAAGAAATACTTCAGAGTCTTGATCCCAATTGTTTAAAATTTCCATTGAAAGTTCTCTTGTTTGCAGCTGATCTGGGCACAATGGTTTGGCACTCATGGAGTAAAAACTTTGCTTGATTTTAATTTTTCAGTCAAAATTCAGTGAGCTGAACCAATTGACACATCTTTGTGTTGGCTATTGTTTCTACTGTTAATGATTGGTCTTTTTCAGTTAGGGCATGAATTGAAGAGGAGCAGGGTATTCTTTGATTTTTTCCTCACAAATTGAAGCAGACCATCGTCTGCTACTGCAGGCTTCATTGTCAACATTGTTTTACCCCTTTTAATATAAGTTATCCATTTATAAACTGCTGATTTCTTTGGGGGCATTGACCTCATAAATTTTTTGTAAAGCATCAGTGACTTCACATTCTTTCACCCAAGACTCATCATAAATTTGGTGTTTGTTCTTGCTTTAATTTTAGCAAAATTTATGTCACTCTGATGAGGGCTCTTTCAAAGCAATGTTTTATTCTTCTTAGTGCCTCAAACTAGATCCTATTCAGACATGTTATAACAAGTTAGTACTAGTTTATTTTGGTGTAAAAATGGAAATTCATGCATAGTTTTGGTCATACTATGCATTTCCCTTGAACTTTTTGAAGACCCTCATATACCATGTTTTATTTATCTGTTTATCTGTTGATGGACACTTAGGTTGATTCCATATATTGGCCATTATGAATAATGCTGCAATGCACATGGGAATGCAGATTTCTCTTTGACATACTTATTTCATGTCCTTTGAATATATACCTAGTGGTGGGATTGCTGGATCATATGGTAGCCTTACTTTTAATTTTTTGAGACACTTACATACTGTTTTTCGTAATAGCTATACTAACTTACATTCCCGTCAGTAGTGTACACAAGTTCCCTTTCCTTTACATTCTTGCCAACACTGATTATATTTTTTCTTTTTGATGACAGCCATTCTAACAGGTGTGAGGTGATACATTATTTTGATTTTAATTTGCCTTTCCTTAATGATTAGTGATGTTGAGCATTTTTTCACTTGCCTGTTGGCCATTCATATGTCTTCTTTTGAGAAACATCTTTTAGGTCATTTGTCCATTTTTTAATTAGGTTATTTGTTTTCTGGCTGAGTTGTTTCAGTTCTTTATATATTTTGGATATTAACCCCTTATCAGATATATGGTTTGTAAATATTTTCTTTCATTCCATAGGTTACCTTTCCACTTGACTGTTTCCTTAGTTATGCAAAAGCTTTTTAGTTTGATGAAAAAATTTCCCCCATATTTTTGGTGTCATATCCAAAAAAATCATTGTCCAGACCGATGTAATAGAACTTCTCACCTATGTTATCTTCTAGTAGTTTCACAGTCCACATTCACATTGTGTGTTCTTGGTATCCTTTTCAAGTGTCAATTGACTGTGTCTGAGCATGGTGGCTGACACATGTAATTCCAGCACTTTGGAAGGCTGAGGTGGGCGTATCACCTGAATTCAGGAGTTCAAGACCAGCCTGGCTCATCTCTACTAAAAATACAAAAAAATTAGCAAGGAGTGGAGCGTGTGCCTATAGTCCCAGCTACCTGGGAAGCTGACGTGGGAGAATAACTTGAACCCAAGAGGTAGAGGCTACAGTGAGCCGAGATTGCACCACTGCACTCCAGTCTGGGTGACATAGCAAGATCCTGTCTCAAAAAAATAAAATAAAAAAGTCAATTGACTGTAAATATGTGAATTTATTTTTGGGCTCTCTATGTCATTCCATTTGTCTGTATTTCTGCTTTTATGTCAGTATCATACTGTTTTCATTAGTATATCTTAATAATATATTTTAAAATCGGGTGGTGTGGTGTTCCAGCTTTTTTTCTCCCTTAAGATTTCTTTCTTCTGTTTAAGTCGTTAATTCAATTTGAGTTGATTTTTGTATGATATATGATAAGGCACTCATTTCATTCATCTGCATGTTGATATCCAGTTTCCTCAACACCATTTATTGAAGACATTGCCCATTCCCATTGTGTGTTCTTTGTATTTTTTTCAAAAGTCAGTTTGCTGTAAATGTGTGGATTTATTTTGGGTTTCTCTATTCTACTCCATTGGCCTATTTGTCTATTTTTATGCCAGTATCATGATGTTTTAATTAATATATCTTTGTAATATATTTTAAAATCAGGTGGTATGAGTCTCCAGCTTTATTTTCCCCTCAAGAATTTTTTGGCTATTCAGCGATTCAGGGTCTTTTGTGGTTCCATATGAATTTTATGATTGTTTTTCTTATTTCTGTAAAAATTGTCATTGGAATTTTTATAGGAATTGTAAACCTGTAGATCATTTGGGGGAGAATGGAAATTTTAGCAATATTAATTCTTTCAATCTCATGAACATAAGTTATCTTTCCTTTATTTGCATTTTCATTAACTTTTTCATTTATGTAAAACCATTTTTTAAAAAAGCAAATTCTATTAATATTAATATATATTATGTTAGAATCAGTAATTCTTTTGTTTTTGTTCTTTTGTTGTTTGTTTTTTGTTTTGTTTTGTTTTCGTTTTTGTTTTTGAGATGGAGTCTTGCTCTGTCTCCCAGGCTGGAGTGCAGTGGTGCGATCTCGGCTCACTGCAACTTCGTCTCCCAGGTTCAAGTGATTCTCCCGCATCAGCCTCCCAAGTAGCTGGGATTACAGGCATGCACTACCACTCCTGGCTAATTTTTTTGTATTTTCAGTAGAAACGAGGTTTCACCATGTTGGCCAGGCTGGTCTCGAAATCCTGACCTCAGGTGATCAGCCCGCCTAGGCCTCCCAAAGTGCTAGGATTACAGGCATGAGCCATCACTCTCAGCCAAGAATCAGTAGTTATTGAGGAATGGGATAGACAATGTTTTAGACATGATAACTGACCAGACAGAAGGACATTTGATTCTGAAAATGAGGTATGTTAATTGTCAAGTTTAGGAAAGTCACCTAAAACAAGAAAAGCAAGCATACAAGAGATATATGGAATTGTCAAGGAGACACATATATGGATTAAGTGTGTGGAATGAGGGTCCCAGATAGGTCAATTCATGTAAAACTTATCAACATCCTAGGCAGGAGAGCTGGAGCAGAGGATGATTGAGATATACACATACTTGAAATAAACACACTTGGTGTGTGATGTTCCCCTTCCTGTGTCTGGAGGGATAGCATTAGAAGATATACCTAATGTAAATGACGAGTTAGTGGGTGCAGCACACCAACATGGCACATGTATACATATGTAACAAACCTGCACGTTGTGCACATGTACCCTAGAACTTAAAGTATAAATAAACACACTCATTCAAGGCTAGGGCAATTTCAACAAGACATGAGTTATAAATTTGATTTAAGGTTGTTTGCTTTTTCTCTTATTTATTTATTTATTGCAAAACCAACAAAAAGTGACCATTCCTTTTGTGAAAACTTTTTTTTGACATTTGCATTATAAGCTCTAGGATGTTTTTTTGCTTCTCATGAGCCACCTGTGTCTTTCTGTAGTTATATGTAGAAATAGTGCCATAATGCGTGAGTCACTCATTTGAGTGCTAAACAAGTCATGTTCAGTATGTGTTTCCTGGAAACAAAAACCCAAACTGTTTTCATTTAAAATGTGGTTTAAAATTTTTTCAATTTCACTATGTAGAAATTTCATATTCTAAGTAGTGGAAATAAATCAAAAGATTTTGTTAGAGCTCATATTTCAAAACAAAAAATTATTGTAATGTGTCCATTTCTAAGTAAGGTAAAGAAAAATATTAAAGAAGCACACATGTTAGAAAGGAAAACTACATTGTATTAAACTGTCTTCAGTATTAGGCAGTTTCATAGTTTCATTTCTGGAAAGCAATTATACAGATATATGAATGTGTGTGTGCAAAGACATGCATTCAAATTTTATTGCCACAACATTGTAAATAATAGGAAAAGATCAAAAAAGAAATGTAGTTTTAAATTCCAGATATATATAAATATGTATGCTTGTGAAAAAATATATATGTATATATACACATATAGATGTATGTGTGTGAAAATACGTATATGTGTGTGTGTGTGTGTGTTTGAAAAAATATATATAGCCAGGGATTTCACTGTTATACTTCATGAAGTTTACTCATAAAGGTTGTTTTTTGAAAATCTAGCCAATGTGATAGGGAGACTCGATGGTTTTTGACTTAGTTTCATGTTGAACCCCAAAGTATATAGCCCTACAATGATTTAGTACCTGATAGTGAGCTCAGATACTCAATTTGCTCAGATACTCAATTTTCTTCCTCTTGTAGCCTTTGTGTCTCTTCTCCCTTGCCGATCTCCATCACGATTGTCTTATGCATTGTAAATGTTCTAAAAACTAAAGAAAAGGGGTCATGAGCCTTAATCCCTTTCTTTCATGTATCTAATTGATGCCAAATTTTGTAATTTAAAATTAATGCATTTTTTTCTTACTCATTTATGCTAAATTTTGTAATTTAAAATTAATGCATTTTTTTTCTTACTCATTCATTTCAGGAAGTATCTATATGAGCCAGACATAGTTGGGCCCAAAACTTGCCTTTATATAGACACATAAATTGAAGCACCACCAGCAAATTTATTAACTAAAATTCTGTCATGTTATGTATTACTGATACCAAAACTTACTAGGAACATACCTTTTTTTTCTTCATGGTGAGCTTGAAGAACAATAATTCAGCAGAAATATGAGAGGTACCTTATGGGACAAAAAAATTCTACATTTTTTAAAGTAAGTTTCACACTTTTTAGAGATAAGCTTGCTAAGCCTCATGTTTTATTAAATATAATTTGTTTTATTAAAACCATAATCAATTATTTCATTTTTTTGTGTAAGTGATATGGATAGTCATGCTTTATAATGATGATGGGCAAAAAAGGTATTTAATAAAGGAAAAGCTGAATCAATATATATTTTTAAAATACAAAGGAATATTTTAATCTCAGCTTAACTATTTCATGGTTTTATACTCACTCTGCATTTTACTTCCATTATTGACCCATTAAAAGTGTTCTTTGCCTCAGGAATAGAATAAAGAGAACATCAGAACCAATTATCCTGGAACATTAAGCATGTTATTATTTCCAAATGACATGTTTACTTAAAACGAAAAAAAAATCAATGTTGATTTTTGTATTGCTAATAAGAAAAAAAGTCACTAAAATTTAAATATAAAGATTCTTACCATCAATAAAACATAAAGAAACAAAAGACTTATTTAATAAAAGCAAACAAGTATTTGTTATCTGTCATTAATTACACAAGTTTTGGAGAAATCATCTATTCAGTGATATGGTTGTTTTTCTTATAATTTTACATAGAAGCATCTTTTTGGGAAATTGTTTCTTATCAGGAGGCATGTTTACATTTACAGCAGATGAAAGTAAATCTCATTCATTAAAATTAATAATGATAAATATCCTCATTTGCTTATTGGAAGTGCATAATCAGATTGAATTAGTACTGTGAATTGATTAGTCTACAAAATTAGTAGTTTGTGATGATGACAAATAAATGTAAGTAAATGGTTGACTGGATAGAACCAATCGATTTGAATACAAGCTGTTATCTGGGAGACACGGAACAATTTCAGTTCTACAGTGAGTAGCTCAAAATTATACCAAATAATATACTCTTTGATTATATTACATATTAAAAGATGATACATATTTGACTTTTTGGAGTCATTTTTTTTTCAGGTAAATTAGTTAAAATGTGTACATTGTTTCTCACAAAATTGCATATTTGGTATAGGGAGAACACCAAAAAGTTAAAAAAAAAAATACAAAACATGAGCTAATTCCCACATTTAAAATGCATGAGTAAACTAACAGGAAACTAAGACAAATCTTCGCAAACCAGAAACAAGTATAAAATATGAATCCAGAGAGCTGGGGCACCTCTAAATGTGGCCACAGGGCATCTGTCAACCCTCTGGTGGCTTGGAGTTTGTAATTTTGTATGCACTTTGGAAGAAGCCACTTCCTGAAGCTGGAAGCTGTAACAGGCAACACATTTGCTCTGAAAAATCTAGAATAAAGCACAGTTAGAATGAGACATTATTCAGACTTGCCTGCTATAGATTTGAAGCATAAAGGAATGGGGCTAGAAGATGGTATTATGACTCTCCCTGAGAAATCTTGCCAGAATACTGCCTCCCACAGAGGAAAGGCTGAAATATTAGCATCTGTGTGGTACAAAAGCGCCATTTAAAAATTTAGGTTAAAATGTTCCAGGGTTTTTAGCAATTTTCTAGCACCTGGCAAAAAAACAAAAACAAAAAACAAAACAAAAAACAAAAAAACAAGGAAAAGCTTTTGGGTAAAGCTATAAAATATGACATCAAATATTTCCTATAATATAGTTATAAGGAATATAAGCTCACTTACAAAAAAGCAACAGAGAAACAGATCAACATATAAGATATTTTTAAAAAGCAACAGCAAAGAATGCTGAATTTGTATACATCACATTGAGAACATAATATACATGTGTTTAATAAATTACTACAAATAAAAGAAAAAATTGAAAATTTAAGAGGCAAGACAATAAAACAAAGTGGACTGATTTGAAAATGTATAAAAATAATAAAAAGAGGACTGTAAAAATTTAATAAATGGGTCAGCCAATTACACTGACAAAAGAGAGAATGGAGCACATAAAAATAAAGAAATAGGATATTATATTAAGGGGTTAAGAGATACAGAGAACAGAATTTTTTAGAAAATCAAAATACTCTAATTAATTACCAGAAGGAGATAAGAGTGAAACAAGAAAGACCAAGTTATAGGTGGTAGTGATTAAGAATATTGAAGAATTGATAAGAAATTCAAATCTCACATTCTTAAGACCAATAAACCCCAGCATAAGTGACACACACAAAAACACATTTTGACATATCATAGTAAAATTAAAGCATTCCCAAATCAGCCAAACCTCCTCAAAGGCAAAAAGATATTAATGGCGTTAATAGCTTTAACCAGTATAAAAAAGAGAGACAGCCTGACATTATTAGTCTACTGATGGAAGATCACAAGGTAGTCTTACCAAAATATCTAACTTGTATTTTGCCTAGATTCAATCACCAATTTATAGTAAATACAGAAGTATGAGTAACATATTAAACCACAACACAGTGACTTTAAATTCCAAAATCAAAAAATTAAAGCTATATGCTTCCACTAACACAATTTGACTATTTAAATTATAATGCAAAATAAAATTTAATTGTGAATTTCCTGTGTATAAATAATAAAATTTAAAGACCATATACTCAGAACAAGATTTCAAGACAGTAAATTTTAGTTATTTAATGAATAGTTATTAACCATGTCAGCGTGCAAAGCACTGGATTTAAAAACATGAGTAAGTCATGAATATTTTTCACAGATATCTCACAGACTAATGGGAGATACAGATGACTAAAATAGAATATATATAAAATTATATGTAAAAGTATGTTTAAGTTGTAGTATTGGTACAATTGACAGACTTGTCAATTCTTGAGTTTTAATGTTTTTGTAAGAGAAAGAAATTAGATTCTTTGGCAGCCTTTTTGGATCTAAGTGTAAACAGAAAATTATAAATCCTCTAAGCAAATGACTAGGGGAAATGAATTCCAGTCGGAAGGGTAAAAACATGTTGAAGGCATAAGGAGTGAAATGTTGAAATGTGTTCATTTGTTTGATGAGTGGTGCTGTATTTGCACAGTAAACATTCAGGAGTACATGAAGGATAGTATTTGGTCAAATATTTATAGACGATTTACAGACTTATTTACATAGACTTATTTATGGACTATGGAAGAGGTTGTATTTTGACTATTTCACTTTGTTGCAATAATGCAAACCTAGATTCACCTCTGAATTTTAAACGTTTGTTCTCTTTATCTTATTCTAGAATTGAAAGTCATTTCTGACCTGCGACTTTAGAGTGAGCAACATTCCAGGTTATCTAAGTAAGATATCCCAAGTCTCATCTTTGTTAATGAGACTGGTGCTCCTGCAGACTCTTTCTGCACTTCATGAAAATAGGGATGCTAACTCATTAGTTTTCCTCTCCCTTATTTTTATTAGTTTTATTAGTTTTCCTCTATTTCCAGGACATCTGTTTAAAAGTTCTTCTGCCTTGAAGCAGAGTAGCCAGTGCTGTTAAATGATTGTAAAATATCACATAACATGAGGATCCTATACTTAACCAAGATTGCTTTCTGATAGTATTTCTGTTTGAGCCCCTACCCTCTTTATCCTAACCCAGATCATTTTAAAGAGTTTCTCCCTTACTATAAGATTTACTAATTCTCTTTTTTTGTTGTTCCCTATGTCGGAATTATCAAAACAAACCAAAGTTTCCATGATCGTAAACCAAATTGAACATAACCAAATATGCCAAATAGCTTTCAAATATTTATGTTGTTGTTTCCTCTGTCTGCCCTTTTATCCATTACTTTTGCCTGATTTTGTTAGTGAGATGAGTTTTGGTGGCTTAATTATTCTCAAGGATCTACAAACTGTATTCTGTATTTCATTCCCATTCTCTATTTTGTCAGTGTCTCTAGAGGTAGAAAAACATTTCCACTTTTCTTCCATGTCAAAAACTGGAGCACCACTGATTATTTTATCAGTTATTCAATTAAGTGAAACTACTTCACTTTCTATTTCCTTTTCATACAAAAATCACATTTCAGCAAAACACTGTCAGATGTGGAAATATGTAACATTGTCATCCATATGTCAATTTTACATAACTTGTTAACATTGAAATTGCATCAAAGTTCAAAGTTGCATTGTGTCTTTCACATTATTGTTACCCATATTTCACTTTTGACTTATGGAAGAGCAAGCAACTGATACAAGACTGGAGCATGCATTATCACAGCCGTTATCAGATATAAGTGCTAAAATGTTGACAGCTTAGAAATTAAAATTCCTGGCAGACCACAAAGCTTTCTTTTATAAACATTAGAATTACCTTTCTATTTCAAAAAAGAAAAATGACTTTGACCTCATTCTAATGCTTATTACCAAGAACGTTTCAGAAAGCAGATTAGTCAAAATACGCTTTGCCTTCATTAGTATTCCCTGCATCATGCTATAACTAATGATTTCTATTACTAATTGTCATTACTAAACAGGTTTTATCTGAAAACTTTGTGACAAATTTTATGCATTCTTTCACTTTACTCCCTTTGAAGAAAAGGAAACTTTATTATACAATAATATAATCTTTCAGTCAGTTAGCAAAATAAGTTGGTTACCCACAGTGTGAATAATACTGTGGTTAGACATATTCGGGAGTGTCCAAAGGAAGAAAGTGGCATTTTTCTTCTTTTTCCTGAAGTTCATAAGATAGTTGGAAGGCAGGCTATAGTCAAGTGAAAAAGACTTGTAGATCCCTGAAAGGAACTCAGAAAATTTCTGTGTAGCATGTTTAGTCTCTCGTTGAAATAGATTCTTCACAAATTATGAAGATCTGTAAAGGATGCAATTATTACATTAAATAACATTAATAAATCATAGTCCTAATTTAGATTTTTATTAAATGCATATCCCACTAGGTTTGTGTCCAAAGTGTCCACAGTTTGTGACCCAATTTTAAAAGAAAGGACCGTAGCTGAAATTGCAGAGTGAGAAAATAGAAAGAAAACTGGTTTTGGAATCATAGTGGGATTTGAGGATTGGCTATAGTACTTATTAGCCATGTGATTGTGGACAGTTTATTGTGTATTCTGCATTTTTGTGTCATTCTCTGAAAAATGCATATAGTAATACAGAACTTCTATGACTGTGATAGGCTTACAGGTGATACTTATATTAAAAACACGACACAATACAAAGGTTAAATAAATGATAGCTCCTATTATTCTTATGCTAAAACATAGGGACATATTGAAATGTTAACTAACATTTTTAAGTACCTGGATATTTGAAATCATTGAGGTTATTACCTTTAAGTGGTTTTGTAATTATAGCCTTTGCTTCTTGATCTGACCTTCTCACCTTTTCAGTAGTGGGTCGCTTTGCTTCTAGTTATGGGTCCAGCCCTATTGTGGGTAGTGAAGTATCTTCTCTCCTTCGGGAGAATTTTAGGAAATTTAATCAACCATCAAGTCAAACTTTCTGCTTTCTTCTGAATTTGTACTCCAGTTCTCATAAATTTCTTCTTGTCTTGCTCCCTACTTGTTAAAGACAACATAGCCAAGTTGTGAAGGGTAAGATCTGTGGAGGTGATGCAGTTCATCCAGGGTAGCCTCCTGATGCATACAGAAGGATGTAGAAGAAGAGTTGAGAATAGGCCTGGAGAGACAAATGGAGAATAACCAGAATGATTCTTTTTTCCCCATTTCTCCATAGACAAGAATGATAGATCTGAAGTGTAATGTAGATATGGTGTATCTATCAAAGCTTTTCAAAATATTTTTTATTTGCAGAAGGATATTCTGATGTGATATGCAGATAAATTTTATGAGTTTTCCTAAACTTGTTATTATTTATTTCCCAAGCCAACCATATCCTTGTGCAGAGAGAAGAAAATGACACAGTATTTTTTACCTCTGGTGAGTTGAATAAGTAAATCAAAACAATCAAACACGCTAGGAGGCCTGGAGTGGAGTAGGATAGAACTCTGCTTGTCTCACTCTCTGATCTATTTATCAGTGAGTTTGGATAAGAAGATAGATACATGCTTCAGAAATGTTTAGGACACATTAACCTTAAGAGAGAGCTAAGGTTTCTATTGACAAAATTGTTATTAAAAGATCTCAGCACCGTGAAAATTATCAAATGAAAATTTAATGATTTTATTTCACACACAGGGCAAATGAGAGAGAAAGAGGGAGTGAGAGAGAGTTTAAAAAATACATTGAACACATTGCAGAAAGGAAGGGTAGAGAAATTCACTTATTAATAATTGTATGTGATAATAGACATTGACTTGGGGAGTTTATTTGCTAAAAAAAAAGGTATGATCTTAGAATGCCTCCAATTTGCAGAAATATCAGAAAAATGGAAAAGACATGCCATCAGTGACTCTAATGATAAGATTTTATCTATGTTAGGAAACAAGAGAAACAAGGGCATTACCCAGGCAGAACAAACAAGAAGGAGAAAGGACAACAAACAAACAAACAACATGAGATAAGAGGACAGCAAAACATGAAGGAGCAGAGACTTCAAAAGATAACACAAAAGGAACATTATAGCATCTGGAGGTAGCTAAAATGCTATCATTTAAATAGTAATTAGATGCTGAAAACTTTTAAAAATTACAACTACAACAAGTAGGTGAAAAAGAAAAACATTTGGACCAAAAATTTTCCAAAAAAATTTTGTTTATTGCCATTTTGTTAATTAAGGTATAATTTACATACAGTAAAATTAATCATTTTAAGTGTACACTTCCATAAGTTTTGAAAAGAGTTACAATTATATAACCACAGTTACAGTCAAAATATAGAACATTTCTATCACAACTATCTTTTTCCCTGTTGTGGACAATACCTCCGTTCACACAAAATATCCAGTAAAAACAAACCTGCTTCCTAAAGTTATAGCTCAGCTTTAAAAGGATGTCATAATAATACAATGATAGACAATATATACTTTTGAAATAGGCTTCTTTCACTAACAATAATGCATGGAGATTCATCCATGTTTCTGTGAGATTCAATAAATTAAATTATACCATTTTTGTGGAATACTATCTGATTACATGGATGTTTCATAGTTTGTTAATCCATACATGTAAAAGACGTCTTAGTTGTTTCCAGTTTGGGGTATTATAAATAAAATATCTCTAAAAAAAATTCATGCACAGGTTTTTGTATGAAAAATACCTACAAGTGGGATTGCTGGGTCATATGGTAAATGCATGATTACTGTTACAAGGACTGCCAAACTATTTTCCAAAATATCTCTATCATTTTAAATGATCATCAGCAATGTGTGAAAGCTTAAGTAGTTCTGCACCCTAATCAGCACCTAGTATTGTCAGACATTTTTAATTTAGAAATTCTAATTATGGTTCTATTTGCATTTACTTAATAATGAGGTTGAGCATATTTTTATGTGCTTATTTGACATCCATTTATCTTCTTTGGTAAATATTTACTCAAATCTTCTTCCCATGGAGGGATGTTGTCAAATGGGTTTGCAAAATATTTTCTCTCAGTCTATGGCTTGTCTTTTTATTTTCCTTGTTTGTTTGAGACAGTGTCTTGCTTAGTCACTGAGGCTGGATTGAAGCAGTATGTTCATGGTATCATGGCTCACTGCAACCTCCGCCTCCTGGGCACAAGGAATCCTCCCCTTTCAGGCCCCTCCAGTAGCTGGAACTATAGGCGTGCATGACCATGCCCCACTATTTTTGTATTTTTTTGCAGAGATGTGGTTTACCTATGTTTCCTATGCTGGTCTTGAACTCCTGGGCTTAGGTGATCTGCCCGCCTTGGCCTCCCAAAGTGCTGGGATTACAGGTGTGAGCCACCATGCCTGGGGGGCCCAGCTATCATTTTCTTAATAATATATTTTGAAGAGCAAAATGTTCTAATTTTGATAAAATGAAAATTAGCAAGTTTTTTTTTTGGGGGGGGTGGGGGTGTCACATGTTTTTTCCTGTCAGGGGATTCTGTAGCTAACCATGGCTTAAAGATATTATTCTATATTTTCTTCTAAATATCATAGAGTTTTAAATTTTATATCTATGCCTATGATCAAATTTAGTTAAATTTGTACTAGTTGTGAAGTGTATCTTGAAATTAACTCTTCTACATATATGTGTGTGTCAGCACAATTTGTTGAAAAGAACAAACTTTCCTTTTGAACTTCCCTTGCACTATTGTTTTACATCAACTGATGACATATGTGGGTGTTTCTGCACTCTCAGTTCTGTTCCACTGATGTGCATTCATATCCTTTTCCCAATAGTATACTGTTCTGACCATTGCAGCTTTATATTTTCTGGATATTTTGTAATGTGAGTCTTTCAACTTTATTTTTATTTTTCAATATTGTTTTGGGTACACTAGTTTGTTAGTCTTTCCATACAATTCTTGAACTATCTTGTTTATTTCTATATAAAAAAAGTCTGCTAGGACTTTGATTGTAATTGTATTAAATGTTTAGATCACTTTGTGGAGAACTGAAAGCAGAATATTTAGTTTTGATCCATAAATTCAGCATATTTCTTCATTTATTTAAGTATTTTAAAATTACATTTCATCAGCACTTTGTCTTTTTCAGCATATAGTACTTGCACATGTTTTGGAAGATTTATACATAAGTACAAATATTACCTGACTTAACAACATTTCAACTTAAGATTTTTTTTTGATTTTAGAATGATGTGAAAGCAATAGACATTTGGTAGAAACTGTAGGTCAAATACCCATACAACTATTTTATTTTTATCTTCAGTACAACATTCAATAAATTACATGAGATACTCAACACTTTATTATAAAATAGGATTTTTGTTAGGTGATTTTGCCCAACCTAATGCTGATGTGTATCTTCTAACCATGTTTAAAATAGGTTAGGCTAAGCTATGATGTTTGGTAGGTTAGTGAACTAAATGCATTTTCTTTTGTTTTCAAGTCTGTCAAGCTTATTCATAACATATTAATTAATACCATATTAATTCAGTCTGCACAAATGCAATAAACCTGACAGGTATTAGATTTATTTTTTATTTATTTATTTATTTTTTAATGGAATCTCTCTCTGTAGCCCAGGCTAGAGTACAGTGGTACAACCACGGTTCACTGCAAACTCCACCTTCCAGGTTCAAGTGGTTCTCCTGCCTTAGCCTCTCTAGTAGCTGGGATTACAGGCACCTGCCACCACAGTCAAATAATTTTTGTATTTTGTAGTAGAGATGGGGTTTCGCCTTGTTGGCCAGGCTGGTTTTGAACTCCTGACCTCAGGTGATCCGCCTGCCTCAGCCTTCCAAAGTGCTGGGCTTAAAAATTTTTTAATTTTATGATTTCAAACTTTATTTTAGATTGAGAGGGTACATGGTCAGTTTGTTACCTAGGTATATTGTGTGATGGTGACATTGAAGGTACAAATGGTTCCATCACCCAGGTAGTGAGCACAGTACCCAGTAGTTATGTTTTCAACACTTACTCCCTTCCTCTTTCCTCCCTCTAGTAATCCAGTGTCTATTGCTGCCATCTTTACGGCCATGAGAATCCATTGTTTAGCTGCTACTTATAAGTAAGAAGGTGGTATTTGATTTTCTGTTCTTGTGTTAATTTGCTTAAGATAATGGCCTCCAGATGAATCCATGTTGCTGCAAAGGACAGAATTTTGTTCATTTTTATGGCTGCATACATATTCAATCATGTATATGTACCATATTTTCTTTATGCAGTCCATCATTGATGGCACCTAGGTTGACTCCATGTCTTTGCTATTCTGAGTAGTGCTGCAATGAATGTATGAGTCCATGTGCCTTTTTGGTAGAACAATTTAATTCTTTGGAATATGTACTCAATAGTAGGATTGCTGGGTCAAAAAGTAGTTCTGATTTTGTTTGTTTTGAAATAGAGTCTAGCTCTGCTACTCAGGCTGGAGTGCAGTAGAACAATCTTGGCACACTGCAATCTCTACCTTTTGGTTTCATACGATTCTCATGCCTCAGTCTCCTGAGTTGCTGGAATTACAGTTGTGCACCACCACACCCAGATAGCGAAAGGGTTGTACCAAGTTGACCAGGCTGGTCTTGAACTCCTGGCCTCAAGTGATTCACCCACCTCAGCCTCTCAATGTGTTGGGATCACAGGTGTGAGCCATTGCACCCAGCTTGTAGTTCTAAGTTCTTTGAGAAATCTTCAAACTGCTTTCCATAGTGGCTGAACCAATTTACATATAAGCATTCCCTTTTCTCTGCAGCCTCTCCAGCATTTGTTGTTTACTGATTTTTTAATAATAGCCATTCTAACTGGTGTGAGATATTGTCTGATTGTGGCTTCAATTTTTATTTGTCTAATGAGTATTAATATTGAGGATTTTTTCATGTTTGTTGGCTGACTATATATGTTAAGAAAAGTTTCTGGTTATATTTTTTACCAATTTCTTAATGGTCTTTATTGTTTTTTGCTTGTTAAATTGTTTATGACTTTTGTCAGTTGCATGACTTGTTAATATTTTCTTCCATTCTGTAGGCTGTTTACTCTGTTGATAGTTTCTTTTGCTGTGCAGAAGCTCTTTAATTTATTTAGGTCTCGCTTGTCAATTTTAGCTTTTGCTGTAATTGCTCTTAAAGACATAGTCCTAAATTCTTTGCCGAGGCAAAAAACAAAAAATAGTGTTTCCTAGATTTTCTTCTAGGATTCTTATTGTTTGAAGTCTAACAGTTAATTATTTAATCTCTCTTGAGTTAATTTTCATATGATGAAATGTAGGTGTCCAGTTTCATTCTTATGCATATAGCTACCTGCTATCCCAGCACCGTTTATTGGATAGGGAGTCCTTTCCCCATTGCTTATTTTTGTCATCTTTGTTGAAATTAGTGAATGTAAGTGTGTGGCTTTTTTTCTGGGTTTTCTATTCTGTTCCATTATCTATGTGTCTGCTTTTGTACCAGTACCATGCTGTTTTGGTTATGATAGCATAATAGTATAGTTTGAAGTTAGGTAATGTGATTCTTCTGGGTTTGTTCATTTTGCTTAGGATTGCTTTGTCAATTCACGTTCTTTTTTGGTTCTATATAAATTTTAACATGGTCTTTTTTTTTCTAATTCTGTGAAAAATGACATTGGTAACTTCATAGAAATTGAAATGAATGTGTAGATTGCTTTGGGCAGTATGGTTATTTTAACTATATTGATTATTTATATCCATGAACATGAGAGATTTTTTCATTTCTTCATTTCATCTATAATTTCTTTTAGCAGTATTTTACAGTTCCCCTTGTACAGATTTTTTATCACCCTGTTTAGATGTATTCCTAGGGATTCTATATTATTTTATTGCGGCTATTGTAAATGGGATTGTATTCTTGATTTGGCTCTCAGATTGAACATTATTGATGTATAGAAATGCTACTAATTCTTGTTCATTGATTTTGTATTTTGAAACTGTACTAAAGTCGTTGATCAGTTCTGATAACCTTTTGGCAGAGTTTTTAGAATTTTTTAGCTATGGAATAATATTGTAGTATTGTAAGCAAACAGAGATTGTTTGACTTTTTCTTTTCCTATTTGGATGCCTTTTATTTCTTCTTTTTGCCTGATTGCTCTGGCTAGGACTTCCAGAACTATGTTTAATATGAGTTGTGAGAGTGGACATGCTTGCCTTTTTCTAATTATTTAGGGGAATGCTAGAAGTAAATCAATCTTATTTATCCTTTCAAATAACCAACTGTTGGTTTCCTTAATTCTTTGTTTGTATTTTTGTGTCTCAATTTTGTTCAGTTTTGCTCTAATTTTACTTATATTCTTCTGCTATATTCAGGTTTAGTTCTTGTTTTTGTAGTTCTCTTAGGTGTGATGTTAGATCATTAATTTAAGGTCTTTCTAACTTGTGAGTTAGGCACTTAGTCATATAAACTTGTCTCATAACACTGCTATTGCTGAATCCCAGAGGTATTGGTATCTTGTGTCTCTGTTTTCAATTATTTCAAAGAATTTTTTTCCACCTTAATTTCATTATTTACCCAAAAGTCATTCAGAAGCAAGTTGTTTAATTTTACATGTAATTGTATGATTTTGAGAGATCTTGGTATTGATATCTGCTTTTATTTCACTGTCGTTTGAGAGTATGTTTGGTATGATCTTTTTTAACTTACTGAGATTTGGTTTATAGCCAAGCATTTGGTTGATTTTGGAGTTGTTCTGTGTGCGCATGAGAAGAAGAATATATATTCTGCGGTTGATGGATGGAGTATTCAGCAGATGTTTATTTGGTCCAATTTGTCAAGTGTCAAATTTAAGTCCAGAATTTCTTTATTAGTTTTCTGCTTCAATGATCAAACACTCTCAGTAGGGTCTTGATGTCTGCCACTATTATTTGGGGGCTAAGTGTTTTCGTGGGACTAGAAGTACTTGTTTTAAGAATCTGGGTGCTCCAATGTTGGATGCATATATATTTAGAATAGTTATTCAGATGCATAGATATTTAGAATATGTATTTCAAGTCCTCTGATTCGATTCTACCCTTTGTTATTATGTAATGGCTTTCATTGTCCATTTTTACCATTGTTAGTTTAAAGTCTGTTTTATCTGACATAAGAATAGCAACTTCATCTCTTTTTTGGTGTTCTGTTTGCATGATAGATCTTTCTCAAACCCTTTAAGCCTGTGGGTGTTGTTATGTGTGAGATAGTTCTCTGAAAGATAGCAGATGAATGGGTCTTGTTTTTTTAATCTATCTTTTCACTCTGTACCTCTTAAGTTGGGTATTAAGACCATTTACATTCAAAGTTAATATTGATGTGTGAGGTTTTGATCCTATCCTGAAGTTGTCAGCAGTTTGCCTCGTAGTTTCTATTGTGTATTTGCTTTATAGTGTCTGTGAGCTCTGTACTTAAGTATGTTTTTGTGGTAGTAGGTATTGTTCTTTCATTTTCATGTTTAGAACTTCTTTAAGGCTCTCTTGTAAGGTTGGTCTAGTGGTAACTAATTCCCTTAGTGTTTGCTTGTCTCGAAAAGATTTTCTTTGATGTTTTATTAAGTTCATTTTGGAAAGCTATAAAAGTTTCAGTTGGAATTAATTTTCTTTAAAAATGCTGAAAAATATTCTCTCCTGATTTGTAAGGCTTCTCTCCGATCGCTCCTGATTTGTAAGGCTTCTACTGAGAAGTCGCTGTTAGCCTAATGAGGTTCCCTTCGTACAGAATCTGACCTTTCTCTCTAGCTGCCTCTATGTTACTAAGCTGGCCTTGGGTGCAATGCTTATCATCCAGAAGAGATCCACCTGTGGAACCTCTCCTTGTGCCCTGACCTGCAAAAGGAAAGAGCAGAATTCCAGTGCCTACTGTGGTGGTACTTTCAACAGTTCTAGCTGTTGAGGCTTCTACTCTGCTCTAGAGCAGGTACTCCAATCTCTTCTCCTGTGACTAAAATGCCTGGTGGCCCTGCTGTTGGTTAAGGAAGAATGGCTGTGTTTGTATGTTTCTGAATTTAAAATAGCATCTTACTATTCATCTTAGATCTAGGAAAATGGCAAATGCCTGCAGCTTTGCTCAGTGTCTTTTCCTCACAATATTCTTTCCCCAAGTTAGCTTCAGGGCTTGGGAGAAACAAAGCGCTCTCCCTTGGCCTAGGTTGTTTGGATCCCTAGTGGAAAGGTGAGTCACAGAGGAAAGCTCTCTTCCCCTCTTGTGTATTGGACTTTCACTAACTTTTATCAGCCCGCTGCTGTCATGGAGGCTGTTTGTTCATGTTATCATTTCTGGTATCTGAAGTGTCCTTCACAATTCTGATGGTCTCATTTTCTAATTTGAATTAAAGCTATTTTTATCCACTATCTTGCTATATCCAAGTGGCTGAGGCATGCTAAAAGCCTCTAATTCCCATCTTGGAAAAATAATCACAAAACTACAAAAAATGTGATTAAATGTGTTTCCCACTTAGGATATTTTCAACTTACAATGTGTTTATTGGGACATAATCCCATGATAAGTACAAGAGCATCTGTATTTTGTGTTTTCTGATGCTATTATACATAGTCTGTTTTATTTATGTCTGGTTATAATTTTTCTTTGCTTGAATTATAAATACTATTTAGATTAATATTGATAATGTATTCTGTGACAATGCTAAAATCACTTATTTTAAGGTGTTTTTGGTAGATTGCTTGGGATTTTTACAGAAAAATGTTGTATTGTTGGCAAATAGGGAATTTGTTTTTGTTCTTGTTGTTTCTGATCCTGATACTTTTATTTTTCTTGTTCTCTTACACTTGTTAGGACTTTATGGCAGTGATTAATAATGAGCTTTGAGAGTAGATGTGTGCCTTTTTATTGATCTTAAGTAGGAAGTGTTTAATATTTGATCATTAAATATGATGTAGCTGTAGATTTTTGCAGAAATTCTTTATCAGATTGAGGAATATTCCTGCTGTTCCTTGTTTGTGGGTGTTTGATCATGAATGTATGTTGAATTTCCCAAAGTTACATTTTTCACTTTATCTATGAAAATTATTTTTTTCCTGTAGTCTGTTGATATGATGAATAAAATTGATTTTTAGATGTTGAACCAGCCTTGCATTCCTAAACTATGTATCACTCAGTCTTATTGTATTATCTATTTTATATGATATGATATTTGATTTGTTAGCTGTTTTTGAGAATTTTTGAATTTATAATCATAAGCTATAATAGATTTTAGTTCTTGTTATGTCTGTGTTATTTTAATATCAACATAATTTTGGACACATAAAATGTGTTGGGAGGTGTCATCTCTTTTATATTCTAAATAATTTGTGGAGGATTAGTATTATTTTTTCTTTAAGTCTTTGGTAGCATTTTCTGGTGAAACCATTTGAATCTTAGATTTAATTCAAGGAAAGATTATTAAGTAAAAATTTTATTTATTTACAAGAGATAAAGATTATTTCTTCTTAGGTGAGCCATGTCAGTTATGATTTCAAACAGTTTGTGCTTTTCATCTAAGTTAAAAAAATTAAAGGCATAGAGCTATTCTTTGAATGTCTTTTCTGTACTTCTAATGATAATGACATAAGTAGTAATGTTTCCTTTTTTATTCTTAATATTTGTAGTTTTGACTTTTCTACTTTTTGATAAATGTTCATAGAAAAATATAAACTTTATTGATTTTTTTAAAAGAGGCAGATTTTTAAAATTGATTTTCTCTATTCTCAATTTTCTTGAATTCTGATATCACCTTCATGATTTCCCCTGAATTTTTCATTTCATTTTAATATTTCTCTAGAGTTTTATGATAGAAACTTAGCTTACTCTTATAAAACATTTCTCATTTTCTAATACAAGCATTTAATGGTAAAAATTTTCATCTAAGAATTGCTTTAGCAGTATCTTGTAAATTTTAATATGTTGTATTCTTATGTTAATTCATTTACAAATACTTTTAAATTTTGCTTCTCACTTCCTCCTTGACTTTTGGATTATTTAGATGTGTATTGTTTAATTTTTCATATATTTGGAAGTTTTCTGGGTATTTTCCTATTATTTATTTCTCGTTTAACTCCAGTGTTATTTGAACCTGTACTTTGTATGACTTCTATTCTTATATATATGTTAAGACTTATTTTAAGAGTGAGAATATGGTCCATTTTAATGAACGTTACATGTCTGTTTGAGAGGTACTGCATTGGTGGACTCTGTTAAATTCATGCACATTTAGAATAATTACATCATTTTGGAGATGACCTCATATCATTAATCAATGTCCACTTTTGTCCTTGATAATCTTTCTTGTTCTGAAATTTACATTGCCTGAAGTTTACATATTTACTCCAGCTTTTCTTTAGTTAATGTTTACATGAGTTACTTTTATTCTTTTAGTTTTAACCTCTGCAACTGGTATTTAATGTGATTTTCCTGAAGATATCATGTGGTTGGATCTTGCCTTTTATACATTTCACAATATGTATGTTTTCACTGGAGTTTCTAAAACATTCACATTTAAAGTGATTGTTAATATGGCTGGATTAAAATATACTGTGTTGATAAAAGTTTATATCTTTTCTGTATTTCTGACTTATTTTGAGTATTCTTATGATTCCATATTAAATCCACTATTTTCATTTATTGTTTTCATATAATATTTTATATGTTTGCTTCTTTTTAAAAAATTTAGTGGTTGTCTTAATATTGACAAGTAAATGATCAGTCTTGAAAAAATACACTGCTCCACTATAGTGAAAGTTACAATAGTATACTCCTACATCTTTCTTCTTATTCTTTTTACTATTATTTTAAAACATTTTACTTTTACACATGTTATAAACATGCAATACATTGCTATTATTTTTGCTTTAAAAAGTAAACTACTTAGAATAGTTAAAACAAAACAAAATTAATTTTATATTTACCTTTATTTATTTGATTTGCAGCAATTTTAAGTTTTTTATATGAGTACAGGCTTTTGTTTTGTATCTTTTTCCTTCTCTGTAAACATTTTTTTAAAAAGTTCTTTCAGAGCAGATCTGCTGGCAATAAATTTTATCTCACTCTTTTATTTTTTGCTGAAAATTTATCATTTTGCTTTCCTCTATGAACAATCTTTATGTTGGTTATACAATTCTTGGTTGACTAATTTTCTTTTAGCACTTTTAGATGCTACTACATTGTTTTCTAGCTTTTACAGTTTCTAAAGGGAAATCTGCTATGCAAAGTTTTTTTTTTTTTCCTATGAGACAGAGTCTTGCTGTGTCACCCTGGCTGCAGTGCAGTGGCATGATCTCAACTCACTGCAACCTCTGCCTCTTACAGTTCAAGCAATTCTTGTGACTCAGCCTCCCGAGTAGCTGGGATTACAGGCCTGCACCACCATGCCTGCTTAATTTTTGTATTTTTAGTAGAGACGGGGTTTAGCCATGTTGCTCAGGCTGGTCTCGAACTACTGGCTTCAAGTGATCTGCCCGCCATGACATCCCAAGTGCTGAAATTATAGGCATGAGCCACTGCGCCTGGCCTTGCTATGTAATTCTTAGTTTGGTCCTCTATAATGTCTTCTGTCTTTGGCTGCCTTGAAGATACTATTTTCATTTTTGATTTTAGCAGTTTGAATATGATATGTACATGTAGGGGGGCAGGGGAGTGGAAAGGGAATCTAATATGCTTCCTTTATATCTGTCATTAATTTTGGAAAATTGTTAGTTCTATAAATGTTTTATTTGTCCTGTTTTCTCTGTATTTTCTTTCAGGAATTCCAAGTATTCCAAAATTAAATCATCTGATGCTTTCCCAAACTCTTGGCTACTTTATTTTTCTTTTTTCACTTTTTTTTTTGGTACACTACGTGTGTTAGTTTAGACAATTTCTGTTGAGCTGTCTCCAAATTCTCTAATTTTGCTTTACATGTTTCAAATCCACTGATGAGCCACCAAAGGCAAAGATATTCATACTTGTTACTATTTGTTTATTTTTATCCCCATCATTTTCCATTTGATCCATTCTTAAACTTTCCATCTCTCTGTTGAAATTACCCATTCAATAATGCACACTGTCCTGTTTTTCTACAGAAGATTTAAGTATTGATCATAGTTAGTTAAAGTTTTCTGTTTGAGAGTCCCAAAATGCATGTCATGTTTCAATTTGCTTCTGTTTATTACTTTGTAATACTTTTACAATTACTTTGTAATACTGTTACAATTAGTCTCTTGACAATAAGGTTTTTTAAAAATATTACTTCTTTATATGCCTTATAATTTTTAATTGAAACCCAGACATCTTGTGGAGGAAGACAATTTGTATACTTGAAAATTAACATGCTTTTCCTTTATTCTGAACTTCATTTTGGGGAGTTGAGTCAATCCATTCAGGAATTGAGCTGTGTTTGTAATTTGGCTTTTCCATGTATACTCTTTCTGTACTACAGGCCACAGATTTTTAGTATCACCTGTGTTTAGATTGAGATCTGGCTTTTTACAAATGTTTACCCCTTTTCCTGCACCATTGGAATTTTTTTCACTCTGCTCTTGCCTCTTTTTCAGAAATATATATATTTTAAAGTTGTTATTTGTACTTTTGTTAGTCTAGTGTGTGAGTGAGAGTAGGATGTTATCTCTGTCTTTATGAATAATCTTCAGTTTTGAGCATGCATAATGTCTGTCATTGAATCTTCCAGTTGGGGACCCCCTCAGTTATCCTGCCCCATGCCCAGCAGTAGGTCTGGGCCTAGCACATATTTATATCCCTCCTCCACTGATTTTTCTCTTCCCTTCCTTCAGCTGTAGCGCACCTTCACCAATGAACTAAGTAGTGTGACCAAGTGTCCTGGCTTGACTGAGACTGAAGGTTTTCTCAGAAAATAGGACTTAGTTTTAAAATCATGACATCCCCAGGCAAACTATATAATTACTCTGGGACTAAAAAAGTTTCCAGACATGGGAATTTTAGTGCTAAACAGGGAAAGTTGAAAACAAACCAGGTAAATTGGTCACCCAAGAACTAAGGCAGATACGTAAATATATATATTTACATATATATATGTATATATATTCACACACATATATATGTATATGTGTGTGTGTGTACATACACATATATAATAAGCATACATATTTCCTGTGTTTATTTGATAGGGAGAATCTGGTCTCTTTAAAATGGTATGTTTCAACTATCATTCTGAATTAGGTGTCTAATTTAATTTCCTCCTAAATTTTATACTGTAGATCATATTCATATTTTCTACAACACCATGCTATATTCAGATTATGTATTAGTATTATTCCCAGTCTGGTACATCTCAAAGTTTTTAGGAATTTCTCTTAAATCCCTGAAAATATAGAAGAAAACTAAAACTGTAATTGTAAAATAAGAAACTATTTGCTTTCTTTTACAGTGAAAGATTTCTTATAATTACAGTAAAATTTTTCTTATAATTTTTGAGTTTCATAAAGCGTGTTCTACTCAGGGTTACTAAATTAAAAAACAAAACAAAAGAAAAACAGAAACTTCATAGTAGCCATACTATGTATCTATTGGGTAGGAAAATATAAATTTAAAAAAGATTCCTCAGACTTTAGTGACATAAATCCAGCCTGTGTGAAATTCTCTGAATTGCAGGCAAAATATTTGAAATATTTCACTTTTCTAAGCATAACAAATTATGATTAATTTCTATGTGATAGAATATCTCCATTCTTGGAAACTTCAAAACTTTTTTAATGCATCGCCTGTTAGAAAATTTTTATTTTCACACAGTTCATGTGAGGTCAAATTAACTCTTATTTTGCATGAAAAAACCAACATGTACTAAGACTGAGTTGCTTGCCCGAAGTCATAGCTACTTAATAAAGAAATGTACTAGCGATTGTTTTTCTACATTCACCCTGAGAATTTCTCCGTATATCAAACTGCCTGCCATCTTATATCCTAAGATGTTAATATGATTTTTAAAATTTCCTTATCATGAACAATTTTGCATATTTTCTAACCTCAATTTTCTAACCTCTTTTACTTTGTAGAGATAGAGCCCATGTTTTCACAAAAGAAAAAAAAAAGACTGGGAAGAAGTAATTTTATTCTTACTCTGCCTATCTTAATATTCAGTCTTTTGAGGGAATTATATGTAGAACCTAAAAACTGTCCTGAATATTTTTAGATTAGCTTAGTCTTCTATTTTGTCTGAATATTCTTAAATTTCACTCCTAAATATATGTTGTTTTTCACAAAGTGATAAAAAAGTTATCAATTTAAATTAAGCAACTTTGGTATGATACAAACCAATGAAATGTTATGATTGCAACATCTGCTAAGTAAATGTACATTTTCTTTGATCTTTATGACAAAACGATGGTTGTAAAAGTTTTATTAACAAGCCACCTTGCATTCAGAAATAGGTGCTTTGTCAAGACAATTGTATAAACTTATAAAGAAAAGTTAATGTGTCACATGTTTCTGTCAAGACTATAATATCAAGTTCTAGTCATTTCTCAATAACATATTTATTATTCATGTTATGCACAGGCTTTAAATCCAACATGGCATATTTATTAGAAGAATTAAAACAATGTACTATTTCTCATTTTACACTGCAAACAGAAAAGATCAGACAACAGTTACAATTTAATTCTTAGTATCTTGATTTGGGCCACCAATAATACATTTTATGGTTTAAAGGCATCCAGTATTTCACCCACAATTGTCATTTATTTATATTAACCACAGTTGACTTCTAAAAACAGAGTTGAAGATACTTAAGGGACAAAAAGTCTTTCACAGGAAGGGGAAATTTTGGAAAAGCTGTCTTGGTCATCTTTTTTATTTGCATGCTTATTCCCCAAATTTTCTGAGAATTATTGCCATCTCCATCCATATGATTATCATGAAAAGAATACTTTTGTAAAATATAATTCTACCCTTTTATACAAAGTTGACTGGTAAAATGACAGGAAACTGGTCAAAGTTCTGTCAACCAGTTGTTTATGGGGTGTAGAACTTGAAAGATTGATCAGTCTTTGAGAATTTGAATATAGCATGCTGTGTAAATTAGTGTTAAGGCTGACTGTTAATAGAAGAAACTCAACTATGGGGGCTTAGGTGAGTTGAAGCTTATAGTCACCTCACATTTTGAAGATGTCTAGAGTTATGTATTCTACCGTTGGTTTGGTGATTCCATGGTAATCAGGGAACTGAGTTCCTTCTGTCTTTCTACTCTGCCATCCTTAGCACTGATTTCCACTTTCTTGTTGATGGCATCCCTCAAGGTGGCTGCTAGTGCTCCAGCCATCATTTCTGCATTTCACTTAGTTGGAAGGAGAAATGAAGTAAAACCTCAAATGCTTATGACTTATTCCTGAAGGAATTTTGCTTATATTTGTTTGGCTACTACTTATAAAAAATTGGAGGTTAGGAAATGTAGTTTTTATTCTGTGAGGCATAATAATCATCTATACATTGTGGTTATAGTATACGTGATGGGAAAAAAAGGTATTGGATCAGTAAGTAGAAACCTGTCATGAAAGTGAGAATTACGAGGCTGATCATGGCTGTGTTCTGTCATTGAACTAAAGAACAGAAAAAAAATGTTTCTAAAGAACAAAGAAAGGCAGATATCAAAACAAACAAACAAAAAAAACATACATGAGTGAGAGAAAAATAATTCTGCAATGGAGTCCTCATTCTATAAATTGCTGTCTATTATTTTTATCTTCTTCAATTTTCTACATTTCAAAGCCTGACAATAATATTTGTTGCATAAAGTTGTTTTTAAAATTAAAATATAACTTTATTTTGAGACAGAGGCTGGCTCTGTTTCTCAGGTTGGAATGCAGTGGCATGATCGTAGCTCACTGCAGCGTCAACCTCCCAGGTTCAAGCAATCCTCCCACCTCAGCCTCGCAAGTAGCTGGGACCACAGGTGTGCACCACCACACCCATCTAATTTTTGTATTTTTTGTGGAGATGGAGTTTTGCCATGTTGCCCAGGCCTGATGTCAAACTTCTGGGCTCAAATGATCTGCCACCTAGGCCTCCCAAAGTGCTGGGATTATAGGCATTAGCCACCAGATTCGGCCTTCACTGTTAAGAATCTGTGAATTATAATGCACTATAAAAAGGAGAGTTTTAACTGTTTTGATGGTAATGTGAGTTGACCCCAGAATGTGACAATGCTTTGAGAATTCAAATGGTTTACAGCAAGACTGATTATAAATTATGAAAAAAAATAGTGCTAAGCACTATTTGATGGAATCCAGACTGATGGAGGAGATAGCAATAAATAAATAAATAACAGAAGGAATACAGTTCTTGACTCAGCAGTATTCCAGAATTCCAGTTAATAAAGATTTGTCATCCCCAGTTATTGTTTTAAATCCTTCTCTAAAATCACTTCCAATAAAGTATAATCCAAATTACTTTTTATGGAAAGGATTCTGACAAATACAAGTACAGGTTTCTGATGGCTTTGGAGATCATACCATTGGACTAGGAAAGAACTTCCAGGACTCTAATTAAAAAGCTGCGTGAAGATTACTTATGTGACAATGAGTAGAACACGAGTTGATTACATGGTTCTGAACTGATACAGGACTAAAAAGATTTTTTTAATAAAGTTTTTATTTGAAATATTGCTGATTCTCCTTATGTTTTGTTTTCCAGAGTCAAAAAAACCCTCTTTTCTTTTGATCCATTTCTAACTTGAAACAAATTAGATAAAATATAATTTTGTGAACAAAAATTTGAAATATTTATCCTACTCTCTTCTTGGTTGCTCCAGAATTTGGAGGCTATTTGTGAATATTCTTAATTTATGACAATGTCATTATTTGTATACATTCAATAAGAATCTATTTTCTTTTTAACATGGCTCAAGTGGAGACATTGATGGTTTTACCAAGACTTTGGAATGGCATATTTTCAGATATGACTAGATCTCTTTCTGGAATTGGTTGACTTTATAGAGCTGATAAAAAGCCCATTAAAATGATTGACCTGCTACCTTCTCTACACAGTTTCCGTACAAAGTTTCTGTCCTTGAGTAAGAAAAGAATGCAATGGGACTCCTTTTTTAATGAATGGTTCTGAGATAACTGGCTAGACATATGCAGAAGATTGAAACCAGACCCCTTCATTATACCATATACAAAAGTCAACTCAAGATGGACTAAAGATGGACTTAAATGTAAAACCTAAAACTATGAAAATCCTGGAAGATAACCCAGGAAATAACATTCTGGACATAGTCCCTGGCAAAGATTTCATGACAAAGTCATCAAAACCAATTACAGGCTGGGCGTCGTGGCTCATTCCTGTTATCCTAGCACTTTGGGGGGCCAAGGCAGGTGGATCACGAGGTCAGGAGTTTCAAACCAGCGTGACCAACATGGTGAAACCCCATCTCTACTAAAAATACAAAAATTATCCGGGCATGGTGGTGAATGCCTGTAATCCCAGCTACTCAGGAGGCTGAGGCAAGAGAATCACTTGAACGTGGGAGGCGGAGGTTGCAGTGAGCCGAGATCGCGCCACTGCACTCCAGCCTGGGTGACAGAGTGAGACTCCCTATCAAAAAAAAATAAACAATTACAACAAAAACTAAAATTGACAAATAGAACCTAATTAAACCAAAGAGCTTCTGCACAGAAAAATAAACTGTCAACAGAGTACAGACAACCTACACAATGTGAGAAAATACTTGCAAACAGTGCAGCCAACAAAAATCTAATATATAACCTCATTAAGAACTTAAATCAATAAGCAAAAAAACAAACAACCATATTAAAAAGTGAGCAAAGTACATGAACAGACACTTTTCAAAAGACAAGCACGCAGCCAACAAGTACCTGAAAGAAATGCTTAACATCACTAATCATTAGAGAAACATAAATTAAGACAACAATGATATACCATCTCACATTAGTCAGAATGGCTATTATTTGTCCAAAAATAACAGATGCTGGCAAATTTGCAGATAAATGGACACTTTAACACTGTTGGTGGGAGTGTAAATTAGTTCAACTGTTGTGGAAAGCAGTCTGGCAATTCCTCAGAGAGCTAAAAACAGAACTACCATTTGACCCAGCAATCCCATTACTGCGTATATGCCCAAAGGAATATAAAATGTTTTACCATAAAGACACATGCACTCATATGTTCATTGCAGCACTATTCACAATAACAAAGACATGAAATCAACCTAATACCCATCAGTGGTAGACTGGATAAAGAAAATGTGGTGTAAATACACCATGGAATACTACACAGCTGTAAGAAAGAATGAGATCATATCCTTTATGGGAACATGGATGGAGCTGGAGGCCATTATCTTTAGCAAACAAATGCAGGAATAGAAAAAAATATACTGCATGTTGTCACTTTCAAGTGGGAACTAAACATTGATTACACATGGACACAAAGAAGACAACAATAGACACTGAGGTCTACTTGAGTTTGGAGAGTTGGGGGAAAGTGAGGATTGAAAAACTACCTATCAGGTACTATGCTAATTACCTACATAACAAACCTACACATGTATCCCTGAACTTAAAATAAAAATTTAAAAAATGGCACTTTCTTACAGTCTTGAGAGCCTCAAGATAATTTAGGACTTCAAAAAGAGAGGAATGCACTCACTCATACAGGTATTACAGGCACAGTCTCATGACAAATCTTTGGTATAGCTAGCCTGAAAGCATTTAAAGTCCAAGATCACTTATTAAAAATTTCCAGCAAAGCAATTTCTTTCAAAGATCCTATAGTGCGCTGTTCTTGCTGCACTTTATGTAAATAATTAGGCCAGGTATAATAAGACTAAAACTTATTTTATACACAAATTATTTCTATTGTGATTTGCTGTGGTAAAAACGAGAAATTGGAGGGAGAAAAAAACTATATTTCAAAAGAAAACTTAAACACATCTGTTATTAGATTCCAACTCTGACTATTGTTTTAGAGATTGTATTATTTGCCTATAATCTGGACTAAATCCTAAATCATTTTCTGGTTCCTGCATGTCTGTTCTTAAAAATCTGGAAATAATATATTAAAACCCTTGTTTTCATGGATCTCATCAGGAAAAATGATGTATTTTTGAAATATTACTTAAGCTAGGAATTAAAATTTTGTATGTGTTGGGATTTCTCTTCCTTTTCATCAAGTCCTATATACCTGCTGTTTGTTTCACAGTTTTTCTTTAAATCAACATTTTCTGTACATCAGATGATTACCCAATATGCAAAAGAGTTCTCTGACCCACCTGTCTGACCACAACCTGGGAAACATGAATGTTTACAATTAAATATTTTAAAATATCATTTCTTAGACCCACAAATGCAACACTAGTCAGCAAGAAGTAGCTAGAGTTGTCATTGCTCTTAATATTCATAATTGAGGAATGTATGTAGGATAGGAAGAACTGAAATGATGCTCCAAACAATTAAAGACATCAATGAGTAACATAAATTCTTAAATTTTCAGGATAGCAGATTAAAAACAACAACAATGTATATGCAGAAGAATGAAACGAGGCTCCTATGTTTCACCATTTGCAAAAATCAAATCAAAATGGATTAAAGACTTAAACCTATGACCTCAACTATGAAATTACTATAATAAAATATTGGGGAAAATCTCTAAGACATTGATCTGGGCAAAAATATTGAGCAATACCCCTTAAGCACAGGCAACCAAAGCAAAAATGGACAAATGGTGTCACATCAAGTTAAAAAGCTTCTGCCCAGCAAAGGATACAGTTAACAAAATGAAGAGACAACCCACAGAATGGGGGAAAATATTTGCAAACTGCTCATCTGACAAGGGATTAATAACCAGAATGTATAAGGAGCTCAAACAACTCTATGGGAAAAAAACTAATAATCCAATTTAAAAATGAGCAAAATATTTGAAAGGACATTTTTCAAAAGAAGACACACAAATGGCAAACAGGCATATGAGGAAGTGCTCAACATAATTGATTCTCAGCAAAATGCAAATAAAAACTACAATGAGATATTCATCTCACCCCAGTTAAAATGGCTTATACCGAAAAGACAGGAAATAATGAATGCTAATGAGTATATGGAGAAAAGGGAACCCTCGTACACTGTTGGTGGGAATGTAAATTAGTATAAACACTATGGAGGACAGTTTGGAGGTTTCTCAAAATCTAAAAATACAGATATCATATAAACCAGCAATCCCACTGCTGAATATATAACAAAAATAAAGGGAATCAGTGTATTGAAGAGTTATCTGTACTCCTATGGTTATTGCAGCACTGTTTACAAAAGCTAAGATTTGGTAGCAACTTAAGTGTCCATCAATAGAGTGGATAAAGAAAATAAGGTACATATACATAATGGAGTACTATTTAGCCATAAAAAATAATGAGATCATGACATTTGCAACAACATTAATGGAACTGGTGGTCATTATTTTAAGTGAAATAAACCTGGCACAGACAAACTGTGCATGTTCTCACTTATTTATGGGGTCTAAAACTTAAAACAATTGAATGCATGAACATGGAGAGTAGAGTGATGATTACCAGAGTCCGGGAAGGGTGGTGAGGTTGAGGGGAGATAAGGATGGTTAATGGATATGAAAAATAGTTAGAAAGCAAGAATAAGACTTACTATTTGATAGCACAGCAGGGTGACTATAGTCAATAATAACTTAATCATACATTTAAAAATAACTAAAGAATGTAATTGGATTTTTTGTAACTAAAGAAAAATGCTTGAGGGGATAGATAACTCATGCTCCATGATGTGATTATTTCACATTGCATGCCTATATCAAAACATCTCATGTACCCCGTAAATATATACACCTGCTACGTAACCACAAAATAAAAAGTGAAAAAGAAACCACCTGCTGAAATGCTGAAACTCCCTCAGTTTATGAGGTAAAAGAACTGGTTCAAATTCAGCTGGAACCAATATGGCTGCCTGGAGTCTGTGCAGAATGAGCATACTGACATCACAGCCTGAAATTCTACTGCATGTTTCATATCAGATCCTGCTAAATTCACACATACACCCCATGAGGTAGCATGAAGACATAATTGCCCTTGTCCAAAGACTTTCCTGACTTCCCCTTTCCTTCCACCAATCACTGATAAAAATATTGCCTTAAAATCAGCATGGAGAGATAGATTTGACCTTTACTCCTGTTTCCTTGTGAGTTGACTGGCAATATAGAGCTTTTCTTTTCTCAAAGGAAAAAAAAAAAAGTAATGTCACACGTAGTCTGATTTTGTGTAAGGATATTTGCTCTGTCTCACACCAGGAGCCTCTGAAGACTTTCATCTCTAGATTCTCAGGACATTTCACTTGACCGGATTCCCTAAATGAAACTTTTTATTTGACTGTAAGCTCTAAAGGGCAAGGCAGTCTTCCAGGACTCTTCATTCGCTTTTATTACTATATAAATTGGGGAGATTTATACTTAAAATTTAATTCCACTGGGAAACCATGGTCCTTAGAAAATTTGATCATAATTGCATTCAGAAGTACTGCTATTTTCATTAGAATATTTATCTCGGATTCTTCCTATTTTTTCTGGAAGAGGTTTAGTGCTTTTCCCTAGGGCAGGAGATGCGCTTCACCAGAGAGGGAAACACTAATGATTTCAAAGAGATAAAAATTGTTAATGGAAAAAGAAAGTATGTTAATAATTTATGCTAGCGATTTACAATAGATACATATTGAAGTCATTGAAATTTGGATTATTGAATAATCACAGTAACAGTCTAATTAATATAATAAGGTGTAAGTAAAACTGAAAAAATATGTATAGATTCCTAATATAAGTTGAACTCGCCTTTGCAGTTACACACAGAATAATGGTACCACTGCATTTATTTATTTATGTCTTATCTATTTATTTATTGTGCCCTTTAACTAAATAGATATTTGATAAATTTTAACTACATATGTCATTAGGAATCCAGCGATATATATGGCATCATCTTCCCTTTTCAAGAAAGTGGCAATCTATGAATCTGTGCTATTTGAGATAGCACAAATATGTGATACATATTAGTGTCATGAGTACTACAAACCACTTATGAAATTGTCTGATTAGAAGGATTGCAAAAAATAATAACAGCTATAAGATAAGATATTGCATTTATAAATGTGTGTAGATATTCTGAATATAAAGGATTAGTTTTCACTATTTCTTTAAACCGTAAGATACTGATTGCTGTGAAAAGCATTACTACCTTCAAAGTGATCCACAAATCCATTTTTTCATCTCTGATCTCTATCAACTTCTATATTTTCAGTCTTTATTATTTGTTTCCTTATGATCTCCTGTGATTCCTTAACATTATTCAAAATGTTCAATCTAAACATGTTGTACTTCACAACAGATACTCCCTCCTGACTTTTGTATATGATTATAATATCACCATATTCTCAGCTACTTAAGACCTGTGGCCCCAAATCATTAGTAATAATCTCTTTCTTTAGTTCATTATGTCTAGTCAGCCACAGCTCCTGTGTTTTCTCTTTGTTCATTCTCTCGTAAGTTATCTTTTCTTTTTCACATCTACCATCCCTGCCAGTATATGAAACATATTAGTTCATTATTCTCGTTTTGGCATCAATGTTAATTAGGCTTTATAAAATTATTTAGGAAGCTAATATGGCTATTAATTATGGCTTGCCTAAGTAGGGGATGGGCTGGGATATTGCACAGCTAAAAGGGTATAACGTGGTGATCTGAAGAACTGCTGTAATTTTCCAGAAATAGTGGTTTCTGCCTTACTTCCGTCTGGTAAATCATACACAAGTTTATCTCATTTGCAAAGTCAATCCCAGAGCCATATTACAAAGAGGGAACTTTCCTACACTGCTAATAAGAGTGAATGTTTATGCCACCATTTGGAAGAAAAAAAGTTGGCATTATGTACTAATAAACAGAATATATTCAAACTTGAAATGTCATACAGCTGTGGAAATAAATATTTTCAATACCATGCATGACTCTAACAAAAATAATATTGAGCAAAAAAGTTACACACTGAGAATAAAAACAGATTAAACTTAACCACAATGATTACCAAAATGGGTTTAGAGAGTACAATTTAAAAGAAAAGGAAAGAGTGATTAGCGTAAAAATTAGAATGACTGTAACATTTTAGGAAGGGAGAGAAGGAACAGCAAGTGAAAGAAGAAATTAGGGTTATTTGGAGTGAGAGAGGTGGGGGTTACTGGCAGTGTTTTATTTCTTGTCCATGGTGGAAATAAAATCGGTATTCATTTTGCGATAAATTATTCTGTATATTTTCCCTTAAGTGTGTTATAATTTTTAATAAAGAAACACTCAAAGCTGTAATATGTAGAGGAAATTTTACATGTAAATTATTTTTCCAAAGTATAAAATTAAAAAACAATCATAGGGCAAAAGGAGCAGCAAGAAATAATTCTTCAAGGCAATGACAAACTTTAAAAGGTTCAGATAATGTGAATTGTAGATGTGCTGTTCTATCTATAAAATTGGTCTGATTGTGTACACATGTTGGGCCCCTGTTAAAGTAACCTAATAGGAAAAAATGCTTATGTAAAATGCAAGTTGAAAGTGTCCTATCTTCCTGTGAGTAAGGACTCTATTTAAAAGGAATCGGAGAGAACACAATCAGGGAAGGCTCATAAAACTTGCACCAGTTGTGAAAGTTATCTGGAGAGTTATTTATTGCTAAAAATAATAAACCTGAAACATGATTTTCAAAGTGAAAGTTATATAAGAAAAGAAATGTGAAGAAGGATATTACAAAATTGCCAGGTAATAGGAGGCCAAGCACCATGTCTAAAAGGGGAAGAAAATGCAGTAAGCTGTGCTTCATACTTCCTACTCCATTAATCTTCTATTCTACAGCTATATAAGTCTCTAGTCCTGAAAGAGTTTTTGATTTTTTTATTAAGATTAGATTTCATGGTTTCATATCCATAAAATTTAACTTTAAATTCCAATTTTGTGGGACAGTCTATGTAGAATAAAACCTGTTTAATGTAAACCTATATGTAGTAAGAGAAATGCTTTTCATATAAAAATGATTTCAAATTTCAAACCACACAATTCACAGTAAATCTTTATGGTCAGTGCCAATGCCAGTTTATATCAAGGATATAATCAATATAATCTACAGGTCACGGTTGACATTTTGTTAAATATGATACTCACTATAGTGAACATTCTGTCAATTGATGACCAACACCATTGAAAATTGGACTATACATTTATTTTACAAAATATACATAGCAAAGAATTTTAGTTGGTTTGTTAGTTAATTAGTTTATATACCTTCACATTTCTCATATCATACTGTAGAGACCCCCTCTGGTCCATAAATAATACATTTATTTCCTTCCCCCTTCTATAATATATGACTACTGATTCCCATTAATAATTACTATATTCCTACCCCCACTCTCCCTGTTGGACAATTTGTCTCCAATTACTTTCAACCATTTCTTTCTCAAGAATATATATTTTTATGATTTTTGTTGTCTCCTGTATGAGCCAGAATCCCAGGAGGAAACAGATGGCCCACTCAGAAATGGGGTCATTGGAGGAGTTTAATAAAGCATCTAATTATAAAGTTGTGGGTGAGGTTAAGGGAACTATCAGAGAGGAACAGTGCCCTAGGGCTGGCGAACTTTAATGAGCATGGGTTAGAAGGGTTTCTGCAAGTCAAAGAGAACTGTGTATTGAGATTGTGATGTTTCCTGGAGGCAGTGAAGGAACCTCGGCAATAGATACCCTGTCCACACACTAGCCCACCCTATGTTCTACTGCCAAAGCCTCCCACCAGCTGAAACTAACTGTAACCAGAGGGCAAGGGAGATTGCTCATCAAATCCAGAAAGATAAACCTCACAGAGGCACTTTGCAAGGCAGACAAAGATAAAATGAACAAAGTATGTGTCACATATTTACAAAATAACACGGGAAAGACCTCACATTCTTGTGGTGGCACATTATAATTATTTATGGGCCCATTATATATTTTCTTTTGAAGTTATTTCTGATGAATTGACTTGTAATCTTAATTATTGTGCATTATCAACTCTGTATCCTGTACATTTTACTTTTTAAATGAAAACATAAAATGAGTTCAAAAATCCTATTAGCTCAAAATGAGTTCAAAAATCCTATTAGCTCACTAGTTTAGATCTTTCTACCCTGCAGAACAAATACGGATTTTGAATCAGAAAAAAATGACTTCAGTTCTGACTCTTTTGTCTTTGTAAGATATGTTATTTTGTACTTTGTAAGATGAGACTTATTTTCTTTTTTTAAAAGAGATTGTAATAATACCTAATAGAGTTTTTGAAGGAATAAACTAATATTTTAAGGTGTCTAAATACAGTTATGTGTTTGTGCTCTCTCTGAGACAGAGACTGACAGAGACTCTTGTATGCAAAAAGCAGAAAAACAAATCAGTGGATGTGAAACAAGGAAGACAGCCAATGTAAGTGCATTTCTGAGTTCATCGCTGCCATTTGTCACTGATGTTTGATTACACCTGTCCGTTATAAATTTCCTTATTAAATGCATCTAAGAAATGACTCCCCAGGGGACAAAGCAATAAAGCCCATATCCATAAGTTCTAATTTTCTACTGATAATGGGCTGACCCTCTAGTGTTCTCACCCTCACATCATAAGGGTGAACATGCATGACTGCACAGTTTCCTGAGGACACTGCATGCAAAACCTGCCTGGAACAGGTTGCTACAGCTGTGGATAGAGTATGAGTGTAGAATGAAAGGATTTTGAAGTGGTACATAAGAAATGTCCAGTGCAATTCTTGACACTTGATAAGTATGTTAAGGGCTATAAATATAAATATAAACATTTTTATTAATTAACCACTAAATATTATTAATATAATAATGCAATAAATCAGAGTATGACATTACCACTGTGTGAGATAAAATGTTCTAAGAATTTGAACATAGCACTATACAGGTAAAAAAGAACTCTGACAATAACTGTCAACCTTGGAATTGGAATGCAATGACATAAAATGAAAACTTCCCATTCGACTTCTCAAAGTTAATTCTTACATATGCCTCTCTTTTCCTTTCTTAACTTCACCTTTATTAAAAAATATTTTATCCAAATAAAATATTTCAAGTTCAGCAACATCATTCATTCATTTGTATTGGCTACCTACTGTGTGTCAGATATTTTTCCAGGACCTGAAGATACCACAGTGAACAAAAAAGTTTCAAGTCACTATGCTGATTGAGCTTACATTCTAGTGGTGGAAACAAATAATTGAAGGCGAAAGGGCCCATTGATGGAAAAGCATTGCATGTAGAAAGAACAGCTGTGCAAAGGACTCAAGCATGACTTATGTATTTAGAAAAATGTAAGGAGGCCGGTGATACAAGAATGTAGTGAGTGATGGAAAGAGTTATTAAGAGAAGTTAGAGAGGATACAGGTCCAGATTTTGTAGCTTTCCATGTAATTGTACACGTTGGACATTTGATGAATGAGAGAGATAGCCACTGGAGAATATCAAACTGAAGAATATAAAGGGATCACTTTGGCTCCTGTGATGAGAAAAATATTTTGGGATGCAAAGATAGAAGAAGATGCATTATTGCAGTAATGCAAGTAGTTTGGTAGTAGTTTAGTACAGTATGGTAGCATTGGAGATGGTAAATAATGATGAGATACCAGATGTATTTTGTAAGTATACACATTAAGTCTTTCTGATGGATTTGACAAAGAGTATGAGGAAGAAAAATGTTAGAAGTGACTGAGTGAGGTTTGAGCATGTGGGAGGATATTGTTGCCATTGACTAAATTGAAAACTTGAGAAAAAACAAACATATTTTGGAAGGAGATTAAGTGTTTGTTTTTTGATGTATTACATTTGAAATGCATTTGTTATTGACACTGAGATATTGGATGAGCATTTAGATACATGAGACTGGAGTTGGGATAAGAAGCCTAGAAGGCTGGCCAGGTGCAGTGGTTCATGCCTGTAATCCCAGCACTTTGAGAGGCTGAGGCGGGCAGATCATGAGGTCAGGAGTTCAAGAACAGCCTGGCCACATAGTGAAACGTCGTCTCTACTAAAAATACAAAAATTAGCCGGGCATGTTGGCATGTGCCTATAGTCCCAGCTACTTGGGAGGCTGAAGTAGGAGAATCACTTGAACCCAGGAGGTGGAGGTTGCAGTGAACCGAGATCACGCCACTGCACTCTAGCTTGGGGCAACGGAGTGAGACTTCATCTCAAAAAAAAAAAAAAAAAAGACTAAAGACTAGAATGCTAATAAAAATTAGGAAGTAGTCAATAAAAAGATGTTATTTGAAGTCAGGAAACTGGATGAGAACATCAAGAGATGAGTGTCAAGAAAGAGCAGACTAGGGCAAGGGACTGGGCTCTGGGGAATCCCAACGTTTATTTGTTGGAAATATGAGAAATGACCAGCAAAAGAGACTGAGACAGAGTAGCCAAAGAGTTAAGAGAATGAGAAGTATATGGCATCTTGGAAGCCAGGGGGAAAACACAATTTCAGTGAAGCAGGAGTAAGTAATATTATGAAATATTGCTGAGAGTTCAAACAAGATGAGGAGTGAAAGCTGATATCCAGCTTTAGTCAGTGGAGATAACTATTGATTTTAATAGGAGCAGCCTGAGTTGAATTCTAGAGAAAAAAAGACATTGGATATGAAAGAAGAGAAAGTAAGAGAGGAGAGGACAGGAAATGGTGACAGTGTGTATAGATTTGATTTTTAGATACATGTCTGATCAAAAACTGCACGCTAAGTTTTTATTTAAAAACATAGCTTAACTGGCAGACATTTAAGCATTATTCTACCATTTCCTAAACGCTCTTCAGAATAAACCTGGGCAGATTTTCTGCTTCTCTTAAGCAACAAAATCAAAACAGAAAAACAACACAGACCAATCTCAGCTATTTTCAAATTTCATGATATTTGGGTTGCTTTCACTAAACATTTTTTGGGGGGTGCAGGAGGCTGGGTACACATACCATTTAGGGGAAATAATGCATGTTGCAAAAATAGATGGTTAAAATTCAGCAAACCTTCCAAAAAAGACCTATTTATTTTGATTTTATGGTTATATATCTGCTTGTTTGTCTGCATGTATTCATTACAACCTATAATAAATGACAGAAGTTCAGAAATCACTTTCTTCTTCTCCTTTCTCCCTTTCATTTTTGCCCCCACTTTACAAATGCTCAATCAGTATGAAGAATGTAACTACTGTGTTATTGTGCCAGTCATCTTTCCAGTCCTGAATCATCTCTCTTCTTTTAATTAAGTCTATGTATTATTTATTTATTGTACTTTTATAAAATACTATGAGGCTGCTGTTTGTCTTTATACCGTGGAATACTTTGTCAAAGCAAATAAGTGGGGTCAATAGGTATCTTTACAATCCTCTTGGCTCCAGGAACTGAAAAATGAATGGCTTCCAGGGGCAAACATTGACCCGCGTTTTCACGAGTGAGAAATATTTTTTTAAAAAACATGTTTTTTAATGTATTTTTACTTCAAATTGTTCACTTTTTTTTAACCATCTTAAGGTTGACGTGAGATACTCACAACTGCTTGGTGACTTTATAAAATTACCGTGTCACTCCACATAAACTCCTTTATAGAGGCATTCATTTTCAGCAATACCACACATCATCCTCTGGCTCCCACTGGCAGTAATCCCAGCTCCTTGTGTATGTGTTGGGAGTTTTGCTCACTTACTGACGTTTAGAGCCAAAACCCCCTTTTATTTTTCTGGGGGTCTGGGTAAAGTTGTGTAAAGGTTAATTGTGTGAAAGTTGTTACCTTTCAGATGAGTATATTTACATCTGCTTAGTACATCTGCCAACAAAGTATAGCCTTTAGAACCTAACTAAAAGTATATAATTTTTTTTCATGAAGTACATGCTGCATATTATGTCTGTGAGCTCAGTTCAGTGAATTAAGTTGGAAAAATTCTACCTTAAATATAATATTGTACTTGTTTTGGCTATTAAAACAATGATCTTACTGCTTAGTCATATGTAATATGCAATATGAACATAAATATATATGATACATAAGAGGTCCATTTGTACAAAGTTGTAATACGAAATCTAAACTAATACTGCTATAGAGACTCTTAAAGAATACAAGTTTTTTGGAAATAGCTGTCATTACCTTAGAGTAAAATTACCTATTATCAGAAGAGCATTTGAAGAACTCTCTTTAAAAAATTATTGTGTTCTCAATGTATTATTTTAACACATTGATTTTTCACATTTCCTGGTTAATATAATGACTAATTAGAAAAATAATGATGTTCATTTCTTTCCAAAACTCCCCTTGCTCCTTGTTTGATTATTCATACCTCTCTTGTTTTCTCTCTATTGTTTTTCAATAAAATGGGCAAGTTGGAGTTTTTGAATAGTAGGGATTACTTGCAGTTTTGTTTATCTAAATTGTCTGGCAATGGCTGTAGTTCTGTTTCTCTTCAGCTATGGAGAACTGAGAAGAAACATTACCACACCTGTCAAGAGGAAATAGCGAAGAACATAATTTCACCAGAAATATGCATCAATTCAGAGCATCTATGGATACTTAGGGAATTTGAGGTCCTAAAGTAATGTATCAGAGGAACCATGAAGTATATGTTAAACTCAAAGGTTCTTTTTCCTATAAAACTACATAAAGGAGTGTATAAGCAGTATTAGTATTCATTTCATGAAGCTACTTATGTTTCTGTGTGTCTTATTTTAAAAATGAGAATCTTTAAACATTGAAGGCTCAAATTAGAGACTATTGTCATAAGTTATGGTGCATTACATATTTCAAGAGTCAATGCAGCTCCATGATTTGAAAGCCATAAAATGTAATATTAAAGTGAATCTAGCATTTTGTTTGATAAAATATTATTGAACAAGTAAAATTTAGTTGAATGAAGAAGAACTGAGCCTGTGTCAGAACAGAGATGAATGCATTAGAGGTGCTTACTGGTTCTAGGACATTATATTTTAAACTTCAAACCGTGCAATGACCAAAATATCAAAAAAATTATACCAACTATCAGCTGGATCATATATTTTGAATAATGAAGTCACAACTAATATATGTTATTTCCTAAAATATAAAATCATTATTTACTCATAACTGCTTGGAGGTGCAAACAATTAGGGAACAAAAAAGCATCAAAATGCAGAAAGACTTAGAGATACAGGTAGTTGCAAAAGAATATAAAAGAGGGATTTTCTGGTGGTTACAAGGAAAAGGGGTCATCAAAGACCTTTCCAGAGTGATCCATGGTTCAGGGGAAGGAATCTGATGTGAGATTGTGAGTGTGTGTGTTCTTTGAGCTGTGGGAGTAGAAGCATAGAGTTCGTTTAGTAAACGTATACTGAGTGTTAAGCCCTGTGATGTGTAGCAGAGGGATAATGATAAATGCAGTATCACTCGAGTTAGAATCAATTCATTGACTATTATAACACATAAATGCTATATTAGTGTATCAATTATATGCTTTAGGGTAAAAGTTGCAATGCATCAAACTAAAATTATTTTAAAATGAAGGCACACCTATAAATCTCAAAATGTTGAAGCCCGGGAGTTCCAGGGCTGGATAACATAGCAAGTCAGTGATATTAGGACTCTGGGTTAACTTCTCTGGGATTCATTTGTCTTTTCCTTCTGGAGCATGTTACGCTATCCAATATCATATTACACAGCAATGTCCAAGACAATAAATGGCTTGGGGAATGTTATGAGATGAATTTCACTGCCACCGCCCGCCCCCCGCCGCCACATCAAATGTGAAACATTGAAGCCCTAATCCCCCAGCACCTCAGAATTTGGAGATAAGGTCTTTTTTAAAAAGTGGAAGTTAAAACCAAGTCATTAGGATGGGCCCTAATGAATCTGCCCGGTGTACCTTTAGGAGATAAATGTTAGGCACACAGAGACATCAGGGGCACCTGTGTGGAAGGGCAACCACGTGAAGAGACCCCAAGAAGGAAGACATCTGCAAGCCAAAGGGAAAGGTGTCAGAGGAAACCAAGCCTGCTGGGAACTTGATCTCGGACTCTCAGCCTCTAGAAATGTTAGAAAATAAATTTCTGTTGTTTAAGGGCACCCCATCTGTGGTATGTTGTTACAGCAGCCCCAGCAAATGAATTCAGGAAACATTCAGAGAGAGTGGGGTTTCCTTATGTTTCTCTCTTTTTAAACTGAGTGTAATCTTTCTCACTCTTAGCAGACTTTCTCTCAGGTCCTGATGGCTAAGACTGGGTCACATGCCCAGTACCTCACTGCAGCAGAAAAAGCTGCACATGTACATGTTTGGAATTTGAGCACATAAAAACTGATGTGGGGTCTTTCTAACCAAAAAGAAGAAAGAGGCTAGATATTGCAGTTGGGTAGGCAACTAATTATTTATGTAAATTAGAGGAATCTGAGGGAGTACAAGAGGGACATTTACTCAAATGCTAAAGTTTAGGCAGGGCAGTTTGCAAGACTCTGAGCAAATTGGGGAAAAAAAGTCATCTTTCTTAATTATATTTTACGACCATCTGTTATGTTTGTTGTAATAACTAAACAAATCTTACTCTAACTACAAGTATATAGTAGCTTTTGGAGTTATGGTAGCTAAAGTCTTAGGAAAACATAGATGGAGTATAGAATGCTTGAACTGAGTCATAATGGATAGGTAGGAATTAGTTAGATAAAAAAGAGGGAGTACATTGTAGCAGAGGGCACACAATGAGTAAGGTCACAGAGAAATAAAATACCATGGCAACACTGAAGAAATACAAGCTGTTCCATATTTTTGCTGCTTGAAACACATGTTAGGGAACAGTTAGAGCTAAAATGGGAGAGATTGACAGAGCCTGGTCATTGTGGTTCTGGAATAATGCCAAATTTTATGGCTTAGTAGACACAAATGCCATAAGATTAACACATACAGGAAGAGATAATACAGGAATAGAAGGTAGAAATGGTTTGAACATGTTGAGTTTGACACACTTATAGACCCAACTGTTGCATAGGGGCTACAACATGGGCTTAGATTTTATAGCATATATATTCCAATTCTTTTCTCTGTTCTTTGTTGGCTACAGAACTTTGAGAATATTATTTAACTTCTCTAAGCCTTAGTTTTCTCATACATGACATTTAATACAATAATGTTTCCTGAATCAAGGATTTTGTGGTATTCAAATATGGTCATATGTGTTAGACTAAATATTAAAGTTATACATATTAATAAAGTTCAGCTATTCTTCTTCCCCATATTTTTTACTCAACCTCTGATCTTCCTATTTATTGAAATAAAGGCATTCACTAAGTTTTTGCAGTAATCACATTTGAAGTAAGTTCATTTGAGAGATAGATTAAGGAGACATCATCATAAAGCAATGAAATTATGAAAATAGATGAAATTATTGTAAAGCCTGTAATGTCCAGAAGAGCAGTAACATTTAACAGAGGCATGAGAAATGCTAATTTAAAAAGATGACTGAAGAAAGAAATTTCCATTAAAGGTTTCAGGATGTTCAGAGAGATGATAGGCAACTTAAGAAAGTTTGTAATTTTATGTTTTTGAAGCAAGGTCTTAATCTGTTACACAGGCTGGAGTGCAACCTCAAACTACTGGGCTCAAATGATCCTTCCACTTCATCCTCCCAAGTAGCTAGGACTACAGGCGTGCACCACCATGCCTGGATAATTTATTTATTTATTTATTTTGTAGCGATTGGGTCTTGCAGTATTGCCCAGGCTAGTCTTGAGCTCCTGGCCTCAAGTAAGTCTCCTTCCTCAGCCTCCCAAAGTTTTGAGATTACAGGTGTGAGCCACTGTGCCTGTCAAAGAAAACTTTTTTTTTTTTCTAATGATATCCCTCCGCTAGCCCCGTACCCATCGACAGGCCCTGGTGTGTGATATTCCCCTCCCTGTGTCCATGTGTTCTCATTGTTCAAATCCCACTTACAAGTAATAACATGTGGTGTTTGGTTTTCTGTTCCTGTGTTGGTTTGTTGAGAATGATGGTTTCCAACTCCATCCATATCCCTGGAAAGGACATGAACTCATCCTTTTTAATGGCTGCATAGTATTCCATGGTGTATATGTGCCATATTTTCTTTATCCAGTCTATCATTGATGGGCATTTGGGTTGGTTCCAAGCCTTTGCTATTGTGAATAGTGCTGCAATACACATACGCGTGCATGTGTCTTTATAGTAGAATGATTTATAATCCTTTGGGTAGATACCCAGTAATGAGATTGCTGGGTCAAATGGTCTTTCTGGTTCTAGATCCTTGAGGAATTGCCACACTGTCTTCCACAATGGTTGAACTAATTTACACTCCCCTCAACAGTGTAAAAGTGTTCCTATTTCTCCACATCCTCTCCAGCATCTGTTGTTTCCTGACTTTTTAATGATTTCCATTGTAACTGGCATGAGATGGTATCTTATCGTGGTTTTGATTTGCATATCTCTAATGACTAGTGATGATGAGCATTTTTCATGTTTGTTGGCCATATAAATGTCTTCTTTTGAGAACTGTCTGTTCATATCCTTCCCCCACTTTTTGATGGGGTTGTTTTTTTCTTGTAAATTTGTTTAAGTTACTTGTAGATTCTGGATATTAGCCCATTGTCAGATGGATAGATTGCAAACATTTTCTCCCATTATGTAGGTTGCCTGTTTGCTCTGATGATAGTTTCTTTTGCTGTGCAGAAGCTCTTTAGTTTAATTAGATCCCATTTGTCAATTTTGGCTTTTGTTGCCATTCCTTTTGGTGTTTTAGTCATGAAGACTGCCCATGTCTATATCCTGAATGGTACTGCCCAGGTTTTCTTCTAGGGTTTTTATGGTTTTAGGTCTTATATTTAAGTCTTTAATCCTCTTGAGTTAATTTTTGTATAAGTTGTAAGGAAGGGGTTCAGTTTCAGTGTTCTGCATACGGCTAGCCAGTTTTCCCAACACAATTTATTAAATAAGGAATCTTTTCCCATTGCTTGTTTTTGTCATGTTTGTCAAAGATCATATGGTTGTAGATGTATGGCATTATTTCTGAGGCCTCTGTTCTGTTCCATGGTCTATATATCTGTTTTGCTACCAGTACCATGCTATTTTGGTTACTGTAGCCTTGTAGAATAGTTTGAAGTCAGGTAGCATAATGCCTCCAGCTTTGTTCTTTTTGCTTAGGAGTGTCTTGGCTCTATGGGCTCTTTTTTGGTTTCATATAAAATTTAAAGTAGTTTTTTCTAATTCGATGAAGAAAGTCAATGGTAGCTTGATGGGGATAGCATTGAATCTATAAATTACTTTGGGCGGTATGGCCATTTTCATGATATTGATTCTTCCCATCCATGAGTATGGAGTGTTTTTCCATTTGTTTGTGTCCTCTCTTTTTGTCTACAAACCACTTGAGTAGTGGTTTGTAGTTCTCCTTGAAGAGGTCCTTCACATCCCTTGTAAGATGGATTTCTAGGTATTTTATTCTCTTTGTAGCAATTGTGAATGGGTGGTCACTCATGATTTGGCTCTCTATTATTGGTTTATAGAAATGCTTGTGATTTTTGCACACTGATTTTGTATCCTGAGACTTTGATGAAGTTGCTTATCAGCTTAAGGAGATTTTGGGCTGAGACAATGGGGTTTTCTAAATATACAATCATGTCATCTGCAAACAGAGACAATTTGACTTCCTCTCTTCCTATTTTAATACCCTTTGTTTCTTTCTCTTGCCTGATTGCCCTGGCCAGAACTTCCAATACTATATTGAATAGGAGTGGTGAGAGAGGGCATCCTTGTCTTGCGCCAGTTTTCAAAGGAATTGCTTCCAGCTTTTTCCCCTTCAGTATGATACTGGCTGTGGGTTTGTCATAAATAGCTCTTGTTATTTTGAGATATGTTCTATCAATACTTAGTTTATTGAGAGTATTTAGCATGAAGTGTTGTAGAATTTTATCAAAGGCCTTTTCTGCATCAATTGAAATAACCATGTGTTTTTTGTCGTCAGTTCTGTTTATGTGATGGATTATGTTTATTGATGTGTGTATATTAAACCAGCCTTGCAAGCTAAGGATGTAGCCTCCTTGATCATGGTGGATAAGCTTTTTGACGTGCTGCTGGATTCGGTTTGCCAGTGTTTTATTGAGGATTTTCATATCGATGTTCATCAGGGATATTGGCCTGAAATTTCTTTTTTGTGTGTATCTCTGCCAGATTTTGGTATCAGGATGATGTTGGCCTCATAAAATAAGTTGGAGAAAAGTCTTTCTTTTTTATTATTTGGGATAGTTTCAGAAGGAATGGTACCAGCTCCTCTCTGTACCTCTGGTAGAATTCGGCTGTGAATCCATCTGGTCCTGGGTTTTTTTGTTGTTGTTGTTGTTGGTATGTTATTAATTACTGCCTCAATTTCAGAACTTGTTATTGGTTTATTCAGGGATTGGACTTCTTCCTGGTTTAGTCGTGGGAGGGTGTATGTGTCCAGGAATTTATCCATTTCTTCTAGATTTTCTAGTTTATTTGTGTAGAGGTGCTTATAGTATTCTCTGATGATAGTTTGTATTTCTGTGGGTCAGTGGTGATATTCCCCTTATCATTTTTATTGTGTCTGTTTGATTCTTCTCTCTTTTCTTCTTTGTTAGTGTGGCTAGCAGTCTGTTAATCTTTTCAAAACACCAGCTCCTGGATTCATTGATTTTTTTGAAGGGTTTTTTGTGTCTCTATTTCAGTTCTGCTCTGATCTTAGTTATTTTTTGTCTTCTGCTTCTTTGAATCAGTTTCCTCTTGCTCCTCTAATTCTTTTAATTGTGATGTTAGGGTGTCAATTTTACATCTTTCAAGCTTTCTCCTGTAGGCATTTAGTTCTATAAATTTTCGTCTAAACACTGCTTTAGCTATGTCCCAGTTATTCTGGTACATTGTGTCTTTGTTTTCATTGGTTTCAAATATCTTATTTATTTCTGCCTTAATTTTGTTATTTACCCAGTAGTCATTCTGGAGCAGGTTGTTCAGTTTCCATGGAGTTGTGTGGTTTTGAGTGAGTTTCTTAATCCTGAGTTCTAATTTGATTGCATTGTGATATGAGAGACGGTTTGTTATGATTTCCATTCTTTTGCATTTGCTGAGGATTGTTTTACTTCCAATTATGTGGTCAATTTTAGAATAAGTGAGATGTGGTGCTGAGAAAAATGTATATTCTGTTGATTTGTGGTGGAGAGTTCTGTAGATATCTATTATGTCCACTTGGTCCAGAGCTGAGTTCAAGTCCTGAATATCCTTGTTAATTTCTTGTGTCTTTGATTGGTCTAATATTGATAGTGGGGTGTTAAAGTCTCCCACTATTATTGTTTGGGAGTTGAAGCCTCTTTCTAGGTTTTGCTCTATGAATCTTGGTGCTCCTGTATTGGGTGGGTATACATTTAGGATAGTTAGCTCTTCTCGTTGCATTGATCCCTTTACCATTATGTAATGTCATTCCTTGTCTTTTTTCATTGTTGTTGGTTTAAAGTCTGTATTATCATAGACTAGGATTGCTACCCCTGCTTTTTTGCTTTGCATTTGCTTGGTAAATATTCCTCCATCCCTTTATTTTCAGCCTATGCATGTCTCTGCATGTGAGTTGGGTCTCCTGAATACAGCACACTGATGGGTCTTAACTCTTTATCCAGTTTGCCAGCCTGTTTCTTTTAATTGGGGCATTGAGCCTCTTTACATTTAAGATTAGTATTGTTATGTGTGAATTTGATCCTGTCATTATGATGCTAGCTGGTTATTTTGCCCATTAGTTGATGCAGTTTCTTCTTAGTGTCGATGGTCTTTACAATTTGGTATGTTTTTGCGGTGGCTGGTACTGGTTTTTCCTTTCCACATTTAGTGCTTCCTTCAGGAGCTCTTGTAAGACAGGACTGGTGGTGACAAAATCTCTCTGCATTTGCTTGTCTGTAAAGGATTTTTATTTCTCCTTCACTTGTGAAGCTTAGCTGGATATGAAATTCTGAGTTGAAAATTCTTTTCTTTAAGAATATTGAATATTGGCCCCCACTCTCTTCCGGCTTGTAGGGTTTCTGCAGAGAGGTCTGCTGTTAGTCTGATGGGCTTCCCTTTGTGGGTAACCCGACATTTCTTTCTGGCTGCCCTTAACATTTTTTCCTTCATTTCAACCTTGGTGAATCTGATGATTATGTGTCTTGGGGTTGCCCTTCTCGAGGAGTATCTTTGTGGTGTTCTCTGTATTTCCTGAATTTGAATGTTGGCTTGTCTTGCTAGGTTGGAGAAGTTCTCCTGGATAATATCCTGAAGAGTTTTTTCCAACTTGGTTCCATTCTCCTTGTCACTTTCAGGTACACCAATCAAATGTAGGTTTTGTCTTTTCACATAGTTCCCATATTTCTTGGAGTTTTTGTTCATTCTTTTTCATTATTTTTCTCTAATCTTGTCTTCATGCTTTATTTCATTAAGTTGACATTCATCTCTGATATTCTTTCTTCTGCTTGATCGATTTGACTATTGATATTTCTGTGTGCTTCACAAAGTTCTTATGCTATGTTTTTCAGTTCCATCAGGTCATTTATGTTCTTCTCTAAACTGATTATTCTAGTTAGCAATTCATTTAACCTTTTTTCAAGGTTCTTAGCTTCCTTGCATTGGGTTAGAACATGCTCCTTTAGCTCAGAGGAGTTTGTTGTTACCCACCTTCTGAAGCCTACCTCTGTCAATTCGTCAAACTCATTCTCTGTCCAGTTTTGTTTCCCTGGTCATGAGGAGCTGAAATCCTTTGAAGGAAAAGAGGTCTTCTGGTTTTTGGAATGTTCAGCGTTTTGGCACTCGTTTTTCCTCATCTTCGTAGATTTATCAGCCTTTGGCCTTTGACGTTGGTGACCTTTGGATGGGTTTCTTTGTGGACCTCCTTTTTGTTGATGTTGAGAGTATTCCTTTCTGTTTGTTAGTTTTCCTTCTAATAGTCAGGGCCCTCTGCTGTAGATCTGCTGGAGTTTGCTGGAGGTCCACTCCAGACCCTGTTTGCCTGGGTATCACCAGCAGAGGCTGCAGAACAGCAAAGTTTGCTGCCTATTTCTTCCTCTGGAAGCTTCATCCCAGAGGGACACCTGCCAGAAGCAAGTTGGAGCTCTCTTGTATGTGATGTCTGTCAACCCCTGCTGGGAGGTGTCTCCCATTCAGTAGGCACGGGGGTCAGGGACCCACTTGAGGAGACAGTCTGTCCTTTAGCAGAGCTCGAGCACTTTACTGGGAGATCTGCTGGTCTCTTCAGAGCAGGCAGGCAGGAATATTTAAGTCTGCTGAAGCTACGCCCACAGCCACCCCTTCCCCCAGGTGCTCTGTCCCTTGAAGATGGGAGTTTTATCTATAAGCCCCTCAATGTGGCTGCTGCCTCTTTCAGAGATGCCCTGCCCAGAGAGGAGGAATCCAGAGAGGCAGCCTGGCTACAGCGGCTTTGCAGTGTTGCAGCAGGCTCTGCACAGTTCAAACTTCCCGGAGGCTTTGCTTATACTGTGAGGGGAAAACCACCTACTCAAGCCTCAGTAATGGCAGATGCCCCTTCCCCTACCAAGCACAAGCATCCCAGGTCAACTTCAGACTGCTGTGCTGGCAGTGAGAATTTTAAGCCAGTGGATCTTAGCTTGCTGGGCTCTGTGGGGGTGGGATTCACTGACCTAGACCACCTGGCTCCCTGGCTTCAGCCCCCTTTCCAGGGGAATGAACAGTTCTGTCTTGTTGACATTCCAGAAGCCACCAGGATATGAAAAAAATCTCCTGCAGCTAGCTCAAACGGCCGCCCAGTTTCATGCTTCCAACCAAGGGCCCCGGTGGCGTAGGCACCGGAGGGAATCTCCTGGTCTGTGGGTTGTGAAGACTGTGGGAGAAACATGATATCTGGACTGGAGTGCACTGTTCCTCACAGAATGGTCCCTCATGGCTTCCCTTGGCTAGGGGAGGGGGTTCCCCGAGCCCTTGCGCTTCCCAGGTGAGATGAAACCCCGTGCTTCTTTGGCTCACCCTCTGTGGGCTGCACCCATTGTCTAACCAGTCCCAGTGAGGCACTGGGTACCTTAGTTGGAAATGCAGAAATCACCCACCTTCTGCGTTTATCTCGCTGGTGGCTGCAGACCAGAGCTGTTCCTATTTGGCCATCTTGCCTATGAGATTCAAAGACATGAAGAATTTCAGGAAGAAGTGACTAGTATTTAAACACAATAGTTAGATTTGTATAAATCTCATATGTAGCAGAAATTAATGTGCTGTTTCAAATGTTTAAAAAGAACAAGAAAGACAATAATTTAGTATCATGGAGCTCATTGCCAGAGAAATTTTACTTGATAGCTGGGGACAAAGAAGAAGTGGAAACAGAGTATGTGTGTGCTTAGACTAACAAGTAAAGTAAAAGCATGATAGTGAAAGGGCAATATTCTATCAATAGGACATATTCTTTCTCTCTCTTTAGGTTTCTATCTTTGAGGGGAATGTTTGATTACATTAATAAGCTGAGCAGAAGATAATATAAACAGGAAAGGAAAAGTTAAAGAACAATGGAGAATCAGTGACAGAGGAAGTTTCAGTGAAAAAAAAAAAGAATAGGATGAAGGGCAGTGATATGGTTAGGCTGTGTCTCCTCACCCAAATCTCATGTTGAATGTAATCCCCAATACTGGGGAGGACCCTGGTGGGAGGTGATTGGATCATGGGGGCAAATTTCCCCTCTGCTCTTCTTGTGATATGAGTTCTCATGATACCTGGTTGTTTGAAAGTATGTAGAGCTTCCCACTTCACTGTCTCTTTCCCCTGCCACCATCGTACCATCTTGCCTTCATTTGTCACATACTTGACCACTTCCAATCATAGGAGAGATAGTAGAATTTACCATATAAATTGATATAAGAACTGAAAGTTAATCTTAGAGCCTCTATGTTGTCTCTATGTTGTCATTGAAAGAGAAGGTTTGTTCCTAAAATACAAAAGTAAATGTATGCCCAAAATAAAAATAAAATATGTACTTACTGCAGGCTTTCATATATTAAATAGTGAAGTATTTAAAACCATTAATAACTTTAAAATTCTCGGGTTTTTTTTTTTTTTTTTTTTTTTTTTTTGAGATGGAGTCTCCCTCTGTCACCCAGGCTGGAGTGCAGTGATGCAATCTTGGCTCACTGCAACTTCTGCCTCCTGGGTTCAAGTGATTCTCCTGGCTCATCCTCCCCAAGCAGCAGGGACTACAGGTGTGTGTCACCATGCCCAGCTAATTTTCTTTTTCTTTTTATATTTTTAGTAGAGACTAGGTTTCACCATGTTGGCCAGGCTGGTCTCGACTCTTGACCTCAGGTGATCTGCCCACCTCAACCTCCCAAAGTGCTGGGATTACAGACGTGAAACACTGTGCCCAGTCTCAGTATTCTTAATATGAGTTCAATTGTATCCATTATAGGAGAGCTAACCTGAATTATCAGTTATGTAAAATCTCTACATGTTCTATAATATGACACATAATGTTCTTACAAATTTTCTATTAACTCCTTTCAGAAGAAAATAAATACATATATTTTCATGTGGAATAGTGGCATGGTAGGACAGGTTGAAAAGTAATGAGTCAGTAATTTTAAAACTAGCCTGTATATCTCACATATTGAGAGTGACAAAATCTTAAATTTAAAAGAAGTCTCCAGAGATAACACATATCCTACTCAGTAGCTTGAATTGAGAGTTTCTTATATCAGAGGAAATTGAAATATCTTTAATAGAGAAAAACACCTCCTAGCAGTGCATCAATTCAACACTTCAGTTCCCAATACCTCAATAAATGCAGACTGCTCCATTTATCACTGATCTTATTATTTAGGGCCTTGCAATCCAAAGGAATGCATGTACTTCTTCTATATTGGTTACAAAATAGTTGTTAAAGAATTACTTTGTAAAATCTGAAATCCCATTTCAACTAAGCAATAGTGTGTAATGAGTTTAGGTGGTTAGATATGGAGATCTTAGAGGTTCCAAGTGCCATATTAAATTCTGAAATGGGACATGACTTTTGCCACTTAGGTGAGAAATAAAAAAGTCATACAAACCTTTTTATAGTATTTCAGTGTAAGGGAGATTGACACGAGTAAGAGATGATTAGAATATCCATAATTAGTTTTAATTCCTGTTAATAGTATTACAATATTAGTCATTTTTATGCAATTAAGGTAGCTCTTGATAAATAACAGGATACACTCTTTCCAACATGCTATGCTTTGCATATTATTTACATGAAACTGTATAGAAGATGTAGAGCTGAAGAAAATTGAATTGGAAGATATCCCTAAAAAGATAAACCTAAATATAGACTCTCAGGACAATAAAATGAAAAGCAAAACATAAACTGGATAACATTTTTGAAAGTTGGGCAAATATTTCCAAGAGAAAAAAAATTCAAATCATGAGTCTAAAAGTGACAGTTTTACAATTATTGAGATTAAAATAGTGATAAAGTTTTGAGGTATGTCACAATCCACCATTAATAATTATTAAGTAAAAAATGTAAAAATTACTTAATTTTAATCAATAAGGGAAATTTGTGAACATGTATCTATAATTATGTCAATTGTACTCAACTGCTTTATAGCATGCTTCATTCATTGGGAGAGAGAATTACTGAGTTTCTACTGGTACACTGAAATATTTAAATAATAAACATTCTATCATTTAGGTTTTACTGTTCCTTCCCAGAAGTCAATGGCATATCATAAAAGCATACGTTTCTCATGTGTCTGTAATATGGGAGGGGTCAGGGAAGTGCTGGGTAGAAGAAGGCGGGTCTCTGGCTAGGGCTCCACCCTAGGGCCCGTGAGGACAGGCACTCTTGCCTTCATGCACAAATGTTGCATTTTCCAAGACCACTCTGGCCCACCACGCCCCAATCCTGTGCCTACAAAAACCCGAAGATCCTAGCAGGCAGTCACACAGGCAGCTGGACAGACGTCCAGAGGAGCACATTGGTGGAGGAACATACAGGTGGTTGGACATCGAGAGGAGGGATCGAGGTAAGAAGATACAAGTAGCTGGACATCGAGAGGACACTGAAGGGAGCATGTGTGGAAGAACACACGACAGGCACCAGCACACCGGCAGGCCATTCACCAGCAGAATCTGGCAGAGTTTGGCCAGGACAGCAGTCAGAGGAGAGCCCAACTCCAGGGGAAACCATCTCCCTTCTGGCTCCCCATCTGCTGTAGAGCTACTTTCACTCAATAAAACCTTGCACTCATTCTCCAAGCCCGTGTGTGATCTGATTCTTCTGGTACACCAAATCAAGAACCTGGAATACAGAAAGCCTTCTGTCCTAGCGACAAGGTAGAGGGTCTGACTGAGCTGGTTAACACAAGCTGGCTATAGACAGTAAAACTAAAAGAGCACATGGTAGCACCCACCCACTGGGGCTTCAGGAGCTGTAAACATCCACCCCCAGATGCTGCTGTGGGCTTAGAGCCCCACAACCTGCCCATCTGTGTGCTCCTCTAGAGGCTTGAGCAACAGGACACTGAAGGAGTGAGCCACTCCCCTGTCTCACACACTGCGAGGGGGACAAGGGAGCTTGTCCCGTTTCATCTGCAGGATTCAACTGATACAGACAGTGTTTTGTTGATACCGGCTGGGCTAACTCATTTGTCTGTTTACTATTTCTGCTGTTTTTCCTCTTTTCCCTGGTATCAGTGGACTGATTTAGACAAATCCCTCTCATTGCAATGGCAGAGGACAAACAAGCAAGTAAAAGCATGAAAGATACCTAGGCCTAGGCTCTGAAGTGTTACTCTGTCACTTCCGTCTCATTCTGCTGACCAAAGCAAATGAAACGGCTGAGTCTGTATTCAACTGCCTTTATAGCTGGAAGAAATTGCAAGTCATATGGCACAAGGCAGGCTCTTGGGCAGAGAATGGTAAAGAATTCAAGAATTATTTATTTGAAGAATCAAAGAATAGAATAAAACAGAACAGAATGGAATAGAATAAACACTAGAATACAAAAGTATTAGGCTCTTAATATTGATTGTGAAACCAATAATCATAAGTTATCTATGAAGATATGCATAGAATCTAAAATAAACATCAGTTGCCTTAAAAATGAATCAGCAATAATTCATTGAGTTGAATTATAAGGATTATCCATAAATGTAGCTTTACCAATAAATATATTGATATATTTTGCATAACAAGTGCTGATACAAGGGGAGTAGCTCAGTAGGTTTTTTGCTTTCTTTCTGCTCCAATATCTGCAGTGTTGTCAATACCATCTCTAAAGACAGTTACTAGGGATTCAAGCACTAATTCCTTCCTTGGAAATGTCCCAAGCAAAAAGGAAGAGGTGGGAACCAAAGGCCACTCTGTTTACAACTGGAATTTGTTTTTTCTCAGAAGCCCCAAGCAAGCTTTTCTTTACATTAGGACAATTATCTTAATGGGGAGGGGAACTTCCTTACAATGATTAACTTAGTCTTGATTGAGTTGCTATGTGTAAAACTGATCCAATAGTTCCATAGATAGTTCTTTTGAATAAACGTGGAAATTGACTCTTCTGGTCTTAAGGCTCGAAACTTACATTTGTTTTATCTGAGTTTCCTCCTCAGGAAAGGACCTCCAGCCCTCTCAAAAAGTATCAAAGAACTAATTCACCACATCAGGCACCCAGACAATCAGATGCCAAACCACTCCTTTTTCTCTTACCCCTTCTTAGTTCTTGTTTTCCAACACATTTTTACATTTTTTTCCATACTATATAAACCCCTAATTTTAGTCAGTCAGGGATATGGATTTGAGACTGATCTCCCATCTCCTCACCTGCAGCATCTGATTAAAGCCTTCTTTCTTGGCAATACTCTTCGTCTCAGTCATTGGCTTTCTGTGCAGCAAGCAGTAGGTGCAAGACTGAACCCTTGCTGTTTCAGTAACATATGGAAACTTTACCATGCACTCAAAATTGGGATTCTCTTAGAAAGACTACAGGGAGATGTTTGTTGGTGTGCAACCAATAATGCCATAGCAGAGTAAAGGCTGATAATAACCACTTGTAACATAACTTCAGCATTAATTTAAAAGTATATATAGAAGCAATGTTAATATTTTGTTTTGAGATTCTATAAGTTAAGTGCATGCCATTGTCATTGGCAAATAAGCTATAGTTGATTACAATAACTTCATTATCTTTGAAGTGTTCCTGTCATCCAAGAACCTAATAAATGTTTTTTGTACATAAAATTATATTTTTTCATTTACATTGATGAACTAGAAATAATTATATCTCTAATAGTTATTTTAAGAATATAAATTTTTACTTATATGAAGAGGAAAATACCTGAAATGCTATTCTTAACTTTCACACAAACTATATCCACAAATAGAACTTTCCCATTATGTTCCTCAAAATTTCCTCAGATATCACAACAATGATGTAGCAATATTTGAAATGTTTTAGTGTTATTTTCATCAGTAAAGAAGGCAGGAAATTGATATGACAGGTAGCTGAACAATATCCATTTTCAAAATAAGAACAGATTCGTTGAGGAGCTGTAACAAGTGCTCTTATTTATGTTCGTGGTTCTCTAACGTAAATATTTATTAACTACATATGTGATGAAATACATCAAGCAGATATCCAGAGGAAGTGCTTAACAAACTTTCTGACCCTACACAGGTCAGATCGTAACCTGCCACTGTGCACAGAATATATATCAATAAGCTTTTTAAAAATTCTATCTTTTATATTTTTAATTGAGCCTTTTGTTTTTCCAGATAATAACATTTTAAATTGAATTAATATTCCCTCATGAAGTTCGATATTTTAAAAATGTAATCCCCAAAAATAAATCCCACAAAAATTTGTTTAATTTATATAAACTTGGCTCAGATGTGCACATTTTTCTCAAATTTTTGTAAGTACCAGAAGTGATAAGGGAATATAAAAAGATCTAATAACTGGGATAGCTGGGCAAGTTTATTTTTAATTCCTCTATTTTTTTCTTCATTTTTAGTCATAGCATGCATCTAACACCATATTTGGAAATGTATATATATAGTTTAAAGAACAATTGTAAAATAAGCTCATATATGTACATATATATATATATCCATTACCCACATGAAAAATTAAACATTCACAGTATCCCAGAAGCCCCCAAAGTGTTTCTTCCTAAATGCATTTTCTTCTTTCTCCTAAAAAGAAAATCATGGTTTTAAATTCCCCTAAAGAGGAAAAACTTTGTTTTTTAAAAAATTTTTGTAACTGGAATAAACAATATTGCATTTGTTTGGCTGTAAACCTGTTTTTTTGTTCAATATCATATTTGAGATTCAGTTATGTTAATGTATGTAGCAGTGGTACTTTCACTTTCATCAATGTATAGTCTTTTATTACATGATTATTCTATAATTTACTAATTAAACTGATACTGTTTTCAGTGTTTTCCCTCATTGTGAACAAGATGTGTTAATATTATGTGTTAATTTCCTTTGACTTATTTGTATTCAAAAATATAAAGAATATACAGATATTGTAAATATACATCTTTGTGCAATGTTATACATTATGCACAATGTCAGTATCTTTAAACAATGCTAAGCTGTTTTCCAAAGGCGTTGTACAAATTTATCCTTCCTCTCATAGAGAGGAACATCTCTAATTGGTTTGCTTTTCTAAAGAATTTTGGTATTATTTACTTTTTAAATGTTTACTAAACTGTTGGTTGTAAAATACCACTTCATAATGGGTATGTTTTTCATTTAAGTGCTTAGAAATCAGGGTGAATATCATCTTTATATGTGAAAGAGCATAGTGTTTTTACAATTTATCATCGACACTGGGACATGTTTATGTGTGAAACAGGATGATAAGAAAAAAATTTCAAATATTTATTTGTAAACAAATCGGTTTATAAAATTGTACCATTTAAAAACTGTTTTCAAACAATTTTTCTGGAAAAAATCATACACATTCATTTAAATAGCTACACAAATTTCTATTTTTGTATTGATGATACAAACATTAACAATAGCGTAAGATGAACAAGTTGGTACATACCTACTTGAATTTGATTTTTGCATGTAATTCTCTCATTTACAAAATTTGTTGTGCTAGGATAATGGCACTAGGAAGAAAATTATTTCCATCTCTGTAACAAATCATTTCCACACATGCCTGGCTACTTATGTGTTCTCTATTCCATAGGTCAGTATACCCTCACTTAAGATAGAAATAATGCTTTAATAAAGTTAGCTTTATATTAATCCTTGATGATACATGAGGCAAGTTAGGGTGTGCTATTTTATATATCGTGGTTAAGAAAGGTTTACAATGATAATTGATATTTTAAAAATATCTTGATTTCTGATTCAGACATTGCCAGAAGCTTCTATTGGATTAACTTTCAAAAAACTGTAAATAATTTATGAAACAATGACATGAGAACATTGGAAAGCCAGAAAAAAAAAAAGGTATGCAGATATGGGAGGGGAGTGTATACTAGGAACAAGGGAATGGTGCTGCATGAGTTTTTTTGTTTTTATATCTTTTAGTTTGAGGACTTTTCCAGGTAGGACCATGGGATAGATAAAACTATAATAGAGAATCTGCAGGTTTTTCAGCCTAAGAACCATAGAACTGAGTTTTGGGCAACCACAGCTTCTGACAAGTTGGTTTGGGGATGGGGAATCCTGGAAAAATGAAAGCCAGAAAGAGGAGTCAAAATTCCTGTGAATATACTCTACCTAAATCTCTAACAGACCCCTGAACCATGCAAGCATAGAGAAAAGTTCAAGGATAACAGCTGAAACTAAAATAAGTGAATAGAAATTGAGCTGAAAGAGATACAAAGATGTTGTAGTTTTAGTTTGTTAAATTTCTGCTAAATGAACAGCAAAAACAACAAAAATCTGCACTTCTCAAAAGCAATAACAAAACTGAAAGTCTCTAAGACATATCACTTACAATGTTCAAGACACCATGTAAAATTACTCATTACATAAAGAAACAGGAAAATTATTTGTAAGAGAAAATAAAATTCAGAAATTGAGATGAATAATCCAGTTGTTGGGATTAACAGGCCTGAATTTTAAAATAGTAATCAAAACAATGTGCAAATATATAAATAAAAATATACTTGTAATAAATAAGCAAATAGAAAACTTTCCGCTAAGAAATTAAAACTAAAATGAACCACCTAAAAGTCTAAGATTGCAAATCATAGTAATTGACATACAAAATTCCTAGATGTTCTTATTAAGAGCAGAATGGCGACAAAAGGTAAAAGAAAGAGTGAATATGAGAACAGACCAATGAGAATTATCTAATTTGAAAGAAACTAAAGAAGAGATTTTTAAGAATTAAGAGCCTCAGATACCTGTGCAACAGTAAGAAAAGTTTTAACATACAAGTACAGGTATTTGTCGTACTATCAGATTTGGGCAGCCACTTCACAAATGAAAATATACAAATGACTGATAAGGGCATGAAAATGAGACTAACATCATTAGCCTTTAAGGAAGTAGATATCATTATCTCAATGAGGATCACTTTATACCCACAAAATGGCTAAAATTAACAAGACAGACATCATCAAGTATTTGAGAATGTGAAGCAATTGAAGCTCATAATCATTGATCTGCATGTAAAGTTGTACAATCAAAATGGTTCAACTGATGAGAATTAATATTCACAACATATTTGTTCAAAAAACAAATGTAGCCACTTTATTTACAGTAGCTAAAATTAGAAATATTCCAGGTGTTCATTAATAGAAAAATAGAAAAATTGTGGTATAGTCATATAATGGAATACTATTCAAGAATAAAAAAGATAAAAACTACTAATATAGGCAACTACATAGATGATTCTTAAAAATATTCTGAGAGAAAAATAATACACAAATATACTATGATTCAAATTATATAAAGCTCTAAAGAGGCACAACAATTCTATGGCTAAAAAAATAAGTGTTCTGTTTGTTTCTAAGAAGGTTGCATAGGCATTATTGACTGGGTAGCTTTTTGTGTGAACTTTCTGGAGTGATGGCAATGTTCTGTACTTTAATAAATTTTTTGTTTACATAAGGGTTATAAGTGATTGTCAAATTTCTGACATGATCCACTTATCATTTGAGTGTTTCATTGTATGAAAAGCTTATCTCAAAAGAAAAAAAAACTAATATTAATCTCTAGCTAAGTGTACACTTGCTAAAATGTCCAGAAAGGAGTGCATTGATATCTGCAACTTAATTTCAAATGCATCAAAAATAAGATAAATTGATGAATGGATTGATAAATGAGAATATTGACAGATACATGTTAAAACAAGACAAATGAAATATTAATTTAGATTCTAGATACTGTGTATATGGATTTTCAATTTACTATTTATCATTCTGTATGTTTGAAAATTTTCAGAATATAATGTAAAGAAAAAAGACAATAAATGGAGAGTGATGCCATGTGGCTATTTGTACACAAAAAACAAAACCATCTAGATAAAGAGAACAGAAGTGAAAGTTCTTAAGGCTGAAGCATGCATATAGGCATGAAAGCACAGACTGTAAATTTTGAAGCTATTGAACTGTTTGAAAGCAATTTATGTTAAATATACTTGGTATAGAGAAAAAAATAGAATTAGTTCATATGAAACAAAATCTACCATGTACACTTAAAGTTATGCTATACAATAACTCTAGATGTGTTTATTTACTCTGTAAATTATAAAGGTGATACTGTTTGTTGGGTGCTTAGATGCCTAGGATAAAATAGTGAGAAAGATTTTTTTTAGCCGGGGTTTTCATGAAATTTGCATTCTCACGTAACAAAAGTATCAATGACATGGGATGCTTATTGTTAGTCACATGGTGTAATATGCTTCTCAAACTGCGGTCCAATTCTTACTGAAAATTAATATTTATGTCCCCCATCCAGACTATAAATTAGAACCTCTGAGTGACCAAGGTAATCTCCATTTTAACAAGTTCCCTGGGTGATTCTAGTGCACATCAACATTTGAGAGCAAGTGCTCTATTGTAAACAACATTTGGAGTCAGAAATTGTATTGAGAGGCCAGTGGTTCCATTATTGATTATGTGACCACAGATAAAAACTTACCCTTGAATCTCTATTTAACATCTAAAAGTGGAGAAAAAATACTTCCTCTAATTATCTCACAGAGTCATTGTGAACACAGGGTCATTGTGAATATGAAGTATAAATAATTTTCATAAAAGTGCTTCTAAAGTTTAAAGAAATATAAAAATTAATGACATTATTTACAATACATTTTTTAAGTTTTTGTTTATGGCTATATGAATTTGCAAGTATATCCTCCAGATATCAAGAAACCTACACATATAAGCATAAAAATAGAGAAAGTCTTTGAACAGCAGTAGCAGTTAATATTTGAGTCCTAATCTAGTACAAATCTATCACTGAAATTTACATGATTACAAACTCTTTTGAAAAAGGACTGTTCTTTCATTTGGCTCATGTAATGTCTCCAAGAATGTGCATAGATTTAAACTTCCTATTCACCTATGTTAAAAGAAAAGGAAGACATCTGGATTTTTTTAACATGTCAATACAGCACAGTCTTTAGGGAATACACTTAATAATGAGTGCTGTTTTGTCACACAAAAACACTTGAGGACATTTGAAATTGGCAAATTAGAAATTCTCATAACCCACTTTAGAATAATCCCAAATTAATGATGCTACTCTTTGCTGGACCAGATCTTGATTTATTTTTTGTTTTTATTTTATTTGTAATTAGCTCATAATAATTGTACATATTTATGGAGTACAGTGTGATGTTTCAATATATACATACAGTGCGTTATGATCAAGTCAGGGTAATTAGCATATTCCTCACCTCAACCTCTTATCATTTCTTTGTGATGAGAACATTCAAAATCCACTTTTCTAGAGATTTTGAAGAAGACAATTATTGTTGACTCTAGTTACCCTACTGTGCATCAAAACATCAGAACTTATTCCTCCTTTCTAACTTTAACTTTGTAGTCCTTGACCAATCTCTCTTCATACCCTACCCTTACTTTCCCCAGCCTCTTGTAACCCACATTTCCCTCTCTTTCTATAGGCTCATTTTTTTTAGGTTCCAGGTATAAGTGAGATCATGCGGTATTTGTCCTGCTGTGTTTGGCTTATTTCACTTAACATAATGTTCTCTGGGTCCACTCATGTTGTTGCAAATGACAGGACTTTGTTCTTTTTGTGGCTGAAGAATATTGTATTGTGTACGTATACCACATTTTATTTATCAATCGAAATCTTAGGTTGATTCCATGTCTTGGCTATTGTGAATAGTGCTGCAGTAAACGTAGGAGTGCAGATATCTCTTTAACATGCTGATTTCATTTTTGTTTTGGATAGATGTGTGATAGCGGGGTTATTGGATCATTTGTAGTGCTATTTTTAGTTTTTAAAGAACCTCCATTCTATTTTCCACAATGCTAATACTCATGTACATCCCCACCAACAATGTATGAGTTCCTCTTTCCCACATCTTCACCAGCATTTGTTATTTTTTGTCTTTTTGATACTAACCATTCTAACTGGGGTGAGGTGATATCTCATTGTGATTTTGACTTGTACTCCCCTGATGATTAGTAATATTAAACATTTTTTCATATATCTGTTGCTCATTTGTATGTTCTGAGAAAATTCTATTCAGATCTATTGTCCATTTTTAATTGTTATTTTTTCCACCATTGAGTTATTTGTGTTTTTTATATATTCTGGGTATTAAAGCCTTGTCAGATGCAGAGTGTATTAGTCAGGGTTCTCTAGAGGGACAGGACTAATAGATGTATATATGAGATACTTGAAAAGGAGTTTATACAGGCCCATATAGAGCATCTCAAAAGGTCTCCGTGTCAACTAAGTGGCAAGAAGGTAGCAGTCATTCAGAAGACTTGAAGGGGTGGTGTGTATAGGGATAATGAAAGCCTCAAGGAAATTTTTCAAGTGAAAGATTGGTTAGGGATTGTATTAGTACTTCACCATCCCCACTCCTCCATTTGCAAGTATTGCTTAAAATTGGGTACAACCTTACAAGGGAGTGGATAGGATTGTTCAGAAAGTACTTAGTATAAACTATTTGTTATGAATTTAAAAAATGATCCCTCTTGTCCAGAAGAATGGGAGCTCAGAAGTACACATTTTGAGTTAAATACAAATAAAAAGTTTTACTTGTTCACAATTGATTATGTAAACAGCACCAAGTCTGCAGCATTTGTTCAGTAGACTGGCTCAGAGCATGGAATATAGGACACACTGAAAATGATAATGTTAAATTCTATATTGCTGATGGTAGACTAGCTCAGAATGAGATATTGTGAAAATTTCTATCTTCCAATATATAAATAAAGGACAGCAGTCCCAACCAAGAGAATTTATTTTTGTCCATCACCTTGTTTTCATTGCATATATATTTATTTTATAATACTTTATTGTAAGTTATTTTTTCTTTTACCTTTCAAAGAGTTCCCAGATTGCTAATCCATCCACCATAGTTCTGATGAAAAAGGAAATTCTTCATACTTTGTATCATTTTCTTCCTGACAGTTTACAATTTAAAGTATCTCAAAGGCTTATTCTAAAAGGTACTGTGTGGATGTTCTCCAGCTTATATGAGTAGAGAGAAAAATCATAGGTTATGCAAGGAGACTAAACAGTATGAAAAGAGACTAAGCTAAACAAAAAGCACATTCAATGAAATAAAGTAAAACAAATTACATATAAAGAAGTACAAAGGCACCAGTCAGTTCTTGAGCTTTTAAAATCAGACCAGCATTTGTCAATTGGTTATGATAAAGAAGACCTAATGTAAGATTCTTTTTTTGTATGGAAGCTCTAATATTCAAATGTTTAAAAATATCAAACATAATAATAAAATATCAGTTAAAAGAAGTCTTAATATGGAAGCTAGTATTTCTGAAACATGTTCTGATCTATGCTTTATTGTGAAAAACACAAACTGGGTCCTAAAATGGAAATGGAGTTTACTAATTAGTTAAACAGTGTATCTCATATGCTGATCTTGAACAGTTATGAAAGTAATCTCAACCTGTTGACAAAATGGCATTAATACCATTGTGGTAAAATAAGAAAAAAAAAAGTGAAATTGTAATAGAGTAAGACTAAGGCATTTTATTTTAGAATGGAGACAAAAAATTCTATTTTAATTACTTTTTTTTTTTTTTTTTTGAGACGGAGTCCCACTGTTGTCACCCAGGCTGGAGTGTAATGGCGCAGACTCAGCTCACTGCAACCTCTGCCTCCCAGGTTTCAACAATTCTCCTGCCTCAGCCTCCTGAGTAGCTGAGATGACAGGTGCCCGCCACTATGCGTGGCTAATTGTTGTATTTTTAGTAGAGATGGGGTTTCACAGTTTTGGCCAGGCTAGTCTCAAACTCCTGACTTCAAGTGATCCACCCATCTCAGCCTCCCAAAGTGCTGGGATTACAGGTGTGAGCCACTGTGCCTGGCCTATTTTAATTACTTAAAAAAAATGTATTTAAACTTAGAGAAAGAAGCATGTCATCATATAAAGCTTTATTTTAATTTTTTTCTCATATCTGGGGGTGGTCTATAATTATTTTTAATTGACATATAAAAGTTGTGTATATTTATGGTGTAAACATGTTTTGATATATGTAAATGTTGTAGAATGACTAAGTCAACCTAATTACCATATGTATTACCTCACATAATTATCATTTTAAAAATATATATTTTTATTTATTTTTAGTTTATTTTTTACTTTTTTTAGAGATGAAGTCTTACTTTGTCACCCAGGCTGGAGTGCAGTGGTGCAATCATAGCTCTCTGCAGCCCCAAACTTCTGGACTCAAGGGTTCCTCTCCCCTCAGCCTCCCAAGTAACTGGGACTACAGGCACACATCCCATGCCTAGCTAATTGAAAATAGTACACATTTTGAGTTAAATAAATAAACACATAACACATTTTGAGCTAAATTTTTTTTTTTGTAGAGATGGTGTAATGGTAGGCTCTGTGACCCCACCCCAACCTCATGTCGAATTGTAATCCCCAGTGTTGGAGGAGGGGACCTGGTGGGAGGTAATTGGATCATTGGGGTGGACTTCTCCCTTGCTGTTCCTGTGATAGTAGGTTCTCATGAGATGAGATCTGGTTGTTTAAAAGTGTGTAGCAACTCCTCCTTCTCTCTCTTCCTCCTACTTTGGCCATGTGAGATGTGCTTGCTTCCCCTTCACCCTTCACCATTATTGTAAGTTTCCTGAGGCCTCTGAGGCCTCCCAGTCATGCTTCATGTGTAGCTTGTGGAACTGTGAGCCAATGAAATCTTTTTTCCTGATAAATCAACCTGCCTCAGGTAGTTCTTTATAGCAGTGTGAAAACAGACTACTACAGATGGGGTCTTGCTGTCTTTCTCAGGCTGGTCTTGAACTCCCTTGCCCAACTGATAACCTCTTGCATCAGCCTCCCAAGGTGCTGGGATTACAGGTGTGAGCCACTGTGCCTAACCACTTATCTTTTTTTTTTTTTTTGGGCGGGGGGAGGAGTGAGAACCTTCAAAATCTACTGTTGGAGCAATTTTCGAGTATATAATCTGTTGTTATTAATGATAGTCACCATGTTGTATAGCGGTTCCCCTGAACATATTTCTCCTGTCTAGCTGAAATTTTGTATTATTTGACCAGTATCTCTTATCTCTCTAATTTTCCCACACCTCAGACTCTGGGAACCACCATCTTACTCTCTGTTTCTAGGAGTTTGACTTTTTCAGATTCCACATATTAGTGAGATCACATGGTCTTTATCTTTTCTGTGCCTGGCTTATTTCACTTAACATAATGTTCTCCAGGTGTACTTATGTTGTTGCACGTTACAGGATTTCCTTTTTTATAAAGGCTGAATTCCATTGTATGTACATATACCACATTTTCTTTATTCATCTGTTGATGGACACTTGGGTTGATTTCATATCTTGGAATATGTGAATAATGCTACTGTGAATAATGCTGCAATGAACATGAGAAAATACAAATATCTTTTCAATCTACTGATTCCATTTCCTTTGAATATATACCCAGTAGTAGCTTTGCTGGATGATAAGGTAATCCTATTTTTAATTTTTTGAGAAACTTCTACTTTTATGTAATCCTTATGCTAATTTGCATTTCCACCAACATTGAAAAAGGGTTCCAATTTCTCCACATCTTTGCCAACACTTGTTATAATTTGTCTTTTGATAATAACCATTTTAACAGGTGTGAAATGATATCTCATTTTGATTCTAATTTGTATTTTCTTGATAATTTGTGATGTCAAGCAATTTCTCATGTACTTGTTGTCTATTTGTATAACTTCTTTTGAGAAATGTCTTTTTAGGTTCTTTACCAATTTTTTATTTGGCTTATTTGTCTTCTTGCTATGACTTCTTTGAATTATTTACATATTTTGTGTGTTAACCTCTTATCAGATGTATGGTTTTCAGATATTTTCTCCCATTCTGTAGGTTGTCTTTGCACTCTATTGATTGTTTCCTTTTCTGCGCAGAAGCCTTTTAGCTCGATACAATCTCATTTGTCTAACTTTGCTTTTTTTGCTTGTGCTTTTGGGGTCATATCCAAATGTCAAGAAGCTTTTCTCCTAAGCTTTATTCTAGTGGTTTTATAGTTTCAGATAGTACATTTAAGTCTTTATTTTGGGATTATTTTTGTTTGCAGGATAAGATAATTTTATTTTTCTGCCTGTGGATATTCGGTTTTCTCCATGCTGTTTATTGATGATGTTGTCCTTTCTTCATTCTCTGCCCTTGACATCTCTGTTGAACATCAGTTGGCTGTAAGTGCATGGATATATTTCTGTGCTGTCTATTCCATTCCATTGGTCTGTGTTTGTTTTAAATCAATACCATGCTATTTTGATTACTACAGCTTTAGAGTATATTTTGAAATTAGGTAATGTAATATCTGGTTCTTTGTTCTTTTTGCTCAAGATTTCTTTGACTATTCAGGGCCTTTTGTGATTTGATATACATTTTAGAATTGTTTTATTCTATTCCTGTAAAAATTGTCCTTAGAATTTTGTTAGAGATTGTGTTTTACTTGTGATGAACTATAAAAATCTATAAACCTTTGGAAAGGATTTATTTATACTTTCTCCTGTGTTTACTAATTTCATGGAAAAAATGCACAGAACTAAAATTTTTATTTACTGATTTCAAGGAAAATACACACAGAACTACAAGTATTAATTTCTCATTACACTTCTTCTTTGGACTTCTTTTTATGTATTAAACTTGCATGGTCATCTTCCTTACCTATTAAGGTACTATGCATATAAGATCATCTGATGATCTGAATATTCTCCATTAAGAAACTCTTTGTGAGATTCATTTTTACTTTACCTTCAAAGATAACTTAAAGGTTGTCTCTTTGTGAACACTTTCCCTTAATTCTCTAAATAGGATACTGATTTTCTATGCCCTCTTGGTTCCCAATACCTGTTTTACACAACACTTAATTACTACTTAGTTAAATTACTATATGTATTATTAATTTTGCAATTTCTCCTTTCCCAACTAAAGTAAATCCTCAGGAACACTGCTGTGTCTCCAGTAACTATTTGCTTTCTAATAAATGGTTTTATAATGAATAAATGAATAATTGAAACAATTTCAAATAAATTAAATCATTTTTTCTCAAAGAATACAACTAGCATATGACAATATCAGGCTAAAGTATTGATAATTCTTTTTTCTTCCTGTACCATACCACTTTTGATGACTTGGAGGAAGGAAAAGCAAATAATGTTATGTTCATTTGCTGGCTTTACAAAGTAGTTCTTTTTTGTTTGTTCATTTGTTTCTTTGGTCACTTCTTTAAGTTATAGATTTAATGTAGGTAGAGTAAGCCTTTTCAATAAATAAATCAATCTCTATTCATGGCTTGGGTTCTTCTCCTTCTATTTTCTTTTTATTTTTTTTAATTAGAAAAATGGAATACTTCTTGCTCAGGGACTGAGAAAGAGTTCCACCCCTTGTCTAAGTACTTAAACTAAGCACAAATCTATTAATTCCAAATTTTAAACAGGTCTTCAGCTTTTCAAAAGCCGTTATTTAAAAGCACTTTAGCAATATTTTACCTGACCATTTTCAGATTTATGTTTCCTGAAACCTATCTTTTAAACTCCCAAACGTAGACTGATATAAATCAATCAATGAATCAGTCAAACAAACAAAAAAGCTCAACACAGAAAGCATGGTGTATAATATGGGACATGAGATGGAATAAAAAATTTGTTTAAAATGTATATGTCATAAGTAATCTCATATTAAGTAGAAATATGCATGCTCTACGAATCAAGTGAAGAATATATTAAATATGGCAATATTTTCCAGGAATCAAAAACATTAAGTTTACTGAAAATGTTAAAATAAAAACCATACCTATAATAGATAACATTTAGTGTTATAAACATAATTGTGCAAATGTGTTAATTTTTTTTTATTTCTTATTTAGGCATTTGAAATTTTAATATAAACTAATATGAAATTAAAATGATATAATAATAACTTAATAATAGCAAATATATGCAGATATCATTGATGAAAACTTGTTGATCTACATATAAGAATATAGTAACATAATTTGAACAGCTGTGATGTCTTTATTGTTATGTTAGTTCTATAACAGCTTTGGTATTTTTAATTTCACCGTAAAATAACTTTTATCCATCTGTATGATCTGTGTTTCTCAGCTCACCTGGTAAAGGTTGGGCCACTGATATTCCTAAGTGGTAATTTACAGTTGAGCAGATGTCATTCCATACACTGTGCTGTAGAGCACAGAATTCTTAAATTATTTTTACACCATTTTTTGTTGTTATTTGTTTGTGTTAAATGGATTAAATAACAGATGAACTATGTTATTGGGATGATTCTGGTGTTCTGATTCCTAGATAAACAATCTTCTGTTGTGTATGATGCAATAATGGTTCTATTTTTTTATTTGTAATCTCAAAAGGGCATTATTTGAATATAGAGGGAAGTTGGAGATAAACAAAATGGTTCTGAATGGCAATGAAAAGTAATAATTCCATTGTGAGAAATCTGACCTTGATAATTATGAGGTTTAAATATGTCTCAGTTGGGAAAAATGCTTATTTTTCTCCTCGTGGTTTATACTGTAGTGTTGTAGAGAAATCAGGATTTTACTTGTGTGTGCATGTGCATATATATGTGTGACTATGTGTTTGTGTGTATTTATGTGTGATGAATGCTACAGTTACCTGTCTACCAACTGATAACTATGCAAGTATACCTGGGTGGAGAGACCTTCAAGTAGTTATTAGTCAAAGTGCCTTCATGCCCCATTCACATTTCTACTGCAGCCTTCTGTGTGTTATTTCAGGAATATTAATGAGAAACATACTTGTGGGAAGAAGGATGAATATTGTGAGGAGAATAATCCTGTAAGTACAAGGAGTGTGGTTTGAAAATAACATTCTTAGATATAAAATTGAAATTGTAGATTTAATATTAGAAGCTGGAGACATTGACAAAAGGGAAACTCTGTGAAGCAGTTCACCTAAGGCTTTCATTGAGGACTTGGAAACCATCATATTTACATATAATTTTATTGTTCTATTCTGTATTATAGTAGCCTTAATTTCTCTAACCTCACAACAGGACTAATAAATTTCACATTACTATCTCTAAAATCTAAAGAATGTCTTCTATTTGTTCCTTCCGATTTAGTCTCTACTCTCTCTACCCTTCTTCACAATATTCTGGATCTCCGTGAGCTTACCTATAGGAGCTACATCAAGAGACTCCCTTTTTATCTGCCTTCAGATTTGATTTGTTTGCTAGAGAGCCCCAGGGAGAGAATGGTAAAAAAGAGAAGAGTAAGGTTGAAATATTAAATCACCCAGCTCCTTACCTGTGTGGCTGCCTTGGTTGGACTAAATCCCTTGACATAAGAATGTGACTGGATAGCCCCTTTGAATGTGACTGTATCCTTCTGCGATCTAGAAACTGCTCTCTTCCCTTGCCTGTTCAGACCTAGAGGTAAGTATTTTTATAACTACCCACTACTCAAGTGGTTATAAAAATAAATACTCTGCCTACAACTTAGTAAATAATCTCTTAATAAGCTTTTCTCATGTTACCCAATACATACAGCATCTGTTTTCTGCCAGGATTCATATTGATATAGACAGCTAAGGAAAATGTGTCTTTGCTGGGGCTCATGAAGTAGTGACAAGTTCATATTGAAAAGAGTGAATTAGTGTTCCTTTCAATCACATGGGAAAATGAGCAGGGATTTTTAATAGAACTAGATGAAGCACATAAGAAAAGACAGACTGAGGAACAAATTGCAGGTGGAAAAATGAAAGAGCACATTAAATTCCGTGCTCTAAAAATATATACTGAATTAAGTTGATCCTTGAAATTTTGGGGTGGAGTGATATTTGAATCATAACTTGGGATCTTGAGTAATTCTTAGGGTCTAAGAAACATTGTTTGTATCATGATTTTTCAAAATATGACAATATTCACTAATCCTTTGTTAATCCATCTTCCATTTTTTCTGTATCTTTACAAATGAGTTTATTCCCTTGTTCTCTACAGATTGTACATGAGGGCTTTCAGATGTCTATGATGAGTGATATCTTCACTGTTTAATGTGCTAATTACTTGTTGTACCTTTACTTTCCCAGTGTGAACTTAGCTTCCAATTCCATTTGAAAGTAGGAGCTGATGTAAGCTTCTTTTGTTTGGTTTTATTTACAAGGAGTTCTGCCACATTCCTGTGTTATATTCATTTGGAAAAGACTCCAGGCAACATTTTTTTCCAGATAAATTTGATCTACCTTTATAAATTGTCGACATAATTCTCTGGCAGCTGGCCATTACTTTTTAATCAAATAAATGCTCTTCACTATTATTGAAAGTGAGGAGGAAACCCATAATCTATCAAGAATCTCTGAATTTTTTTTGAAGTAATAAAAAGTAAAATTTGACTTTAAGCTAGAGATAATAAGTCCTTAGTTGTTACTTTAGCTGAATAAATATGAGCAGGTCTTGACCAAATTTCACCCTCCTGTGTAAATAGAAAATATAATTTAAATATCAATGTGACTAAATCTTTGAAATATCTATCATGTATAAAATGATTTTTCTCTATCTTGTTTTTCTAACGTGCAAAAAAACTGTATTTTGTTTACATTGCATCAAGAAAGCATACAATATTAGAATTCAAAAAAGACATACAGTTGGACAGTATCAGATGGCATAGAGCTTAGGAGATTTTTTGATAGGCAGCTCAGGCAGAGAGAGGCCACAGATGCACATTTCCCAGAGCTCTCTATCCCCCTCTGTGAGGGGCTTTTCCCAGCTGACCTCCAAGCCAGTAGAGAGTGGGGCTAGCTTCCCTGTGGGACTGGGGTATGTCTGTTCTAAAAGGGACCATGCCTAGCCACCTTGGGTGAATGTGTACATAGCACAGCTTCTGAAACTCAACATAAGTGCATTGTTTCACCTGAGTACTTTCCTGGTAACCCAAGAGCAAATTGGATCCCCCAGTGCAGCCAAAACCTGACCCCAAGCTGTAAGATGCCACAGTGCCTCTAGGCTGCAGTTCATAGCTCAGGAATATGAAATTTGTGGCAGGCATTTGAGCAACAGGGAGGAGCCTTCACCCTCATAGAACTGAGAGGGGACAAGATGCATGGATTCTTAGGCCAGATCTAGAGCAGGGCATGTCTCCCTCCACAGGGCTAGTCCAGAAAGGTGTGGCATACCTACCTGCCATAGCTGCTGCCTGAGTGGGTCCCATTACCCGTAACACCTAAAAAAAAAAATGAACTTGCAGCATCAGAGATCAGAGGAGGCTCCACCAAGGCCCAGGAGTGGACCTGAGGGGACCATCTTTTTCCACCTCCACTGCAGACCTCACATGTGAATGCCAGGAAGTACAAAAGAGCTGCACTACTGGGTATTAGTCTAGCTACTGGACATTACTCTTAAGTGCCATCTACTGGATTGCAGCCCAAACTACAACATCAAAAATTATCTTGCTAATTATATGCTCATATGAAAACAAGTGCAAGAATTTACCTACACATAAAGATACCATACAGAGCCCTGACACTCTGAAAGCATCTAAAATTGAAGCCAACTGATGGTACTCAACTGATACCTCAGTA